>NC_000017.11:46935980-47560980 GCF_000001405.40 Homo sapiens
GTTTTTGTTGGATCATGTTGAGTCTGTCAGCTCCACAGGACTTCAGTACGTTTCTGAACAGTCCCTGCCATCTCTACGGGGGAGAGGGTCAGGCAAGCTGCAAGTGACACTCACCTCCTGCTGACAGTTGCAGTGTCTCAGATGGCCTGGAAGGGTGGTCTCCAGCAGCCTGCTGGGCGCTCCCCTTTCATGAGAGCCACCTGCAGTGACCTGAACTGATACATGTTGATTAGTCTGCCCTTTCTTTAGAAAACTGCTACTCTCCTTTTCATATCTCAGAAAAACAGTAGAGGCCTTTTAGGACCAAACTCCATGTCACACTGATGAAGAGCCAGTGGGGGTTAGAGCGTCCTGTTAAGGCACATGCTAACTTCCCACTCAAGTCTGGCAGCGCTGGGGCATCAGCACACCTCTTGCCACCCACACTGATACCAGAGGGGAAGGCTGTGAGGTGGCTGGGGGTTGAGACTTGAGGTTTCTAACTTTCCTCTGCACACCTGTGGCTACCTGGTGTTTGTCTCTTGATTCCCTCCACCTGCCTCACACCCTGCCTCCGTCGGGATTTTCCACCTACACCATTCAAAAGGAACATAGGAGAGGGCATGAAGGGGCTAGGCTGAAGCACTCTGATGACTGGGGCCAATTTGTGGCTGAAAATGAATACATTTTTTGAAATTTATGGTCATTTTCAAGTGATTTAGAAGGTTGATCCTTAGCCTCATACAGTGATGAAATAATCTGTGTGTTCAGAGCCAAGCAGGACTTTAGCAAGAGTCTGATTGTATTGTCACTATCTCGGGGAAAAAAAAATACAAATACATTTCTCTGATCTCTGATGGCAATGAAGTTTGACTTGTAATTTCTCTGGCTGAGGCTTCTTAATTGCTTTCTGGGCAGAATGTAGATTTTGGATTCCTGTCCATGATGCCTAATGTTGATCTCACTTTCCTTGTTTCTCTCAGTTGCTCATTAATGTGTATTTATTAAAAAAAAAAAAAAAGGATATGGGGCATGAGGTTAGATGCCATGCATATAAGTTGCAGTGGGTGATATGTGCTGAGTGACTTGGGGTCTGCCCCGGCATTCACTTATACTTGTTTCTTACTAAGAAATTGAATGTGCTTTAAGCTGAAAATTAGAAAGCAGTAGGGAAGGACAGGCTGGATGGTTTGGGTTGTTGGTTTAGGAATAAAATGCCCTTTTGTTTTGGTGGTGGGTGATGCCATCTATAGAAGGGTTTTAGGTCATTGTGTTGGTGTCTTTCCGTCTTTCCCACTTGAGACCCTCTTGTAAATATGGACTTGACCCACCCATTGTACTCAGAAGAAACCTCAAAGATTGTACTCTACAAAGTAAATAGGTTGGTATCAATGATTATTGGAACTAGAGAGCCGAGGACAAGTTTTTTGATGTTGCCTTCTTTTTATAGTATAAAATATTCTAATTTTAAGTATTTTTGTTGAGATATAATTTACAGACAGTAAGGTATACAGATCATATTTTTACAATTCAGTGAATTTGGGCAATTGTATCAGCCTTTGTAACTCACACTCCCATCAAGGCCCGGACCATTTCACCTCTGAAAGATCCCTCGTACCCCTTCCCAGTCAGTTGACCCCTCTGCCCCAGGCAGCCACTGTTGTGATTTATTTCACCATAGATGAGGTTTTCTTGTTATTGAACTTCATATAAAGGTATTCATGCTACTCTTTTCTATGTGGCTTCTTCCTCCCAGTATGTTTCCAAGGTTCATTCATATTGTTACCTATTTAATTCCATGTTGGTAGTCAGGTACTTTTTATTGCAAAGCAGTATTCCATTGGTACAGGTTTACCATAGTTTGTTCATTCATCTTGTGATTAGTGACACCATTGTTTTCAGTATGTATTTATTTATGTATTTTTTGAGACAGGGCCTCCTTCTGCCACCCAGGCTGGAGTGCAGTGGTGTGATCTTGGCTTACTGCAGCCTCGAACTCCTGGGCTCAAGTGGTTCTGTCACCTTAGCCTCGCAAGTAGCTAGAACCACAGGTGCACACCACCACACCTGGCTAATTTTTTTTTGTAGAGAAGGGGTCTTCACTACGTGCCCAGGCTGATCTCGAAATCCTGGCCTCAAGTAATCCTCCCACCCACCCCTCCCAGAGTGCTGGGATTACAGGGATGAGTCCCTGCGCCTGGCCTGTTTGCAGTTTTTAGATATTCTCCTGTGTTTTTTTCTAGAAGCTTTAATTGTGGCTTTAGCTTTTATGTTTAATTCTATGAACCATCTCAAATTAATTTTTATGTATAATGTGAATTGAGGTTCAATTTTTACACACATATCTGTAAGAGAGATACATATATATAAAATACATACCTGTGATATTATATAGTCAGTCGTTCCAGCACCATTTGTGGAAAAGACTTTTCTTTCCACTTAGCGTTGCTCTGGTACCTTGATCAAAAATCAGTCGACGACATGAGAGTGGCTCTATTTCTGGCTGATATTGCTTTCTGTGTATTCTGGGCATGACCAAGAGAATGTCTGTTGGCAAAGCTCCATCTCCTGATGCCATTCACCCACTCTTGGTAAAGCGACTTGATGTTTGTTTTTTTTTCTGTTCTCTTCTGCCCCAGGGGACTCAGAAGAAGATCCTTGACATTGCCAACATGCTGGGCTTGTCCAACACAGTGATGCGGCTCATCGAGAAGCGGGCTTTCCAGGACAAGTACTTTATGATAGGTGGGATGCTGCTGACCTGTGTGGTCATGTTCCTCGTGGTGCAGTACCTGACATGAGCCAGCCACGCTCAGTGGCTGAACAGCATTCCCACAGCCTGCAAGTGTGTGTGTGTGTGAAAGAGAGAGGGGGGCCCAGAGGCCGCCTTTTGAAATGTTTGCCTGTCTGAACTGTGAAGACACTTGGGAGTGATTGTGGTCTAATTTCCAACCTGCTCTGTTTTCTGTGACATCTTGGAGGGGGAGCTAGTGCCACCACCATGCGCGGTGCTTAGGAAATGAAAGAAGTCCCGGGTCTGTCTCTCTCACTCTCGCTCTCACTGGGGGAGGGAAAGAATGGCTTTGGTGGCTTTGTTCACATAGCTGATGCGTGCCCTGGGAAGGTGTCCACAGTGAGCCCTGTGTGCAGGACTGTCCACACGGTTCACACCTTGTCACCATCAGGCCTTTCTGGCTCCTGATAGGGTGGAGCAAAAGTGGAAAGGAAAGGAAAGAGGCCTTTTCTCACAGCCATTATATTAAATAGTAGGTCGATTCACATCCTCGTGCTCCTGGCCACCCTCCCCTGTGCCTCAGTGACATGTAGATGACTGACTGCCAATACTTGTCACCATTCCCTGGAAGCAGCTACCTAGGGGAAACAAGATGTAGTGCTATTGCCGATAACAAGTAAGATTTTCCACACTACAGCTGGGTGTTTCTCTTTTCTAAAGTGAGGCCAGTGTTATTTCCCGGGAGTGTTCAGTCTTGACCCTAGTCACTGATTTTTTCTAGTTGTTAATAGAGTGGTTGGCTTTTAAGGTTCAGAGACTGTGGCTTGGCACCTGCGCCCAGGCTTTGTGGGCCTTTGCCCCTTAGAAAGTAGCTGTAGGCAAAGATTTGTGATTTTCCAATTACAGTCTCAGCTCTAGTTTTAGTATCTCTAATTCTTTGGTTCCCTTCTCTTCCCTGAAATATATTAGCACCTGCCAGCCAGGCCCTCATTTTGCCCAGCCAGTGTGGGCAGATCCCACCGTGGAGACATCTGTAGTGTGTATGTCCTTGTAACACTCTGTTTTCAGGGACTACAACCTTTTTCCTTCTGTGACCAGCCCCGGATTCAGGCTGTACTAATACCAGGTATATTGTGGAATTTAGTATAAAGGCCAATCTGTCCTGAAGTCCATCTAATGTGGTGAATCACTGAAAGTCTCAGAAAGACCTGGTTAGTGTATGTTCTCATTTACCACAGGCCTACCAGCCCTGGGCACAGCAGCTTCATGGCAAGACATAAAATGACACTCAAAATCCTTCAGATCTGGAAACCGGCTCAGTATTAACCCTACCTTTGGTTGTCCTGCCCTACCTGCTCTGTTAGTTTCTTGTTGCTTGAACTGTCTTCTGTCTTATTTCCCTTCCTTTCTGTGTTCCTCTTCACCTCTCTTGTTCCCCTCCCCGCTGCTCTGTAGTCATGTTGGTCCTTTCAGGCACCTCTGTGGCATAGCTCCCCTTTGGTAAGTTTTCTTAATTGTCATAGATTAACTGAGTTTCCTGGATGCTAATTTCACACTTTCGGTTGGAGGAGATCTCCATTGTTCCTACCCCTCCGGGCCAAATGGGCCCCAGGTTTCCAAGGAAGGAGCAATCTGTGACTCCTAAAATGGGTTGGGGCCCTGCCAGAGTTAAAGCAGTGACTGGAGGGTGGACTGGGGGGTTGCAGCATCTTTAGACCTAGATCTGTCTAACTCTGGGGAGGCACATTGACATTTCCATTACACACAGCACTGCTGCGGTGCCAGGGACCTAGCGCAGGACTTTTGGTAATCCATAAAATGGATTCTGAGACTGCGACGGCAAGGCTGTCCTGTCCCCCAGGCACCCAAGGATCCTGCCAGACAGCACACTTTGGAGGAAGGTCTGCAGGGAGCAGCTGAGCCATTTGTTCTTGAACTCTGGGAGGCAGAAGTCCCCGCACCCATCATGCGTGGACTGATAGGACATCTTTTCGTGGTGTGCACCAGTGCTTTCCACACTTGACAGTGGTTGGCTTTGATGAACCCTCATGCTGCACCTTCAGAGCCAGTCCTCTAGTTTGGAATAAAAATTGCAGAGGTGGTTTTTGGGTCTTTACCACCTGCGGCTGGTGGACAGCAGCCAGTGTGTCTGGACACCCAGGGGCATTGAGACTGCATGTTGTCACATGACCACTTCTCTTCACACATCTGCTTTCAGTGCCTGGTGAAAAATAGACCTTGGCCTAACAGTGTGACTCTCTCCACCGCCTCAGTGTAGGGAAGGGTCCAGGCCAGGGAAGGAGCACCCTCTAGTGGAGGCGGGGGTGAATTCTTAGGTCGAGCTGATGCAAGAAACTCCGGTAGCCAGCCTCTGTGACCTTGTACATGAGTTTGGTGTGCCTATTGTGATTTAAAACAGGTGGGTTATCAAGAGGAACTTGAGATCTCTTTATTACATGGACATTTACTTCAGGGGGACCACTGTAAGAAAAGCCAAACTCCAAGACCAAGTAAGTTAGAGGAGTCTTGATTTTTTAGACTTCACTGCGGAGTTCTGTACACCCTTTGCCCTGATGAATTTGAATGGGTTTGATTTGCAAATTTGGATTTACACCCATTGTTTTGGAAGCACATCAGCTGAATAAAGTTGAGGTTTATTTTATTTAGAAAATCACATTTTGTAAAAGAATTCGATATTCATTTTTATAACTAATGGCCCCCTTTTTTTATGTTTCTAGGCCAGAGATTCTCAAACACTGCTCCATGGCCAGGGGCTGGGCTGGCTGCTTCAGAAGCAGTGGGGAAGCTTTTTAAAATTACATATTCCTGGGGCCTACCCCAGATCTGAATTAGAACCTTTTTTAAATCTCTAAGGTGATTTTATTTTATTTTTTATTTTTGAGACAGTCTCGCTCTGTCACCCAGGCTGGAGTGCAGTGGCGCAATCTTGGCTCACTGCATCCTCTGCCTCCTGGGTTCAGGTGATCCTCATACCTCAGCCTCCTGAGTAGCTGGAACTACAAGTGTGTGCCACCATGTCTGGCTAATTTTTTTTTTTTTTTTGTATTTTTTAGTAGAGACAGGGTTTTACTATGTTGACCAGATTGGTCTTAAACTCCTGGCCTCAAGTGATCTGCCTGCTTCGGCCTCCCAAAGTTCTAGGGTTACAGGTGTTAGCCACTGTACCTGGCCTCTAAGGTGATTCTGATGTGTGTATTTTGGAACCACTGTCTCCTAGACAGAAAGCTTCTGTCTCAAAGATGATCACATTGGTGTAAAGAGCAAAACTTGTTAAGTCCAAAATAAATTCTTACTGTTTATATCCTACCTTAGTCCAAAAAAGATTTGAGGAGACTTTGAGGAAATAACTGAAACAGATACAAAGAAGTGAGGCACAAGAACAAATCAAGTCAGTGTAGAATGTCGACATCAGGACAAGGAACTCAAACGTTGTAACACCCTAAGAAATGTTTGGGGAACCCTAATTTGACTTTCAGCTCCAGTAGCCAAAGCAAAGAAAGAAACGTCATCTGTTACTGTCTCAACCGGGGGGTGACATTTTCTCAAGGGAAAGCCTAGGCCCTTCATAAACAGCTTGCCTGTAGGCCTCACGGAGGTCAGACAGGGATTTTCCTGGCTCCATCCCTGCCAATCTGAAACCCTCTCACTTATGTTCTCCATCATTTATCCTCATTATGCAGACAAGGGGCTGAGCTGTGGTGACTGTGAAGGCCTCACAGGAGTCCGAGAGGAGCTGGCCCCTCATCCAGCTTGGAACCATGGGCCCACTTAATCTCCCACACTTCTCGTGGGGTGCTCTGCTGGGGTCTGGGGGGATTGAGAGGTGTGCAGGGGACTGAGATGGTGCAGCCTGCTGGCATGGACTATAGAGCTATAAGGTGTTTGCTGCAGACCCTTCAGATAGTATAGGGCAAGTTCCCTGTTGGGAAATAATTTCCTAACTGGAAGGGGAGGGAATCTGAAGTGAAAGCTGTCCTCAGGCCTTGCCCCTAGGGGGCGGCATAGCCCTATCTGTGGCTAGTGGGCCCTGAACACACTGCCTTAGGCCTGCTGTACTTAGAAGCTGAGAAAGGAAAGTGTCATTCCTTCCCCATTTTCTGTGTCCTTTTCATTTCATATGGAAGGCACATGGGAGAGGAGTGTTCAGGGGTGCTGGGCCCCCAAGTGCTGTTGGTAAGTTCCCCACCATGGAGCCTCTGTGAGCCATCCCTCCCCGCCTCATCCCCATGTCCCTCTAGTACAGGGTTCCCAACCTTGGCTCTGCATTGGAATTCCCTCGGGAGCTTTAAAAACCCATGTGTGGGTCTTCCATTCACCCTCTTATTAATTGGCCTGGAGTGCAGCCGGGGCATTGGGAGTTGCCCAAGGCGATTGTAATGCCCAGGGGTAGGGAGCCGATGGCTCTAATACAAGAACATCAACCCAAGGCTAGCCCGTCCCCCATGCACTTCCCCTGGCCGCACCGTGGGAACCACTTGCAGAGACCAACTAGGGGCAGGGATGGAAGCCTGATTCTCCCTCTGGATCAGAAGGAGCCAGATCCCTTGTGGCCATTGGGTGCCCCTCATTAACTGACACCTCTCTGCTGAGTAAAGCACCTTGATGTGACAGGCCAGCTCTTCGCTGCCCCTGCAGTGCAGCCCCCAGCCCTCCCCACCACCCCTGCCTGGTGTTCCGTCCTCCCTGGACTGCTTGGTCTTCTCAGAACATGCCACACACTCAGTACAGCTGCACCTTTGCACAAGATGTTTCCTCTCAGATGTGCCACAAACACCCCCACAATCCCATGAAACCTCCAAGAAGCCTGCCCCTCCCCTCCAAACAACCTCATACTGCACGCTTCCTGCGGAATGGGAGTTGCTCCTCACCGCAGGGGCCTTTGTGCATCCCGGGCACGTAGTAGGCGCAGGCGCCATCGGGTAAGCGGCTGCAGGAGAGCACTTGAGCCCATCCCCCATGCAGGGCCAGCAAAGCTGTTGCAGCCAGGCCAGGAGGAAGCCAGAAGGTTCAAGGCCACTGATGCTACGAGCCATGTGCTCACAGGGCCTCAACAACAGCAATGACTGCAGTAAAAGAGGAGAGGCATGGGGCCCCGTGAGGGAAACTGTCACTCAGGACTGGGGAGAGAGAAGTAGAGTGACCAACTTGTCTGGGTTTTAAAGCTGAAAGTCCTGAATCCTGGCGATCCCTCGGTCTGATGGTCACCCTAGATAAGCTAAAGGCTAGGACAGGCGTGACTAATGCAGGGTATCTAGGAAGAGGGGGCTCTCGGAGGCTGACTCCTGGCTTAGCAATTCCATTAGTGTGGTTCCACTGGCCCTTCCTTCCAGGCATCTGTGACATGGTGGCTCCTGGAGAGCTGGCAGAGGCTGGGCCAGGCCCAGGAGGGAAGTATTCCAACCTCCTCAGAAGACAGTGGCTGACAGTACAAGAGGGGACATTCATCTTTATTCCGTCTTCCAGAGCCCTGGCATGTGTCCAGTGCCAGTGTTAGCTGTTTCAGGGCAGAGGGAAGGAGTTGGAGACAAGCAGCCCTCCGCAGTTTGCACTGGTTACAGCGGCCGGAGGCTGTGGTAAGAGCGCTGAGCCCAGGATGCAGAGCCTGGCTTCAAGTCCCAGCCCTGCTGGCAGCAACCACGGGCCACACACCTCTCAGCCTCAGCTTTCTAAGAATGGGGGTAACACCTGTCCCACGTCCCTTTCTGGGGTGGACATGAGGCCCGAGTCACGTAGTGCTTTTGGCAGATTCCAGAGGTCTGAGGCAGTGACCCTCAGCCTGGGCTGCTTCCTGGAGTCCCCCAGAGAGTTTGGAAGTCCCGATTCTGGGCCTCGCTCCCCAGAGATGCCGAGCTACCTGGTCTACAGTGGGGCCTGGGCTTCAGAATTTTTAATTTTCTTTTTTTTTTTTTTCCTCTCATTCTGTTGCCCAGGCTGGGGTGCAATGGTGCAATCTCGGCTCACTGCAGCCTCTGCCTCCTGGGTTCAAGCGATTCTCCTGTTTCAGCCTCCGGAGTGGCTAGGATTACAGGCACCCACTACCACGCCCGGCTAATTTTTGTATTTTTAGTAGAAACGGGGTTTCTCCATGTTGGGCAGGCTGGTCTCGAACTCCTGACTTCAGGTGATCCACCCACCTCGGCCTCCCAAAGTGCTGGGATTACTGGCATAAGCCACCGCAGCCGGCCTTAATTTTTAACTTTCTAAGGAGTCTCCTGTGAGGTCGAGATTGAGAACCACGGCTGTCAGTGCATCCCAGGTGCAATGGAGTATCATTCCTGTTCAGCTGGAAAGACAGGATCTACTCGTGAAACAACCGAGGTTGAGAGGTGATAGTTTAGTGCGGCCATTGTGGTGGGGGCATTAACCAGGAAGAGCTTTCTGTGAGAGGGCGAGGTGATGGGTGTGTGAAGGACAGGAGATGATGTGGGAGCAGTCGAGGGGCAGGAGTGGCCTGGGGGAGGGAGGAAGCTCTAACCAGCCCTGGCTGCTGTGGGCTCTGAGGCCTGATGTGCTGTCTTCTGCACGACATCCTCCACGCACTGTCCTCCGTGTTCCAGCTGGGAAACTTGCTGCTCAGAGGCCTGAGTTCATGCTGCTGAGATGCTACTGAGAGCTGGAGAAGCTGTCAGGCTGGTGTGGGTGTGGACAAGCCCTACTGTCCTAGGAAGACCTGCCCATGATCTTTTGAGGTGCAACGTAGTGTGATGGGGGTGGTGGGATAGTGTTTGAGATGGGGTTGGCAGACATGGCGTAGAATCCTGACTTTGCTGTTTATTAGCAGCCTAACCTTGGGCTTAATCACTCCAGCCTCAGTTTCCTGTCTGTATTCAGCTCAAAACAGAATTGCATCTTTGCTGGGTGGTAACTCATCAGAGAGGAACAGGCGTGGGCTATGCAGAAGGGAAGCAGTTCTCCCTTCTTTCCAGCCCGAGCAACAGGATCCACATTCTTTCAACCAAGACCACTTGGCCCTGCTCACCTCCTGGCAACTTCTGGCCTCCTCTAAGAGTTTCTTGTGCCCCAGGCATGTGCAGGGACTGAGGCAGAAGCTCAGGGAGTGGGGACCTCTATAGGAGGGGAGAATAATCACTGCTGCCCCCAGGACCTCACCAGGTGGTTGTGAATGTCAAAAGGTAAAACCCTGGAGATAAACCCCTGATCGCTGCCGGGTGCTGTCCAAATTATTGTTGCTATGTGCATGGAGTGGGTATAAATTCCGTGTCCATGGTGATTTCTTCCAGGAAACCATTTCTTTTTTCCCCCTGTGGCAAAGGGCAGCCTCTCTTACCTCAATCCAGGGGCCCTGGGAGACCCTTGGAAGGCGGGGCCTCCAGGGCTGAATTCCAGAACAGCAGCTGTGGCCACCTCCTTAGGCCACCTGGGAATCAATTCTCTGTCGTCACTCACTTGGAGGAAACCACATTTAAATTAAAAATGTAGGCTGGGCGCGGTGTCTCATGCCTGTAATCCCAGCACTTTGGGAGGCCGAGGTGGGCAGATCTCCTGAGGTCAGGAGTTCGAGACCAGCCTGACCAACATGGAGAAACCCTGTCTCTACTAAAAATACCAAAAAAAAAAAAAAAAAAAAGAAAAGAAAAATGCCAGGAGTGGTGGCGCATGCCTGTAATCCCAGCTGCTCGGGAGGCTGAGGCAGGAGAATTGCTTGAACCTGGGAGGCGGAGGTTGCAGTGAGCCGAGATCACGCCATTGCACTCCAGCCTAGGCAAGAAGAGCAAAACTCCGTCTCAAAAAAAAAAAAAAAAAAGTAGGTGGCCTGGGATATTCCCTTTGTGGAAAAAAAAAAAAGAAATAGCTCAAGCTCAGTATTGCAGCCCTTAAACAGAAAAGTAATTAATAATTATGAGAGGCCAGGCATGGTGGCTCCCACCTTTAATCCCAGCACTTTGGGAGGCCAAAGCAGGTGGATTATCTGAGGCCAGGAGTTCGAGACCAGCCTGGCCAACATGGTGAAACCCCGTCTCTACTAAATATACAAAAACTAGCCAGGCAAGTTGGTGTGCGCCTGTAGTCCCAGCTACTTGGGAGGCTGAGACATGAGAATTGTTTGAACCCAGGAGGCAGAGGTTGCAGTGAGCCGACATTGTGCCACTGCACTCTAGCCTGGGTGACGAAATGAGACTCTGTTTCAATTTTAAAAAAACAAAAATTATGAGATGTCGCGGGGCAGCAGTCAAGTGCCAAGCAAGTGGGGTAGATATCAGAGGGTGGAGAGCCCACCCAGCAGTGAGAGGAGGCTGCAACTGACTGCTGCCCCTGGGGAAGGTGGGACGGGGGCCAGATTCACAGGGGAGCCATGTGAGCTTGGTTCTCAGCAGGCTGGGTTTGGAGTGGATTGTGGAAAGAGTAGGGACGTATTAGGGTGAAGCTGGAGGTGGGTGTGGAGGAAGGCCAGGGGACCCTGACATGAATGTGGATGCAGGAACCCTCAGCTGTCTCTGAAACCAGGAGGGCTGGGGAAGGACCCTGTGCATGTCCTAGATTCTGTGGCCCCAGGAGTTACTGCTCAGGAAGCAGGGCAGCCTCCTCTTTGGTGTATGTGTGCAAGAGAGAGGTCGTGGTGGGCTGTGGGTTGTTAGTCTCTCTCCCAGGAGCACCTGGCAACCTGAACTACCCCTGCTCCCTCCCCACCCTGCCCCAGATCTGGTGAAACCACCAACCAGGCGGAGGCAGGGCAGAGGCTGTCACTGCCACACACCTTCAGAGCTCCCTACAACTTACGTTCATGCTGCTGAGATACTGATGAGAGCTGGAGAAGCTGTCAGGCTGGTGTGGGTGTGGACAAGCCCCACTGTCCTAGGAAGACCTGGACATGATCTTTTTAGGTGCAGTGTAATGTGATGGGGGTGGTGGGATGATGTTTGAGATGGGGATGGCAGACATGGCTTAGAATCCTGACTTTGCTGTTTATTAGCAGCCTGACCTTGGGCTAATCACCCAAACCTCAGCGTCCTGTCTGTATAGTGAGAATAATAATAACTACCTCAAGTGGTAGCAAAAGTGCCTGTATTTGAGAGCTTGTCCGTCACTAGAAATAGTTTTTTTTTCTTTTTGAGATGGAGTTTCACTCTTGTTGCCCAGGCTGGAGTGCAATGGCACAATCTCGGCTCACCGTAACCTCCGCCTCCCGGGTTCAAGCGACTCTCCTGCCTCAGCCTCCTGAGTAGCTGGGATTACAGGCATGTGCCACCACGCCTGGCTAATTTTTCGTGTTTTTACTAGAGACAGAGTTTCACCATGTTGGCCAGGCTGGTCTCGATCTCCTGACCTCAGGTGATCCACCTGCCTTGGCCTTCCCAAAGTGCTGGGATTACAGACGTGAGCCACCGCGCCCAGCCTAGAAGTGATTTTTGTCAGGAGACAGAAGACCTTTAGTGATTGGAGTCAAGCAGGTGGAGTGTGAAGATCAGCTCTGCCCTTTAGCTGTGGAACCTTGAGCAAGCCACCTCACCTCTCCACGCCTCTGTTCTGTCACCTTTTGGAGATGAATAATGCCCATCTCACAGGGCAGCTGTGGCCAGTGCATACTGCCATGCCTGTAAAGTGCCTACTGCACAGCCCAGGACATAGAAAGATGGTAACTGAGGTTTTGTTGTGGTTGTTCACTAGCATTGCATAGGACCCAGGTCTGATCCCTTCATTCAGCTGGTGTGATTGTGAGTCAAGGATCTGATATCCCCAAAGAAAGGACTGCAAGTATTTGCCAGTCAGACTTTATTTGTTACAAGATACGATATTGCACATGTATTCCTGTGTTCTTCATCAGAAGACCTGAATTCAAATCTCCAGTTCATTACCTATTAGGACTTGCTCACTCCCTCTTTCTCTCCCAGCCTCAGTGTCCTCGTAGGGGAAATGGGAATGCTAATAATGGCCTACTTCACAGAACTGTGGTGAAGACAAAGCCAATCAAGCATGTGGATCAGTGAGTATGCGCAGGGCTGCAAGGGCCAGAAATCCCAGGATCTTACTGCTGGGGTTAGATACTGATCTAAGGAGCTTAAGTAGTAAGAACTGTGGATGTGGGGCAGCCTGCAGAGCTGGTTGATTTAGGGCTCGGTGACATCATCAAGGCTGGGCTTGGGACTGCCTGGGTTCCCTGAGAGGCGTGGAACCATGGTGGGAAGATGTAGGAAAGATGAGGATGATGATTGACAGATCAGTCTGGAATTGTTGCCTGCTAAAGTTCATTCATCCATTCTTTCGATAGCTACGAACTGAGCACCCACCAGGTGCCAGTCACGGGACTGGGCCTTGGAGAACAGACGTGACCCACCTGCATTGTGATCCACTGCTGTGTAACAAATCACCACAAAACATAGGGGCTGACGGCAATAGCTCTCAGTTGCTACACCTCACAGCCTCTGAGCATAAGAACTGGGGACCAGGCGTGGCTGGGATAGCTGTCTCTGCTCAGCGATGTCTGGGGCCTCAGATGGAAGATTTGAAGGCTGGGAGGAGAATCATCTGAAGGTTCACTGATGTGGCTGGCACACAGTGTCGCTGGGCACACAATGTCGCTGAGCCCTGGACTGGGGCTATCCTCTGGAACACCTGCACACGGCTTCTCCATGGGACCAGGGCTTCCTCAGGGCATGATGACTGAGTTCCAAGAGTGAGTATCCCAAGGGAGAGAGCAGGTGGGATCTGTGTACTTTCTATGACCAAGCCTCGGAAGTCATAGGGCCTCTGTTCTGCCATACTCCTTTGGCCGTGGTGATCACAAGCCATATGGTCACAAGCCCCCAGCTGCCTCTCAGTGGGAAGAATGTGGGTCACATTCTAAGAAGAGCAGGTGGGATGGAATTGACACGGTGGGTGGCCATCTTTGGAGAGTACAATCTGCCACACTCCCCTTGAATGATGCTCACGTCTAGCTGGGAAGACATACATGAGCATGCAGCAATAAAGTGCACAAACCGTCACACAGGTACAAGGTGCTTAGGGCCATGGCAGAAGTAGTATCTACTTACCCTGGAACCCTGGAGGAGGCTTTTGAGCTGAATCTCAGATGAGTCAGACTGGAGCAGGTGGAGCCTGGGCGGACGGTCTCAGCAGAGGGAGTCATCTAGCAAAGGGGTGTGCTCTGGGAAGGGCAGGAGGATTCTGTGGCTGGAGCTCAGGCTTCAGGTTCAGTGTGGAGGAGGGAAGAAAGGCTGCAGAGGTAAGTTGAGGCCAGACGCGGGGTGCCTAAGAGCAGACTCATTAGTCCCTGCCCTCCTCCAGTCCCTGGTCCTCTGCACACAGTAGGCACTTCATAAATATTGATTGAAATTGGAGTGAGCAGTGTGTGTTGAAGAGGAAACCAAATCCCAAAGAGAGGCCGTGGGGCCTCCTGGAGGGAGCATGGGATAAAGACAGGGAGAACCCACTTTCATATCATAGGAACTTGAGATTCTCTTTCTCAGTTGTTGCCTTTCCAGTATTTTTCAATGTCTCTGCAAGAGTTCACGGGGGCTGAGAGCAGCCCCTGAGTCACTTCTCGTTCCTATCCCTCACCCCCAGCTGGATTCTTGGGTCTTCTTCCCTCCATACTGGTCCCCAGAGAGTGTGGACTCTCTGCCTCTTGTAGGTGAGGAGGAGGCGGCTGGCTGAGGAGGTGGCAGAGGCAAGTGAAAGGGCCAGGAGGGTGAGGATGGAGAGAAGGGGAGGGAAAAGAAGGAGATGGAGGGGGAGAAGATGAAGTTGCTAAGTGTATGATCAGTGCCAGAGCCAAAAGCCCATACTACAAATTGCTTTTTCCTTCACACTTGTCCCAGGGAAAGGCCCAATTAAAATAGCACCTATTGGAAATGGAAGGGTAATTGGACCAGGCAGCTTATTAGGCCCATCTCCAAGAGCATTCAGGGGCAGCCATGAGCTTCAGGAATTTCCACCATGTGAACTTAGCGGGGGAGATGACCCCGAGCAGCAAGGGCTGACAGGATGGGGCTGCCCCACCATCCTGCCTGCCCGGGGCCCTGCTCAGTGGCTTGAGAGGGCAGGGACTGGTCTGTGTGGGGGCACTCTTCTGTGGTGGGGTAGTTCAGTGGGCTGAGACATGGGGCTGATGAGATCAAAACTGTCCAGTTCCAAATCCCAGAACAGAGGAAAAGCGGGGCCAGAAGTGGTCTTGGGGACCACCAAGCCAGACTTTCTGGGGGAGAATGACTTGCCAAGGGTGACCCAGTCGGTGATGAGAGATCTGGAGTCAGAGGGGGAAGTCACCGACTCCCAATCCAGTGCTGCTGCCCAGGGACAGTCTCACCATGCCACGCTGTCCTAAACTAGCCTGTGGCCCTCGCCCCAACTACACGCCCATGGCCTGTCACTGTACCATGTTCATGCCAGGCACAGCTAAGTCAGGGTGGCAGGAGCCACGCCAAAGGCTTCTCCAGCTTGAGGGCATCATCTCTCCACACCCCTCAGTTATTGACAGAAACTGGCACACGCACTGCCAGACCACGCTGTCCCTAGGAGGAGGCAGACAGAGGTGGACGCAGCCCACAGGCTTGGCTGGAACGGCGGGTTCCAGAGGTGCCCGCTGGCCGCCCACAGTGAAGTCTGGTAGGGGTGGCACTCTCCCCACAGGTTACCCATTGGACCAGAGCTCATCCACCCAGAGCCCATTTCCATGACAACAGCAAGCTCCTTACCCATCAATTTCATCCTTAAAGATTCCCACCCCAGCTTTCTGAGCCTGGGCTCCTCGCCCAGCTGCCGCGCCAGCCCACGTCTCCAGATCACAGGTTTAGCAGTGACTTGTCAAGCTGCCAGAGAGAGCCTCCTGGGAGGTGCCTTTTAACTGGCGTAGCCCTTGAAAACGACCATATAATCACCTGCTAATTGGATTAGGAACTTGTTCCCAGGGACTTTCTTTTGCCCCCATGTTGAGGCCACCCTACTCCATTCTTCCGGAACTTAGCATTGGAGAGCTTCCCCGTTCCCCTCTGCACAACCTCCCAGGCCAGGGTAATGCTGACAGGGTTGCCCCAAAGTCAGATAGTGACACAAGAGGAAAAGGAAACCTCTAATTTTCTGGGGCCCAGGTACACTCAGAGAGGAAAAATGGCCCAGGGTGGGAGAACACACAGGGCCCTCTCTTCCCCCACTCTGCCCGCCTTTCAGCCTTGCAAGAAAATCTGGCTTTTCCCTCGGGGTGTTTGCCTCGCTGCTTCTCCCCCCCAGACATCACCTCCCTCACAGCCCAGCTCCATGTTCACCCCCACCAGGAAGTCTTCCTTTCTAAACCGTTTTTCTCTGCATCCTCTCAGAGTGGCTATATTTGGTTCCTGCAATATAACTTCGTATATATTGCATCAGGGAGAGGGGGAGATTCCTGAAGCTGGGTTGTTATTTTTTGTGAAGCTATTTTTTTGGTGCATTTTCTTTCTATTCCAGAAAATTCTTATAGTGGGTGGATGTCATTTATCTACCCAGCATCTCGTCTTTGGACTACAAATCCTTATCCCCTTCTGCTGGTGCCATTGTCTCTCCTTCCTGTGGAAAACCTGTGCCACGGGACTCAGCGAGGGCTGCCTCCTCCAGCAGGGTCAGCGCCTGAAGCAGGCCTGGTCCATGCAGGACTGGGTCAGCAGCCCAAAGCAGTCGGTTTGGGGTGACCACATGACTGCGCGGTGGGCCGATCAGAATCTTCCCTGGAATTCCCATAGACACTGCTGGTTTCCTGACCAACATCCATTCCTCCCCTATTCTCACTAGCTACACGCCACTTTTGTTGATCTAGCAAGAAGTCCAGTTGAAGATATTTGTGCCTCTAGACTTTCTTGCAGGTAGGGGTCAGGTCACCCAATTCTGGTCAATAAGATATGGGCAGAAGTTGCTGGGAGAGACTTCTGGGAAAGGGTTTCAAAAGGAACATGGCTCCTTTAGTCCACTCTTAACTGATGGCTGAGATGGAGACATCTTAACCTGAAGGCTTTTATTCCAGCTATGTGAGAGGCCACCTGAGAATAAAGTGATCCGAGAAGAAAGCAAAACAGAGAGAGAGACAGAGAAAGAGATGGCAATATCAGTTAAGTCCCTGGATTGAGCCATGCCTGAAGCCTCAGAACTTCCCAATTTGGAGAGCCAATCAATAAATCCTTTTCCTACTTAAGCTGGTTTGCACTGGATCTCCATCTCTTTCAGTGAAAGACCCCTCAGTGCAAACCTCCACAAAACCAAACCCATGTCTTTCCCTGCCTCTGTTCTCTCCTCCCAAGATACCCCACATAAGATGCTCGATGCAAAGCTGGCACACAATATTCATTCAAATGACTCTGAGCCCCCCAAATTCTTTTTGTTTTTAAATTTTATTATTATTTTTTATTTTTTTATTTTATTATTATTTTACGTAAGTTTTAGGGTACATGTACACAATGTGCAGGTTTGTTACATATGTATACATGTGCCATGTTGGTGTGCTGCACCCATTAACTCGTCATTTAGCATTAGGTATATCTCCTAATGCTATCCCTCCCCACTCCCCCCACCCCACAACAGTCTCCGGTGTGTGATGTTCCCCTTCCTGTGTCCATGTGTTCTCATTGTTCAATTCCCACCTATGAGTGAGAACATGCAGTGTTTGGTTTTTTGTCCTTGCAATAGTTTGCTGAGAATGATGGTTTCCAGCTTCATCCATGTCCCTACAAAGAATATGAGCTCATCATTTTTTATGGCTGCATAGTATTCCGTGGTGTATATGTGCCACATTTTCCTAATCCAGTCTATCATTGTTGGACATTTGGGTTGGTTCCAGGTCTTTGCTATTGTGAATAGTGCCGCAATAAACATACGTGTGCATGTGTCTTTATAGCAGCATGATTTATAATCCTTTGGGTATATACCCAGTAATGGGATGGCTGGGTCAAATGGTATTTCTAGTTCTAGATCCCTGAGGAATCGCCACACTGACTTCCACAATGGTTGAACTAGTTTACAGTCCCGCCAACAGTGTAAAAGTGTTCCTATTTCTCTCCAGCAGCTGTTGTTTCCTGACTTTTTAATGATCGCCATTCTAACTGGTGTGAGATGGTATCTCATTGTGGTTTTGATTTGCATTTCTCTGATGGCCAGTGATGATGAGCATTTTTTCATGTGTTTCTTGGCTGCATAAATGTCTTCTTTTGAGAAGTGTATGTTCATATCCTTCGCCCACTTGTTGATGGGGTTGTTTTTTTCTTGTAAATTTGTTTGAGTTCATTGTAGATTCTTGATATTAGCCCTTTGTCAGATGAGTAGATTGCAAAAATTTTCTCCCATTCTGTAGGTTGCCTGTTCACGCTGATGGTAGTTTCTTTTGCTGTGCGGAAGCTCTTTAGTTTGATTAGATCCCATTTGTCAATTTTGGCTTTTGTTGCCATCGCTTTTGGTGTTTTAGACATGAAGTCCTTGCCCATGCCTATGTCCTGAATGGTATTGCCTAGGTTTTCTTCTAGGGTTTTTATGGTTTTAGGTCTAACATGTAAGTCTTTAATCCATCTTGAATTAACTTTTGTATAAGGTGTAAGGAAGGGATCCAGTTTCAGCTTTCTACATATGGCTAGCCAGTTTTCTCAGCACCATTTATTAAATAGGGAATCCTTTTCCCATTTCTTGTTTTTGTCAGGTTTGTCAAAGATCAGATAGTAGTAGATAAGCGGCATTATTTCTGAGGGCTCTGTTCTGTTCCATTGGTCTATATCTCTGTGTTGGTACCAGTACCATGCTGTTTTAGTTACTGTAGCGTTGTAGTATAGTTTGAAATCAGGCAGTGTGATGCCTCCAGCTTTGTTCTTTTGGCCTTGGCAATGCAGGCTCTTTTTTGGTTCCATATGAACTTTAAAGTAGTTTTTTCCAATTCTGTGAAGAAAGTCATTGGTAGCTTGATGGGGATGACATTGAATCTATAAATTACCTTGGTCAGTATGGCCAGTTTCATGATATTGATTCTTCCTACCCATGAGCATGGAATGTTCTTCCATTTGTTTGTGTCCTGTTTTATTTCATTGAGCAGTGGTTTGTAGTTCTCCTTGAAGACATCCTTCACATCCCTTGTAAATTGGATTCCTAGGTATTTTATTCTCTTTGAAGCAATTGTGAATGGGAGTTCACTCATGATTTGGCTGTCTGTTATTGGTGTATAAGAATGCTTGTGATTTTTGCACATTGATTTTGTATCCTGAGACTTTGCTGAAGTTGCTTATCAGCTTAAAGAGATTTTGGGCTGAGACAGTGGGGTTTTCTAGATATACAATCATGTCATCTGCAAACAGGGACAATTTGACTTCCTCTTTTCCTAATTGAATACCCTTTATTTCCTTCTGCCTGATTGCCCTGGCCAGAACTTCCAACACTATGTTGAATAGGAGTGGTGAGAGCGGGCATCCCTGTCTTGTGCCAGTTTTCAAAGGGAATGCTTCCAGTTTTTGTCCATTCAGTATGATATTGGCTGTGGGTTTGTCATAGATAGCTCTTATTATTTTGAGATACGTCCCATCAATACCTAATTTATTGAGAGTTTTTAGCATGAAGGGTTGTTGAATTTTGTCAAAGGCCTTTTCTGCATCTATTGAGATAATCATGTGGTTTTTGTCTTTGGTTCTGTTTATATGCTGGATTACGTTTATTGATTTTCGTATGTTGAACCAGCCTTGCATCCCAGGGATGAAGCCCACTTGATCATGGTGGATAAGCTTTTTGATGTGCTGCTGGATTCGGTTTGCCAGTATTTTATTGAGGATTTTTGCATCAATGTTCATCAAGGATATTGGTCTAAAATTCTCTTTTTTTGTTGTGTCTCTGCCAGAGCCCCCCAAATTCTTATCTCAACAAGAGTCAAATAAAGACTTGAAAAGACTTGACATCTAAACTACACTTATTAAGGAAAAACTCATTAATTCCCTATGGAGATCTGAGGCCAAGCACACCTCTGAAGCAGTGCATGGCTTGGAATCCTGTCTGCTCTTCACCGAACCATTCCTTCTGCACTCACCTCCTCCAGAAAGCCTTCCAAACCAGGTCTTAACTCCATCATCCTAACTACCTTGTCAGCACTCACTTTTGTTAACACTTTGATTCAGCAGTACTTGGGTTCCATGAGTATTTGAGCATAGTTGTGTGTGTGTCTCATCTCTCTCACCCCAAACCCACTCCACCCCACCCTACCCTACCAACTGACTCTCCTGAACTCTCTAGAGCAAGAGCTGTGTCTCCATCAGACTAGCAACTTCCTGAGGGCGAAGACTCTAATTCCTTATCCCATTGGGATCCAGATGCTGTCTCTCCTCACATCAGACTGGGAATGGAAAATCTTTCCATGCCCCATGGAGCCTCCTTGGCAAGACAGGAAGATACGGAGTCTGAACCCCATAGAGATGGAGAGTGGGAGGAAGAAGGTAGCCGGGAGCAGTTAGCAGGAGGGTCCATCTTAACCTTCAGGGAAAAACCGATTCACAGCACATAAAGCTAGTTCTGGATCAGAATCTGTTATTCAACAACACTTGCAAGGGTTTAACTCAGATCCTGTCCCCTCTGGGGTAGAAATCTCTACCCGCCTAAGGCCAGGATTCTGCCTTGCCAGTCCTTTTTTTTTTTTTTTTTTTTTTTTTTTTTTGAGACAGAGTTTCGCTTTTGTTGCCCAGGCTGGAGTGCAATGCTGCCATCTTAGCTCACTGCAACCTCCACCTCCCGGGTTCAAGCGATTCTCCTGCCTCAGCCTCCCGAGTAGCTGGGATTACAGGCATGCACCACCATGCCTGGCTAAATTTTTTTGTATTTTCTTAGTAGAGGCAGGGTTTCTGTCTCTACTGGTTGGCCAGGCTAGTCTCAAACTCCTGACCTCAGGTGATCCACCCACCTTGGCCTACCAAAGTGCTGGGATTACAGGCGTGAGCCACCGCACCCAGCCCTTGCCAGTGTTTCTTATTTCTCTTGTCCCTTGATGATTGTGTAATGATGAATCCCTTCGTTAGGAAGCTTGTCAAATGCAAGTAGACGCTGAGGGGGCGGCCATGTGTCTACTGTCTCGTGGCTCCTGTTGGATGGGAGTAGCCTGCGTGGCTGCCAGTGCTGGCTGGAGAGGATACCACCATCTGCTCTCGTCAGCATGCTGCCCTGCCTTTGAGTCCCCTCACTCCCGCCCCAAGACTAAATCCTTGAAAGAGCAGCTCCACAGCGAGCATGTGGCAAGAAAGGATGCTAATGGAGGGAAGAAAGTGATGAATCCCCAAAAGAGTCAGGGAAAGCCACACAAGAAGGAAAAATAGCTGCATAAAGGTTGCGGGGGTGAGCTGGGCGAGGCTGCCCGCTGACAGGTGAATCAAGACTCCAGAGAGCTGGGTACGGTGGCTCACACTTGTAGTCCCAGCACTTTGGGAGGCCCAGGCGGGTGGATCGTGTGAACCCAGGAGTTCAAAACCATCCTGGGTGACATGGTGAAACCCCGTCTCTACAAAAAATACAAAAATTAGGCACAGTGGCATGTGCCTGTAGTCTCAGCTACTTTGGAGGCTGAGGTGGGAGGACTGCTTGAGCCCAGGAGGTGGAGGTTGCAGTGAGCTGAGTTTACATCACTGTACACCAGCCTGGGCAACAGAGTGAGACCCTGCCTCAAAAAGAAAACAAAAAAAGAAACCCAGGCTAAGCGCTGTGGCTCACGCCTGTATTCCCAGCAATTTGGGAGGCTGAGGCAGGTGGATCACTTGAGGTCAGGAGTCTGAGACCAGCCTGGCCAACATGGTGAAACCCCATCTCTACTAAAAATACAAAAACTAGCCAGGTGTGGTGGTGGGTGCCTGTAGTCCCAGCTACACAGGAGGCTGAGGCAGGAGAATTGCTTGAACCTGGGAGGCAGAGGTTGCAGTGAGCTGAGATCATGCCACTGCACTCCAGCCTAGGTGACAGAGTGAGACTTGGTCTCAAAACAAACAAACAAACAAACAAACAAAACCCAGACAGCAGGAAGCCCAGGTGAGGAGAAGGGGAGAGGCAAACAGGACATGAAGGAAGATTTGTTTGGTAGAGAGAAGGGAATTGATGGCAGCCCCAGGATGCAGTTTGAACCTGTATTTGGTAGAAGCAGCGATGGGGAAATGGGCCAGATATCGGACAGGAGAGAGACATGATACAATCAGTGCTAATGATCCAGACATCTCCATGGAGGAGGATGAGCACTCAGGGGAAACGGAGGCAAGGCACTCACCCAGGACGCTGCAGCAGGGATCAGTGTGCCTAGCATGGCAATGGAAGTGAGAGGGAGTCGGAGATCTGACTGAGCGACTCCTAACTTTGAGAGTTGGTGGCTCATTCCCACCAAGGGGCTTATGGCTGCTGCTTTGGGAGTCTTTGCTGCCAAATGTCACTGGCCGGGGGTCACCTCACCCGTAACCCATGGAGAGTGGGTCTCCTCTCCCCATTTGTGCAGGACTTTCTTTCCATTGGCAGCAACTGGCCAGGGGGCCTCAGAGGAGCTGGGAATGGGGAGCAGGCTGCCAAGAAGGTTTGGTCAGGCCAACCAACTTGGAGGGCAGGGAAAGAAGTGGAGCCGTCAACCTTCACATTTTACAGGCATACAAATCACACACCAAATAAGGAGAAATATGGGACACATTTGCACAATAATTCAAGACAGGATCTCCATGGCAACAATTACCCAAAAATCCACTCCTGACAGTTGCAACAGCGGGAGCTAGCAAAGAAGACTGGGGGTGGGAAACGTGTGTGGGGGCTCAGAGAATGGCTTCCTTTTATTCTCGAACTGAAGGAAGTGCTGACGGCAGGAAGCAAGGTGTCTCACAGCCTGACTAAGCCAAGAGCCACTGGAAGTAGGATCTGGAAGAAGCCTTAGAGACGTCTGTGTGAGCTCCTTTTGAGCTGCTTAGAGGCCTGGGTGTGGGATACCACAGTGAGATGTGCCAGTGGGATGTGCCAGCTCAGGGGAGGGGGCCATCAGGGCATCGCCCTCCCACCACTCCCTCTGATGGACAAGAGTTCTCCCTAGCCTCCAGAGGTCCTCACAGGGGCACAGTGAGAGATGGAGCCAACTTCCGGCGAAGTCAAAGGTTCTGGGACATTTAAGTCTGCCTGAAAACTGAGTCCAGTCCATAGAAAGCTGACACATGACATAGGTTAGGAGAACGGAGCTCTAGCCTGCTCTGCTCCCCTCCCAGACTTGCTGTGTGGCCCCTCAGTTTCCTCTACAGTGAAATGTACAACCTACCTCCAAGAACTATTACAAGGCTGAGTGAATAGCATGAGATGGGAAATGCTTTTACCAAAATCACTGCCAATGCAAAAATAAGAGGTTTCTGTGCAGCCATGAAGAGTGGCCTGAGAAAGATAGCTGCATGCAAGGCTGTCCTTAACAGGCAGAGGAGTTTCCTAGGTCAGGTGAGAGTCAGTACAAAGACTGTGGTGGGAATCTAGAATGTGGCTAGGCAGCGATACTGATGAGATGGTGGGAAGTAGGAGGTTGGGCGTAGTGGCAGAAGTGTCACCTGTGTCCTACCACCAGACAGATGGACAGACTGACTGTGAGCTCAGAGCAGGCAGTAGAGTGTGTAACCTCCAATTTACAAACATTTTTAATCACACACCAAAAAGGAAAAGCATTCTGCTTTCTTTTTGGAGTAACATAAATCCAACCCCGTTCCCCACCCACATCCTTTTAAGTGTATTTCTTTTTGTCTGGTAGTCCTCAAAAGCCATTGGCTATTTTTCAGATCCTAGAGCTCAGATTGCCTTAAATCGCTTGAGAAAGGAGAGTTTTTTCATCTTTCTTTTTGGAACTAAGACTTTAGAGCAAAGGAAAAGGTTCTTCTGGGTTTCATTTGCATTTGGAAGCCCAGGTTTTTGGGAAAAAAACACTCTCAAGAGCTTATTACTATTATAAATGTTTAGCCATGTGATTTTTCCTCAAGAGGGCACCCAAAACTTTTCATACCAACTCCCATGGATAGCAGTCCCCTTATGCTGAATTATGGTGGGAAAGGATTAAGGTAGGACATTTCTTGAGCATTTTTTTCCTATTCTGGGCTCTCTCCTTTGCCATCCCACTCTCCACTACAAAACTTTTCCCTTCCCTTTTGTCTCACTAACCATGGAAAGTCCTCCAATCCTTGGAGGTCCTCAGAAGCCATTCTTCCCACCACTGGAGCTGACTTTCTTCCCTCTCCTGGACTGAGCAGGAAGACCGATTCATGAGAGAGCTCCTCTAAAGGAATTCAGGCTGGGCCCTGAGACAGGACATCATGGAGTGGACTTTGGAGTGGCCACAATAGTCCAGATCTGGTCCTCAGCAGTAGAGTCCAGAAACTTGGTTGGGCCAGGACATCCAAAAGTTGTCAGCCTCTCAGGACTGATTCAGGCTAACCAAATTCATTGATGGGCAACCAGAATGCCATTTCCTGAATAATATATCTACCAAAAGACTGGTATCCAAAATATGGAAAGAGCTCTCAAAGCTCAACAATAAGAAAACAAGCAACCCAACTTTTAAAAAGCAAAAGACACTTTACTAAAGAAGATATACAGATGGCACTTAAGAACATGAAAAGATGCTCAACATCATCATTCAATAGAAGACAAATTAGACACACAATGAGGTGTCACTACACACTTGGCATACATACAAACAAACACAACACAAAATCTGACAATATCAAGTGCTGACGAGGACATAGAGCACCTAGAATGCTCACACATTGCTGGTGGAAATGCAAAATGGAACAGCCACTATGAAAAACAGTTTGGCAGTGTCTTACAGAGCTAAGCGTGTGCTTCCTATATGACCCAGCAATCTCATTTCTAGGTATTTACCCAAGTGAAAGGAAAACTTTTGTTCACACATACATAAAAAAACTCTACATGAGGATTTATTTGCAATCACCAAAACAGGATACAACCCAAATATCCTTCAACTGAAGACAGATAAAAATTTAAATTTAAAAACCTGTGATACATCCATCCAATGGAATATTACTACTAAGCAAGAAAAAGGAACGAACTACTGAAGTGTGAAACGATATGGATGCATTAAGATAAGTGTGAGAAGCCAGATGGAAAAGGCAGCTTATTGGGTGATTCCATTTATTTGAAATTCAGGAAAAGAAAAACCACAGGGACAAAGAACAGATCAGTAGTTGTCTGCATTAAGGGAAGAAGAGTTTGTGGATTTGGCTACAAAGTGGCAGCATGAAGGAGTATCTCGATTGTGTTCATGATGACACAACTCTAAGTATTTGTCAAAATATATAGTGCTCTACGTCAAAAAAGTAAATTTTACCCTAAATTTGAAATAAAAATAAAAGGCATTTATAATGACTACTTTGGGGAGAGTTTAAAAAAAACAAGGTGGGAATAAAATACTAGACAAAAATAACTTGGTAGATGAGAGAGATAATTAGAATGTAAACATTTAAAGTCCTGATTTTGCCGAGGATAAAGGTAAAGATATTGATTAATTTCAGACTTTTGGAACAAGGATGCTTTTAAAAATGGAAGGGTAACCACTAAAAAAACAGAAATAATATGTATAATTTTCAAACTAGTAGAGACTATGAAAGAAGTAAGAGAAGAAACAAATATCTGTAATTTTAGCACTTTGGGAGGCTGAGGCAGGAGGATCTCTTGAGGCCTAGAGTTCGGGACTAGCCTTGGCAACATAGTGAGACCCCATCTCTACAAAAAACAAAATAACTGGAACATGGTGGTGTGCATCTATCGTCCCAGCTATTTGGAAGGCTGAGGTGAGAGGATTGCTTAAGCTCAGGAGTTCGAGGCTGCAGTGAGCTATGATCACGCCATTGCACTCCAGCCTGGGTGACAAATTAAGACTCTGCCTCTGTTAAAAAAAGAAGCAAATGAAAAGTGTAGCAACAGCAAATCAGTAGGTAAGATGATAGAAATAATCCAAATATATTAGTGATCACAATAAATGAAAAGATGAAATACGTCTGTAAAAAGATTATATTTTTTAAAAAAGGTCCAGCTGTATGATGTGTACCTAAAATATAACGACATAGAAAATTTGCAAGCAATGAGTTGAAGAAGAGATACACAAAGAAACTAACCAAAAATAAAGCTAGTATAGAAATATTAATATCCAACAAAATGTACACCCTTTATCTAATGCCTACTGTATGCAGAGCCCTGTCTGAAGCCTGTGAGATGACACAGGAGAAACAGAAACATGACTGCTACCCTAGGGGATTATAGTTAGGGGCTGACCAATGATTCCAAATCATTTTATTTAATCAACAAATACTTGTTCAAAAACTGTGCAAATCCAAAAACATGATATTTCTAAAATGAGGATAAGGGAGTGGGGCATAGTTGGAATTCCAAAAATAAAAATAGGGGCCAGGCACAGTGGCTCATGCCTGTAATCTCAGCATTTTGGCCGAGGCGGGCAGATCATGAAGTCAGAAGCTCGAGACCAGTCTGGCCAACATGGTGAAACCCTGTCTCTACTAAAAATACATAAAAAATTAGCCGGGCGTGATGGCATGCGCCTGTAATCCTAGCTACTCAGGAGGCTGAGGCAGGAGAATAATTTGAACCCGGGAGGTGGAGGTTGCAGTGAGCCGAGATTGCGCCACTGCACTCCAACCTGGGCAATAGAGTGAGACTCCATCTCAAAAAAAAAAAAAAGTATTGATCAGTGTAGTAGTTGATTTTCAAAGATACCCCCAATGAACCATGCCTCCCAGTGTTCATGCCCTTGTTTAGTCTCCTCACACATCAAATCTGGACTGGCCCTGTGACTCATTTTAATAAACAGGATGTGGCAGAAGAGAAAGTATGCTGATTCTGGGCCAATTATTGAGGTCTGGAAACTGCTTTTGCACTTTTGGGAAGAAAGCTGCCATACATCAAGTATAGCTATGCTGCTGTCTAGACTGTGTGGAGAAGCCACATGGAGGAAATGCCATGAGTTGATAAGGAGAGGAAAGAGGTCCAGCCATCTCAGCAGAGCCCAGCCTTCCAGCTGTCCCTGCCAAGGTGCCAGACACTCTAGCCAGCCAAGTCCTTGAAGGTTGCAGTTCCTGTCAGTATCACGTGCAGCAGGACTGAGCAGTTGAGCCCAGTTAACCTGCAGGATCATGAAAGATAATGAAGTGGCTACCATAAAACCAGAAATTTCTGGGAGTAGTTATGCAGTTATAGATAACCAAAAGAATCTCTTTCAGTGTGTGCTAGACCCTCTGCTAACTCATCATTTTCATCAATGATGTGATTTAATCCTTTCAAACATACTTAGAGGTATGTATAACTAACTCCCATTTTATAAATGAAGAAACTGAGGCTTGGAAAGAATGCCACATGGCTAATAAAGAATAGAAGCAGGGCTTGAATCAAGGAAGTCTTGATAAGGGACTTCACACTCTCAACCACTGCATTATGTGGCCAAGTGGGAGAGCTGAGGGATGAAAAACACAAGACATTTCACAATAAATCATGATGTCTATATGAGCACCCTTTAAGCTTTCTATTCCTTGTCTTTCTTCATCCTGTGCTACTGACCAGGAAAGTGGATTCTATAAAGATGATCAGTTAAGTAGGCAGATGACAGCCAGGTGCAGTGGCTCACGCCTATAATCCCAGCACTTTGGGAGGCCAAGGCGGGTGGATCACTTGAGGTCAAGAGTTTGAGACCAGCCTGAACAACATGGTAAAATCCCATCTCTACTAAAAATAAAAAAATTAGCTGGGTGTGGTGGTGGGTGTCTGTAATCCCAGCTACTTGGGAGGCTGAGTTACAAGAATTGCTTGAACCTGGGAGGTGGAGGTTACAGTGAGCCAAGATCACACCACGCACTCCAGCCTGGGCGACAGAGTGAGGCTCGGTCTCAAAAAAAAAAAAAAAAATAGGCAGATGATATAGTTGGAGATTTTATTATAGTTTGGACACACTTCATAACAAGCACTAATCATCCTCAGTGTTCAGTTGTCACTTGAGAAAATGTAAATGCTACATCTGCTCACTGCCTGTCTTTTCTTCCAGACAAAGAACATATGTTCTTGACAAGGGAGTGTGCCTTGTTCCCCACCCACAGTCACCACTGGAGAAGCTTGAGTTTTGGAGAGGTGGGGACTGGCTGAATTCTCTTTTTTTCTCTTTTTCTCCTTTTTGTTTTTAAAGAGAATAGCATCTTGCTCTGTTGCCCAGGCTGGAGTGCAATAGCACAATAAGAGCTCACTGCAGTCTCGAACTCCTGGTCTCAAGTGATCCTCCTGCCTCAGCCTCCCAAGTAGCTGAGACTACAGGAGCGTGCCATCACACCTGTGTAATTGACTTATTTTTTGTAGAGGGTCTCACTTTGTTGCCCAGGCTGATCTCAAACTCCTGACCTCAAGTGATTCTCCCACCTCAGCCTCCCAAAGTGCCGGGATGACAAGTGTGGCTGAGTTGGTATGGGCTCTCCTTTCCCCATATCCAAGGCAAGCTTCCAGGATTCTTCTGGGACATCAGGTGTTAGGGACCATCTTAGTCCCTACCTCAGTTTCACACATGAGAAAATTGAAGTCCACAGAGGAGGTGTGGCTTCATCAAAAACCCACTGAGAACGAGTGTTAGAATCAGGCTAGGACACATTGGACTCCTCCTCCAGGGCTCTCTGACATCCAAGGCCCTTTGAAATCTCTCTCCAGCTGCAAACAGATTTCTAGACTTCTGATGGAGGTGATCTGAGATGAGCAGCCTCTAAAAGCAGCCTCTGCGAGCCTCTAAGAGCAGCCGGGACCTGCTGGAGAACAGAACATGGCCTAGGAGCGCAACAGCCAAGTGTTCAGCACCACGGACAGCTTCGCTGGCCTATTGCTGGGGAGGCCAGAGGTGGGGAGGCTGGTTGTCCAGCAAGACAGAGTGCCATGGGAGAGAGAAAAAAACATGGGAAAGATCTCAGAGACCATCTAGTCCAGCCTCCTCGATTTGGATGGGAGGAGACCCAGGACAAGAGAGAAGTGACTTGTCCAAGGTCACACAACAAGTCAGTAGAGAGCCAGAGATGGGAGCTGACAGCCTACTTCCTCACACCTCTTCAAGGCCCTCAGATACCTGGTGTCCATGACTTATTAGTGGCACAGCCAGACCTTGATTAAGGGCTCCAAAATTAAAATTACCTGTCCTTGGAAATGACAAGAAAAGAAAAAAGGAGAAATCAAAGAAATGGAAAGAGCACCCGGCCCTGATGGGAAGGTCTGTGATTTGGCCTCTAACTGCAAGGCTTTGACAGGAGCTTCCTACTTTCCAAGGTGATGTGGCCTTTCAGAAACAATTTAGTTACCATGGCAACCTCATTCCAGGTTTCATCTCCATGGCAATTCACTGGAGTTTTTCACCCTCCGGTAAGTACATGTGTGATGGCCCAGACATGTATCCCAGAAACATTAATATAAAATCACATTTTTAGAAGTGGAGTATCTCATTATCCTAGTCTGCAGCCAGAGGAATAACAAGGCATGTTCTCGGGTGGGCAGGGCCCAGGGCATAGTGGAAGGATGTCTCTGGGGGCAGCTCTGCCTTCTCACTGCAATTGCAAACCTGTCCCAGTCTTTACAGCTAGTGCATCTCAACCTCCCATGGGTACAAATGATTTCTCCTTTTCTGCATCCTCCCTGGTGCCCTGCTCATGACAAAGCCTGAGTGTTGCCTGTGCTGACAAGAAGTGCTGGGACAAGGAGAGAGAAAGCTGGTCCTTCTGACTATGACTTCTGTGGCACCCCAGGGCTCCTGCTTCCCTGTCCACTGTGCCCCAGATTGGGGCACCCTGGAGCAGTTCCCAGCTTTTGTGTTGGACCTTGCTTGTCTGATCTGTGGACTGTGGGCTTCCCCCTCAACGTGACCTAATCTGCCATCCAATTTCCAGGAAATCCTCGTGGTTTCTGCTCCACCCAGGGCACCCCTTCTGTTTTCCAGCAATGCTATGCCTTCTCTTTCTTTTTTTTCTGAGACACAGTTCACTTTGTCACCTAGGCTGGAGTGCACTGGTGTGATCACGGCACGCTGCAGCCTCGACCTCCTGGGCTCAATTGATCCTCCCACCTTAGCCTCCTGAGTAAATGGGACTACCGGCACACAGCACCATGCCCAGCTAATTTTTGTATTTTTTTTTTTTTTGTAGAGGCGGGGTCTCATTATGTTGCCCAGGTTGGTCTTGAACTCCTGGTCTCAAGTGATCCTCTTGCCTTGGCCTCCCAAAGTGCTGGGATTACAGACGTGAGCCACTGTGCCTGGCTGCTATGACTTTTCTTTAATATGTCCTGCTGTTTATAATGATGCAGGGCTGGAGTATTTAGCCCACCATCTTGACCTAACCTTCTCTTTCTTTCTCCACTTTTAATGTCTATAAATAACCATCTACTAATCTACTTATAATATGTCTAACGATGGATCATTTCTCTCCTCCTCATCTTCTTCATCATCGTCACCAGTAGCAGTAGTACTATTTCGTGATTGAGGGATCACCACAGAGTAAGAAGTGCTCACAAAAATGTTCCATCAACATCTCAAATAATGAGACAGAAAAATCAAGGCATGGCTTCATTTAAAAAATGTAATTGAGAGTATGAAATGTACTAGCTATGTACCTTCTCAGACCACTTTTTTTGAGACAGGGTCTTGCTGTGTTGCCCAGGGTGCAGTGCAGTGGCACGATCATGGCCCATTGTGTGACCTCCTCACACCTCTTCAAGGCCCTCAGATACCTGGTCCTTGTGACTTATTTAGTGGCACAGCCTTGACCTGCTGGGCTTAAGCAATCCTCCCATCTCAGCCTCCAGGGTAGTTGGAACTACAGGTGCACCCCACCACACCCGATTAATTTTTTGTATTTTTTGCAGAGACAAGGTCTCACCATGTTGCCCAGAATGGACCCGAACTCCTGAGCTCAAGAGATCCTCCTGCATCAGCCTCCCGAAGTGCTGGGATTATAGGTATGAGCCACCACCCTGACCTCCAAATACCTTTTGAACTCAGGCTTGGATTTGAACTCTGGTTCTATCAACTATTAGCTGTGATTTCAGATCAGTGACTTGAGCAATTTGTGCCTTGTTTCATTAAGTGGAGATGACAATAGCACCTGCCTTGCAAGAATTATTTGATGTGGCCGATGAGAAAAATCAGAATTATGAAAAGTGCTTCACACCATTCCTGGCATGTGAAGAGCCCTCTCTAAATGGCCATTATGCTAATTAGCACCTTAAAGGGAAATCATTTTCATGAAATTTTATTTGAATCTGGCTAGAGAAAATGCTCACCTTCTTCCTTGTGTTTTGCTTATTTGATTAAATGTCTTTGATTTCTGTGATGTGTGAAGTCCCTTGAAAGCAGGGCTGTGTGTCCAACAAAGGTTTGTGGCCTTCCCGCAGTGAATTGTGTGGGAAATACAAACACAGGGAAGACAGTTCTGGTCCTCAGGGGAAGTGTAGTGGGGAAGACGGACATGAGAACCTAACCATAACAGGATGCAGAGCGAGGCATGTGCCATGCACTGTGGCCGTGTTACCTCCTGGTTTGGAGTGTGAGCTCAGACACCAGTCTGCCTGGGTTTGGATCCCAGCTCTGCCACTTATTGGCTGCACAACCTCAAACAAGTCTCTTACCCTTGCTGGGCTTCAGTTTCCTCAAATGTAAAGTAAAAATGGTAACAGGAGAGTTAATACATGAACAGAGGCTAACACATAGAAGGGCTCAATCAACATTAGCTGTCATTACCAAGATATACGAAGATAGTATGGAGGGGATATGTGAGAAGTGATTATAATTCTGTTTCATGGGTGAGGTTGTACTTGAGCTTGGTCTTGGAGGGTAAGTAGTTCTCAAAGGGCGAAGAGAAGGAGAGAGGCATTTTGGGGGAAGCAGAGCAGCAGGAACAGAGGCATGGAGTGTGAACTCTGCAGTGTTCTCTGGGTACAGCATGGGGGCTGGATCACAGGTGCATGGAGAGAAATACTGGGAAATGGGCCGGTGCAGAGGGTTTAGGACAGCCCCTAGGAGGTCTTGAAAACTGGCTCAAGCATTCAGACAGTTCTGTAGACAACAGAGACTGACTACAGGCTACTGGAGAGAAGCAACATGGTGCCACCTGTGTTCTGGGCAAATCACCTTGGTGGCAGTGAAGGAAAGATAAAGAGGGGGGTAGGGGGCCCAGAGACCATTTGGGGGCTATAGCACAGCCCAGGCAAAAATGTCAAGAGCTTAAGCAGGGAGGTGGCCAAGAGGGAGAGCCACTGTGAACACAGAATCCGACAGGCTTGGTGAAGGAGTGGGCAGAGTCAGACAGGGTTTCCTGCTAGGTGGCTGGGAAGATGACAGTGGTGATGCTCTTACAGAATCAGGACCCTGGGAAGAGGACCAGCCTGGGATGGGGGCCTTCTTCAGCTTGGGGCATATGGCATGGCCCAGTGCAGACCCTTGTATGTCCCTCACTGCTGTTCCTTCTCTTCAGCTCCAACAAGCCCCATAGAGCACCCTGCACCAGTCAGGCACTCAGTGAATACCTCTGAGTAAGGAACCACAGGGAAGGAGGCGTCCAGAGACCTCCCTGCTCCAACTTCCTCCATTCCAGACCCAGCCTCTTCCTCTCCCTCCGCACTGTGGACACCCCTGAACATCTCCTCCTGTTTCTGAATCTTTAGGGAAAAAATGTCCCAACTCTGTCTCTCAGCACTGCCTCCTTTCTCTGCCCCAACCCACTGAATGTGTGACTCATTCCCACGCTTACATCCTAAAGCCCTGCCTGGGGTGTCCCTCCATGCGGGGACCGCTGGAGCAGAGACCATCACCATCATAACACCCTCCACCAGCCACCCAGCCCCTGCCATGGGAAGAGCACCATGCCAAGCTCATCAATCACCATCAGATCCTCTCGACAAACACAGAGGATGGGCTTTCTGATTCCCATTTTAGTGTGTGACTCAGAGAACTTAGTTGGCTTGCTCTTGCGCACACAGCTGGTTCTGTGTAATCATACAGCTTGAACAGGTCCCCTGCCCTCTGCCTGCCTTCCCCACCAGCACCTCTACAATGGCCATGCAGATCTTCAGGACACAAACAGAAAGCAGGGGCTACCTGAGACTGGAACATCAGGGCATCTCTTGGGATCAGCACCACCTGCAGTCATTGAATGCAGAAGGGCCTTCTAATCCTGGGACCTGTCCAGACCCCCAAGGATTCTGATGTAATTGGTCTGGGGTGCAACCCCAAAAGCAGGACTTTTAAAAGCTCCTCCAGGTAATTCTCATGAGGTTGAAAAATGATTGTTCTAATGGGTCCTACCCTGAAAGCATCCCTGCCGACACCTGCCCCCCACCACAGTCACCGTGGACCTGCTCTGCTGCCTCCGTACTGAGCTTCTCATGCTGGATGCAGCCGGGCCATGGCACAGGTCCTCACAGCCACCGGCCTCCCAGGAGAAGCGGAAGCCGATCTCGCTCTGGCTCCCCTCCACTCTGGCTCCCTTTTCTGACTCCAGATACTTCTCTCCATCCACCTTCCCAGGTTTCCAGAGCCTTCTTATGGTCCAAAGCTCCCCCTCTCCACAAGGGGAACACTCTAGCTGCCCTTCTGGAGAGGACTGAAGACCCCAAGTTGACTCCCTGGTCCTTGTGCCCCCTGGGGGGCCACTGAGAGCCGGGCAGGGAGGCTGGCTGGTGTCAGCAGGAAGGAGGGTGGTGGGCCAGGTGGCAGAGTGGCCAGAAAGGAGGCAGCCTTCAAATGCTGGTTCCGCCACCTCCTCCCACTGGGCTGTTTCCCCTATGTCACAGTGAGAGAGCTGCACAGGACCCCAGCCCCACCCTGCAGAGGGGCCAGAGTTGCTTTCTTATGCCTGGAGACCCTAAACAACCGTGGAACGATCAGGCTTCCCTGCTCCAGGCTGGGACCAGCCTCTGTCCTGATGGCCAGAAGCTCTGATGAGCAGGTATAGACAGCAGACAGTTTCCTTATTCAGCAATAAGGACAGTGTGCTTGGTGGATAAATGCCTTAAACACGGAAGAGTTCACGGGAATCAAAACAATGAAAGAGGCTTGGCAAATAACTTCAAACCAGTGAGATGGGTCCCCCTCTGTGGGGACTCCCAGGCCTGGCCTGAAGATTTGAGTGTATAGGAAGGCATGAGGTCCCCCAACTCTCCCATTGCAAGAGAGGTGCTTGTTACCTTTCGCGATCCCCTTGCCCCCTCTCTGGTGCCCACTTTCTCACTCTGCATCCCTCAACTCCCACCTCTGCCCCAGCTGCCCTGGTGATGTGCGGGGTGGGGGAACAAAAAACACAGGCTGTGCAAGCAGACACCGGGGGTCAAATCTCCTGGCTCTAGCTGACTACAGCTAACCTCTCTGAGCTTCCAGTTTCTCATCTGTAAAATGACGATCATCCCCAGCATAGAGTGGTGCTGGAGGATTAAGTAATGAGATAATATCTGTAAAGCACTGTGCTTAGTGATGGAGATCAGTAAATGTGGTTCCATCCCACGGCTGTCCTGCCTCATCTCCCCCATCATCTCAAAACAGGTACAGCTTCCATCCTAAAGCATTAAGATGCTTCCTGCAAAAAGATCTCAAGAAAGACCAGCCGCGGTGGCTCACGCCTGTAATCCCAGCACTTTGGGAGGCCGAGGTGGGTGGATCACCTGAGGTCAGGAGTTCAAGACCAGCCTGGCCACAATGGTGAAACCCTGTCTCTACTAAAAATGCAAAAATTAGCTGGGAGTGGTGGTGGACACCTGTTATCCCAGCTACTTGTGAGCTGAAGTAGGAGAATTGCTTGAACCTGGGAGGCACAGGTTGCAGCAAGCCGAGATCAAGCCACAGCACTCTAGCCCAGGCGACACAGACTCCATCTCAAAAAAAAAAAAAAAAAAAAAAAAACTCAAGACAGCAGAGGAGAGACGCTGCAACATGAGGACTCCAGCCACAATCAGTCGTCAGCTGAGCTTTTGCATCAAAGCCTGTCTGCGAGGCAGGGGTGTGCACTGGAGCCGCTCCACTCACGTGGACGGGGGCTCAGAGACCCGGAAACAGCATTATGCCCCATAATAGGGGATCAGTGATGTTTGCATAAAAGAGAACCAGGTACAAGCCTGAGAAGGATGGCTTATGTGGATATTAGTTACTGACATGAACCTTTGTCATCATACACTGATAAGTGAAAAACAGTATCACGGTATACGTTCAAAGTGGTGCATATGCTAGAATAACATTTTCTGGAGAAAATCTCAAACCTAATTCTATCGATCCCTCAAAATATGAAAGGCTGCATGCCAAAGGATTAATAGTGATTCCTTCTAGGTTGCAGGAATGTGGCTACTGTTTGCCAACATTTTTCTTTTTTTTGTTGCTATAAATGTTAATTACTTGTATCATCGCTTTAAAACATAGGCCGGTGCGGTGGCTCATGCCTGTAATCCCAGCACTTACAGTGGATCATTTGAGGTCAGGAGTTTGAGACCAGCGTGGCCGACATGGTGAAAACCCATCTCTACTAACATATAAAAATGAGCCAGGCATGGTGGTGGGTGCCTGTAATCTCAGCTACTTGGGAGGCTGAGGGAGGAGAATCACTTGAACTTGGGAGGCAGAGGTTGCAGTGAGCTGAGATCGCACTACTGCACTCCAGCCTGGGCAACAGAGCGAGACTCCTTCTCAAAATTAATTAATTAATTAATTAAAAAGGAAAAATATAATAAGGACACACTCCATGGCTTCTGCAGTCTCTTCTGAGCTGATAGTCAAGGTCCTGGCATGGCTTGGCTCTCCTCCAGTGCTGGGTTAGGGGCTCTGTGACCCAGTGCCCCACCCTAGCCTGGCCTAACTATATCCTTTGCTGACCTTGAACCCCACACAGATCCTGGCAAAGCTGCATGGCTCCATGAATACATGTATGTACATGTAGGAGCTTTTCATGCACTTTCTCACTTAAACTTTCCAACCACCTAGAGAGCTCAGCTAGAGTACCTCACTTTACAGATGAAGAAACAGGCCTTGGAAGGTGAAGCGACTTTCTCTGATGACTGGAAAGTGTGGAGGGAAGTCCTGCACCCCGACCTGCCTGTATCAAAGACTTGTCTCTCACGCCTCAAGCTCTGTGGTTCTGTGCACACCTCACCAGGCCCCCACTCACCCATCTAACATGTGTTTGTTCTGTGTGCATGTTTTTCTTCTGTGTTCTGGGCCACACCTGTTGGGCACCTCTCCCTCCCCGGCAAGGGGGAAGCTTTAGGAAGTAGAGAGAAAGGCAGGGCACAGGGCCTGGCTCTGAGGAAGGGTCACACTTACAGCCAGGCCTGGGGCTGGTGGGGTAGGCAGAGGGCACAGGGCACGTGGGGGAGAGGGGGGACCTTCCCAAGACAGGGAACTGTCTCAACCATAATCACCCTCAGTGTTGCTGCTTCCCCGCTTTATGTTCTATAGAGACACCCGGAGGGGACAGCCTGCTGTGGTGGGCACTGTGCTGGGCCCAGGCTGTGTGCTGACAGAACCCTGGGGCTGGGCTGGGGCAGGAGGCGAGACCCTGGCTTCCTGCTTTGCTTCTCCCGCCACCCGCTTCTTCCTCCTCTCTTCCCTTCTCCTTCCATCCCATCTTCTCCCTGCTGTCCTTTCATATGCTTCCTCTTCCCCCTTCTTTCTCCTCCTCCTCCTCTCCCTTCTTCATTTCTAGTCCAGCTATAGTGGGAAGAAGTCCCTGCAAGGAGCTCTGGCTCTTGGCCAAGAGGGAAGGAGAACCTGGGACAGGAAAGGATTCCCAGCAAAGGGTTGCACACTGGGCACCCCGAGCCCTTGCTGAACCTCAGCTTTGGAGCACAAGGTGGAATTCAGGTTTGTCAGCCTCCCCAGCTCAGCAGGGAACCAGCAGTCTGCACAATGTGACCGTTGGTGACGGATGTTGGCCTCTGCCCATCTGGCTGCATTGCTGTCAACATACAGGTTCCATGTCCCGGGCTTTCTGCCCAGGCACTCCCCTGCAAAGTGAGCCCCAGGAGAAACCCGGGTTTACAGCTGCTCTGTAGCCCCAAACCCTGTACCCCACTGGCTGACGCTGGCTACCCAAAAAGAAATTATTGAGGCACAGAGGATGGCAGCACTCAATCTCCCGTGTGGACGAGCGTCTCTGCAGTCATATTATTAGCATCTCGAGGGCAGAGCCTGAGTTGCCTTCACCTCTGCAACTTCCTTAGCACCCAGCATTAGGAGAGCGACATAAGACACACCTAAAAAATACTGGCACTGACATGCAAACCTAGGTCTTGTACGTCAAGTTTATTAGGAGTGTAAAACTTCTTGTAGTATTCCCTCTAACTTAGCCAGGTGGGAAAGTGTCAAATAAAAAGGACTTCAGTGGGATTTCTGAGTAGCATCCTTGGAATCTGCACTCAAGGGATGCTACTCGGAAATCCCACTGAAGTCCTTTTAATTAAATGTGTGTGCATGTGTGCAACCCACATGTGTACACGTATACCTTGCCCCCAAAACTGGAATGCCGGATGAGGGCCATTTCTGCTGTACCCACTGCCTCTGCCACTCATTAGCTGAGTGTGACCTTGAGCCCATTATCTAACCACACAACCAGATGACAATCTCATATGACAGCTGGCTTGCTCACTCTCACTCTGCTGCTGCTTTTTTCTTTTTCTTTTCTTTTTTCTTTTTTGCCATATAGATGGGGGTCCCACTGTGTTGCCCAGGCTGGTCTCGAACTCGTGGGCTCAAGTGATTCGCCCACCTTAGCCTCCCAAATTACTGGGATTACAGGGATGAGCCACCACACCTAGCCTCTGTTGCTTCGTTGTTGAAAATTGTTGAGATCTAGCGTTCCCCATGGGTTAAACTCTCCTTATCCATGGACTGGAGTGCACTTATCATGGGATCTCAAGTCTAAGTAATAGAACTATGACTGCAAGGGTGAGCAGGCGCTGCCTCAGAACACCCCGCAATGCTGTCATCTCAGAGGCTGGGACACCTGCCCCGTCTGCCGAGCTGGGGTTTGCTGTCCTGGACACCCCGTGTATCTGCTGTGATCTTTATTGACAAGAAAGAATCTTGCTTTCTTGACAAGAATCTGCACTCAAGAGATACTACTCGGAAATCCCACTTAAGTCCTTTTTATTAAATGTGTGTGCATGCGTGCGACACATGTGTACACGTATACCTTTCCCCCAAACTGGAATGCTGGATGGGGGCCATTTCTGCTGTACCCGCCACCTCGCATGCTCCATTCTTTGCCTCTGAAGCCACCCCCAAAGCTCAAGGCTTCTTTCCATCTACTACTGAGTTGGGGTCTGGGGAGGGCGACCCCCAGCAGCCACAGCCGTGCACCCCTCTATGTGAACTTGGCTTAGACAAGTAAGTAAGAAAGTAAGTGGATGTGGTGATGTAAGCCCTCCCTACTTCCCCCGTTCTAGGGGACATCTTGCTGGTGAAGGCACAGCTGACCCCAGAAGTACTATCCCCGACTCAGAGGACAGGATGTGGGGGATTTGACCTAGGCCCTGAGACGCATGGAACCAGCTACCTGGGGAGCAAAGCAAGTGCCAGGGTTTCTGGGGCGCTGGCCAGGGCCAGACGCTAGGTCTGCCATCCGTTGCTCACCCAGTGCCTGGCACAGTGCCTAGCCCACAGGAGATTTACAATAGACACCGGTGGAATGAATGAGCTTGGACAAGATCAGTAAACAGAATCTTAATTTCCTCTCCTATAAACAGGAAATTAGAGGAGCATCTGCTCCTCTTACCAATGTGTTGTGGGGAGCAAAGGAGGTCATCTCCGCCGGGCGCGGTGGCTCACGCCTGTAATCCCAGCACTTTGGGAGGCCGAGGCGGGTGGATCACAAGGTCAGGAGATCGAGAGCATCCTGGCTAACACGGTGAAACCCCGTCTCTACTAAAAATACAAAAAATTAGCTGGGCGTGGTGGCGGGCGCCTGTAGTCCCAGCTACTCGGGAGGCTGAGGCAGGAGGATGGCGTGAACCCGGGAGGCAGAGCTTGCAGTGAGCCCAGATCGCACCACTGCACTCCAGCCTGGGGGACAGAGCAAGACTCTCTCTCAAAAAAAAAAAAAAAAGGTCATCTCAAGTGAAACTGATTTGAATCCCAGCTCTGCCCCTTTCTAGCTGCGCTACCTCAGGCAACCTCTTGGAGCCTCAGTTTCCTCATCTGTACAATGGGAGGAGCTACAAAACCTTCTTCGAGGGAGTGGAAGCTCAGTGTTTGGCATATTAGGCATTCGCTACTATTTTCGTCATGCTTATGAAAGTACTCTGAAAACTGCAAATGCTTTTCAAATATGAATTACTATTTTCTTTTTTTTTTTTTTTTTTTTTTTTTTATGTCCAGGGAATCCATTTCAGAGAACCAAATGTACTTTAGGGAAAGAGTTCATACGATAAACAAAACTAACAATAACCCTCATTGTCCTTATTGAGCGTCTATTAAATGCCAGGCATTGTGCCGGCTTCTTCAAACACATCATGTCGTGAAAGCTATGGGTCCCCTATCGCTCCTATTTTGTAGGTGAGGAAACCGAGGCACAGAGAGGTTGAGCTACTTCTCCAAAGTTACAGAACTAGGAAGCAGGGCAGCCAGGATTTTGAAGACCAGGATCCCAGGCCTTCTCTCTTGTGAACCCAAGGCCCTCTGAGATTTATCGGTGCATCCTGGGAAGAGCTCTCAATGGACAGCAGTTGTGGGTGAGTGGGGCTTTCTAGAACCATCCTCCACTCGGATGGCTCAGGATTCTGCTCTGTCTGGCTCTGCCCTGGAGCACTGTTCCTCATTCACTCTTACCTTATGTAACTCAGTGTTCCCGCCCCCTGCCCCAAGGATTATATAAGGCAGCCCAGTAAACACCCTGCAGGCCTCAGGACTCCTGGGGAGAACTAAGACGGTCTACAAATGTGACCTCTTGCCCTCACCCCTTCTCAGGACCCCACTCTTGCTGGCTGTCTTCCTCCTGAGGCACAAGGCTGCCTGTGCCTGTGTGTGTGCCTGCTTGTGTGAGCATACACTCACACCATGTGCCCACGTGTGCAGACTTGTACACCACAGGGGACCCAAACACACGTTAGTACACACGCGTCTTCACTATTTTTTTAAACAGTGGGAGAATCCTGCAAAGTGTCCCCACTAAGGCTTTCCTTTTCAGCAAATTCAGAACAGTTAACTTTGCTTTGACAAGGAACTATGAAAGAAAGAAAGAAGAAAGATAAAGGAAGGAAGGAAAGAAAATGATAAAAGTTGTTGTTGTTGTTGTTGTTTTGGAGACGGAGTCTAGCACTGTCGCCCAGGCTGGAGTGCAGTAGCGTAATCTCGGCTCACTGCAAGCTCCGCCTCCCGGGTTCACGCCATTCTCCTGCCTCAGCCTCCCAAGTAGCTGCGACTACAGGTGCTCATCACCACGCCCGGCTAATTTTTTGTATTTTTAGTAGAGACCGGGTTTCACTGTGTTAGCCAGGATGGTCTCGATCTCCTGATCTCGTGATCTGCCCGCCTCGGCCTCCCAAAGTGCTGGGATTACAGGCGTGAGCCACCACGCCTGGCGATAAAAGTTTTTAAAAAAGAAATTTGGCTGGGCGCAGTGGCTGACACATGTAATCCCAGCACTTTGGGAGGCCGAGGCGGGTGGATCACCTGAGGTCAGGAGTTCGACACCAGCCTGGCCAACATGGTGAAACCCGGTCTCTACTAAAAATAATAAATAAATAAATAAATAATTAGCCAGGCATGGTGGCGCGCGCCCATAATCCCAGCTATTCCGGAGGCTGAGGCAGGAGAATCGCTTGAACCTGGGAGGCAGGGGTTTCAGCGAGCCAAGATTGCGCCACTGCACTCCAGCCTGGGCGACAGAGTGAGATTCCATCTCAAACAAACAAACAAAAAACCAAAAAAACAAATTTAACTCTTGACTCGTTCTCTTCTCGCCCCAGTCACATTTAGTAGCAGACCTATTTTATTAGAGGAGAGTTCTCGCAGTGTTCGCCCTAACTTGGCCCGGTGGAAAAGCGTGTAAGCCTGTGTTCTTTCTGAAACCATTTTCTGGTCATTTGGGATTTTACGCAAATGCCTGTAGCTGTCTGAGCTGCATTCCCCAAACCACTGAGGGCAGCCCAGACTCCAGATAACTGCACCACCTACATGACGAAGCCACTTATCCAGGTTGCCTGAGTCACTGAAGGCTGCTGTCCCCAGATCAGGCTGGACTTCCTGCAAGTCACACCAAACCATCAACAGAACATTCTCCACATTCGGGGTTTTTCCCCCAGAGACACTTTACAAGGAGTGTCAGTTCCTCCCCTCACTGGCCTGGCCTGAATTCTCCCAGGTCTGAGATTGGGACGACCAGGGTTGGGGGATGGGGCACATCCTGATCATGATAATTCTGACCACACAGGAGCACTTGGGAGCCAGGACGACTCTGGATCCTTCATAGCCAGGGACCATCTGTGCCTTCGAGAAACTCCCCCACCCCACCTGTGCCAAGCCTCTCCCTAATGAAACTAGTGCCAAATACACGGGATCGCATTCCCTTCGCTTCTCTTAGCTAAAAGCAGCTAAGACTTCAGTCACCTTCCTCGTTATTCTTCACTCCCACCCACAGCAAAAGAGAGAAGAAAGGGAGAAATCCAGTCTCTCCCCGACCAAGTCTTCCAAGAACCGCTTGAGCGGGGTTGGCACTAGGACTAAGTGTAGTGGGGGATACATAGGCCAGAAAGCCCAGCCTTCTCTCCTCCAGTGTCCCCAGGTCCCCCTGTCCCCAACTTCCAGAAAGCAGAGCTGTCCTCTCGCTGTCCGCTAGGGAGTAGCCAGTTCTTGCTGCTCCACACTGCTGCAAGGGAAGTTAGCACCTGCAGGAGGCGTGGGTTTCTGGGCAGCTGGGGCATCCTGTAATGGGAGGCTCCAAGTCCCCTGCAGGCAACTGCGTTTGGAGGCCATTTTCTCCATTGTATAATAAACATCCTGGGACTTCCTCACCACAAAGCCGCCAACCCCCACCCCTATGGGATGCAACAAGGGGGTTTCTTCCGTCTACTCATCTGTCCGCTATAAGGGTAGGGACAAAGCAAGCCCTTAGAAGGGGCTTTGGCCTTATAATTAAACTTTTAACTAGATCTAGTTTTCCCCTCTGCCAAATTGAATTTTCCTTGTTCACATTTTCTTCGTTTTGGACACAGCTGACTGATTTTGTTTCATCTCATATTAGACTCATATATCCAGTGATTTAATTAATCTCACCAGCTGTCTGGCTGTCCCACAGGACCTGCCTTCTCCGCTGTTGGCGTTAGAAAACGATTCCCTTTGCCTTTCCTCGCTCTGGCCTCCGCGTGGAGCCCCAGGATCCTTGACCTGACCTGTGGGCTCCCCAGCCAGGCGTCCACGCAGGGGCTAGATGTCTCCCACGGGGCTCAAAGTGTCCGCCAGGAGGGTACATGCCCTCCGCCCCGCAACACACACACACACCTCACAGGCGCGGGTGGGAAGCTGCCTGAAGCCCTACGGCTGCAGTTTTATTACAAGATTTCTTTCCAAACGCAAGATCAGGCCAACAAGCTCAGCGACTCTGACGCTTCACATCTTCACCCACTCGCACCGTGTTCCGAACCCACCCGCACCAACGTACACACAAAACTCCCACGCGAGCGACCGCAGTCCCAAATTGCATCTCCATACCCACTCCCACCCTGCCCCGAACGTCTTAAAAAACAAACAAACAAAAAAAACTGGTAAGAACCCTCACCCCACATTCTCCCACCCCGCAACGCTGCAGCGCACACAGGACAGAGCCGGGCGTCCAAGTCCCTTCCCGCGCCCCCGCCGACAGTCTCGCCGCGTCCCCGCCCGGGCGCCCCAGGCACGTAGCTGCCCGCCCGGAGGCGGCGGCAGAGCGCAGAGAGCGGGGCGAGGGTCCGGGTCTCCGGGGTCCTTCTTGCAGCAGCGCTGGCGAGGGCGGACCCAGATGGCGCTCAGTACAGCCCCAGGATGGCTGCGCCCACGTCCTTGGAGGGCCGGCGCTCCTGCACCAGAAAGTTGATCATGCTCTCGGACTTGATGAGCAGGTTGCAGCCCAGGAAGAAGACGCCGAAGACCACGGTAAGCGACAGCACGCAGAGCACGGCGATCTGCGCCACCCGCGACACCCACAGGCTGCGCTCGTCGGGCGCCAGCCCCGCGGGGACCCCGTCGCTGGCGGCCAGCGGTGCGCCCCCTGGACAGCAGCCCAGCCACGTGCCCAGCCCGTGGGTGCGGTTTCCCAGGGCGGCCCCGGCGCCGCCGCCCACGCCGTCCACCTCCTCCAAGCCGCTGTGGTTCAGGAAGGTCGCGTTCATCGCCGCGCGGCGCCGGGGGTCTCGGCGCGCAGTCCCGGGTGCACTGGGCTGCTCGCCGGGGTCCGCGCTCTCAGGGACGCTCCGGACCCCTCGGACCGGCTCCTGCGGTACGGGGAGGGGACGAAGGCGGGAGGCTGGCTGCCTGCGCGCTCTCGGGCCGCCTACCCCTGGGCACCGGGCGGGAAGCGACCGCCCGGAGGAGCGAGCAACAGGCGGCGCAGGAGCTGGAGCCGGAGAACCTAGTGTGCTTAGCGGTCGCCCGCTGGGTTCCTCGCGCGCCTGGCCGCCCCTCCCCTAGCAACGGCCCGGCCCCGCCCCGCCGGTCCCCGCGGCATCTCCGAGGGGCGGGAATCCCGCCGCGGGCGCAGCCTCCCCGGAGTCCCGGTGCTGGAGGGGGTCGGGAGATCCGGCAGCCTCTGTCCGCGGGCCGGCGAAACTCCACCCCCTCCTGGCACCCGCTGTCCGTTCTTGGCTAGAAAACCTCTCCAAGGTGCCCATTCCAGGATTTGATACCCTTAGCAGTGAAGTTATTCCGGAATCTGCCCTGACTCTCTTCGCTTATTATTTAAGCCCTCGTAAGCCTTGCTAGACATCAGATGAGTCGCCGGGACCCCTGGCGCTGCCCACTCCACTGGCCCCGGGTCTCCTGGGCGGTCCTGCCTCACAGCTTTCCCGGGGTGAAAGCTGTCGCGGCGAGGCGGGCTCTCTGCCTCCTTCCCTACACCCTCCTCTCAACTTGGTCCCATTTAACTTTTTTTTTAAATTAAAAAATAAATTACTGTTTTTTTCTTTCTTTTTTACACAAACATAGTCATTGTAGACTAGTTTAGAAAACATGAATTACCGAAATTACTCTAAAACTTTATAATCTGCCTCCTAGAGAGTGTCGATGTTATCACCTGGGTATAAACTCCTCCCAGACTTTTTCTATTTGTGCCTTTCTCTAGATAACAGATATGGGGATGCACCGTTCCTGCTTACTGCCTCCCAACCTTTCCTCACTTAACAGCGTAACTTTCCCTAGCGATGGTCCTCTACAGCTATGGCTCTGAATTGCCTTGGAGGGTTTATTAAAACCCAGATTGCTTCCACCTCCCGCCCCCAACCTCCCCACCCCAACCAACCCCAAGAGTTTCTGAATCAGATGTGGGATGGGGCCCCAGAATGTGCATTTCTAACAGTTCCCACGTGATGCACAAACTACTGAGCTACAACATCATTTTTAGTGAAGGAATGGCATTTTAAGGTATGGACTACTACAGTTTATTTAACCAAGCTTCCTGCTGGATGTCTGAGTTTTTCTTTCCTTCTTCTTCCTTCTCCCTTTCCTTCTCTCCTTCCTTCCTTCTTCTTTCTTTCTCTTCTTCTTTCTCTTCTTTCTTTCTCTTCTTTCTTCTTTCTTTCTTTCTGTCTTCTTTTTTCTTTCATCAGAAACAATATTACCATAAGGAGCCTTGTAACAAAGTATTTGTGCCAAAACTGATTTTTCTTTAGATTGTATTTTGAAAAATGGACCTGTAGAATCAAAAAGTAGGCCGGGCGCGGTGGCTCACGCCTGTAATCCCAGCACTTTGAGAGGCCGAGGCGGGTGGATCACGAGGTCAGGAGATCGAGACCATCCTGGCTAACACCGTGAAACCCTGTCTCTACTAAAAATACAAAAAAAAAAAAAAAAATTAGCCGGGCGTGGTGGCGGGCGCCTGTAGTCCCAGCTACTCAGGAGGCTGAGGCAGGAGAATGGCGTGAACCCGGGAGGTGAAGCTTGCAGTGAGCCGAGATCACGCCACTGCACTCCAGCCTGGGTGACAGAGCGAGACTCCGTCTCAAAAAAAATAAAATAAAATAAAATAAAAAAAGAAAAAAAGAATCAAAAAGTACTTCCTACTAAATTGCTTTCCAGAAATATACCAGTGTACAATCATGCCCTGTGGGGAAAGGGGGCTCCCCACCCCCAACATTGTTATCATTATTTTAAAAGTCTTTGCCTGAGTAGCGAAGGGGGGTGGGGGCAGGGGTGGTTTCTCACCCGTATGTTAATTTGCATGCTTTGATTGTTGCAGGAGAGTAAAGAAAGCACTTTGTTATTGCAATAATGCAGGCAAAAGATGCTGCCTGGAGACTTGAATTCCAGTGGTGACAGTGAAGTGGGAGACAAGGGGATGGAAAGGGCATGGCAAATTGGAGTGAAGGGATTCGGGATGCCCCAACACACAGGCATCACAGAGCCTCTGCTCCCTGTTATGGTTTGAATATGTCTCCCCAAGTTCATCTGTTGAAAACTTGACCCCCAATGTGGAGGTGTTGGGAGGTGGGGTGAGATGCTGCCATTGTTTGGGTCAGGGGCACCACCCTCATGAATAGATTAGTGCCATTGTCTCAGGAGTGGGTTCTTTATAAAAGGATGAGTTCCACCCCTCTTTCTCTTTCTCTCTCTTCTCTTTCTGGCATGTGATGTCTTCTGCCATGTTTTAATGCAGAAAGAAGGCACTCACCAGATAGATGCTGGCCACTCGATCTTGGACTTCCCAGCTCCTAGACTGTGAGAAATTAATTTCTATTTATAAATTGCCCTCTTTATAACAAGCATCCTGTTATAGCAGCATAAAGCAGACTAAGACACCCATACCCATCCTGATACTCATTATTAGAACATTAAGCATGTGTGTATATCCTGGTAAGTTATTAAAATTATTATTTTATTTATTTATTTTTATTTTGAGACAGGATCTCGCTCTGTTGCCCAGGCTGGAGTGCAGTGGTGCAATCACAACTCACTACAGCCCTGATCACCTGGCTCAAGTGATCCCCTTACCTCAACTTTCTGAGTAGCTGAGCCCACAGGCATGTGCCACCATAATTTTTTATTTTATTTTTTGTTCAGACAGGGTCTCACTATGTTGCCCAGGATGGTCTCGAACTCCTGGGCTCAGATGATCTACCACCTCAGTCTCCCAAAGTGTTGGGATTACAGGTGTGAGCCACTGTGCCTGGCAAAATTATCACTTTAAAGATGAAGAAACTGAGGCACACATAGGCACCCCAGATTGGGAAACAACCTGGCTCAAGCTCCTCAGTCCTGGGAAAGCTGGCCTGGCGCAAAGGCATGCAGTTTTCAGGGCAAGAGTCTCCCCTGCCCTGATCACCCCTTGGAGCCAGGATAGAACAGGGAGTCCAGCAGGTGTCTGGCCCGAACATTCTGTCCTCTGCTTTGGCCCAATTGGATTTCTGTAGAGAAATGCTCAGTTATATCCTTTGTCTGAAACCAACCCCTGGCTTTTGCTATACCCTGGACTTGGAGTCCGTACCTTGATTGCATCCAGCTGAAGTCAGACTGCCTGATGTAAAGGAAAGGGGTGGGGTGAGTGAGGATGCAGAATGGGGCCCTGCCCACTCCAGCGAGTTGTGAGGAGGCTGACATGATGGCTGACCTTTCCTTTATTAAGCATCTATTACATGCCCAGTGCATTAAATACATTACCTCCCTGAATTCTCTCACACCAGCCTTTGGGTTCTGCTGGACTGTCCCCTTGACATGAGGAAACAGCGGCACTGACTGTTTAATTGACTTACTTAAGATCACGCAGCTAGTTAAGCATCAGAGCCAGAATTTCAGCCCAGATCTGTCCTGTTCCAAAGCCACGCTCTTCATTATCCCCGTCCCCCTCTCTCCCATCATCCCTGGGGGAGGTGCTGGGGAGGGAAAAAGACATCTTTGACCTGGGAGCAGGAAGGGGGAGAGAGACCTTGGGCTTGTGGATGTAAACAAAGACCACTCAAATGAGAGCAAGCAAAGGCTGTTTATTCAGAGCTTGTTACAGTAAGGGAGGCAGCCACTGTCACTTGCTTTTCATGGAGACTCAAAGGCAGGCCGAGGGGAAGGCTTTATAGCGGAAAAAGGAGAAGGCTTCAGGTACGTCCTGTTGGTGGTGCAGGAAAGCTACAGTTGGGCTCATTAGAAGAGGGGCATCCTAAGTAATTGGTTAGGGGAGCATATTTGGCTTTCTCCGGTTTGTCCTGCATTGAAAGTGGGAACAAAATTAGGGAAGCTGTCAGTTACCATCAAGTCCTGGCCATTTGGGGCTGATTGCTGCAGGGGTTGTTCGTTGGCTTCCTGGGCTGGTGCTGTAGGTTTGGGGGCAGAGTTCTATTTTAATATGTGGTCTGGCCATTGTCTATTTGCATATTTGGTCTCCCAGAACCATCCACGTCAGGAGCAGGACCCCATCTGGCCTGGACCTAGCTAACCACTCCTCCTTCTGTGGTTTCTGTCTGCCCTTTCTTCTTTTTTTTTTTTTTTTTTTTTTTTTGAGACGGAGTCTCGCTATGTCACCCAGGCTGGAGTGCGGTGGCATGATCTCTGCTCACTTCAGCCTCCAGCTCTCAGGTTCAAGTGAGGCCTGCCTCAGCCTCCCGAGTAGCTGGGATTACAGGTGTCCGCCACCATGCCTGGCTAATTTTTGTATTTTTAGTAGACACAGGGTTTCACCATGTTGGCCAGCTGGTCTCGAACTCCTGACCTCAGATGATCCACCTGCCTCGGCCTCCCAAAGTATTGGGATTACAGGCATGAGCCACTGCACCCGGCCCTGTCTGCCCTTTCTTGAGCCTCTGGTCCCAGCAAGTTTGGTTGTAGTTTGATGTGTATTAACTCTTAATTCTCATAATAACCCTGAAAGGTAAGTGTGTTTGTTATTTATTGCTACATCACAAATATCTCAAATTGAGCAAACATTTATGATCTCATGTGATTTCTGAGGGCCAGGAACCTATAAGCAGCTTAGGTGGGTGGCTCTGGCTCAAGGTCTCTCATGAGGTTGCCGTCAGGATGTTGGCCAGGACTGCAGTCATGTAAAAGCCTGACCAGGGAGGGGCCATTGGCTTCCAAGGTGACCCCTTACACGGCTGTTGGCAGGAGGCCTGTTCCTCATTGGCTGTCGGCAGGGGGATCCTCTGTTCCTCGCCATCGGACCTCTCCATGGTGCTGCTTGAGTGTCCTCATGACATGGCGGCTGGCTTGCCTCAGAGTAACTCTTGAAGAATGTGCTAGAAGGTGAGCACCTGGCTGGAAGGGAGAGGGACAGAAGAGTGAGGATACAGAGTGAAACACATCAGTTCTTATTGTTATTTAATCTTCACAGCAAGACTTGTAGAAAGAAACAAGTTGACAGATGAGAAAATAGAGGCCTGGAAAGGAAAAGGATCTTGTCCCAGGTCACAGAGCTGGTAATAGCACAGCCAGGATTTAAATCCTTAGTTACCCTACAACTAAGCTCAAAGTCTTTCCAGCACTTGGCATATGTGTATGTGTTGGGGGTGGGGTTGGGGGTGGGAGTGCTTCGTTGTTGGGGAAAGACTCCCCCGAGCCGGGCTTAGAGGGGCTCAGGAGCCTAAGGGTGAGTCTGTCAACTGGCTGCCTCCCCCTGCTCTAGAGAAAAGGAAGCCAGTGCCTCTGGGCCAAGCCACCACCCACATGGGACTATTTTTACCCTCCACCTCAGGGACAAGTCTGCATTTCCCAGCTCTGGAAGGGCCATCTGGGCAGTCCGGCTGCCCCAGGAAGAGCTGCCACCCGGAGCTTTATGCCCTGCTGTCTCTGCAGCTGTTTCTAGATGAACCTTTAGCCCTCTGGCATGCCTGAGCCATCCAGAGTCAGTAAGAAGTCCCCCTCCTCCAGATCTCAAGGTTAATAAAAGCTCCTAATTAGTATCACTTGCTGGATGGACCCGCCAGAAGGAAAATGCTTAAATCTGCAGAGATTTTAAATTGTTCACGTTTGTCAATAAGTGTTCTTTGTATGAGCCATTTTAATGAAGAGATAAGAATGATTTTATTTGCATATTCAACTGTAAACCACCCAGACACCTTCAGAAACAAGTAAATAGATGACCACTATATGAGAGTGTACTTCAGGGAGGCCCAAGAGCCTTTGGACATCATTTATTTTCTGAAGTGGTTTTAAACAACCCCCCTAGGACCCGGTTTACACTCTTCATTTGTTTGGCACGCTTTTCCTGGAATGGGCAAAGGTAGCCTGCTGCCTGTTTGCCCAGTTCCTGTCCAAATGATCTCACGTTTCAAATTGGCAGAGGGAAAGTTAATGACATTTTACTGCATCTGGTACGGAATTGAAATAAACATGGATTGCCCTGTTCAGCCTTTGACCCCTAAGAGACTTCGAGGTTGGCCCCTGCTCAGTTTACCTACAGAGGTTGAAGGCAGAGGGAAGTACCCAGGCAGTTCAGGCCAACCATGCCTGTAATCCCAGCACTTTGGGAGGCTGAGGCAGGTGGATCATGAGGTCACTAGTTCGAGACCAGCCTGACCAACATGGTGAAACCCTGTCTCTACTAAAATATACAAAAATTAGCTGGGCGTGGTGGTGCACGCCTGTAATCCCAGCTACTCAGGAGGCTGAGGCAAGAGAATTGCTTGAACCTGGGAGGCGGAGGTTGCAGTGAGCCAAGATCGCACCATTGCACTCCAGCCTGGGAGACAAAGTGAGATTCCATCTCAAAAAAAAAAAAAAAAGAAAATTTAAAGAAATGCCTTGCAGGTTGGGTGTCTATGCAGTAGCAGACAGGGAGCAGTGCCTGGCTAAGTTCTACACAGTGGAGAATGAGACAGGCATCCCAGGTGACATGGAGCTCACAACCCAACAGAATACCTGGATTTTGGACATCTGTGATCTACTTCTGCCTCTGCCCCTAATTGACTGTGTGACATTGGACAAGTGAACCATCCTCTCTGGGCTTCCATTGGCTCATTCATTAACTATGGGAGCTTAATCAGAATACCTTCAATAAAGCTTTATTTACAAGAACAGGTAGTGGGCCAGATGGGCCCTCCTCTGTCTTCTTCTGCTCTATGCTTCTTGTGGGCTTGAAGACAGTGAGGAGCCAAAGGTCTGTACCTCGTCTACCCCAAAAGTACTGCCTGGGCCTCTGGTACCCTAATCTGTAAAATGAGAAAGTTGGTTAATACCTACGTTCTCCAAACTGTGCTCTTTGGATAAATAGTTCTGCGAGGTCTGCAACAGAGTAGACATTGACCTAAACAGATTTCATTGCTATAGGACTTCTCAGGACCTTTAGTATGTGGATGTACATTGTGAATTTCCCTGGGGGTGGGGCAAGGGGGGGATGCGGGATTCAGCATTTATCAATGGAATCCTTTTTTGCCAACACCGACTAATATTTTGTGCCACTATGTACCATTTAGCACAGTTTAGGAAGTGCCCCGAAGCCTCCCCAAGCCTAAGTTTCCTTCCCTATAGACCAGGGATGATGATGATGGTAACTGCCTCCTAGAATTGTTGGGAAGGTTAAATGAGGTAATGCCTGGAAACGGGCCTGGCGCAGTGCCTGGCACAGAGTAAGTGCTCAATAAATGCTAGTAACTATTATTTATAATAAGGTCCTTCCTTTACAGCTCTGACATTCTGCGCTTCCAACTGTAGGGTGTAATTAAGCTCTAAAGCATCTGGCTTCCCGAGTAGAAAAAACAAGCCTGGAGGAAGGAAAAAGGAAGAGAAAGCTCCTTATGGGTTGCCCATTTGTTCACAAGCTTCACTGCCAGCCGTCACAACAAGGGAATGTAGCAAGATGCCAACTCCTAATGACGGAGCTTGGGTGGGTTGGTGGTTCCCTATTTAGCTTAGACACTGTGGGGACTATCTGAGACCGCGGAGAAGTGAGAGGTAAAACCAGTGCTGCTTATGGTCAATCAGTGAAACCTAACTGCATCCTATGTGCGTCTTCCTTTTCCTTCTGTCCTGGACACAGTGATCCTGGCCACTTTCAGGTATGTGTGACCTGCTGGGGGGAACAGTCACAAGGAGAGCTGAGTCAGAGAAGGTAAGTGGGACAGATCAGACTGGAAGGGCAGGAAGGGCAGTCCCACAGAGGAATAGCATGTGCAGTGGCTCAGAGGCTGGCGGAGTGCATAACTATAGTTGCAGGCCAGGGGGGGTGGCTCACACCTGTAATCCCAGCACTTTGGGAGGCCGAGGTGGGCGGATCATTTGAGGTCAGGGGTTCAAGACCAGCCTGGCTGACACGGTGGCCCGTCTCTACTAAAAATACAAAAATTAGCCAAGCGTGGTGGTGCATGCCTATAATCCCAGCTACTCAGGAGGCTGAGGAAGGAAAATCGCTTGAACTCGGGAGGCGGAGGTTGCAGTGAGCCAATATGGTGCCACTGCACTCCAGCCTGGGCAACAGAGTGAGACTCCATCTCAAAAATAACAATAATAATAATAATAACTGTAGCTGCAGGGGAACAGGCATGGGGAGGCGGTGAGGAAGAACATCAGAAGAGATGGCTAAAGAGGCATGTGGGCGCCAGGACGCTCAGGACTTCATCCAAAACACAGGGGAGACACACGATCAGCCTGGCATTTACATTTCCCCAGATTAAAAATAAAACAACTCTTTTTTCGCATTAAAAAATTTGACAATAGAGTTTACAATAAGAAAAAAATTATATTTTTTGAAAAAGAAAGGAAAATGGTGAAGACTCTTGCAACCATATGGAGGACAGAGTGCACTGGCTCTAGGAGGCCGGTTTGGGGGCTACTGCAATAGACAAGGCAAAAGGCCCCGATGAGTGACCCCACTCTAAGTATATACCCAAAGAACTGAAAACTGGCACTCCAGCAAATATACACACATGCATGTTTATAGCAGCACTATTCACAACAGCCAAAAGGTAGAAACAGCCCAGCTATTTATCACTAGATGAAGGGATAAGCAAAATGTGGTTTATCCATACAATGGAATATTATTCATAGGAAGGAGTGAAGTATGTGTGCATGCTATAAACCTTATAGCATATACTTACACATACTTTAATAATGTGGATGAACTTCAGAAACATTACGTTAAGTCCGGGTGCTGTGGCTCATGCCTGTAATCCCAGCACTTTGGGAGGCTGAGGCAGGCAGATCACCTGAGGTCAGGAGTTTGGGACCAGCCTGGCCAACACAGGGAAACCGTGTCTCTACTAAAAATACAAAAATTAGCCAGGCATGGTGGCACACGCCTATAGTCCCAGCTACTCGGGAGGCTGAGGTAGGACAATCGCTTGAACTTGGGAGGTGGATGTTGCAGTGAGCCGAGATTGCATCACTGCACTCCAGCCTGGGCAACTAGAGCAAGACTGTCTCAAAAAACAAACAAACAAACAAACAAATGCATTATGTTAAGTGCAAGAAGCCAGACTCAAAAAATAACATATACTGTATGATTCCATTTGTATGAAATACCCAGAAAAGGTAAATCCAAAGAGAGAACCAAGATTGGTGGTTGCTGGGGCTGGGGAGAGAGGTGAGTTGGGGAGCAACTGCTTGATGGGTACAAGGTTTCCTTTTGGAGTGCTGAAATGTTTTGGAAGTGGTGATGGACATTGTGAATGCACAAATTGCCAAAATTGCCAAGACATTGTTCACTTTCAAACTGTTAATTTTATGTTATGTGTATTTCATGTCATTTTTTTAAAAAGGCAATGATGCAGGTGAACAAAGGCAGGGAAAGAGGAGATGGAAAGTGGGAGGGGATTCTGGAGCCTGTGAATCTGAGGAATGGTTCCCAGATTTCTGGCCTTCACTGGGAGTGAACAAGTGGGCGGAGTGGTCAGGCCAAGGTGGAGTTGAGGGGCTCAGGGTTGAACATGATGAGTCTGAGGTGACCGTGGGATGTGCACGTGACAGTGTCAGGCAGACAGTTGGAGGCATGGCCGGGGAACTTAGGCACCCTGGGGCTGGAGATAAAGGTTTAGAAGTCATCAGCTTGTTCACCCATTCACTGAACACGTACTGAGCATCTTCTGTGTCCAGCTAAGTGCTAGGGAATCACAGTGAAAGCCAGTCCCTGCCTTCAAGGAGCTCAGTCTGGAGAGGAAGACAAGTAAAGAAACTAGATAATGATAAACGGTGAGAAGGTGCGAATAGAGGAAGACATAACATGTGGGGGGCACCCAGAGGGGACACTGTGGACGCAGGTCAACAGAACACAGGAAATGAGTGTTTCACTCTGTCCCTCAGCAGTTTAGCAATGCCAACCCCTGCTCGAGCATAGGAAATCATTTTCAGACTCTGCTAGCATAGCCAAGGACTCCATGCAGATTCTGCAAGGTGGAGGACTTTTGAGTAGGCATGCTAGTCAGATGCCTTTCCGGTGAAGGACAGAACGTGTTGTAGGGACTCCTGTCACCTGCTTCAGGGTCTGTGAAGGCAGGAAATAGAAACATATTCAGGTCAGGACAACTGCTGGGGACTACCCCCTTCGAACAGATCCCACGGCGGGACACAAGCACAAGGCAGGTTGGCTCTGGCTAAGTTGTGCTCAGAATTGTAAAGACATCTTGCCCCTTGTTTTGTCTGCTCTAAACATCATCTGCTTTCTTTTGAGGAATCGCTCTTCCCCATCCCAACCAGTTAAGGTGGGACCTGCCAATTAGGCTTCCCCTGCCCCCCAGATATAAGGGGATGCATGATTGAGGCTGAGCCAATCTTAGTACTCTTCTGCCTGACCTTGATGATTAGCTCAGGGACAGGGATGTGACCCACGACAGGCTGGTTGGTGGCCACCAGGGTCCCTGACCCCAGGTATCATACCCTTGTATCGTCACTCCCACAGTGATGCTGGGCTTGGCTATGTGATTGGCTTTGGCCAGTGGGACAACTGAAAGCGTAATGTAAGCAGAGGCTTGGTGAGCGCTTGCACAATGGGGCTGGTCCTCTTCAAACACTCACTTTTGGGACCCAGCTGCCATGCCAAGAAGCCCAAGCTGGCTATTTAGAGACAGCGTGTGAACAGGGCAAGTTTCTAGCTTTCAGCCATCCTCGCCACGGTGCCTGACATTTAGGGAAACTATTTTGGGCACTCCTGTCCCATGAATGACAGAGCGAGACCAGCAGAGCTCTGCAGCTGAGCCCAAAACCCCACAGAATCATGAGAAATAATTAAATGGTTATTGTTAAGCCATTCCGTTTTGGGGTTGTTACACCATAAGGAATAATTAAAAGATAAGCCAAAGTGGGCCAATCTGAAATCTTCCCTGAGAATTTCTACACGGAGGTGGTGGAAAAGAGCTCTGTTCTGTCCAGTGACAAGGCTATAGGGACGCAGGCCTATTATATTCCTCTCCACAGTGGAAAGATAGAGAAAACCTATCTGCGGCAGAAAGGGTGAAGTCCCAGACACAGAAGAGTCAAAACAATAGTGAAAGAAAGCCCCAACTTTTAGAACCCTGGACGCTCCTGTAGTCTGGTGACATAAGGTATTAAATTAAATCCCCCTTTATGGCTTCAGCTACCTCAAGATAACTTTTTATCAGTTACACAAAGGGTCCTATGTAATTCACCTGATAACATATCATAAAGATCTTTGCCAATGTCCTTAAGTCAAGAATAAAGTGATCACACTATTGATGTTGTTGAAAGCTTTGTTGAGCATGTACAATGTGAGAATCTTGAAGGATCTTCCCCCAGTCGTTGTAAGGGGTAAGACAAGGGAAGGACATGGTTCACACCACACCAGGAACCAGTGTCCAGGGCATTCACCTGTCAAGGCCAGCTGGATGCAGGAAGGTGTTCACACTCATTTGAGTATTAGAAACACGTTTATTTCTCTCTTTCTGTAGGACAATTTGACAACACACACAAAATGCTTTTTTTTTTTCTTAAGATAGAGTCTTGTTATGTCGCCCAGGCTAGAGTGCAGTGGCACGATCTCGGCTCACTGCAACCTCCACCTCCTGGATTCAAGCAATTCTCATGCCTCAGCCTCCCAAGAAGCTGAGATTACAGGCATGCACCACCACACCCAGCTAATTTTCATATATTTGGTAGAGACAGGGTTTCACCATGTTGTCCAGGCTGATCTTGAACTCTTGGCCTCAAGCAATCCTCCCGCCTTGGCCTCCCAAAGTATTGGGATTACAGGTGTGAGCCACCACACCTGGCCACAGACTGCTTTTAAAAGGTTCAGGCCCTTTGCTCCAGCAATTCCACTTCCAGGAATTTATCCCATTGCAATGGTTTTCAAATTATGTTCCTGGTGGAACCGTGGGGTTCTACAGAGGTGCTTTGCTAGTTCTGCAAAACTTTGATTTGAATGTCACTGGTACTGAGGCTGATTTAAAACTATAGTCATCATCTTCTGAGATGTCATCTTGAGATGATGTCTAACTGGTCTAGAAGACCCCTAACTGGTCTTCTAAATACTGCATATTTGAATTTATAAAATATGCCAACAGAATGACTTCTTATCTGTTGCTTACATGAGCCTTATTAAGTTTCATTTAAAGAAGGGTCCTACTTCTAAAAAGAAACAGTATAGGCCAGGCACGGTGGTTCACGCCTGTAATCCCAGGACTTTGGGAGGCCGAGGTGGGTGGATCACCTGAGGTCAAGAGTTCGAGACCAGCCTGGCCAACATGGTGAAACCCCATCTCTATCAAAAATACAAAAAATTAGCCGGGTGTGGTGGTGCACCCCTGTAATCCCAGCTACTCAGGACGCTGAGGCAGGAGAATTGCTTGAACCCAGTGGGCTGAGATTGCACCATTGCACTCCAGCTTGGGCAACAAGAGCAAAACTCCATCTCAAAAAAATAAAATAAAATAAAATAAAATAAAATAAATAAACAGTATAAAACCACTGTCACAAGAAAATGATCATTTCATCCTAGAAGGTTTAGCTTCATGAAGATGTACTACACAATGTTTATACAGAGTTGGTTCAGTGAACCGTGGCTCACAGGCTGGATCTGGCCACCACCTGTTTTTCTAAATAAAGTCTGATTGAAACACAGCTATGTGCATTCATGTACACATGATCTGTGGCTGCTTTTTTGCCATAATGGCAGAATTCAGCAGTTGTAACAGAGAACTTGTGACCTGCAAAGGCCAAAACAAATACCACCTAGCTCTTTACAGAAAAAAGTTTGCTACTTCCTGGTTTATAATGATATAAAAATTGGAACCAAGCTAAATGTCCAAGAAAGTGGATTGATCAAATTACAACACATACCTTGCAAATGGAATGCAAGGCCCTTGTTGAAAAATAATGCTGGCTGGGCATGGTGGCTCATGCCTGTAATCCCAGCACTTTGGGAGGCTGAGGCGAGTGGATCACCTGAAGTCAGGGGTTTGAGACCAGCCTGGCCAACATGGCAAAAACCCCATCTCTACTAAATAAATAAATAAATAAATTAGCCAGGTGTAGTGGTACACACCTGTAATCCCAGCTATGTGGGAAGCCGAGGCAGGAGAATCACTTGAACCCGGGAAGTGGAGGTTGCAGTGAGCCGAGACTGTGCCACTGCACTCCAGCCTGGGCAACAGAGCAAGACTCCGTCTCGGGAAAAAAAAATGTTTTAGTTCAGCAGCTGTTAGGTTTGGCTGCGTACTGAAACTATCTGGGGGGTTTTTAAAAATTCCAAAGCTCAGGCCACTCCAGATGAATTAAATTTGACTCTAGGGGTGGAACCCAGGCATTGATATTTTTAAAGCTTCCCCAGGGGTTCTAATGCAGTGCCACTGTTGTAGAAGAATATTTAATGAGGCCAGGTGCGGTGGCTCATGCCTATTATCCTAGCACTTTGGGAGGCCGAGCTGGGAGGATCACCTGAGGTCAGGAGTTTGAGACCAGCCTGGCCAACATGGTAAAACCCCGTTTATACTAAAAATACAAAAATTAGCCAGGCATTGTGGTGGGCACCTGTAATCTCAGCTACTTAGGAGGCTGAGGCAGGAGAATCGTTTGAACCTGGGAGATAGAGTTTGCAGTGAGCTGAAATTGTGCCATTGCACTCCAGCCTGGGAGACAAGAGTGAAACTCCATCTCAAAAAAAAAAAAAAAAAAAAAAAAGAATATGTAGTGACACAGAAAGATGGCCACTATATATTATTAACTGAAGACAAAGAAGATTTTCTAACAATGTGTAGCATGTGACTCCTTTCTGGTAAGTTTCTATACACACATGCAAACAGACTCACATGTATGAAAATATATGCCCAAACTGACAGTGGCCATCTCTGTAGGCTGGGACTAGGAGAGATTTTGATTTTTTTTTTTTTTTTGCTTATCTGTATTTTTTAGATGTTCTACAATGAACATGGTATCTTATAATAAATGCAAAAAATAAAGTTGTCAATAGCTTAAAAAGCCATGTACTTTTTGTTTTAGGCAAAACTACAAAGAGGAGCATCTAATCAAACAACACATCCCCAGGTCACTCATGTGTGCAGCATGCCTTCAGGCATGCATCCCAACAGAGGCAGATCCCAGGCTCATGGGACAACAGGTTTTCCTTGGTGAGGAAGTCAGGCACTGCAGCCTCCAAGCCTCAGGCTCCTCAACTGTTAAAAAGGGATCAGTCTGCCTACCCCCAGGATTTAAGGCAGGCATGCATAGTGTCTGGCACATAGGAGGTGCTCAACAAAAGTTGCTTATTTCTCCATAAGCAGCTTTTAGCGTCACAGCCTGCAGCCAATCAGCTTCTTGCTGTTCTTGCCAAAGGAGGATTGGCTTTGCCAAAGCTGGGCCTGCCCAAGTTCATCCGCAGCCACTGGTCTCTGATGCTGTCCACCTTGGCTTGGAATCTCTGTTGCTCTTGGAATTTTTCTGTGTTCCCTAGAAGGACTGTGACCTCTCATCAACACAACCTGTATCCCCTACTCCCAGAATGGGTTCCATCTGCGTAGAGAAAGTGAGGGCTTCAAGTCTTCGTGGGGCTGCTCACTCTTAATAAAAACAACAGTGGCTGCCATGTATCAGAATTGCCCTACATGTGCCCGGGCTGACATCCTCTATCTCTCAGCCCCAACTCTGCAGGAATGTGAGAGTGTTCCCATTTCCCAGATGAGGCTCAGAGAGTTGAAGGAACTCCTTGAAGGTCACACAGCTGGTCCATGGCAGGTGCCACACTGCCTTCTTAGCTATGTTGGTTCCATCTTCTACTTCAAAAGACAGACATTCCCCAGTGGATTCTAATGTGCAGCCAGGTTTGAGAAGCATTGTTATGAAAGTAGTGGTTCTCAACATTGACTATACCGTGGAATCACCTGCACTGATTTACAAAAATGCTGGTGGGGGCTGGGCGTGGTGGCTCATGCCCATAATCCCGGGACTTTGGGAGGCCGAGGTAGGTGGATCACCTGAGGTCAGGAGTTTGAGACCAGCCTGGCCAACATAGTGAAACCCCGTCTCTACTAAAAATACAATAATTAGCCAGGTGTGGTGGGGGGCGCCTGTAATCCCAGCTACTCAGGAGGCTGAGGCAGAAGAATCACTTGAGCCCCGGAGGCGAACGTTGTAGTGAGCTGAGATCATGCCATTACACTCCAGCCTGGGCAACTACAGTGAAACTCCATCTCAAAAAAAAAGAAAAATGCTGGTGGGGGTTGGGAGTTGAAGAGTGGGGAGGGTGGGAAGAGGACAGGAAGAAAGGAATGGGGGAGGCTTCTGAAGTTCTGGATAATGTTCTAGTTCTTGATCTGGGTGCTAGCTACTTGGGTGTGTTTATTTTGTGAAAATCATTGAGCTGTACATTTATGATTTATGTACTTTTCTATATGAATGCTAGTCTACAGTAAAATTTTAAAGAAAAAAAGAAGCTGTCATCAGCCACATCACTGCCTCCTGGGAAAAGGCAGTCCGTGGCCTTGACCCATATTTTGAGGATGCTTTTCTCAGCATCAAGCAGTTGTCGGCCTCTGAGTCTGTGCCTGTCCCTGCCAATGAGCAGACTAACCCTACTTTCTTGCCATTGGGGCTTCTTCCTGGGTTAATGCTGGGTTAGCTACAAAACAAAACAAAAAAAACACAAAAGTCCAGGTACAGTGGCTCATTCCTGTAATCCCAGCACTTTGGGAGGCCAAAGTGGGTGGATTGCTTGAGTCCAAGAGTTTGAGACCCGCCTGGGCAACATGGTGAAACCTCGTCTCTACTAAAAATACAAAAAATTAGCCAGGCATGGTGGTGTGCACCTGTAGTCCCAGCTACTGGGGAGGCTGAGGTGGGAAAATTGCTTGAGCCTGGGAGGTAGAGGTTGCAGTGAGCAGAGATCAAGCCACTGCCCTCCAGTCTGGGTGACAGAGTGAGACTGTCCCCCCACTCCCCCAAACAATACCCACTGTTGCTATGGTTGCAGGTACTCAGACAGCCAGGCTAAGCTGGTTAAGCTCCACGGTCCCTCCCTCCCACAGTGGGAGTCATATGACCCTATGCTGTCTAAGCCCCAGGACCTAGGGCAGCAGGGGTATAAATGGCTACAGCCGAGCCCCCTGGGCCTGAACTGTGAGTTCCCTGGTTGACCTCTGCCTTGTGTCATAATTTGAGTCACTAGAGGTATGTTCTCTTGTTCTTCAGCTACAGGTTCTGATTTTTAGCTAGGCTTATGAATATGTTAAAGGAAAACAACATTTCCAACCCTCTTTTGCAGCTAGGCATGGCCATGTAACTCAGTTCTGGCCAAAAAAGTGTAAATAAAACAGTCTGTGCAATTCTGGGGAAAAAAAGGAGAGTACTCTTCTCCTTCCCATACTCCTTCCTGATGCCTGGAATATAGCGTGGAAAGGCTGAGCTCCAGCAGCCATATTGTACCATGGGGTAGAAGTCATGTTTGTGGTTAGCAGAGCAATAAGACAGGAGCCTAGATCCCTTCTCCCTTTGCATCATGGAGCACCCTGTTGGCTCTGGAATGATTCCCTCAGGACAGCTAAACATGAGAGAGAAACTGAGCTTCAAACTTGTTTGAGCCAGTGATATTTGAGGGTTTTCATTCTTCTCAACCCAACTGAATCCTATCTGATACAGTAGGATTTGCTCCTTGGTCCTGAGTTCCCGCCTTGGTCACCTGCCCAGTGTAAGGAGGAGGGGCCTGGCCTGCTCCATCCTGCAACTGGAGTTCTGTCCTCGGCCCACCTCAGTGGCTGGTCCCTGCTACCTGCTGGAACCCCATCCATGCTGCCTCCCCACTCAGCAGGATTCTGTTCCTTGGCTGGCCCCTTGCCAGGATGGATGGCAGGCCTCCCACTCTGCTTGCTTTCCTGGAGTGAGGTCTGCTGCTTGCCTCCCACTCCCTGCTTCCCACTTACCCCTGTGCCCTTGGCTTCTGCCCTGGGCCTGCCAGAGTGGCTGCTCTCTGGATATCCCAATGCCACCAGTATCTTCCCCAGGAGCAGCCCATTCCTGACATACAGGAACAACGGCTCCTTCATTCATTGACTCATTTAAGCAGATATTTACCAAGCATCTGTTATCAGCATTGAGAACACCACAGGAAATAAGATCAGGTCGAATGGTGGGCCTAGTGCAAGCACTTACAAGTACAGGCTTTAGAGTGAGAACATCAGGCCCAACCAGCCAAGACACTGAAACCCATCTCAAGGAATTTTCAGGAGTTTCCTTTAAGGATATGCCCATGACCTGGGTTATGTGTCCAAGTCTGGATGAGTCACTACACCTCCCAGTCCTCAGCTGTCCCATCTGCACATGGTGAGGCTGAACTGCATGCTCTTGATGACTCTGTGCAGGTCTGACTTCCTGTGAAGGTAGGAAAGGGCCCAGGGGCCCCTAGGCCTGGTTTTGCCACCCATGGGCTGCTGCTGGATTTAGGGCCTTAAAACAACCACTTTATTATTAATTTCTTTAGAGACAGGGTCTCACTCTGTTGCCCAGGCTGGAGTGTAGTGGTGTGACCATAGGTCACTGCAGCCTCAAACTCCTGGCCTCAAGCAAGCCTCCCGCTCAGGCCTCCCAAAGCGCTGGGATGACAGGCATGAGCCACCACATCCAGCCCTCACTTTCTAATTATTTATTATGATTTTGTCGGTTGACTGGGGCCAGCCAATTCTTCTGCTGGTGACAGTTCCTTCAGCCCCTCTGACCTCTGGCCTAACATGGAAGTGGGGATAATCCATGTACCCAGAATTCTCCCAGAATTGATGAGATAAGACTCCAGGTCATGGAATAGTTAACGAGGAGGAGTTTCTCTTTAGAAGTAATCCAGCTAATAAATGAAGACAGGATGATAGAATTAGAATATTACCATTTCTGGGCCAGGCACAGTGGCTCACGTCAGTAATCCTAGCACTTTGGGAGGCGGAGGCAGTCTGATTGCTTGAGCTCAGGAGTTCGAGACCAGCCTGGGTAACATGGTGAAACCCCATCTGTACTAAAAATACAAAAAATTAGCCAAGTGTGGTGGCACATGTCTGTAGTCTCAGCTACTCAGGTGGCTGAGGCACGAGAATCGCTTGAACCCAGGAGGCGGAGGTTGCAGTGAGTCAAGATCCTGCCACTTCACTCCAGCCTAAGTGATAGAGTGAGACTCTGTCTCCCCACCTCACCAAAAAAAAAGAATATCACCATTTCTAACCCCCAGTGAAGTAACTGGTCTAGATATGGAATGTCAATAGCTATTAATGTCACAAAAAGGAAGTCACTAGACATTCTGTGCCTTCTGTGGAAAAACCTAATACCTACTAAGAACAAGTCTTGCCAAAAACTCAAAATCTTAATCTGATCAGGCCTCTAGATCCAACTATCCACTTATAGGAAATATAGAAGACAGAGAAATGTGTATAAATGACATCATGGATTTGCAATAATCAAAATCCAGACCGTGGGTAATATCTGCAGGATGCATGGTAGGGCTGGTTCAAGAATAAAGGAAGGCTAGGTGTGGTGGCTCACGCCTATAATCCCAGCACTTTGGAAGACCTAGGCAGGTAGATCATTTGAGGTTAGAAGTTTGAGACCAGCCTGGCCCAGATGGTGAAACCCCATCTCTATGAAAAATACAAAAATTTGCCGGGCATGGTGGCAGGTGCCTGTAATCCCAGCTACTCGGGAGGCTGAGGCAGGAGAATTGTTTGAACCCAGGAGGCAGAGGTTGCAGTGAGCTGAGATCGCACCACTGCACTCCAGCCTGGGCAACAAGAGTGAAACTCCATCTGAAAAAAAAAAAAAAAAAGAATAAACGGAAAAAGAGAAAGATGGAAGAGGAATCCATGGATTAAAAGATTTAAGAGACATCAACTAATCATATTGTGTGCATCTTATTTGGATCTTGATTTAATCAAAATGTTAGAAAATGCTTTCTGACATAAAACAGTTGGAAATTTGAACACTTACTGAATATATAACGATATTAAAGAATAATTGTTTTAAGAAACACAGAGAGAAATAATGAGTGACCAACACTTGATAAAGAAGAACCCAGCAGCCTATCTCTTATTAGAGAAGGCTACGGGGTATGCTGGGAGTCCTAATCCCGGCTCGGCCGTGAGTGTGCTGTGTATGTAGCCTTGGCTGAGCCCCTTTCCCTGCCTAGACCTTGGTTTTCCCATTTATGAAGTGAAGGAGGGGACCCAAGGGGCGTGTTTAACTCTGGCCTGCTTTTGCTTTGTCTTGTCACGTGCAGCCATGGATCCTTTAACTCGGGGCCTGTATCAACACCACCATGCGTCCACAAGAGTATAAAATGGGCAGAAGAGTGCTTGATGGGCACAAGCCCAGAGCTGTCGGCTTCTGCAGAACCCAGAACAGGAAGGGTCACCTCCCTGAGGCACCTGACCTGGAGAACCAACTGCATAATCCCAGGTAGGCCAGGTCAAAGCCAAGGGGAAGGAGAAACTGCTGGAGGACTTCCCCCCACAAAACATGGGCACGTGTTATCTGCTCACCAGGATGCTTCGACCTTGTTCTGATGCCTGGGGACTTCTGGTGAGTTCCCTGGCCATCCATCCTGGTCTGTTCACCTTCTCAGGACTCCAGTTGAGTTGGGCTGCGTGTGACAGACCCCTGTGAGTGCAAATGAACAATGTCACTGAATTGCTGCCTCACTGGCCCCTCAATTCCTTGTTGCTGGCCTCTGCCCACCTGCACTTCAGATACTGTCATCATGGAAGAATCATCCTTAGCACAGAAACTCACACACTGTAAATGCTCCATGTGAAGAGGTGAAGAGGTGGAGAGGGAACCTCCCTCCCAGACCATCATGGATGCTTAACATTCTCTTGAAGCCTGACGAGTTTTCTCCAGAAAGCTGAACTACAATACTCACCATCTGCTACCAACACCAACGAGTTCAACACATGAACTAAGTAATCGAGAAGGACACTTCCGTTTAATTAGGTACTATAGAGCAGTAGCAAGGCCCACACGTTAGTGTCAAATCTGGATGCAAATCCTTGCACTGCCTCCTACCAGCTCTGTGACTTTGGGCGTTTCTTAACCTCTCTGCAGCTTATTTATTAAGAATGCTGTGAAGATGAGATGACGCCCTTCATACAGTGTTTGGCATCGTGCCTGACCCACCAGAAGGGCTCAATGTGTGTCCACAGTTGCTTTTTTTCTTTGAGACTGGGTGTCCCTCTCATACCCAGGATGTAGTGCAATCATAGCTTACTGCAGCCTTGAACTCCCAGGCTCAAGGGATCCTCCTGCCTAAACCTCCCGAGTAGCTGGGACTACAGGCACACGCCACCATGCCTGGCTAATTTTTGTAATTTTTTGTAGAGACGGGGTCTTGCCATATTGCCCAGGCTGGCCTTGAACTCCTGGGCTCAAGTGATCCGCCCACCTTGGCCTCCCAAAGTGTTGGGATTACAGGCGTGAGCCACCATGCCAGGCCTGTTAGGCGTTTCTTAACCTCTCTGCATTTAGTTTCTTAACCACTCTTATTTAGTAAGAGTGCTGTCAGCCTGGAACTATAGCTCACGCCTATAATCCCAGCACTTTGGGAGGCTGAGGCAGGCAGATTACTTGAGGTCAGGAGTTTGAAACCAGCCTGGCCAACATAGTGGAACCCCTTCTCTACTAAAAATATAAAAATTAGCCGGGTGTGGTGGCGTGTGTCTGTAATCCCAGCTACTCAGGAGGCTGAGGCAGGAGAATCGCTTGAACCTGGGAGGTGGAGGTTGCAGTGGGCTGAGATCACGCCACTGCACTCCAGCCTGGGCAACAGAGGAAGACTCCATCTCAAAATAAAATAAAATAAAATAAAATAAAATAAAATAAAATAAAATAAAATAAAATAAAATAAAATTAAAATAAAATAAAAAATAAAATAAAATAAAATAAAATAAAATAAAATAAAATAAAATAAAATAAAATAAAATAGTGCTGTGAAGATGAGCTGGCTCCCTGCACAGAGTGTTCGGCATCATGCCTCACACACTGTGGTGGCTCAATGTATGTTGACAATTGCTTGTTTTTTGCTTTTTTTTTTTTTTTTGAGACAGAGTCCTGCTCTGCCACCCAGGCTGGAGTGCAGTGGTTCGATCTTGGCTCGCTGCAGCCTCCACCTCCCGGGTTTCAGCGATTCTCCTGCCTCAGCCTCCCAAGTAGCTGGGGTTACAGGTGTGCGCCACCATGCCTGGCTAATTTTTGTATTTTTAGTAGGGATGGGGTTCTGCCATGTTGGTCAGGCTGGTCTCGAACTCCTGAGCTCAAGTGATCTGCCCACCTTGGCCTCCCAAAGTGCTGGATTACAAGCCTGAGCCACCGTGCCCGGCCCACGATTACTTTTTTGGGGGAAGCTTCCATTGCAGCACCCCATGGGCACTCCACCATCATGTCTCTCTACTCCTCAATTGAACCTTCTCTCCTTTCCCTCTCTCCTATAAAAATGACCCTTCAGTAGGTCATTTTCTCACTGACATGCTAACTTATGACTTGCAGCATCTGATGATACAACTTTGACCTGCTTTATAATCGTGGGTTTCAGGCAAGGTGGGAGGCCTTCCAAAGTCACCTTGAGAACCACAACTCTTTGGTGCCATCTGCAATCCTCCATATCAGCCCTGCAGATAACAGGGAACTATGGCTGCTGCCTCCCTGGAGTAGGACATTCTTTTAAAAAGATCTGGGAGCACTTTAGGAGGTTGAGGCGGGTGGATCATGAGGTCAGGAGTTTGAGACCAGCCAGACCAATGTGGTAAAACCCCGTCTCTACTAAAAATACAAAAATTAGCCGGGCGGGGTGGTGGGCACCTGTCATCCCAGTTACTTGGGAGACTGAGGCAGAAGAACCGCTTGAACCTAGGAGGTGGAGGTTGCAGTGAGCCGAGATGGTGCCACAGAACTCCAGTCTGGGCGACCTTCCTGCACTCCCGGTGTTCGGGGACCAACAAGGCGTAATAAGGAGCCAGAGACCAAGGCCCAAGTCTCAGCTCTAACTGAGTATTATGGGGGTATTAATGTCCACCTCCCAGGATAGGGAGCACAGAGCAAGGAATACTAAGTATTGAAGCCCTGAAACGCCCACTTCCTGTACCTGAGTCGCTGCTGTCCTCTAGTGGCCACTGGATAAATTGCACAGCACGCCGGCCTGAAAAAGCGGAAGTGAGAGATGCTTTTCCCCACTTCTGAATCTACCAGATGCTGGGGGGTTCTCAACCATGCTCCACTCATGACTTCCTTTTTATAAAATGTATTTTGTGTAATTACAGTAATTTTTGAACATTTTAGGCAGATTTATTGAGGTATTGACATATAATAAACTGCCTAGAGATTACAATTTGATAATATCTGAGCCTTAGTATACAGCTGAAATCATTATCACAATCAAGATAGTGAAGAAAGCCATCCTCCCAAAAAATTTCCTTGTTGCCCCTTGGTGATCCTGCTTCCTGCCCTTTCTACTTCCCTCTCACCCCCAAGCAACTACTGATCTGCTTTCTTTCTCTTCTCTTTTTTCCTTTTTTTTTTTTTTTTTTTTTTTGAGATGGAGTTTCACTCTGTCACCAGGCCGGAGTGCAGTGGTGAGATCTCGGCTCACTGCAACCTCCGCCTCCCAGGTTCAACAGATTCTCCTGCCTCAGCCTCCCGAGTAGCTGGGACTACAGGCACCTGCCACCACGCCCAGCTAATTTGTGTATTTTTAGTACAAATGTTGTATTTGTATTTGTATTTAGTACAAATGTTGGCCAGGCTGGTCTTGAACTCCTCGCCTCAAGTGATCCGCCCACCTCGGCCCCCCAAAGTGCTGGGATTACGGGTGTGAGCCACCACGCCTGGTCCTGATCTGCTTTCTGTCATCATAGGTTAGTTTATATTTTCTAGTGCTTTCTAGACACGGAATCATACAGTGTGTATTTTTTTGGTCAGGTTTCTTTCACTCACCATAATTATTTTGAGATGTATCCATGTTGCTTTGTGTGCCAATAGTTCATTACTTTTTAAATGTTTAATTGTAGTTTTTGTGGGTACATAGTAAGGGTATGTATTTCTGGAATACCTGAGATGTTTTGATACAGGAATGCAATGCATAATAATCACATCATGGAAAGTGGGGTATCCAGCCCCTCAAGCATTTATCCTTTGTGTTACAAACAATCCAATTATACACTCTTAATTATTTTTATTTTTATTTTTTTTTTTTAGTTTTTGAGACAGCGTTTCACTCTTCTTGCCCAGGCTGGAGTGCAATGGCGCTATCTTGGCTCACTGCAACCTCCGCCTCCTGGGTTCAAGCATTTCTCCTGCCTCAGCCTCCCAAGTAGTTGAGATTACAGGCACGTGCCACTAGGCCCAGCTAATTTTGTATTTTTAGTAGAGACAGGGTTTCACCAGATTGGTCAGGCTGGTCTCAAACTCCTGACCTCAGGTGATCCACCTGCCTCGGCCTCCCAAAGTGCTGGGATTACAGGCATGAGCCACCACGCCTGGCCATTAGTTATTTTTAAATATACAATTAAATTATTATTGATTATTGCCAGCCTATTGTGCTCTCTAACACTAGGTCTTATTCATTCTTTTTTTTTTGTACCCATTAACCATCCCCACCTCCCCACATTACTTTTTATTGCTGAGTTCTGTTCCATTGTATGAATGTACCACAATTTGTTATTCATTCAGAATGATAGTAATTTTAAAAATCAATATAATGCCCTAACTAGAACATACAACAGAAACTAACTCAAAGACGAGTTCTGTATAAAAGCTCAAGGAAGCTGGGTGTGATGGTTCACAACTGTAATCCTAGCACCAAGGCAAGTGGATCACTTGAGGCCAGGAGCTCGAGACCAGCCTGGGCAACAGAGCCCCCCGACCCCCCCAACTTCTACAAATATTTTTAAAAATTAGCCAGGCTTGGTGGTCCAGGTCTGTAGTCCCAGCTACTCAGGAGGCTGAGGCAGGTAGATCACTTAAGGCCGGAAGGAAATTTGAGGCTTCAGTGAGTCGTGATGGTGCCACTGCACTCCAGCCTGGACAATAGAGACTCAAAAAAAAAAAAAAAAAAAAAAGCTCAGCCATGACCACCCTGACCCTGACCACTCTGGAACATACAATGATACAGTCGGGCACTTATATACTATACATGTACTAGCTGCGAGTACAGCCAGGCAGAGGTGGGGCAGATGAGCACATCAACTACTAGCACCACTGTCCTGGACATCACACAACAGGGGGGCAGGGCTGGGCTTTGAGCCCAGGTTTGTTTGGCTCTGAAGCCCAGTGGCTGGCCACTCCATGCAGGAGGGTACAGTGCTCTGTCGCCCAATGCATGGGGACTGGTGTTGAGCAGAGAAGATGGACATGGGCAGATTTTAGCTGGATGGAAGGATGCGTTTCTCACAGGGCTGACCATTGGGGTAGCATGTTCTTTTTTTAATTACGTGGATGGCGTGTTTGGGCTGGCTCACCCTGGGATTTCTCCCATCCAGCCATGACCCAGACTCATTCACTAAGGTCTATATTTGCCTTTTTTTTTTATTATACTTTAAGTTCTAGGGTACACGTGCACAATGTGCAGGTTTGTTACATATGTATATATGTGCCATGTTGGTGTGCTGCACCTATTAACTTGTCATTTACATTAGGTATACTGCCTAATGCTTTCCCTTCCCCCTTCCTCCACCCCACAACAGGCCCCGGTGTGTGATATTCCCCTTCCTGTGTCCATGTGTTCTCGTTGTTCAATTCCCACCTATGAGTGAGAACATGCAGTGTTTGGTTTTTTGTTCTTACGATAGTTTGCTGAGAATGATGGTTTCCAGCTTCATCCATGTCCCTACAAAGGACATGAACTTATCCTTTTTTATGGCTGCATAGTATTCCATGGCGTATATGTGCCACATTTTCTTAATCCAGTCTATCATTGATAGGCATTTGGGTTGGTTCCAAGTCTTTGCTATTGTGAATAGTGCCACAATAAACATACATGTGCATGCGCCTTTATAGCAGCATGATTTATAATCCTTTGGGTATATACCCAGTAATGGGATGGCTGTGTCAAATGGTATTTCTAGTTCTAGATCCTTAAGGAATCGCCACAGTGTCTTCCACAATGGTTGAACTAGTTTACCTTTTTAAAGGTATGTTTGTATTTCACTCACTTTGCATTTCACGGTAACCCAATCCAGGGGCTTTTCCCTGGCACTTCCCACAGCACAGACATATGCTCCTTCCTTGCCTGCTGCCCTCAGGGGCCAGCAGCAGGGGTGGCACTGCACAGTCCCACTGGGGGCCTCCCTCAGGGCAGAATATAATTTTATGGAAGAAAGTGTCTAGCAATGCTTTCTTGAGACAGGGTCTTGCTCTGTCACCCAGGCTGGGGAGTGCAGTGGTGCAATCATAGGTCACTGCAGCCTTGACCTCCTGTGCTCAAGTGATCCTCCCACCTCAGCCTTCCAGGTAGCTGGAACTATAGGCACACACCACTATGCCCCGCTAATTTACTTTATTTTTTGTAGAGACAGCGTCTCACTATGTTGCCCAGGCTGGTCTTGAACTCTTGTGCTCAAGGAATCCTCTCGCCTCAACCTCCCAAAGTGTTGGGATTATAGGCGTGAGCCACTGCACCTGGCCCATAGCAATGCTTTTGAGACAACAAGATTTTAAAACCTGCTACTGTAAGACAATCAGTCATATTTACCTTCTGGGGTAATTTACCTACTGTGTTATTACTGAAGGAGTCTCTTGGTTGGTGGTAACCCCTTAGCTTCAGAGTGGCCTGTCCTTGCAAGGAAACTTTGAAGAATTTAGTCCAATATTAGTGTTACAGAGAAGGACCCAAGGTCCATAGGAAGTGGAATGTAATACACAAGTTCTCCAGTCACTTCCTAACTCTGTTTTTAACATCTCACCCCAACAGTTTCCCCTGGATCCAAGTAAATGTGTAAGTCACGCTTTTATTCTTAAGCTTTGCTTCTTCCTGTTTTCCTTGGAAATGTTTTCCTCTGCTCCTTATAACTTTTTGTGTTGAATGCTCAGTTCATTTATTTTGTTTTATTTATTGGATTTTTGGTTTTGGTTTTTAGTCCCCTTTCCCCTCCTCTGTTGCTCACAGTGCAGACAACTTTGTGCAGTGGAAACAGTGCAGTCTTTGAGGCCCGAAAGTCTTTTGTTTTGATTCTTGGTTCAGCTTCCCGTGAGCAACTGTTAAGTCTGTTTTTTCGTATGTAAAAGGAAGGCAGTGATAGCCCTCTGCAGTGTTTTTTGAGGGTTAAATGGGATCGTGGTATGTAAGGAACATTGCGCAGTGCCTGATACATGGCAGATGCTCATCGGATTCCTGTCTCCTGATTGTTTCCCACCCTCCACATTTACAATGCCCACCTAGTTAATAAAACAAGCAAAACCTCATGGTTTCTTTTTTCTTTTGTGTCATTTATATTAGTACTTCTTGCTGTAATGTCACAGTGCACGAGCTGAGAGGTAAGTTGCCAGGAATAAGACGGGGACATAGCATAGAATAGCTATTAAAATGGGGGATTCTGGAGTCTGGCTGCTTCTTTCTGTCCCAGGCTTCTCCACAGACCAGCTGGATTAAGAAAATAGCATCAAAGCCTCAGGATCCTGCTATTTTGTTTTATTGGAACAAAAGCAGTTAAGACAATGAATTTACTTCTAAGTATAGCTTTGGTTAAATTGTAGACACTGATATGTAATGCTGTCTTTCTCATTGTTTTAGAAACCTGCTATTTAAAAATCTTTTTAATTTATTTTGTGAGACAAGATCTTGCTCTGTTGCAAACCCTGTCTCTACTAAAAATACAAAAATTAGCCAGGTGGGTGGCAGGCGCCTGTAATCCCAGCTACTTGGGAGCCTGAGGCAGGAGAATTGCTTGAACCCGAGAGAAGGAGGTTGTGGTGGGCCAAGATTGCACCATTGCACTCCAGCTCTGCAACAGAGCGAGACTCCATCTCGGAAAAAAAATTTTTTTTTCCCTCTGTTTTCTACAGCAGTTTATTTACAGAAGCATATTTTCCCAGTCCTGTCCTTCGAGCTGGCAAGAGGAGCCCCTGACTGGGCCCTGAAATTTAGAGAACTCTACATACAAAAAATAAAATAAATTAATTAATTAAGGACTGCAGGGCCGGGTGCAGTGGCTCATGTCTGTAAATCCTAGCACTTTGGGAGGCAGATCACCTGAAGTCAGGAGTTCGAGACCAGCCTCGCCAACATGACAAAACCCCGTCTCCACTAAAAATACAAAAATTAGCCAGGTGTGGTGGTGCATGCCTGTCATCCCAGCTACTCGGGAGGCTGAGGCATGAGAATTGTTTGAATCCGGGAGGCAGAGGTTGCAGTGAGCAGAGATCGCACCACTGCACTCCAGCCTGGGTGACAGAGCAAGACTCTGTCTCAAATAAATAAATAAAGGCCAACAGGATGCCTCTGCTAGTCTGGATCTGGTGCCTGGCATTGGCGCAGCACCACCTAACCCTATGCATCCTCTCTTGACTGACAATGTTCAGGCCCCAGAGACGTGCTTCTTCACACCTTATCTTCGGTCTATGGGAAAAATAACTACATCTAAATGTTGAATGGGGCCTCTGCCAGGCACTATTTTGAAAGTACACAGAAGCTGTGGGCAGAAAAGGACTTAGATAAAAGACAAGTTAATGTATCTACCAGATCTTTCCTCTCAGATAGTGTGAATACAATCGATTCAAACATTATGAAGTACCATTTCCGAATAGTGCTGAGAATACAATTTCTTCTTGTTTTTGTGCTCCTATTCATGGTTCCAGAGGTTCTCAAGAGTTAGCACAGTATTTGCCTCAGTTGCATAGAAGCTGAGGAAAAGTTTGCAGTATTAACCCTTTTCCCATTTAGGAAAAAAAGGGCAGCTCACTGCCAGTGCTCATTTAATTTTACAGAAACCTGCTCTTTGAGGCTGAAGCAAATCTGATTTTCTTTCTTTTTTTTCTTTCTCTTTTCTTTTCCTTCGACAGAGTCTTGCTCTGTTGCCGAGGCTGGAGTGCGGTGTTGTGATCTTGGCTCACTGCAACCTCCGCCTCCTGGGTTCAAGCAATTCTCCTGCCTCAGCCTCCCAAGTAGCTGGGATTACAGGTGCCTGCCAGCACAGCCAGCTAATTTTTGTATTTTTTAGTAGAGATGAGGTTTCACCATGTTGGCCAGGCTGGTCTGGAACTCTGACCTCAGGTGATCCACCTGCCTCTGCCTCCCAAAGTGCTGGGATTGCAGGCGTGAGCCACTGCGCCTGGCCGCAAATATGAATGGTTTTCAGTTTGAAAATAAAATATAAAAACTGCTATTGGAATTATTTCTAAACAGAACTAACATCAGAATCATCTGAATCATCAGAATAGTCTATTCTGGAAAATCAGATACATCAAATGAATCTTTGGCCAATAACTGTTCGAGAATGATGTTAGTATCACGTGTAGGAATGCTACATTTTCTAGGATTTGATATTTTCAGCTTGAACAATTAATGTATTTTGTAAATGGAAATCCCGCCACTAAAAACACAATGCTATAAATAGAATAATATTTTTTGTTTCCAAAGTGGATATACTAGAGTGATGCAAAAATAATAATAAAGCGAGATATTTTGTGGCAAAGTTACCTTGGGGAAAACGCCGCAGCTGCAGGTGCCACCAGTGAGTCTTCTCTGGGCAAATGAGAAAAGGATTAAATAAATCACATTACACATTACTCTTAAATTTGTATCTATGTCTAGCCCTCAGACAAACAGTGATGCTTATTCTTTGCATTGGCAATGAGGTGGTCATTGAATGCTAGAATTATGAATTTTAATTTCATAAAATTTAATTAAGTTTTCAAAAATCAAAATAAAATGGATTTATTTCAATCATTTTGATGTACAAATTTAATTAATTTTTTTTTTTTTTTTTGAGACAGAGTCTCACTCTGTTGCCCAGGCTGGAGTGCAATGGCGCAATCTCGGCTCACTGCAAGCTCTGTCTCCTGGGTTCATGCCATTCTCCTGCCTTAGCCTCCCGAGTAGCTGGGACTACAGGCACCCACCACCATGCCCGGCTAACTTTTTGTATTTTTTAGTAGAGACGGGGTTTCACCGTGTTAGCCAGGATGGTCTTGATCTCCTAACCTCGTGATCCGCCCGGCTTGGCCTCCCAAAGTGCTGGGATTACAGGTGTGAGCCACCACGCCTGGCCCAAATTTGATTAATTCCAATTTGTATGTTGCATATTGGTTTAATAGATACTTATTTTTTTTTTTTTGAGATGGAGTCTTGCTCTGTCGCTCAGGCTGGAGTGCAGTAGCACAATCTTGGCTCACTACAGCCTCCACCTCCCGGGTTCAAGCAATTCTTCTGCCTCAGCTTCCCAAGTAGCTGGGACTACAGGCATACCACCATGCCTGGCTAGTTTTTTTTTTTGTTTTGTTTTGTTTTTTGTATTTTTAGTAGAGATGGGGTTTCACAATATTGGCCAGGCTGGTCTCAAACTCCTGATCTCATAATCTGCCTGCCTTGGCCTCCCAAAGTGCTGGGATTATAGGCGTGAGCCACTGTGCCCAGCAATAGATACTTTTCAATATTTGAAAAGAATATTGTTTGAGATTCTGACAAAATTAAATTTTTTACATAAAAATATTTTTGATTAAAATATTAAGATATTTGTACTTTGAATATGACTGTTTTAATCCTTACATGTATTTTAAATCTTGACAATAATAACATAATTGATTTTGCTGAAAGGAAGATAAGAAAAATAAATTTCATGGAATACTTTCAGTAATTTATAAATTACACATTTCTTTATTTTATTACTCGCTTCAATATGAGGAATTGCTTGAACCTGGGAGGCAGAGGCTGCAGTGAACTGAGATCACATCACTGCACTCCAACTGGGGCAACAGAGTGATATTCCATCTCAAAAAAAAAAAAGCAAAGAAATTGTATGATCTTTGACATTTTGCTAACTTTCTGTTATCTACAAATCATAGCTTCATACACATCTAAAAAATTTTATCCTTTTAAAGGAATATTTGTCAGGGGCTGAGGCTAGAATATACTTTATTTAACACCCTGTTAGTTTAATTTATAACTTGCAAATATTTAGACAGACGGCCTGTGGCATCCATCTGTCCTCTTGCCCTGAGCCGCACATCCAGACTTGACTCATGGGCCCCAGCTTGGCTTTTCCAGTTCTTTGAATGGATAGGAATCTACCCAGAGCTCATGTTTGTCATAGCTGGGGAGCTGGGGGTGGAGGGTCCCTCTGGTCCCCCTTTGAATGCTGCAGACACCATCTTCTCTCAGATTTTAAGCTGCAGAGACCAAATTTCCAGCATGTGGTCCTGAGCTATGGAAACTTCTCCTCCTGCCCAGGACTCTCACTCTACAGAGACGCATTCATTCAGGTCCCTGAAGCCCCTGTAGAGTTTTGGCCATAAATGGTTCCTCATAAAGTGGTGCCCCCAGGAGCTCAGCCTCCGCCCCCACGCCCCGGCAGGCCTCCTGTCCCAGGGCGCCATGTGCTGCTGCCCTGCTGGGATGAGAAGTCTGGAGGGCACGGGGCAGCATTGCCCACTTAGAAGTCCCTTGTACTTTCTTTCTGCCAGATGCTGCCGCGCTGTTTCGGAGGGAAGAGTGGGCCAGCAGTAACAAAATGTTTCCTCCCTTGCACCTTTTTCGCTACAGTTGGTAGAAACTTCTCCCAGACTTCCTTGGTGACTAATGGTGTTGGGATGTTGTGGCCTTCGCCGGGAGGGGACAAGTTGTCAGCTCACAGTTTCACAGATGGTTGACCGATGCTGACTGTAGCTGGCAGGTCTCTTTTGGCTGCAAGTGACAGAAACCCAACTCAAACTTGTTCGCAAGTAGGGACATTTATTGTTTCTCAGAATTGAAGGAAGGGGAAGGGTGAGTCTGGGTCCCAGAAGGGGTGGACCGTGGGATTGGAATCCCATCCAGACTCCACTCCCTCTTCACAGAAGCTTAGCGCCTCAGATGGGCTGTGTCCTCTGGCCCCGCACACATGGGCTTCCTGTTGGGAGCTGAGCAGCTCCACCAGCTTCCACTTGCAAATGTAGCGACTGGTGCACAAGTGTTCCTATGCATATGGGGGGTGACAGGAGGCAGGGCCCTGGGACTGGCAGCCCCTGCCTAAAACCCCATGAGAGAAGGAGTTCCCCCAAAGGTGGTGCTGTTCCCAGAAAGGAAGGGAACAGCCCGTGCTCTCCACCCTGTCCTGCTTGGCCATTTTCTTCACAGATGTCACCTGTCCTTCCAGGCACAGCTGCTATTTCTGCCTGATGCTTGGCCAGTTTGCATGGTTAAAACCAGCATATTTCCAGGAGATGGATAATGTCACAGAACTGGGGTTCCAGAAGGCTGGGGTGGTCCAGCACTCCCACCTTCTTTAGAACATGGAGAGCTGTTAGTTGGGCAGGGCTGAAGCTTAGGTGGCGAGGAACAGGAGGCTCCTACTGCAGACAGCCTTGTTCTTCGGATCCTCCCAGAAATCCCTAGGCCACCTGGAACCCGGGGTCAGAGAGGGATGGGAGAGAAGTAGGCTATGAAAGGGGGTGGGAACACACCTTCTGGAACCACTGTCTTCCTTGAGAAAACCCCGAGAGGGGGCGTAATGGGCAGGGATGGACCTTCCTCCTTCCCGAGGCTCAGTGACACTTATCTCTGAGGGACCCTCCTGAGGCAGTGTGGGGTGGATTGTTGTTTGTCCGAAATTCTGGGATCTTGTAAATTTTATTTGCTAAATTTTATCAGCTCTAGGGGTAGGAGGATGAGAGGAGCAAAAGAATGGTCCCAAGCTCAGGCTGGTGTGGAGTGAGTCTTAGACAGAAAAAGAGACCAGAGAGGAAACAAGCCCACAAGGGTAGCCATCCTGTCCAACCGGAAGCCGCCTGACACTTGAAGGCGATGGATGGAAGAACTCAGCCCTCTGCCTCCTTAGCAACATACACCTACTTTAAGGGGAAAGACACACCTTCCCTCAGTGACAGAAACAGCCCCAGATTTTCAGATTTATCAAAAGTATATTTTTTCCAGGATGGGTGTAGTGGCTTACACCTGTAATCCCAGCACTTTGGGAGGCAAGGTGGGTAGATCACTTGAGATCAGGAGTTTGAGACCAGTCTGGCCAACATGGTGAAACCCCATCTCTACTAAAAATACAAAAATTAGCCAGGTGTGGTGGTGGGTGCCTGCAATCTCAGCTACTTGGGAAGCTGTGGCAGCAGAATCGCTTGAGCCTGGGAGGTGGTGGAGGGTGAAGTGAGCTGAGATTCTACCACTGTACTCCAGCCTGGGTGACAAAGCTAGACTCTGTTTCAAAAAAAAAAAAAAAGTTGTTTTTTTTTTTTTAATGTGGAGATGAGGTCTTGGTATGTTTCCAAGGTTGGTCTGAAACTCCTGGCCTTAAGCGATCCTCCCACCTCAGGCTCCCAAAGTGCTGGGATTACAGACATGAGCCACCACGCCAGGCCAGCCTTTCAGTTTTCATGGCATTGGCCATTTTGAGCAATACAGACCAGTAATTTTAAAGATTTTCAGTGAGTTCAACTCTGATGTTTCCTCAGGATTAGACACAGGCTATGCATCCCTGGATAGAATACTACATAAATGATGTGTCCTCCCTGGGAATCACATCTTGGGGGCACACACTCTCTCTCTGTCCCTCACTGGAGATGTTAATTTTGATTGCAAGATCAAAAAATGTCTGGTTATCCATTGTATAGTTACTGATTTTTTTCTATGCAATGAATAAACAATCTCTGGGGAGACCCTATAAGATCGTGGACATATCCAGTTCTTCAGCAGGCTTCCCACCACCTCAGATTTAGCATCCGATGATGATTCTTGCTGAAATCAATCTATGATGGTTGAAAAATGATTATTATTTTCCAACTTCATGACTTCTTCCACATTTATCAGTCAACCTTTTATTGTCAGGAAGAGGTTTCCAATTCAGCTCCACACTATGTATCTTTTTGTCAATTTATTATTATTATGGGCTCATGAATTCCTATTCCATTCAATGTATAATCTGTTACTATCATCTATTTTGATGGTCTAATAGTCCCAGATTACCTTGGAAACCATTATGCAATGATTTCTTAGATATGACACCAAAAGCACATGCAACAAAAGGAAAAATAGATAAATTGCATATCATCAAAATTAAAAACTTTGGGGCTTCAAAGAACACCACCAAGAAAGTGAAAGGCAACCCACAGAATGGGAAAAAATATCTGCCATATATCTGCTGCTGGTCTAGTATCCAGAATATATAAAGAACACTTCCAACTCAGTAATAAAAAGAAAACTCAATTTTAAACTGGGCAAAAGTTTGGGAAAATAGCTATTTTCCCAAAGATATACAATGGCCAATAAGCACATGAAAGTAAAATCAACATTCATAACCATCCAGGAAATGCAAATCAAAACCACAAAATGATACCAGTTCACACCCACTAGGAGAACTTTTGTCAAGAAGACAGACAATAACAAATATTGGTGAAGATGTAGAGAAGTTAGAACCTTCATATACTGTTGATGGGAATGCAAAATGATGCAGTCACTTTGGAAATCTGGTAGGCCTCAAAAGCTTAAACCTAGGGTTACCCCATGACCCAGCAACTCTACTCCAAAGAAATGAAAACATATATCCACACAAAAACTTATACGTGAATGTCCATGGCAGCATTATTCACGATAGCCAAAAATAGAAATAACCCAGATGTCCATCAACTGATGAATGGATAGACAAAATATGGTCTATTCATACAATGGAATATTATTCAACCATAGAAAGGAATAAAGTATCATTATGCGCTCCAGCCTGAATGAACCTTGAAAACATTAAGTGAAAGAAGCCAGATACAAAATGCCATGTTTTATGTAACTCCATGTATATGAAATGTCCAGAGTAGGCAAATCCATAGAGACAGAAAGTAGACTAGTGGTTGCCAGGCATTGGGAGGAGCGGGGTGGGCAGTAACTGCTAAATGGGGTTTTGTTTTAGATTGGTGAAAATATTCTAAAACTGAGTGAGGTGGTAGTTGCATAACTCTGCAAATATACTAAAAACCATTGAATTGTACACGTTAATGGAATTAATTCTATGATACATGAATTATATCTCAATAAAGCTGTTACCAAAAAATATTGTCCAAGATCTGGCCAGTCAGTGCCTCTTTGAGCTAGCTCTTGTGTCCATTTGACATGCCCCAATCCATACTTTGAGCATTTTTAAAATTTCTGGTACAACAAGAATCCAGACTGATCTCATAACCCTTTCCTGCTACAGCCTGGGAATCAGCCACATTCCCTAGAGTCGTGGTTCCCTGTTGTGTGGAATGTGAACCAAGATCTGGCCATTATTTCATTTAATCATCACATCTTATTTTCTGCTTTTAGAAACCAAAAGAATGTCTCATTGTGGGGTGCGACCAGTATATGCAGGAAGTTTTAGAATGAAAAAGATTCTGAATTGATCCTTGCTAACTTTATTTCAGAAAGTGGTAAAATAGCTGTGGAGTATGACCCAGTGAAGAGATTGTAAATATCAGATGGGAAAAAGAACTACACAGTTTAATTCAAGTATGTGGAGATAAAAACTCAAGAGTAACAGGGCTGGGCGCGGTGGCTCACACCTGTAATGCCAGTGCTTTGGGAGGCCAAGGCAGGCAGATCACCTGAGGTCGGGAGTTCAAGACCAGCCTGACCAACATGGAGAAATGGTGGCACATGCATCCCAGCTACTCAGGAGGCTGAGGCAGGAGAATCGCTTGAACCCGGGAGGCGGAGGTTGCAGTGAGCCCAGATCATGCCATTGCACTCCAGCCTGGGCAACAAGAGTGAGACTCCATCTCAAAAAACAAACAAACAGGCCAGGTGCAGTGGCTCATGCCTGTAATCCCAGCACTTTGGGAGGCCAAGGTGGGCGGATCATGAGGTCAGGAGTTCAAGACCAGCCTGGCCAACATGGTGAAACCCCGTCTCTACTAAAAATACAAAAATTAGCTGGGTGTGGTGGCGGGCACCTGTAATCCCAGCTACTTGGGAAGCTGAGGCATGAAAATCGCTTGAACCCAGGAGGTGGAGGTTGCAGTGAGCCAAGATCATGCCACTGCACTCCAGCCTGGATGACAGAGCAAGACTCCATCTCGAGAAAAAAAAAAAAAAAAGAAAAAAGAAAAACAACTCAAGGGTCGGATAACATAGCCAGTGTAACCATAATTCAAAACAAGCAGCAGAATTTGGAGGATAATTTGTTTCATTCTCAGGAAAATGTGAAACTCTGAAACTGCTTTCTGAGTGCAGGGTATTTCTGGGGCTTTTCCTAAAGTCTTGACCCTTGGCTCTGACCCCTTATTTGAAGTTTGGAGAGCAGAACTGAGGATTGTATTACTACAGTTGTGGACACAGGAGAGGGGTTAGTCTCCCCCCGCTCCAGGAGTAAGGGATGCTGGGCTGCTCGAACACAGGCCTTGTTAGAACTCCCTTCAAACAGGATCCCAGAGATGTGGGGAGAAGGTAACTGGCCTTAAGAATGATTGCGCTACAGCTTTCAAAAACTATAATGCCTTTCAAATATGGCTTATTGCTTGGATCTCAATATCTCCCACGTATCTTGGGTGGAATATTTTGCCGAAGATCTTTCTGTCAATCATTTACAATCATGTGCTGCAAAATGAAGTTTGGGTCAACAGTAGACCACATATATGATGGTGGTTCCGTAAGCGTATAATGGAGCTATCCCTATATAGGTATACCATTTTTATCTTTTTTTTTTTTTTTTTTTGAGATGGAGTCTCACTCCGTTGTCCAGGCTGGAGTGCAGTGGTACGATCTCAGCTCATTGCAACCTCCACCTCCCGGGTTCAAGTGATTCTCCTACCTCAGCCTCCTGAGTAGCTGGGATTATAGACACGCGTCACCACACTCAGCTAATTTTTGTATTTTTAGTAGAGATGGGGTTTCACCACGTTGGCCAGGCTGGTCTTGAACTCCTGAGCTCAAGTGATCCACCCACCTTGGCGTCCCAAAGTGCTGGGATTACAGGCATGAGCCACTGCGCCCAGGCCCCATTTTTGTCTTTTACACAGTATTTTAACTATATATTTTCCATGTTTACATACACAAATACCTGCCATTGTGTGACAGTTGCCTTTAGTATTCAGTACAGTAACATAAAGTACAGGTTTGTAGCCTAGGAGTCCTAAGCCATACCGTGTACCCTAGGTATGGTGGCTACACCACCTAGGTTTGTGTAAGTATATGCTATGATGTTAGCACAATGGTGAAATCACCTAGTGACGCATTTCTCAAGCTCCTCACGTGGCAAGCAATGCATGACTGCATATGAAAGCTCTTAAATAGGGATTGTTTCTAAATTAATCTCAAAACAGTCATTATTTACTATTTATGGAAACTTTTTTAAAAAAAGGAGCAAAAGTATCATTTCAGTGGGAACTTAACTTGGGGCTACAGTGTTTTATTTAACTTTTACCCCAAAGTTGCAAAGTGTTTTGAAATTTTTCCCTGTAAAATAATAATTTTAATTCAATTTAAATAAAACCCACCAAGGAGACTTCAAGCTTTAAGAAGTCTAGCTTCCTGTGAAATGTGAGAGGAAGTCAGCACTCATTTCAGAAATCTGATTATAACAATAGCTCCATCCCTAAATGAGGTGAATCTTGGAATCTCTTCCATTTTATTTATTTTATTTTATTTTTTTGAGATGGAGTTTCTCTCTTGTTGCCCAGGCTGAAGTGCAATGTTGCGATCTCGGCTCACTGCAACCTCTGCCTCCCAGGTTCAAGCGATTCTCCTGCTTTGGCCTCCTGAGTAGCTGGGATTGCAGGTATGCACCACCACACATGGCTAATTTTTGTATTTTTAGTAGAGATGGAGTTTCACCATGTTGGTCAGGCTGGTCTCGAACTTCTGACCTCAGTGATCCCCCCACCTCGGCCTCCCAAAGTTCTGGGATTATGGGTGTGAGCCACCACACCCGGCCCCCCTTCAATTTTAAAGCCATCACTATGCACCCTATGCCTATGCCAGGCACTGGAATAAGATGAAGCACCTTCTTGGAGTTTACATGCTGGTAATTATGCCAGACAGTAATAAAATAGGTAAGAACGGCTGTGGGGGAAGTCAGCTGGGTTCTAGTTACAGTCGCATTTCAGGAAATGATTTAACATGCTGACTTTAACAACCTAAGCCTCTTCTCCATGTGTGCACACAGGGTAGATCTCTGAACACAGGTGACCCTAGAAGTGCTGTAACTTCTAGGGGAATGGCTGTGTTGAGTCAAGGCAGGATGACAGTTCAGCCTCCTCCCAGGCTAGTGCAAAGGGCTCTTCACTCGGATTAAAACCTTCTCTCCCAGACCGAATTGCCAACTCCCAACACCCCTCCTACAGAAAATTTGGAGTCCTCGCTTATTCCCTGGCAGCCCCTACCTAATAGGGTGGTGAATTAATTATCAAACATGCGACAGTTTAGCGAAAATGGCAACACTTTGGAATAAATGACTGTAATGTGCATCCTGGCGCCCATTTTGCAGGTCAGTTGCTCTCCCTGGAAGGAAGAGTGTTCTCGGATTTCACCTTAAAGGAGGAAGGCTGCCAGAACTGAACTAGCACTTCTGAATATCCTGAGGCGAGGTCCGGTGACTTCCTTGGGAAGCTCTGCCGCGCCCCCATCCCACCCTACCCCACCCTACCCCACCACAGCAGGCGCTGGAGTCCTGGGACCACCAGGGTCTGAGGCCCAAATCCTTCCTCACTAAGGGGAGGAGAGGGGTGTTCCGGCAGGGCAGGATGGGAAGGCGTGCTTGGGCGGGATTGTGACATAAGAGTGCCCTGGTGACATGGAGCAGATCTGTGGCATAAATACAGGTGTCATAAAGACAGGGCGGGACTCACGCTTACAAGGGGCACGAGTGTCTCGGAGCTGCCAGAATGACTTCCGCTCAGTGCCCGGCACTAGCGTGTGTCATGTCCCGGCTGCGTTTCTGGGGCCCATGGCCCCTCCTTATGTGGCAACTATTGTGGCTACTAGTCAAGGAGGCTCAGCCTCTGGAGTGGGTCAAGGACCCGCTCCAGCTGACCTCTAACCCCCTGGGGCCGCCTGAGCCCTGGTCTTCCCACTCCTCCCATTTCCCACGGGAATCTCCCCATGCGCCTACTCTCCCAGCAGACCCGTGGGACTTTGATCACCTGGGGCCCTCTGCTTCCTCAGAGATGCCAGCCCCACCCCAGGAATCGACTGAAAATTTGGTTCCATTCCTGGACACCTGGGATTCAGCTGGAGAGCTGCCCCTGGAGCCAGAGCAGTTCTTGGCTTCACAGCAGGATTTAAAGGACAAGCTGAGTCCACAGGAAAGGCTCCCTGTTTCACCCAAGAAGCTGAAGAAAGATCCAGCTCAGCGTTGGAGCCTTGCTGAGATTATTGGAATTATACGCCAATTATCCACACCTCATAGTCAGAAACAGAATTTGCAGAATGAATATTCCAGTACAGATACACCGTATCCCGGTAGCCTGCCTCCAGAACTCCGGGTGAAGTCAGATGAGCCTCCAGGGCCCTCTGAGCAAGTTGGACCTTCTCAATTCCATCTAGAGCCCGAAACTCAAAATCCAGAGACCCTTGAAGACATCCAGTCCTCTTCACTCCAACAAGAAGCCCCAGCACAGCTTCCACAGCTCCTTGAGGAAGAACCTTCTTCAATGCAGCAGGAGGCCCCAGCTCTGCCTCCAGAGTCCTCTATGGAGAGTCTAACTCTACCGAATCATGAGGTGTCAGTTCAACCTCCAGGTGAGGATCAAGCTTATTATCACTTGCCCAACATTACAGTTAAACCTGCAGATGTGGAGGTTACCATAACTTCAGAGCCTACCAATGAGACAGAATCTTCCCAAACCCAGCAGGAGACCCCAATTCAGTTTCCAGAGGAGGTGGAACCTTCTGCAACCCAACAGGAGGCCCCAATTGAGCCTCCAGTTCCTCCTATGGAGCATGAACTTTCCATCAGTGAGCAGCAGCAGCCAGTTCAGCCTTCTGAGTCTTCTGGGGAGGTCGAATCTTCTCTGACCCAGCAGGAGACCCCAGGTCAGCCTCTAGAACATCATGAAGTCACAGTTTCACCTCCAGGTCACCATCAAACTCATCATTTAGATTCACCCAGTGTCTCTGTGAAGCCTCCAGACGTGCAGCTCACCATAGCAGCAGAGCCTAGTGCAGAGGTGGGAAATTCTTTAGTCCACCAGCAGGCTACAGCTCAGCTCTCAGGGTCAGGTAATGATGTAGAACCTCCCACCATCCAGCACGGGGGCCCACATCTGCTTCCAGAGTCATCGGAAGAAGCTGGACCTTTAGCAGTTCAACAGGAGACTTCATTTCAGTCTCCGGAACCTATTAATAATGAGAACCCCTCTCCAACCCAGCAGGAGGCTGCAGCTGAGCATCCACAGACCGCTGAGGAGGGTGAATCTTCCCTAACCCATCAGGAGGCCCCAGCTCAGACTCCAGAGTTTCCTAATGTAGTTGTAGCTCAACCTCCAGAGCATTCACCCCTGACTCAAGCCGCAGTTCAACCTTTGGATCTGGGGTTTACCATCACTCCAGAATCCATGACAGAGGTTGAACTTTCTCCAACCATGAAGGAGACCCCAACTCAGCCTCCTAAGAAAGTTGTACCCCAACTTCGAATATATCAAGGGGTAACAAATCCAACACCAGGTCAGGATCAAGCTCAGCATCCAGTGTCACCCAGCGTTACAGTTCAACTTTTGGACCTGGGACTTACCATCACTCCAGAACCCACTACGGAGGTTGGACATTCTACACCCCCGAAGAGGACTATAGTTTCTCCAAAGCATCCTGAGGTGACACTTCCACATCCAGACCAGGTTCAGACTCAGCATTCACACCTGACTCGAGCCACAGTTCAACCTTTGGACCTGGGGTTTACCATCACTCCAAAATCCATGACAGAGGTTGAACCTTCTACAGCCCTGATGACTACAGCTCCTCCTCCAGGACACCCTGAGGTGACACTTCCACCTTCAGACAAGGGTCAGGCTCAGCATTCACACCTGACTCAAGCCACCGTTCAACCTCTGGACCTGGAGCTTACCATAACTACAATACCTACTACAGAGGTTAAACCATCTCCAACCACGGAGGAGACCTCAACTCAGCCTCCAGACCTAGGGCTTGCCATAACTCCAGAGCCCACTACAGAGATTGGACATTCTACAGCCCTGGAGAAGACTACAGCTCCTCATCCAGATCAGCTTCAGACTCTGCATCGAAAACTGACTGAAGTCACAGGTCCACCTACTGTGCTAGAACCTAGTCAGGATTCATTGGTGCAGTCTGAAAGTTACATCCAAGATAAGGCTTTAACTGCACCAGAGGAACAGAAGGCCTCCACAAGCACCAACATATGTGAGCTCTGTACCTGCGGAGATGAGATGTTGTCATGTATTGATCTCAACCCAGAGCAGAGGCTCCGCAAGTGCCTGTGCCAGAGCCCAACACCCACAATGGCACCTTCACCATCTTGTAAGAATCACCTTTCCTCAATTGCCCTCTGTGTCCTGCCTGACATGGCAGCCTTTTCCTGGAGGCCTTCCTGGGCCTTCTTTATCTCCCCAAGCCATATGGACAACTGACTTTCTGCTTTCACCTTTGCTTGTCAACTCTCCCTTCTCCTCATTCTCCTTTAATGTTAGGCCCCTTCTCCAGTCTTTTCCTTTTACTCTGGTCTTTTACTCGTTTTCGTATCCATTTTTATTTAGCCCCATCACATCATTGCTTAACCGCTGCTCTCCTCCCATTTTTGCTTCACCCTCTTTACAGCAGCCTGTCCCTCTCCCGATCTCAGTGATGATGCTCTAAGTGGTTAAGAGTTGATTCCAGAGCCAGGCTGCCTGGGTTTGAACCCAGATCTATTTATTAGCTTGGTGACCCAGAGCAAGTTATTCTGCCTGTGACTCAATTTCCTCACCTTTAAACTGGGGATCATGCTAGTTTGCATTTCATAGGATTGTTGTGAAATTTAGGTGAGTGAATATATGAAACACTTCATCAGTGCTTAGCATATGTAGGAGAGTTGGCTGTTCACATGATTATTCAGTCCTTTAGTTTTGTCCAGAACTCATCTTTGTCCCTAGCTTTCTATATGTAGAACTAGTTTTATGTCAAACCCAGGGCCAAGTATGCTACTGTCTCCAGAACACGAAAATGATAGGAGGGAAGAGGCTGGGTGTGGTGGCTCACGCCTGTAATCCCAGCACTTTGGGAGGCCGAGGTGGGCGGATCACGAGGTCAGGAGATCAAGACCATCCTGGCTAACATGGTGAAACCCCATCTCTACTAAAAATACAGAAAAAAATTAGCCAGGCATGGTGGTGGGTGCCTGGAGTCCCAGCTACTCGGGAGGCTGAGGCAGGAGAATGGCGTGAACCTGGGAGGCAGAGCTTGCAGTGAGCCAAGATTGCACCACTGCACTCCAGCCTGGGTGACAGAGCAAGACTCCATCTCAAAAAAAAAAAAAAAAAAAAAAAAATAGGAGGGAAGAAAGAGAATAGGCATAAAAAGGGAGGTATATATAATTAAGTACTAAAAGATAATGCAGACCATTGGTGCTAGAATTTGCCAGAATCTGTGATCCTTGAGGTGTGGAGATGCTACATGGGTAAGCTAAAACTTTACTTGGGTCTTAAAGAGTAGCTATAATTTGTTAAATAGAAAAAAAATGGGAGTACAGTCTAGGCAAACGCTTGGCTACAGGTATGGTTGGAATTTAGTAGACCAACGTGGTTACAAAGAATTAGGTGAGGGAGCAATGAAGATATGATTCTGTAAAACCTTGATTATCAGCTACAGGAGTTTGAAAGTTACACAATGAGGTATGGAAAGCCATTGAAAGTTTCCAAGCAAGAGATTACATGATCAAAACAGGAAGATTATTTTATTTTGTTTTTTGCATTATGTGCAAGTGTAGACATGCAGAGGATTGTTTTAGAATCCATATGTAAAGTGTCCAAAAGGAAAAGCTTAATTCAGGGAGACAAAATAGAAAGGTCTAGCAAAATCTAGGAGTGAAGTGTGAAGGGGCCAAATCAGATCAGTTGTAATAGGAGTGGAAAGAAAAAGCCTAGGATGTTTCAACAGAGGGCACTGGGCCAAAGCTTTGGTGTTACCTGGCATAGGGTTTCTTTCTTCTCATTTGTTGATAATGATAAGCTTTTGCCCATATTTCTGTGGAATTATTTACCATTTTGGTACTGATTTGTAGAAGTCTGTTTAGACACATAAGTGCTTTTAGATAAAATACTTACATTCAAAGTAATTAACTGGCATCATCTGTCCAAGAGATGGGATGGATAAGAAGTTAAGCTTCCAGGAGATGCCTCATCATTTGTGCCAGTGACCCCGCATAATTTCTTGATGAATTGTGCAAACTGGGAAGCTGATAGCTCTGGAAATGAGAAAGCAGGTGTTATTTTCTGTTTCTGAATATCCCCAACAAGGTTGCAATGATTCTTTTACTTATCGTGTTCATTGTTTTCCTACCTATTCAAGGATATAAACTGTGTTTCTTCACAGAAATTTCCAAGGAAACTATATTTCTTACATTGATGGAAATGTATGGAAAGTGTACAGTTGGACCGAGAAACTGTGAGTATATTCTCTCCAAATATGACAAAAAGCTAACTGCATTGTAAGATCTTTCTTGGTCCAGCATTTTGAGGTCGGTACCTCTGAGGAAAGATATTTCTCCTCCATGCCCCAAATCAACCACTGTTGACTGCAATCGTATGGTTATTTTAAAATTAAATTTGGTAGGCTCTCTTTAAAATAAGAGGCAATTTAAATTTATTTTTTATCATACAAATAATACATGGTTATATTCCTTTTTGTTCTCTTTTTTTTTTTTTTTTTCCAGAGACAGGTTCTTACTTTGTCCTCTGGGCTGCAGTGCAGTGGCACAATCACAGCTCACTGCAGCCTTCACCTCCCAGGCCCAAGTGATCCTCTCACCTCAGCCTCCCCAGTAGCTGGGACCACAGGTGCATGCCACCACACCCACCTAATTTTGTATGTTTTGTAGAGACAGGGTCTTCCTATGCTGCTTAGGCTGGTCTTGAACTCCTGGGCTCAAGTGATCCTCCCACCTTGGCCTCTTAAAGTGTTCATATTACAGGCATGAGCCACCACCCGCAGCCCATGATTCCATTTTTAATGTATAAAAATGCAATAACAGATATAACAAAAACTCTCCTTGTGCCCTACTCCCTCATCCCTGAAGTAATGCTACTCTGCATTTAGTATACATGCTTCCAGACTTTTCCCCATTTACCTACATACATATTTACATAAAGCAAAATAGATTTGTTTTGTGGTTTTTAAAATTTTTTCTTCACATAAAGGGTAACATCTTACAACGTGATTCTTTCACTTCATGATATGCCTTAGATTTCTTTCCTTCCCAGTACTTAGAGGGTCACCCCATTCATTTAAACTCCTGCATAATCCATAGTATGGATGCATCATGGTTTATTTAATAATTCCCCCATTGATGAATGTTTAGATTATGCTTAGTTTTCTTGTTACATGCATTGCTGCAATGAAATCCCTGTACATGCTTCTTTGTGAACATGTGCAAGTATTCCTGTAGCATAGATATCTAGAAATGGAATTGTTGGGGTGAAGACTATGTAGATATAAAATTTTAATTGCCTTCAAAAATTTTGTGCCAACTTACTCTATTGTCAGCAGAATATGACAGCATTCATTTCCCGACACCTTTTCACTGCTGGGTATTCTCCAACTTTTTGCTGAAGTTATGGATGAATAAAAGGGATTCCATCTAAATGTGAATTTTTCTGATTACTCATGAATTTAATTAAATATCTTTATACGTTTGTTGAACATTTGTGCTTCTTCTCTGAGTTTTCTGGCCTTTGTTCATTTTCCTGTTGAATTGTTTTATCATTTTCTTACTGATTTATAGAAGGAATTGGTTTAGACACATAAGTGATTTTGGAAAAAATGCTTACATTCAAAGTAACTGACATTTTTCACAACAGTTTGTGTGTCACATCATTATTTCAATGTATATAGACAAGCCATGATGAGTTCTAAATTAAAAATAAACATATGCTAGGCACGGTGGCTCACGCCTTTAATCCCAGCACCTTGGGAGGTAGGCGGATCACCTGAGGTCAGGAGTTTGAGACCAGCCTGGCCGATAGGGCGAAACCCCATCTCTACTAAAAATACAAAAAGTAGCCAGGTGTGGTGGTGGGTGCCTGTAATCCCATCTACTTGGGAAGCTGAGGCAGGAGAATTGCTTTATTTATTTTTTCAGATGGAATTTTGTTCTTGTTGCCCAGGCTGGAGTGCAATGGTGCGATCTTGGCTCACTGCAACCTCCACCTCCCGGGTTCAAGCGATTCTCCTGCCTCAGCCTCCCGCGTAGCTGGAATTACAGGTGCCCTCCATCACACCCAGCTAATTTATGTATTTTTAGTAGAGACAGGGTTTCACCATGTTGGCCAGGCTGGTCTCAAACTCATGACCGTGGGTGATTCACACACCTTGGCTTTCCAGAGTGCTGGGATTACAGGCATGAGCCACCACGCCAGGCCAGAACTACATTTTAAAAACAAGAAAATTATTACAAAGGTCAGGATAGTGGTTACCTATTAGGGTTAGAGAGAGGGATATGATTGGAAAGGGGCACACTGGGGCTTCTGGAAAGCTAGAAATGATCTTTTGTAACGATGTTTACATGGGTATCTGCTTTATAATTATTAAACTGAATATTTGGCCAGGTGAGGTGGCTCATGTCTGCAGTCACAGCACTTTGGGAAGCAGAGATAGGAGGATCACTCGAGCCAGGAGTTTGAGACCAGTCTGGGAACAGAGTGAGACCCTGTCTCAAAAATTAAATTAAATATAAACAACATTTATGTTATGTGCACTTTATGCACATTATAGTTCTCCAATTTTTTTGATGGAGGGGAAAAGGTTGAATGGCTTCACTTGCAGCCCTGACATGGTTCCATGTGGGGCTTTCATAATAAGGTTTGGGAAAAGAGAGGAGGAAATGGAGGTTCTGCTGATCTTGGTGCCACCCAGAGTTGATTCTAAAAGGGATTTTGTGATCTAGACAGGAGGCATGAAATAATACAATTTGGTGGGAAGAGTGGGTAGGGGTGTGCTTGAGTGTGTGTGTGTGTGTTTGTGGTGGTGGTGGAGAGAGATGGACACAAAAAGGAAAATGTAAGAAAAGGTTTGAATGAAAGCAGAGCAGATCCCACCATCTTGAAGTGACCATGACCCAGCTTTCCTCCACATGCAGGAGACAGTCCTGTGTAGCAAATAGTTGTAGTTTGCATTTTAATCTAGAAATAACTTCTTCATTTTCCAGAATTCTCAGAGAAAATAACTTGACTGAATTACACAAGGATTCATTTGAAGGCCTGCTATCCCTCCAGTATTTGTAAGTTAGTTAATTATATTTATGAGTTTTTAGTCATATTATCTGTACAATGAATAAGGGGTTCAAATTAGATAATCTCTCAGATTTCTTTGAGCAATAAAATTCTGCAATTCTGTAAGTTTGTATAGGGTCTCAGCCCATCTCTAGCACTAGCTACCTCCTGTGCATTTTCAGTTTTTAAGTTATATAGACAAAATACAGACAAAAACATTTCACATGGTAAGAAAATCTGAGCAGTGACTGACACCCATATGAACCTTGTTTTATAAGGGTTCACATATCATTCTTTTTCTATGCGGTCTACAACCAATAGATCCAATCTAATCTATGGTCTATTTTTAAATAGCCCATTAAGTTAAGAATGGTTTTTGCATTTTTAAAGGACTGTGAAAGAAAAAGAAAAGAAACAAAGAGAAATATGTGAGAGAGATCATATGTGGCCCACAAAGCCTAAAATATTTACTGTCTGACCTTCACAAAAAAAATTTCAAAAAGTTGGTTTAGTAGGATGAAAGGAACTAAAGTTAACTTCAGATTGTTGCCTAAAGGAGAAGAAAATGGAGACCACCTGCATTCATTTGAACATCATTATTCCAGAATTTTTGGTAATTTAATCGGAATTAAATTAACATTTAAATATTAAAAATCAGCTGAATTATATCAATAATATTATCGAGAATATTAAGCTACCAAGAGAATAGACTGGTATTAAGGATTTCATTTCAGGAATTGTTATATTAATACAGATGTTTAAAATGATGGTTAAGTGGTAGAGCTAGAAATGTTTACCCTAAGAAGCACATCAGAAATGCCCCTAACTCTTCACTAATTACAAAATAACGATCGCCCCAGCCCTGTTACCAAGAAAGGGATCCCTGTATTTCTGTCTGTTTAGAGACAAGAAGATACTATGTTCATTGCTATGAATGCTTGATTCTTACCCTTTGTCCATAGAGGTGTGTATGTCATTAATCCTTATTAAGCTCATTAGTGATGCTCTTTTGCAAACAGATTCTCTCAAATATAGAAGGCTTAAGGAAAGTGGGTGTAAAGACCCTCAGGTGGATGCCAAAGTGCTACAGAGACCATGAAATAATAAAACTACGTTTCCTTTAAAATAGTTATTTTCCTTCTACTCACTCCCCCCTATTCATTTATTTTACAAATATTTGAGTTTGCTTTATTTCCATGTGTCAGTTTTAAACATGGTGGGCAATGCAGATGAGCAAGACCTAGTCCATGCTTTCAGGGACCTGTTTATGCTCAGAAGAAATGGGATACAAAATAACTACATTAAGAAGAAGAAATGGATGTGGGCACTAGGAGGGATAAATTGTTTCTCGAACATAGAAGAGGAAAAAATGCCTTCAATTTGGACCCAGGAGGATGTTACTAGAACAATGCCATTTGAATAGGACTTTGAAGGGCCATTGTGTAACATCAGAGAGACATCTTGGGGAAAATACTCTAAACTTGCAAAAGGAAAATGGGAGGGCAAAACACAGGAAAGTATTCAAGGAATGCCATGAGTACCCGTAGAGTACAAGAAGGGAGAGTAGGAAAATGGAGCCAGATCTTCTAGGGCTTTGAATGCCAAGCTGAGGAGCCAACATGGGGAACCATGTTACCACAGCAGTGCTGTAAGGTAGATCTGCATCACAGTCGTTGAGAGGGCACGTTAGAACTCAGTTCTGGACTCCACCCTCGTAGTTACTGATTCAGTTGGTCTAGAGTGGGACCAAGAATTTGCATCTTCAGTAACTTCCCAGGAGATGCTGGTCTTTGCAAGCCACTTCTGGAGAGTTTATATGATGACTGTGTGCAGGATAGTTTAGGAAGGGAGAGACTAGAGATGGAGACATCAGCCAGACAACGTTACACCATCCAGGTAAAGAGGGAGGGACAAACTCCATCACTGTATAACTGAATAAATTTCTTTTATGAAATATTAAAGCAATATAAAACCAAAAATGAATTTCTATTAATATGATAGAAATTAATTCTATTAATATGATTTGAATTAGTTCAAAGTTATGTATTAGGTAAAGGGGTAGCTTCCTTTCAAATGATGTGAAAGGATGTCTTTTATTTCTTCTGATATTGAACTGGCTTAGGAAAACAGACCTAAACTAAGAAGGTGTAGAAATGTGAGACTTTGTTTGTTTGTTTGTTTGTTTGTGATGGAGTCTCGCTCTGTCGCCCAGGCTGGAGTGCAGTGGTGCAATCTCGGCTCACTGCAAGCTCCACCTCCTGGGTTCATGCCATTCTCCTGCCTCAGCCTCCTGAGCGGCTAGGACTACAGGCACGTGCCACCAGGCCTGGCTAATTTTTTCTATTTTTTTGTAGAGACGGGGTTTCACCGTGTTAGCCAGGATGGTCTCAATATCCTGACCTCAGGATCTGCCAGCCTCGGCCTCCGAAAGTGCTGGATTACAGGACTGAGCCACCGCACCCGGCCCGACTATTTTTTTTAATATTAGAAATTGTATATATAGAGATAAAATCTTTGAGCTCATAATCTAAGATTTGATGACACTACAAAAGGGCATCTAATCAAGTCTACTGCTCTCAGGAAAAATTAATTCCAAAGTCTATTATGTTGTATATTTATTAAAACCATGAAGGTGAGACTCTAGGAGAGGTATGGGTAGGGTTAGGGGCTCTGGAAAGTTCAAATACAAGTCCAAACGTTTAGAGTTGAGATAAAAAATGTGTATCCAATATTATTCTAAACTCTTGCTATTATTCATACCAATCAACATTTAATAACTAATCAAGGCAATATTTTCCTTTTCCTTTTCCTAGAGATTTATCCTGCAATAAAATACAGTCTATTGAAAGACATACATTTGAACCACTACCATTTTTGAAGTTTATGTAAGTTACAAATATAACTTGATTACATTTGGAATTTTTATAAAACTTAATTATAAACCTCTTTGCTATTCTTGAAATATAATTAAAATTTTACCAGTAGAAAGCTACTAAAATTATACAGCAAATCCTTTTTGTCTCTAGCAAGGATTATTGTGAGAATTATTACACAGATCTTAGTGAATCATCAGAGAGCAGTGGTTCTCAGCTGGTGTGATTTTGTACTCAGGTGGCATCTGGTAATGTCCGGAGACAGTTTTGGTTGACAAAACTGTGAGTGTGCTCCTGGCATCTGGTGGGCAAAGGCCAGAGATGCTGCTAAACATCCTTCAAGGTATAAGACAAACCCCCATGGCAAAGAGTTATATAGTCCAAAATGTTGATGGCACTGAAGTTGTGAAATCCTGTTCTAGAGAAATAAAGATCACTTAACACAGGTATTTACTGAGCATTCACTGTTTTGTATCTAATGCACCACGTGTGCAGTGTTAAAGTATAAATCATAAGCCAGTATCTTCCACAGTGAGATTTCCTTAGTGCATAGAGAAAGGATTGAGGTTATGTTCCATCCTGTATAAATTAGAATCATGGCAAATGATAAATGTTCTGAAATAATTATTTTTTTCCTTTGGCTTGTGTCTTTTTTTTTTTTAGAAATCTTAGTTGCAATGTAATTACAGAACTCAGCTTTGGAACATTTCAGGCCTGGCACGAAATGCAGTTTTTACATAAGTTGTAAGTGAAATAGAAGATGAATACATGTAAACAACTATTTATCTACAAAAACTCATACAATTATTGGGTAGCTGGGTATAAGCCCATTATCAACTCTGAAAAGCGTGTCTTAAGATCCATTCATTTTTCTCAAATGGGGAAGCTAAGGTACAAAGAGGCCAAGAGACTTACATAGCTTATATATGACCTCCTCTGCTTGTCCTAGTTCTGACCTATAGCATGGGCAAGAAAAGGCATCAAAGAGGTGACCCTCAAATTAGCCTTATTGCTGGGCGGGGTGGCTCAGACCTGTAATCCCAGAACTTTGGGAGCCGAGGTGGGTGGATCACCCGAGGTCAGGAATTCAACACCAGCCTGGCCAACATAGTGAAACCCTGTCCCTACTATAAATACAAAAAAATTAGCTGGGCGTGGTGGTGCAGTTTTTTGCTCCCTGGAGGACTTTGTGTTAAGCTTCCTTCCTTGCAGCTAAATGTTGCAGACATTTAAGCAGTTAGAAACTCTGCATATGAGCAGGAATCAAATCCAAAGTTGTAGGGCCAGAATGGTGGCTCATGCCTGTAATCCCAGCACCTTGGGAGGCCAAGGTGGGAGGATCACTGGAGGTCAGGAGTTTGAGACCAGCCTGGCCAACATGGCGAAACCTCATCTCTACTAAAAATACAAAAATTAGCAGGTCATGGTGGCGGGCGCCTGTGATCCTAGCTATCAGGAGGCTGAGGCACGAGAATGGCTTGAACCCGGGAGGTGGAAGTTGCAGTGAGCCGAGATTGTGCCACTACACTCCAACCTCCCCTCCAGGCTGGTCTCGAACTCCTGTGACCTCAGGTGATCCACCCACCTCAGCCTCCCAAAGTGCTGGGGTTACAGGTGTGAGCCACCATGCCTGGCCAAGATGGTGTTTATGTTAAGCTATTGTGCAAAAAAAAACTTTTGTAAAGAAAATATATCGCTGTATCTTAATTCCATATACTTTCCTGACTACTCTTCTACCATAATTGCAAAAATTCTATGATTTCTTTGTATAACATACCCATCAAATCAGAGTGGGTATATTCAGTGGCCTGAAGGGGACTCAAGGTGAAGATTCTCCTCTACATCTGACTTTAGAAAAGACTTTCCACCTGCCTTGTGGTTCAGAAATCTAGTTTCACACAGTTCACTTCGAGATAGAGGGAAGCATTCAGGATGTGTCTGGACTAGAGCAGCAGTTTCTGCACATGCTCCCCTCTGTCCTCATTAATTTGCTGATGCATAACTTAGGAAAAGCACACTAAAGGTCTGTTTTTCTTTTTCCCTCACACCAGAGAACAGGCTCATTAGGTCCCTCCACGAAGAGGTTTAGGTAGCATCAATACAAATGTTTTAAACTCACCATCTTTACTAAGCACTTTATACAACTGGGAGTCCCTCATAAAAATCTGGTGGCCGGGAGCGGTGGCTCATGCCTGTAATTCCAGCACTTTGCTCAGGTGGGTGGATCACTTGAGGTCAGGAGTTCAAGACCAGCCTGACCAACATGGTGAAACCTGTCTCTACTAAAAATACAAAAATTAGCTGGGCATGGTGGCAGGCAACTGTAATCCTAAGTACTCAGGAGGCTGAGGCAGGAGAATCACTTGAAACCAGGAGGCGGAGGTTGCAGTGAGCCGAGATGGCACCATTGCACTCCAGCTTGAGGGACAGAGTGAGACTCTGTCTCAAATAATAATAATAATAATAATAATAATCATCATCATCATCATCATCATCATCATCATCATCATCATCATCATCATCTAGCCAGCTTCACTACAATTATGTAGGCAACACCAGGAAAACACTGGAATCACAGTTGATAAAAATTAATGAATTCACTCAAAAACATTCAGAGTGCCATGTCCATTTGTGCCAGGTACTGTACTAAGTGCTGGGGCTACAAAATCCATCTCAAAGACACACCAAGATGAGGACTTTGTCCCCAGGGGACTTTCATTCCTCAAGGAGGAAGCGGATGCTGATGGGAAAACATATGAGAGCCATGTGGGGATCTGTACGGCAGGGTGACAAGGAGAGGACAAAGCAGGAATGGGGGCTGGGTTAAGAAAGACTTGAGAGACACTAACTTGCTTATCTTGAGTTTCTGTGTTCATCTTAAACAACAGAAAAAGGCATTTGCTTCATGGTGATGAAAAAATCAGAGCTAGCTGATATTGGAAACTAGCACTCATTTCATATAAACAGAATAGAGCTGTACCCTTCAAACTAAGTCACAGTTACTTTCAAAGATTGGCACAAGGGTCTCAACACACCAAGTGTATGTTAGGGGCTGGGCTCCTTTGGAGTCAAATCTTCCTGGTAAACAAAGCTACACTGCAGTCATATTTGGCATATGTGACATATAGGCCCACTGCATTTCCTTCCAAAGGCAAGATGCCAAGGGAAGGTGCCAGTAATTTTATGACCAATATGACACCATTTTGTGGTGTTTGTAAGTTGAAACAATATATTTCCCTGCATTACACAAGTTTGTAAAAAACAAACAAAAAAAGAGGCCCCAGCTGTGGTTGATCGATGATGAATTGAATAGAGCCTAACCTTCCAGGCTTCTCACTTGCACAGGCCCTTCCAAGGTCCTGGGAGGGCCCCTGGAAATTTTTGTAGTCATAATTTTTTTAATGTTTTTACAAGATAAGGCTCAGGCCCCACAAAATCCTGAAATCATCCCTGGGTTCCAATAGTTACAACCCAGTAAATCTCTTGAATGAAGCCTCTATGTTATTGACAAATACTGACTGGCCAAATTAGCAGGGTGATAGGGTCAGTCTATTTTGAATCTGAAATCCATCTCAAAGACAGGCCAAGAGCTTATTCGTGGACTTAACTGGATTCTGCTGGCCCAAGCGCAGTAAAGTCAAACAACCATATCGAGGTTTTGCATTGGGGAAAGGAGGACATTTATTTGCAGGGCATCCAAGCAAGAAGGACCAGGTGGCTAACTATCAAAGTCCCTCACTGAATGGGGGCAATAATCATATCTCTTACAGATGAAATCATGAATGAAATGGTTTATGGAAAAGCAGCAATGGTTGATAATCCTAAATGTTAAGTATGTTTATATTTTTTCCCTGACTTTAAAGTGCTTCTCCTTCATTCCTATACACAGGTCCAGACTGATGGCTTATTTTTTAAAATTCTCTTAGTCACTTCATTGGTTCTAACAATAATTTTAGAAACTGGATGACTTTGCAATGTAGAAAGGCTATACTTTATTCAGATAGAGTACACTCATATATTGGCTTGTCTATGGCACATCGATATCATGCCAAGAATGTAAGCACTAAGAGAGAATAAGAGGAAAATCCAGGCTTTATCCCTATTGAATTATTTATCCCACTATTAGAATATTAGTGAGGTAGGTGTGGCCACACTGTGATGGCAAATTGAGCTTCGGTCACAAACATGCCTTACTGTTCCCCCCAGTCTACTGACATCAGCTTCCTTTACATAGCGGTAGATGCACAAAAGCTTGCACAGTTGAGGGTATTGTCATCATGTTTTGGTATGTACTGGAATCCTGGCAGCTTCTTCTCTGATTCGGAGAGGCGCAAACATTAAAGACAAAAAGAACAACTCGAGTCTGTCCTTTGGGGTGATTTAGGGTGGCTGTTTAAATTTGTAGTGGTTGAAAAGTCTTGAGATTGTCACACCTAGCAACTCTTATACTTTTCTTCTCTCAGCTGCAGCTTGTTCTTTTCACCTGTGTAACAAGCTGTCTTCTCTTCTCACAGAAGCTTAGCATTTCTTCCTCTGCCCCATAGCATTTTTTCAATACTTAATTTACCAGGTGCTGTTTATGTTGTAGGCACCTAAGTACTTATACAAGTGAGATAACATGTCCGAAGTTCTTAGAACAGTGCTTGGCCTATGGTAAATGCTCCATACATGTTACCTCCTATGATACCTCATTTTCATTTTTCCAACAACTCTTGCGATGCGGTTATTATTATCATTTCTATTTTGCAGATGAGGAAGTTGAAACTCAGAGACGCTAGGTAATTTGCTAAGGTTCACACGGCTAATAAGTGGCAGAACCACTTACAAGCTTTGCAAGTAATTTTCAATGCAGCTCTTAGTTCTCCTGTAATAGGAGCTGAATGATGACAATTTGGCTTTGTGTGCATTGTATCTTACTTTCTAACTTGAACAGGACCTGTAGAGCAGTGAGCTCCACTTCCCTCTGAGAATCCCACGCTTCTGGAGCTCCTGGCTGTACCAGCTCTGGGCATCCCCAGGGTTTATGCTCACCGGTCAGTGCTGGTGTGACATGATGGCTGAGCACCGGCACTGTGTCCAGCGCATTGCTAGGCACTAGACACGTGCTCTTTCATTTATTCCTCAAATTGCTTTGTGCTGTAAATGCTACCCAGAAAGGCTCATGTTCATTACTCAAGTCACTTCACCAGAAAGTGACAGAGCCAGAATTCAAACCCAGGTCTGCCAGATTCCAGGTCCCTTGCTTCTTCTGTTGTTCCTCATTGCAAGGGAGTCTTCTTCAAGGTTATTCTCAGGACTTTGATTAAGATACAGGCTCACAGCTGGGCATGGTGGCTCATGCTGTAATCCCAGCACTTTGGGAGGCCAAGGTGGGTGCATCACTTGAGCTCAGAATTTCGAGACCAGCCTGGCCAACATGGTGAAACCCTGTCTCTACTAAAAATACAAAAATTAACCAGGCATGGGGACGGGTACCTATGATCCCAGCTACTCTGAAGGCTGAGGCAGGAGAATCACTTGACTCCAGGAGGTGGAGTTTGCAGTGAGCCAAGATCACACCACTGCACTGCACTCCAGCCTGGGCAACAGAGTGAGACTTCATCTCAAAAAAAAAAAAAAAAAAAAAAAAAAAAAGAAAGAAAGAAAAGAAAAAAGGCTCACCGTTTCAGATTCTCTAGATTTTGCCCCTGAAAAAGCATTTACGTGATGCAGTCCGAGGTCTTGTATGGAGGAGCTTGGTGTGGGGAGATGTGTGGCTCACGAACCTATGTAGGTGAATAAAGGAAAGAGGTTACTTTCTCCCCAAGTACATCGCGCATATTGGGTGAGGGTCTAGGTCATCTGATCTGCTTATTTCTTTGACTACCTTCTTCCATGGAACCAGTTTTCCCTGACAGCCTTGGGATTCTAGCATAGATCATTTTGGAGTTTGTCATTTAAATTTATTTTCACGGCCTGCTTTGGACATTTTTTCAGCTAGAGCTGTTAGAATTTCAGTACATTTAAGACAGTGATGACATGCTCCAGTCCTTTCATCTCTCTCTCCTCAGTTAATAGAAAGGAAACATAGCCCATCTATCTGGACCTGTACAGAAGAATTTGGAGGGAAAAAAAAGAACAGGCAAGAAATGTTCCCTTATTTTGTGAGCTACCTTTATTCTGTCCCATTGTTCTACAGCAAAAGGCTTGTATAAAAATATTTCAGTTTTCCTCATCTAATAAGGCATATTTAATAAAATTATTTAGAGCAGTACTTCTTAAACTTTTACTCTGAGACAGTCTTTGAGGCTGGAAAAAAGCTTGCCACATTTTACTCCCATAAAGATACCAAAAAGGCGATGGACTGGGAGTCAGTGCACCTTAGTTTAATGTATAAAATGAAGGACTTGAACCAGAAATGGAAATGATCATCTACTGTGAATCTAAAAACACTCAAGGCTGGGCACACTGGCTCATGCCTGTAATCCCAGCACTTTAGGAGGCCAAGACAGGCAGATCGCTTGAGCCCCTGGAGTTCAAGATCAGCCTGGGCTACAAAGTGAGACCCCAATCTCTACAAAAAGACTTTTAAAAAGTGGAAACATAAATATAAATAAATAAAAACATTCATATCATTTGGTTTGTGGAAAAGAGTTGCTGTAGAGTCCTCAAACTTGAGCCATTGAGCCAGTTCCCACTCAGTCTCTCCATGGCCCAGGCACAACCTTAGTCAAGAAAAGAATGCCTTAGAACAGGAGGAAAAGAGGATAATATCGAATGGCCCTACATTTTGATTTCATTAGGGACAAATGCAAAGATCCTAATGTCAGCTGGAGAAGAGCTTCCTAGTTCAGAGGTAATGCTGAGCTCAAGGCTATGGATGAGCTATCAAGAAAGAGGGAAGGTTGGAGAGTGAGAGAATTTTGGAGGAAAGATAACAAACTTTGCTAAGTTGTTTGGCTACATACTGCCTTACAGTCATTATTTTTGGTGTTTAGAAAAAAATAGAAACAGGGTCTCACTTTGTTACCCAGGCTGGTCTCAAACTCCTGGGCTCAAGCTCTCCTTCTGCTTTGGCCTCCCAAAGTGCTGAGATTACAGGCTTGAGATGCTGTGCCCAGCCTACATTCATTTTTAATAGCTGGGAGGAAAGTGGGCAGAGGAAGATATAGAATGAAGAGGTAGCCGACTTTGTACAGAGCCCACCAGTGGTCTTACAACTTTTCATGCCAAAAAAAAATCACGAAGGATATTTAAAGCCCTAGTTTGAGAATCCATACTTAACCAGTCATGTGGCACTCACATTCTTTCTCTTTGTAACATCATCTTATTGAATATTAGTGTTACAAAACAAGTTAATGGCACTGAAAAACCATCTGGAATAGGAAGAGGAGGGGGATCACAAGGCAGGACAAGCTGTGTGGCTCCCAGCCTCGCCACTGACTCACTCTGATCTTGGTCAAGGGAGAGTGAATCTTCACTCCTCTTCTTTCCATCTGCCAGCATGTTTGGTCTTCTGGCACCTGGTGTTCTATACAGCACAACATGCTTCTTTGTGTTAAATTGAGACTTGATCCACATACCATCAACGCAGTATTATAAAGTGTACAATTCAGTGGTGGTTAGTATATTCTCAAGGTTGTATAGCAAACAATCACCATTATCTAACCCCAGAACATTTTCATCATCCCCCAAAAAAACATGGTACCCATTAGCCATCACTCCCCAGTGCTGTCTTCCCTCAGGCCCAGGTAACTACTAATCTACTTTGAGTCCCTATGGATTTGCCTATTCTAGATCTTTCATATAAACGAATCATACAGTATGTGGCCTTTTGTGTCTAGTTTCTTTTCACGAAGCATGTTGTTTCTAAGGTCCTCCCATGCTGCAGCATGGATCATTCCTTTGCAAGGCTGAGTGATATTCCATTGTATGGAGCCATCACTATATCCGTTCATCCATTCATCACTTAGTGGACATTTGGTTGTTTCTACTTTATTTTGGCTTTTATGAATAATGCTGCTATGGACATGCATGTACTACTTTTTGTGTGGACATGTTTTTAATTCTAGGGTGCATCCCTAGCAGAATTGCTAGATCATATGGCAACTCTTATGTTTAACTTTTTGAGGACCTGTCAGGCTGATTTCCACAGTGGCTGCTCCATTTTACACTTCCATCTGCAGTGTTTGAGGGTTTCAATTTCCCCGGGTCTTTGTCAACACTGTCGTTGTCTGTCTCTTCTCATAGCCATCCCAGTGAGTGTAAAGTAGTATCTCGCTGCAGTTTTTGATGGACATTTCCCTAATGATTTAAGACATTCAACATTTTTATGTGTATATGAGCCATTTATATATCTTCTTTGAAGAAATATTTATTCAAATCCTCTGCCTCTGCCCATTTAAAAAATTGATTTGTCTTTTTATTGAATTATAGGAATTCTCTATATCTTCTGGATACTCTGGATATTAGACCTTAACAGATAATTTGCCAATATTTTCTCTCATCCTGTGAGTTCTGTGACTTTCTTGCCAGTGTCCTTTGATGCACAAAAGTTTTTAATTTTGATAAAATCTAATGTATCTATTTTTCCTTTGGTTGTTTGTGCTTTTGGTGTCATGTGTGTGTATAAAATGTCTTACTCTTCTTTAAAAAGGTTCAGTGTTTGGTTTTAAATCAGGCTGTGTCCCTTTCATCTGTCTGACATTCTTGTCACCATGTCAGGCTGCCTTCAGCTAGTAATACTTCATTAAATTCAAAAGACAAAATTGTTTTAAAAGAAAAAAAATCCAGTTTGGAGAAGAAAAAACTGTTGTCTAATTTAAGGTCATGAGATTTACTCCCATGTGTTTGTCTAAGAGTCTTATCATTTTGGCTCTTACATTTAGGTATTTGACATATTTTGCATCAATTCTTATAATTGTGTGAGATGTAGGGGGTCCACCTTCATTATGTTGCACATAGATGTTCAGTTGTTCCAGCACCATTTAAAAAAAAAAACATTATTTCCACGTAGAATTGTTGTAGCACCCTTGTCAAAAATCAATTTTCCATAAATGTGAGGGTTTATTTCTGGGTTGTCAATTCTATTCTATTGATTTATTTGTCTGTCCACATTCCAGTATCACACTGTGATTGCTGTAGATTTGATTTGGGTTTTGAAATTGGGACATTTGAGTCTTCCCACTTTGTTATTTTACAAGATTATTTTCCTATTTAGGGTGCCTTAAATTGCATTATAATTTTAGAACTAGCTTGTCACTTTCTGGAAAGAAGCCAGCTGGGATTTTGATAAGAATTGTACTGATAATAGCAAAGATATGTAATCAACCCAAATGCCCAACCTAACTGCTATGTTATTCCTATTCCAATACTTTGCAATATATGTAGCTTTTTAGAAAGAGGATATGTTAGCAGGGCGCAGTGGCTCACACCTGTAATCCCAGCACTTTGGGAGGCTGAGGCAGGTGGATTGCCTGAGGTCAGGAGTTAGAGACCAGCCTGGACAACATGGTGAAACCCCGTGTCTACTAAAAGTACAAAAATTAGCAGGGGGTGGTGGCAGGCACCTGTAATCCCAGCTACTCAGGAGGCTGAGGTAGGAGAATCACTTGAACCCAGGAGGTGGAGGTTGCAGTAAGCCGAGGTCACGCCATTGCACTCAAGCCTGGGCAACAGAGTGAGACTCCAATGGAGACGGGGTTTCAGCACGTTTATCAGGCTGCTCTCGAACTCCTAACCTCAGATGATCCACCTGCTTCAGCCTCCCAAAGTGCTGGGATTACAGGCATGAGTTACCGTGCCCGGCCAATAAATGAAAACTTTTTCACTCAAAAAAACAACAATTGTAGTGAAACCATAGATCAATTTGGAGAATCGTGCTATTATTATCTGCTTCATGTTTACAGAATACTCTGTTGAATTTGGTTTGCCAGATTTTGTCAAGCATTTTTCCATCTACATTCATAAGAAATACTGGTCTGTAATTTTTTGTGTGTGATGTCTTTAGTTTGGATACCAGGTTAATATCACCCTCATAGAATAAGTTAGGAAATGTTCTCTCCTCATCTGTATTTTGAAAGACTTTATGAAGGATTGGTGTTAATTCTTCTGTAAGTATTTGGTAGATTCACCAGTGAGGCTGCCTGCTGGTCTTCAGCTTTTCTTAGTGGAAAGTTTTTTGATTACTACCTCAATCTCTTTACTTGACATAGGTCTGTCTATTCAGATTTTCTGTTTTTTTCTCAAGTCAGATTCAGTAGTTCATATCTTTCTGGTAATGTGTCTTTCATCCAGCTTATCCAATTATTAGCATATATTGTTTATATGTATAATCCTTTTCATCATATTATAATCCTTTATGTCTCTAAGAACAATAGTAATGTCCCCTCTCATTTCTAATTTTAATAATTTGGTCTTCTGTATTTGTGCAGTGCAGTGGCTCACACCTGTCATCCTAGCACTTTGGGAGGCTGCGGTGGGAGGATTGCTTGACCCCAGGAGTTCGAGGCCAGCCAGGGCAACATACTGAGACCTTATCTCTACAAAAAAAAATTAAAAGTTAGCTGAACATGGTGGCACACGCCTGTAGTCACAGCTACTCTGGTGGCTAAGGCAGGAGGATCACTTGAGGAGATCAGGGCTGCAGTGAGCCATGATTGTGCCACTGCACTCCAGCCTGGGAAACAGAGTGAAAACCTGTCTTGAAAAATGAACAGTAAAAAAACAAAATGTTTGTGGCCAGATGCAGTGGTGCATACCTATAATCCCTGTACTTTGGGAGGCCAAGGAAGGAGGATTGCTTGAGGCCAGGAGTTTGAGACCAGCCTGGGCAACATAGTGAGACCCTATCTCTAAAAATTTTTTTTAGTTATCCGAGTGTGGTGGTGCGCACCTGTCGTCTCAGCTACATCTTAATTTTATAACGTTGTAGTTCAGATTAATTCCAACTTTGTTTCAATGGTATACAAAAACTTCGCTTCTCTAAAGCTCCACTCTCACCCCCTCCTTTATACTGTTATTGTCACACATTACATCTTTATATACTTTATGTTCATCAACTAGATTTATAATTATTGCATTATGTAAGTATCTTTTTCTTATTTTTTTTTGTTTTGGGACAGAGTCTCACTCTGTTGCCCAGGCTAGAGTGCAGTGGCACAATCTTTACTCGCCGCAACCTCTGCCTCCCAGGTTCAAGCGATTCTAGTGCCTCAGCCTCCTGAGTAGCTGGGACTGCAGGCACGTAACACCACACCCAGCTAATTTTTGTATTTTTAGTAGAGACAGGGTTTCACCATGTTTGCCAGGCTGGTCTCAACCTCTTGACCTCAAGTGATCCTCCAGCCTCAGCCTCCCAAAGTGCTGGGATTACAGGCCTGAGCCACTGCGCCCAACCAGTGCTTTTTATTTCTTTGTGCAGATTCACATTAGTACTCCTTATAGGGCAGGTCTTCTAGCAACAAAGTCTCTCAGTTTTTATTTATCTAGAATATCTTAATTTCTCTTCAATTTCAAAGGTAGTTTTGACAGGTATAGAATTATTGGTTGACAGTTTCTTCAGCACTTTGAATATGCCATTTCATTGCCTTTTGTCCTCCACTGTTGTGTGTGGTTGCTTTGTTTTTAGACAGGGACTTGCTCTGTTACCCAGGCTGGAGTGCAGTGGTGCAACCACTCACATCGTTGCAGCCTCCACTTCCCAGGCTTAAGCAATGCTGTCACCTCAGCCTCCTGGGTAGCTGAGACTGCAGGCATGCACCACCATGCCCAGTTATTTTTAAATTTTTTGTAGAGACAGGGTTTTACTCTATTGCCAGTGCTGGTATCCAACTCCTGGCTTCAAGCAATTCTTGAGCCTCAAGCCTCCCAAGGCACTGGGAGTACAGGTGTGAGCAACCATGCCCAGCATCTCCATTGTTTTTGAAGAGAAATCAGCTATTAATCTTATTGAGGATCCCTTGTATGTGATGAGTTGCTTTTCTCTTGCTGCTTTCAAGATATTCTGTCTTTGGCTTCTGTCAGTTTGATTACAGTATGTTTAGATGTGGATCCCTCAGTTTTTCCTACTTGTAGTTCCTTGAGCTTCTTGAATATGCAGATTGTTTTTCATCATGTTTGGGAAGTTTGGGGCCATTATTTCTTCAAATATTCTTTCTCCTTTTTTCTGTTTTTCTTCTCCTGGGACTCTCATTATGTGTATGTTAGTAAGCTTGATGATGTGTTCCACAAACAGGTCTCTGAGATTCCATTCACTTTCATTCATTTTTATTTCTGTTCCTCAGGGTCAACAATCTCAATTAACCTTCAAGTTCCCCATTCTTTCTTCGGCCTGCTGTAATGTGCCATTGAGAACCTCTAATAATTTTTCCATTTCAGTTACCATACTTTTCAACTCTAGAATTTCTATTTGGCTCCTTTTTATGGTTTCTATCTCTTTATTGATATTCTCTATTTGATGAGACATTGCTTTCATACTTTCCTTTAGTTCTCTAGTCTACAGAACTGAATCATTTCTCTTATCTCTTTGAATATATTTTAAATAGCTGAATTAAATCCTTCTCTAGGCCAGGCATGGTGGCTCATGCCTATAATCCCAGCACTTTGGGAGGCTGAGGCTGAGGTTGAGGCTGAGGCCAGGAGTTCAAGACCACCCTGGGTAACTTCGCAAGACCCCAACTATAAAAAATAAAAAAATCTTTGTCTAGTAAGTCTAATATCTGGTCTTTCTCAGGGACAATTTCTGCTTATTTCTCCCCCCACCAAGTGTTTGGGCCATACTTTGTTTCCTTGCATCTTTCATAAATGTTTGTTAAAAGTTGAATATTTTAAATAACATAATGTAGCAATTCTGAAAATCAGATCCATGCTGCCAGGGTTTGGTGTTACTGCTGCTTGTGTTAGTAGTTGCTATTTATTTAGTGACTTTTCTGAACTTCTTCTGTAAAGTCTCGCATTATATGTCATGTGTTGCCACTAAAGTATCTCCTTGGTTAGCTTACCGATCAGCTAATGATTAAATGAAGATTTACTTAAATTCTTGGAACTGATAAGTCTCCTAGTTTTTGCCAAGGGGCTCTGTGTACATGTTGGGGCATACCTTCAGCACTCAGCTAGACAATTTACAGCCATGCCTTAGCTTTCACTTCTTGCTTGTGCAGAACCTCAAGATCAGCCAGGGGTGAGAGTTTATGAACTTAGTAGGTCTTTCCTGACCATGCTGGCAGCCTGCCCTATGCATGCGCATGACATTGCAAATTGCCAGGAATATGTCTTATGGACTTCTAGTTTCCCAAGCATATATCAGAGTGTTTCAAAATTCCTGTGGACATCTTATTACTCAGCTTTTCCTATTAAGCTTTTCGATTAGGCTTTTTTTCCCCAAACTGTTATTCATTGCCGAATACAGTTGCCATGTTAAAACACTTGTCTGTAATTGTTTTCCAAAAACACCCTCTGTGGAGAGGCTTTAGCACTAGACAGCTTTCATTCTGGTCAAATAAAGACAAACCTTTCAAATGAGGTCTTCCAGGGAACCACCAGACAGATGACATCATGACAGTTAACTGAGAATAAGGCTTTGAAGGAGCTCCAGCTCCATTCTGCTCCCTCTGCTTGGGGATGTGGGCTGTTTTTCAAGGCAACTACTGAGCTAGAGAGTGAGGAATGGTCTAAGGCAAGTTAACACAAATCTCACTGTTCTTACAGAAATTTTTCTTGAATAAATGCTCCTCGGGTTGCTGCAAGACTTTGGTTACATTTCTAGAGTTCTGAAAAAGTTTATTATGGTCAATTTTTTTTTTTGCCCTTTTCTTGGTGTTTGTTGCTTTTATGAAGGGATGAATTTTTGGATGTCTCTTTTTTTTTTTTTTTTTTTTTTTGAGACAGAGTCTCACTCTGTTGCCCAGGCTGGAGTGTGCAGTGGCGCAATCTCGTCTCACTGCAAGCTCCACCTCCTGGGTTCACACAATTCTCCTGCCTCAGCCTCCCGAGTGGCTGGGACTACAGGCGCCTGCCACCACGCCCAGCTAATTTTTGTATATTTAGTACAGACGGGGTTTCGCCTTGTTAGCCAGGATGGTCTCGATCCCCTGACCTCGTGATCCACCTGCCTCAGCCTCCCAAAGTGCTGGGATTACAGGCGTGAGCCACTGCGCCCAGCCTCGATGTCTTTATTCCACCATTTTCACTGATGTCACTTACAACATGGTTTTAAATCTCTGAAGGCTCACTGGGCACATGCCTGTAGTCCCAGATACTCGGGAGGCAAAGGAAGAAGGATCCTTCGAGTCCAGGAATTCTGGGCTGTAGCATGCTATGCTGATTGGGTGTCCGCACTAAGTTCAGCATCAGTATGGTGACCTCCCGGGAAAAGGAGACCACCAGGTTGCCTAAAAAGGGGTGTCCCAGCCCAGTTCAGGAATAGAGCAGGTCAAAACTCCCATGCTGATCACTAGTGGGATCATGGCTGTGAATAGCCACTGCTCTCCAGCCTGGGCAACACAGTGAGTGAGAATGTGTCTCTTAAAAAAAGAAGTCTCATCGACCACAGACTAATTAACTATTTAATCATGGGAAATGATTAGGGGAAAGACATAAAAAGAGAAACTGTAATCCACTTTTTTTTGCTCTATCGCCCAGGCTGGAGTACAGTGGCTTGATCTTGGCTCACTGCAACCTCCACCTCCCGGGTTCAAGCAATTCTCCTGCCTCAGCCTCTGAAACAGCTGGAATTACAGGCAAGCGCTGCCATGCCCTGCTAATGAGAAATTGTAATTCTCATAGAGGTCCTCCCAGAGGAGTAGAAGAAGGTTGAAAGGCACTTCTGTATTTAGTCTTCTCAATATTAAGGCTGGGCCCAGTGGCTCACACCAGCACTTTGGGAGGCCAAGGCAGGTGGATCACTTGAGATCAGGAGTTCAAGACCAGCCTGGCAAACATGGCGAAACTCCCATCTCTACTAAAAACACAAAAAATAGCCAGGCGTGGTGGTGCGTGCCTATAGTCCCAGCAATTTGGGAGACTGAGGAAGGAGGGTTACCTGAGCTTGGGAAGAGGAGGTTGCAGTGAGCCAAGATCACGCCACTGCACTCCAGCCTGGTCAATGGAGCAAGACCCTGTTTGGGTGGGGAGGGGAGGGGAGTGGACAGGAGAGGAGAAAGGAAAGAAAGGAAAGGAAAGAAAATAGAAAGAAGGAAGGGGGAGGGAAGGAAGGAAGGAAAAAGAGAGAGAAAGAAAAAGAATGAAGAACGAAAATAAAAATTTTTTAAAAACCTAAGGTTAAAATAAACCCTTTTTCTTCATATATAAACACATGAGTTCAAATTACAGCTTTGCTGCTTAATAGCTTGGTGACCCAGGACAAGTTATATAACCTCTCTGTGCCTCAGTTTCCTCATTTAAAAATAGGGCAATAATAATATCTACCACATAAGGTATTTGCTGATCACAAATACCTGGCAACCCAGTAGATACTCACTGTAATAATTATTATTTTTATAATTTCTGCCTAAGTACAAAGATGATTCTTGGGTCAACCTAAAGGCAGATTTTCTTTTATTTCTTCCTGTTTCTTTTATTTTTCTTGTTCACCTTAAAGAATTAAAAAGAAAATCGATTCCAGCATTTTGGAATAAAAATTTGCATCAAAATCAATTTATTCATTTTATTGACATATAAACAAAATGTCATTTGTTTATTCAATAAACATTTGTTAAATGCCTAATACATTTCAGACATCATGCCAGGCACGGGGATGACAGGGCATGGTGGCGGGCACCTGTAATCCCAGCTACTCGGGAGGCTAAGGCAGGAGAATTGCTTGAACCCGGGAGGCGGAGATTGCAGTGAGCCAAGATTGCGCCACTGCACTCCAGCCCGGGCGACAGAGTGAGACTCCATCTCAGGAAAAAAAAAAAATGTGGTCTCTGCCCTCAAAGCGCTCATAGTCCAGGAGCCTGACAAGTGGACAGGTGATTACATGCAATGTAAGAAAGGCTGTGATGTCATACAAGAAGACAAGTGGGAGTATGGTTTTGACCAGTTCCTCCTCTTAGATTTATTCCTTCTTCTTTGGCTATAAAGCAAAAGAATTGGTCCTATTTTTTTTAACTGTGCAAATTAAGCCATGAATTTTAAAAACTTTATAAAGATAAAAGACAAGCATCCAGCCCAGTGGCTCAAGCTGGTAATCCTATCAGTTTGGGAGGCTGAGGCAGGTAGATCACCTGAGGTCAGGAGTTCAAAACCAGCCTGGCCAACATGGTAAAACCCCGTCTCTACTAAAAATACAAAAATTAGCTGGGCATGGTGGTGGGTGCCTGTAATCCCAGCTACTCGGAAGGCTGAGGCAGAACAGGAGAATCACTTGAACCTGGGAGGCTGAGGTTGCAGTCAGCCAAGATCAAGCCATTGCACTCCAGCCTGGGCAACAAGAGTGAGACTCCATCTCAAAAAAAAAAAAAAAAAAATAGATGAACAACGAATTATGATGAGCAAATTGAATTATGGAGGATGCTAGAAATAGTGTTTCCTCCACAGTCAGGGCTTCCTACCAACATAGTCACTTTTAGGGTTTTTGACCTGAAAAGTTCTGTGGCATATTTTTTCTTTGCTATCCACTTTTTTTTTCCTTGTAGTCTCAAAGGTTTGTCAGTATACTTTAAAACAATCCTGGTAACAGTTCTAGATTGAAGGAGACTAAAGAATCATGTACTAAGTGTAATGTCTGATGTTTGATTGGATTCTCAATTTTTTAAGCCATGTTATGATTGGGACAATTGTGAAAATGTGTATATGGACCACATAGTAGACAATGATAATATGAAGTTCCATTGGGTGATGATAGTCCTCTGGTTATGTCGGAGAATGCCTTGGTTCTTAGGGGCTGCACACTGAAGTCTTCAATGGTGAAGGGTCATTATGTCTGCAACTGACTCTCAAATGGTTTTGTCCAGAAAATGTATAGACATACACACACGGAAAGCAAATGTGGCAAAGTATTAGCAACTACTGATTCCAGATGAAAGTTATACAGGTGTTCATTATACCATTTGAAAATGTTTCCCAGCCATTCTAAGGCTTAAAGGAAAAAAAGAAAATGTTTAAAATAAAAACTTGGGGGCAGAAAAAGAATACCAAAAATTTTGGGCTCAAGCCTGTAATCCCAGCACTTTGGGAGGCCAAAGAGAGAGGGTGGCTTGAGCCCAGGAGTTCGAGACCAGCCTGGACAACATGGTGAAACCCCATTTCTACAAAATATATAAAAATTAGCCAGGCGTGGTGGCACACACCTGTAGTTCTAGCTACTCATGAGGCTGAGGTGGGAGGATCACTTGAGCACAGGAGGCAGAGGCTGCAGTGAGCCAAGATTGCACCACTGCACTCAGCCTGTATAACAGAGCGAGACCTGGCCTCAAAATAAACAAAAGAAACACCTTTGTGGCAGAGGTAAGGCTGCTATATAACAAAATGCTGGGTTACGGTTCCGGGTCCATTCCATATGAAGATCAGAGGCTTCCACTGGACCCAAAGGAATAATACTAGTCACTTGTGATTGTTCCTCTATAGGTTTGAAAGATGTGTCAGGCCAACTCATTGGATGCAGTTTTAATCTAAAACTCTATACATTGTACTCCCAATTCATAGACTTCTTGTATCCATGAAACCCTCTTCTGTTTTCACAGTCTCAATGTGGCCCCAATAAAGCCATCCTTTTGGAGGACTCAGAAAAGGCCCCCCACAACCTCTGCAACATAATAATTATAGTTAACTCTTATTGAGCACTCACTGTGCACCAGGCATTTTTCAGGTATTGATTCATTTGATCCTCAAAATTCATTAGAGGTAGGTACTATTATAATGACAAGGCCAAGGAACAGAGATTTAACAATTTGCCCAAATTCACATTATTAGCAGAGCTGAGATTGAAGCATAGTCTGGCTATGGAATCTGTATTCTTAATGACCATGCTATACTGCCTAAGATTAACCTTTTACTTCAGTTACAGGGATTGTTTTTATCTCTCTGAAAGTGCCCCCAATAAGCCACAACAATAAATTAATCAATTGTCTCGGTTACCTCTTTTGCCCAAATTTACGTATTGAAAAAAATTCAAACAAGCCAGAAAGATGAAAGAATAGTACAGAATCTAATCAAAGATCAGGCACTGCATGTCATGTCTTCATTTCCTTTAATCTAAAACATGCTTCTACTTTCTTTGATCTTTCATGACATTGGCATTTTTTAAGAGTCAAAGATAGTTGTCTTGTAAATTGTCCCACAACCCGGATTTGTCTGTTTCCTCATGACGAAATTCAAGTTAAGCATTTTTGGGAAAAATACTGCATAGGTGATGTATCCTTCCTGCCTCGTAACTGCAGATGGCCTGTAATACTAAGTTTGATCACTTGACCAAGGTGAACTTCCAGATCTCTCCATTGTAATTATTTTGCTGGGTACAGTGGCTCCCACTTGTAATCCCAGCACTTTGGAAGGCTGAGGTGGGAGGATTGCTTGAGCCCAGGAGTTCTACACCAGCCTGAGCAACATGGGGAAACCCTGTCACTACTGAAAATACAAAAGTACAAAAAAAAAAAAAATTAGCTGGGCATGGTGGTGCAAGCCTATACTCCCAGCTACTCGGGGGACTGAATTTGGAGGATCCCTTGAGCCCAGGGGGGTTGAGGCTGCAATGAGGTATAATTTTGCCACTGTATTTCAGCCTGGGTGACAAAATAAAAATAAAAAATAATAATTTTCCGCTTGGTAATTAATAAATAATCTGTGGGTTGTTACTTTGAGTTCAGTGAAGATCCTGTTCTCAAATGTCTTTTCACCCAAATGTGCATCAGTGATAATCCTTGTCTGAATGAATTTGTATTACACTGATGGTTGCAAAGTGACAATTTTAAAAATTCTGTCATTCCTTCTACATTTACTAGCTGGCATTATTTCATTGAAGAAGAACTCCCCCTCTTTCTTTTTCTATATCACTCTTCGTGGATTCTTCTTTATATTAAATATGTTGTAACTTATTGTTGTTATTCTTTTGAATGCTCAAATTGTCCAGATTTGACCAATGCAATCTTTGTTATTTTTTAACTCCACAATCGAGGTTAAACTAAGCTATTTTTAATGCCCAGAGTAATTTATAATATTTCCCACTCCCAACAGGAATTGAGAAAGGGACTCCAGAAGTTGGGGGCTTATTCAGACTTCTTAAAAGTCTACCTTCTTCCTCTGTACTTTCAGCCCAAAGTGAGACTTTTGAGTTGGGAAGAGATACTTCTGAATTAAACTACTAATCACTGTCACCCAATTCTAATCCCAACCATCTTTATTCTAGGCATACCATACTCACTGCCATGCTTACCCTTCAGTTGGGCACCTTTGCCCTCCTTCCTATTGGCCTTCTGGTTCCTACCCAACTGTCCAGTCCATAGGCTTCAATGACACCTTTTTCCCACACCTGTGGCAGCGTTGGCTGCCTCCTTTACCTACTCAAGTAACCGCTTTACCGCTAATTTATTGCTCTCTGTTTTCATCTATAGGATCTTACCTAGCCATATGGCCTGCTGCCTCTGCCAACTTAAAAACAGCATTGAGGCTGTCTGCAAGACAGTCAAGCTGCATTGCAACAGTGCATGTCTGACAAACACCATACATTGTCGTGAGTCCAAATTGCGCGGTGATAAATTGTTACATTAAGTATTTGTTTTTAAACTTTTTATTTTTAATGATGATAAAATTTTAAGCTAATGACATAATTGCTTTATTTTTATTTACTCATTCAGAGTTAAACTCCCTCAATTTCTGAACTACTCCCTTGCTGAGAGTCAGGTTCTCAGTTACTATTACAAAATTTAATAATAGAACTGTTCCATATGCACAAAGGACCAAGACAAAGGAATGGGAAGGCTAGAGAATAACATTAACATCCACACACTGTGTACTGTGCTCTCTGCTTGATGCTTTGCCCACAGTGATAATTTCTTCATATAGTGCAAAGTAGTTTGTAAGGTGGTTTTAAATTCATGAGGTCTCAAGTACTCTCTGCCTTATAGGACAGATGTAGATACGGTTTCGGTTTTTCTGTTTTTACAGTTTTATAAGAGTACAAGTGATGCTGTTTTATTTGAAGCCTGAGAGCTTCTGGTTCCATAACCAGAAATTGCTACCTGGCTCTTCTAATAGAATGGAGGGCTTTTCCATTCTTAGACCATCCAACTCTGAACTTGCTCTGAATCTCAAACCTTTCTGTTCACAGAACAAATGCTCAAGGGCTTTCAAGAGTGTTTCTGTAGATTAGGTTTATTAGCATCAACTTCATGACTTCTAAAATGTGACTACTTTCATGTCCAGATAGCTTGAATACAGGTATCTACCAGTGATATGGGGTGGAGAATTAATAATGCTTGGTTACATAAAGTCAGTGTTGCTTATTTTTCAAAACTTTTTTTTTTTTTTTTTACCAATTATATTATTCCCTTCTCCCCAAGAAGTGGGCAGAAAAGCTTTGTTAACCTCCTTTTACAGATGAAGAAAAACAAGATCAGAGGTGCTAAGTGCTGTAGCCTAGTGCCAGGTCTTCTGGCCCCAATTCTGGGTTCTCCCCAAGCCCATGCTTCTTCCACTTTCTCACAATCTTTACTTCTTCCTCTGACCCTCACCACCACCCAAAATACTTTTAATTCTGGAAAAGAAACCCAGCTGCACACTGGCACACTTGACCTTCATGCAGTCAGAAGCTTTGGCTGATTCCCCATCCAAAATATTAGAGATGAAATGAAAGCAAAGTAGGCATCTGACAAAAGTTGCTTTTTCCCTTCTGCATTTTAGGACCTCAAGTAATGTTTATCCAGAAACTGTTATCATACCAGAGATTCACTGTGTATTTAACAACATAGGCATGCAATCTGGCAAATTTGAAAAACTCTTAACATACACCCCAAATCCCTGCCCAAATTTAAGAACTAGGGTGGACACAGTGCTTTTTTCCATGTCGCATCTTCTGTGATGGGGCTACGATATGTGGGAGCAGAGAATGGGGAGGGTGGAGCGCATGCCAGATGAGGATCTATCAGCAATGGGAGGGGGCCTCCACTTTAGCATCTCCACCCTGCTCCTCTCAGAGGACCGCCTTTCATTGCATTCAGCTGTGATGGTAGCAAGAACACAGGCGCACCGAGGACGAGGAGAGCGGGAGCCTTGTGCTCTCTCTGCATCTGAGGCAGGACAGCACAGGGTATGGAGCAGTCTGCAGAGAGGCCAGCTCATCAGCTCATCAGGGAAGCACTTGTCTTCCACCTTGGGCTTTGACTGAGCACTGGGCAATTGGACCCTGGGGATCAATGAAATAATCCTAAGCAGAGTTACTCTATGTCACACTATGGAATGTTCCAAGTAGATGGCCGTGTTTTCAAAAGATATATTTTCTCCTTTTGTTGTTGCCATTTCATAGGTTTAGGATTGGGTGTGTGTGTCTCCTCTCTGAATGGCACTCAAATGTTTGCTGACTCCTACTCTGTGTGACTGGGGTGTACAGCTATGGACTGATGCATCCCATCCCATCATCTTTCATGAGCAAAGCAGTCTCTTTTTTGACAGCTGAAGAAGAATCTGTAGGGAATCCAGAAGGAGCATTCATGAAGACGTTACAAGCCCGGAAGAATTACACAAGCACTGAGCTGACTGTTGAGCCGGAGGAGCCCTCAGACAGCAGTGGCATCAACTTGTCAGGCTTTGGGAGTGAGCAGCTAGACACCAATGACGAGAGTGAGGTTATCAGTGCACTAAGTTACATTTGCCATATTTCTCAGCAGTAAACCTAGATGTGGAATCAATGTTACTACCGTTCATTAAACTGCCAACCACAGGAAACAGCCTGGCAAAGATTCAAACTGTAGGCCAAAACCAGCAAAAAGTGAATAGAGTCCTCATGGGCCCAAGGAGCATCCAGAAAAGGCACTTCAAAGAGGTGGGAAGGCAGAGCATCAGGAGGGAACAGGGTGCCCAGGCATCTGTGGAGAACGCTGCCGAAGAAAAAAGGCTCGGGAGTCCAGCCCCAAGGGAGCTGGAACAGCCTCACACACAGCAGGGGCCTGAGAAGTTAGCGGGAAACGCCATCTACACCAAGCCTTCGTTCACCCAAGAGCATAAGGCAGCAGTCTCTGTGCTGACACCCTTCTCCAAGGGCGCGCCTTCTACCTCCAGCCCTGCAAAAGCCCTACCACAGGTGAGAGACAGATGGAAAGACAACACACACACTATTTCCATTTTAGAAAGTGCAAAGGCTAGAGTTACAAATATGAAGGCTTCTAAACCAATTTCACATTCCAGAAAAAAATACCGCTTTCACAAAACTCGCTCCCGCATGACCCACAGAACACCCAAGGTCAAAAAGAGTCCAAAGTTCAGAAAGAAAAGTTATCTGAGTAGACTGATGCTCGCAAACAGGCCTCCGTTCTCTGCAGCGAAGAGCCTCATAAATTCCCCTTCACAAGGGGCTTTTTCATCCTTAGGAGACCTGAGTCCTCAAGAAAACCCTTTTCTGGAAGTATCTGCTCCTTCAGAACATTTTATAGAAACCACTAATATAAAAGACACAACTGCAAGAAATGCCTTGGAAGAAAATGTTTTTATGGAAAACACTAACATGCCAGAAGTCACCATCTCTGAAAACACAAACTACAATCATCCTCCTGAGGCAGATTCCGCTGGGACTGCATTCAACTTAGGGCCAACTGTTAAACAAACTGAGACAAAATGGGAATACAACAACGTGGGCACTGACCTGTCCCCCGAGCCCAAAAGCTTCAATTACCCATTGCTCAGTTTGAAATTCAGCTAACCCAGCAGCTACAGTCCCTTATCCCCAACAATGTGAGAAGGCTCATTTCTCATGTTATCCGGACCTTGAAGATGGACTGCTCTGGGGCCCATGTGCAAGTGACCTGTGCCAAGCTCATCTCCAGGACAGGCCACCTGATGAAGCTTCTCAGTGGGCAGCAGGAAGTAAAGGCATCTGAGATAGAATGGGATACGGACCAATGGAAGACTCAGAACTACATTAATGAGAGCACGGAAGCCCAGAGTGAACAGAAAGAGAAGTCGCTTGAGGTGAGGACCACACAGAAACATGAGACCCAGATTTCCCATCATTTAGCATATCCCAGGAAAGTGCCCACACAGAAGAATCTGGGACTCCCAGGCCATAGCTTATCTTGGCCATGTAACTTTGGTCATGACAGTGATCTCCCACTTTGCTCATGTAGAGAGTGAAATATAGATTAGGGCACAAGATGAACTGTAGGCCAGGGGTGGTAGCTCATGCCTGTAATCTCAGCACTTTGGGAGGCCAAGGTGGGTGGATTACTTGAAGTCAGGAGTTTGAGACCAGCTTGGCCAACATAGTGAAAGCCTGTCTCCACAAAAAATAAAAAAATTAGCTGGGTTGATGACACGTGCCTGTAGTCCCAGCTACTTGGGAGGCTGAGGTGGGAGGGTCACCTGAGCCCAGGGAGGTCGAGTCTAGTGAACGGTGATTGCACCACTGTACCCCAGCCTGGGTAACAGAGTGAGACCCTCTTTCAAAAAAATAAAAAAGAACCTGTAAGCTACTCACCTGGAATACTGGGGTTTTGAATAGTTAGCTCTCATTCTGGTGTGTTTTTTTTTGTTTTGTTTTTTTGTTTTTTTTAGCTCACAAAATAAGTTCCAGGATATGGCTATACTGACAAACTCATCTTGGCATTAATTGTGACTGAAATACTAATGATTTTTATTATACTTTTCTGCCTCATTGTGGTAAGGACAATAATTAATTCAGGTTGTCAGAATGCAGTCCTGTTTCTGTGTGGATTCAGAGCTCACAAACTGAAAACCAAAGCCACTTTCCCACCTGCTGCTACTTGACATACTTCTTCAGTCATTTAAGGCTGAGGTGTATGCTTTGTTCTTTTATTGCAGTGTATATTTCAGGATTTTTAAAAGATCCTCGCTTCCAGATCTCTGTGAATTGAAACCAAGTTAATCCCACTAGACTATTTTAAGAAGTCGATATAATAGCAAAATTTCTCCACCCAAAACTATGTCAACAATTGGATGTACTCATCAAGTCACCCTTACTCTGCCACTAATTTATTTCCTTGGTGCTGAAATGATGAGAGAGGTATAATCTCCACCCTCACGGATTTGTCATCACCCTGGAGAGGAAGGAGAGAGCCAAAAGACAGAAGTATTGTCTTGTAGACTTATTAGATTTACACAGTATCGTCCTCCAGTGTGTAAGGCATTGTCTAAATAGGTCCAGTTAAAGCACTACAGAGTAGCCATCTTTTACAAAAATTGTTGGCCACATTTTTAAGTTCACAGGCGAGGGGGAACGTCTCATACTCTAGCCCTCCTGAGCCTAGACCCTCTGTGAGATGTGTCACCATTTCTTGGACACCATGTGAGACATTCCCCCTCAGATTAGAGATGCTCAGCCTGCATCAACTTATCTAAAGCCTACATCTGGCTACTCTGGGGCAAGTCCTGTTTACAGTGCCCATTCCTGGAGCTTGCCTCTGTTTGTCTTTTGTTCGATTACATGATATATTACTTTTCCCAACAGGCCAGTGCTAGCATATTGGAAGAGTGATTTAATAAAGCTGGCAACCTTGACGCTATGCCACCAGTCCAACCTTATTTGCCTCATTTACCATTTCCATTATTGTGGCAGCCCTCCATTCCAGCCACAGCAGCCCCTCACTATACCCCAGTCACACCACCCACATTTCTGCTTCTGTCTGTGTGTTTGTCCATCTAAAATGCCCTTATTTCACTCTGCCTGTGGGAGTCCTATGCATCTCTCAAAAGCCAACACAAGTTCATCTTTCTTCTTGACACCTTCCCTGAATATTCCAGCCGTGCTGAGCCTAGTCCCTTTGTGAGATTTGTCACCATTTCTTGGACACCATATGAGAGACTTCAGAGGCTGAAGTGGGAGGATCGCTTGAGCCTGGGAGGTCGAGGATGCAGTGAGCTGTGGTCGTACCACTGCACTCTAGCCTGGGCAACACAGCGAGGCCCTGTCTTAAAAACAGCCACCACCAAAAACTATCTTGGGATTTGAATAGGATTACGTTAAATTTGTAGATTAATTTGAGAATTTACATCTGTACGACATTGTAGGAATGTGCTGTCTCATGATGGAACTAACAAGGATACACCTGCTGTCCCCAGCCCTTTTGGGAGGTGGGGAGGGATAGGAAGGAGAAAGGTTTTGGTGCCTATTGCTGCTGATGGTGGGCATCAGGCCAGGCCAGGGGCCTTCTTGGAGGCTCTGGGAAAGGGGAAGGGAAGGCCACCGGGTGTGAGAGAGAGGGCACTTGTCTCCTTCAAGGCTGATGGAAGGTAGGATATGTGAGTCCTTCCTCTTAAGTGGCAGGAAACAGTATTTTCTCTTTTCTTTTTTTCCCCTGGATACTAGAACTGAGGAAACACTATTTTCTCATCTTACTGGTTTTTGCGCCCCCACTCTATTCCTTTTACACAAACCTCACAGAATTTTAACCAGAAAGGCCAGGCAGGATGGCTCACGCCTGTAATCACAGCACTTTGGGATCACTTGAGGTTAGGAGCTCGTGACCAACCTGACCAACATGGTGAAACCCCATCTCTACTAAAAATACTAAATTAGCTGGGTGTGGTGGCACAGGCATGTAATCCCAGCTATTTGGGAGGCTGAGGCAGGAGAACTGCTTGAAACCAGGAGGCGCAGGTTGCAGGGAGCCAAGATAGCACCATTGCACTCCAGCCTGGGGAACGAGCCAAACTGTCTCAAATAAAAAAAAACAACAAAAAAGAATTTTAACTACGGAGAACTTAGATAGTAGTTTGTCCTTTTATGACAGGAAAACTGAGAAGGAGAAAGGGAGAGTGTCTTACCCCATGGTCACACAATGCACTCTGCCTTTTCCTATTTTATTCAAATTCAAAAATAACATGTTGTGGTTTAAGCTGATTTCGCAGCTCACTCACTCATCAGCGACAGCCAGCTGTATGAAGACTGTGAGATAGAGAACTTGGCTAGCTGCACTCAGGCATTTGCTTGAGGTGATCCAACTTATAGAATAAAGTATCTAGAAAAGGAAGAACCACTTCATCTCCCACCCCCCATCAAATGATGCCTGTGAGACTAAGTCCGAAGGGGACTGATATAAAATGCTTCTGCCCAGCATGGTTGTGCAGTTTGTTCACTGCACAAGGGCACTTGGCCAAGGGGATGAGTGGGAATGAACATCCTGCCCCTGCTCCATGCTGAGCCACATACAAAGTCCCCCCAGTATATTGTGGGGCCCTTCTGGACAGACATGGAGAGCTTCTGAAAGTCCCACATGCATGGAATTATTTTCAAGACCCCAGGTATGTGGTCTGTGGTGGTTCTTCTCCCTGTGATTATGGACTGAGATACTCATTTAGTTCTAATAAGACCAGAGAAGTACATTGTGAGATACGTGGGAAACGGCTGCATCACTCACTGTCTTGTGCATGTGTCTCCCCAGGGGCATTTTCAGATTTCTGCCACGGAGATGCTCTTCGCAAAGGGAGAGTCAGGTACATTGGAGGATTCATTGCTGTGACCAGGGAAAGCAGAGGACATGCAAAATTAATATTTCCCTTTCTATCTTCTAGGATGGACTTTTTTCATTCAGAAAGCCGCTCTGGCTTAAAGACATGTACAAACCTCTCAGTGCCACAAGAGTAAAGAATCACGCATGGAAGCTGCACAAGAAGTCATCTAATGAGGACAAGATCCTCAACAGGGACCCTGGGTAAATGACGGGACCCTCACAGTTCCCATCTAAAATGAGGAGGGGGTGAGACGCTTAATTGCTCCTTTCAAGAATGAAAACCTTGGCATTGTTATTCTTATCCCAGGGACAGTGAAGCCCCAACAGAGAAGGAGGAGGAGAGTGAAGCCCTGCCATAGGAGGAGAACCCAGCCCACCTCAGGCCTCCTGCAAAAACACATAGCATAAACAATACCATCAGAAAGAAAAGCAGGACTGAAGCCAGCAGCCCACACATCCACAGAGGCAGCGGGCAGAGCAAGCACAGGGCCATCGTTCCTGCCCTTGTTTCCCAGTCTAATTAGTCACCCAGACCTGAAAACATATCCTCAGGGGGTGGAGATTTTACAATTAAATACCATTGTTTTTGGTGCCCTCTCCCTGGGTTCATCAAGCACCAGTCATATAATACCACATACTTGAACTCCTGCCCACAGGGGACCTCCCATCTCCTGGCCCCTATTATAGGATCACTGGGCCTACCTGCACTGTGGGGCCAAGCCCTGTCTTTTTCCCAAGCCCTCAAGCACACGCATGAATGTTCATCCCGACTTGGTAGGGGGCTTTTCACCCTTACAAGATGGCAAAAGATTCACACTGCTTTTTTTAAAATTTGTTTTTCTTTTTAAAAATCCCAACCCTTGGATAGCAAGGGAGGTGCTGGAGGGGTAGGGTCAAGAAGAGTGTGTGAGAACAGTAATTTCCCAAGACTGCCCTCTGCGGGACTGTATTTCAGAAAACACACTGGTGGGGCTACCTCTCCATTCACATGTACTGCCCTAGCCTCTCCCCATCCCCGGCTGATGCACTTCCATATCTGCACTGTTCCATAACAGCAGTAGCATGTTGCAGAAAGCGCTAGGATTCCTCCACTCCATCTTCAAAGAAAAAGTCGCTAATAAATCACATTTGGTAGGTTAGTGAACGTTAAACACATTAGTGAGCAAAAGAAAATAGGAATGAACAAGAATTGGTCATCTACCTAACTGAACACAAATGAACTCTGGCAGTTCGGTAATAGGAGGTAAAGAACCGCGCTAATTGCAGAACAGCAGCCCCCCTACCTTCCCAGGAGCAGTGTGACTGGGAAGCAGCCCCGTGTGTATGCTGGTGCAGGTTCTAAGCAAAGTGAGCTGCCCATCAGTTCTGATGAGTTTGCTGATGCTAGACATATGACATCTGTTCTCTTGCTGCCTGCCCCAGTTATCTCCCAAAGTTCTTTACTGAGAATGAAAAGCATCTTTCTCTGTGTGGTGACTTCAGTAGGCCAACAAATATTTGAGTTTAAAGCACAAGACTAAATAGTCATAGGCAGAGCAGTGCTACCATTTACAATTTGCTTACTTGATGCTAAACCATGGGTTAGGCATTTTACAGTCATATCATCTAGCCCAGCAAGTCATGGAAGCATAGTTGTTAAAATCATCTGATACTTTGGGAGGCTGGGGCGGGCAGATCACGAGGTCAGGAGATCGAGACCATCCTGGCTAACATGGTGAAACCCTGTCTCTACTAAAAATACAAAAAAATTAGCCACGGGTGGTGGCAGGAGCCTGTAGTCCCAGCTACTCAGGAAGCTGAGGCAGGAGAATGGCGTCAACCCGGGAGGTGGAGCTTGCAGTAAGCCGAGATCATGCCACTGCACTCCAGCCCGGGCAAGAGAGTGAGACTTCGTCTAAAAAAAAAAAAATCATCATCTGACAGATAAGGATACAGGGCTTGAAGAACATAGGTGACCTGCCCCAAGTGTCCAAAGCCACACATCCAAAATGACAAATTAGGGTTTTAAGCCAGCACTCTTAGACTTCAAAGCCTCTTAACCATTCCACTGCCCTGCTGTAGGGCATAGGGAGATAAGGGGGATAAGCTATGGTTGCCATCAAAGAGTTAATATATCAATAATATGCGGATGGTGAGGATGATGGCAGCTGCTAGGGGTCTACAGGCGTGTACCACCATGCCCAGCTACAATTCTTATTATTCCCAAATGCTACTGTGTCCGGAATTGGTGGGTTCTTGGTCTTACTGACTTCAAGAATGAAGCCGCGGAACCTCGCGGTGAGTGTTACAGCTCTTAAGGTGGTGCGTCTGGAGTCTGTCCGTTCTGATGTTGAGATGTGTTCGGAGTTTCTTCCTTCTGGTGGGTTCGTGGTCTCGCTGGCTCAGGAGTGAAGCTGCAGACCTTCACGGCAAGTGTTACAGCTCTTAAGGCAGCGCGTCTGGAGTTGTTTGTTCCTCCCGGTGGGCTCGTGGTCTCGCTGGGCTCAGGAGTGAAGCTGCAGATCTTCGCGGTGAGTGTTACAGCTCATAAAAGCAGCGTGGACCTAAAGAGTGAGCAGTAGCAAGATTTATTGCAAAGAGCAAAAGAACAAAGCTTCCACAGTGTGGAAGGGGACCCGAGCGGGTTGCCAATGCTGGCTCGCGCAGCCTGCTTTTATTCTTATCTGGCCCCACCCACATCCTGCTGATTGGTAGAGCCAAGTGGCCTGTTTTGACAGGGTGCTGATTGGTGCATTTACAATCCCTGAGCTAGATACAAAGGTTCTCCACGTCCCCATCAGATTAGTTAGATACAGAGTTTCGACACACAGGTTCTCCAAGGCCCCACCAGAGCAGCTAGATACAGAGTGTCAATTGGTGCATTCACAAACCTTGAGCTAAACACAGGGTGCTGATTGGTGTGCTTACAAACCTTGAGCTAGATACAGAGTGCCGACTGGTGTATTTACAATCCCTGAGCTAGACAAAGGTCCTCCAAGGCCCCACCAGACTCAGGAGCCCAGCTGGCTTCACCCAGTGGATCCCGCACTGGGGCGGCAGGTGGAGCTGCCTGCCAGTCCTGCACCATGCGCTCACACTCCTCAGCCCTTGGGCAGTCGATGGGACTGCCCCGTGAAGCAGGGGGTGGCGCTCATCGGGGAGGCTCGGGCCGCACAGGAGCCCATGGAGGGGGTGGGAGGCTCAGGCATGGCGCACTGCACGTCCCGAGCCCTGCCCCACGGGAAGGCAGCTAAGGCCCGGTGAGAAATCGAGCATAGCGCCAGTGGGCCGGCACTGCTGGGGGACCCAGTACACTTTCCGCAGCCACTGGCCCGGGTGCTAAGCCCCTGACTGCCTGGGGCCGGCAGGGCCGGCCGGCTGCTCCGAGTGCGGGGCCCGCCAAGCCCACGCCCACCCGGAACTCCAGCTGGCCTGCAAGCACCGCACGCAGTCCCGGTTCCCGCTCGCGCCTCTCCCTCCACACCTCCCTTCAAGCTGAGGGAGTGGGCTCCAGCCTTGGCCAGCCCAGAAAGGGGCTCCCACAGTGCAGTGGTGGGCTGAAGGGCTCCTCACGTGCCGCCAAAGAGGGAGCCCAGGCAGAGGAGGTGCCGAGAGCAAGCGAGGGCTCTGAGGACTGCCAGCATGCTGTCACCTCTCACTACCCCACCATATTTCTAAAAACTCCCAAAGTAAGATTCTACTTTGCCTAGTTTGTCCTCAATTGAGCAGTTTTGTCTAAGCCCAGAGTTTCTGCTGGGCCAGACTATGGATAAGCTGTCTCTCCCAGGCTGGTGCCCATGCCTGCCTGTAGCCGGGGGGGGGGAGGGGCACCCGGGGTCATGTGGAACAAAACATGACTGCCTAGGGCTGCCTCTGTCTCCATCTCACTGATCGCAAATCACAGTTCAGACAGCCAGCTCTTAAGTGAGACCTGAGTGCCAGAGAGAGGTGGATACGAGGCCAACAGTTACTAAATGAATGAAAATTGTGATTCCAACGAAGCCTGCCAGAGAAATAAAGCATTTTTTAAAAGATGGAAATAAGCCGATATCTGATTAGGGCAAACATGATGCAGACAAGAAATGCACTGGTTCAGAGGAGGGAAGGTCAGGCCGCCTGGGGAGAGTCCATGAAAAAGATGGAACGTGCCAGATGCTGTGCCTGGTGCTGGGAAAGAGTTGACTAGGCCAGCATCCCTTTCCTCAAAGGGCTCCTAGACTGGGGGGAGGGCTGGATATCTGAATACATCCTGAGGAGACAGTGTGGGACAGCATGGTGGCAGTGGAGCCAGCCGTGGTTCTGCTCTTGGTCGGCTGGAAAGGAGACGTAAGGGATGGCTTAGAAGAAGGGAAGTGGAAGAAAAGTTTTCTGAGCTGACAAGAGGAAGGAAAGGGCTTCTAGAAGGACACTACAAAGGCATAGAAGCCCTAAGCAGAGTGACCACCAGACTCCACAGGTTAAGGGCTCAGTCACATCGGACCACCCCCACGTCAGACCCCAGGTGCAAGGCCAAGCATCACCTATGCATCTGACCAACTGGCTATAAATTGGAGGTCCCCAAAACTCCCTCCTCAGGTTTGAACATTTGCTAGAACAGCTCATGGAACCCAGGAAAACAGTTTTCTTACTATTGCTGATTTATTACAAACGATACTTTAAAGGACACAAATGAACAGCCAGATGAAAAGATACACAGGGTGAGGTCTGGAAGGGTCCTTGTGGAGTTGGGGTGCACCACTCTCCTGGAACATGGATGTGTTCGCCAACCCGGAAGCTCTCCAAGTCCTGTCTTTCAAGGAGTTTTCTGGAGGCTTTATCACGTAGGTATGATTGAGCTCCAGCTCCATTTCCTACCCCAGAGGATGGGGAATGGGGCTGACAGCACAACGCTTCCACCCATAGTGAGGTTTTTTGATGACCAGTCTCCAAATAAGGAGCCCACCAAGAGTCACCTCATGAGAACAAAGGACACTCCTATCACCCAGAAAATTCCAAGGGATTTAGGAGCTCTGTGTCAGGAACCAGGGTCAAAGACCAAACGTTAGAACAAAAGATGTGCAACCATAAAAAACAGCGAGATCATGTCTTTTGCAGGAACACGGATGGAGCTAGAGGCCATTATCCTCAGCAAACTAAGACAGGAACAGAAAACCAAATACTGTATGTTTTTACTTATAAGTGGGAACTAAATGATGAGAACTCATAAACAACAGACACTGGGCCTGAGAGTGGAGGGTGGGAGGAGGGAGAGGAGCAGAAAAAACTACTGGGTACTAGGCTTCGTACCTGGGTGATGAAATAATCTGTACAACAAACCGCCATGACACAAGTGTACCTATATTACGAACGTGCACATGTATCCCCTAACCTAAAATAAAAGTTTGTTTCCTAAAAGAAAAAAACCACTCGAGAAAAGAAAAATGATACATTTTTTACAAAAAGAAGACAATGCTCCTAGCACCCCCATCATTCAGGAATTTCCAAGGGTTTTAGGAGCTTTGTGTTAGGAACTGTGGGCAGAGACCAAATATATATTTCTTCTTATGTTACACTACCCCAGATAGGAAAACAGAAATTACTCTAGATATTTCAAACAAAAGGGGTTGTATATAGGCAATTAGTGCTTATCACTGGAGGGGCTAGAGGTGGTGAAGGTTGTGGGGACGGGGTTGCACCACTGGCTTTCAGGCTACACAGCTGATTTCCAGAGGATGGAAGAAGGCAGGAAACTTGGGAAACCGCTGCTGAGGTCCTTGCAGCCCCACCGTCCCCAGGCTGGTGACTGGTGGGGGAGTATGGAGTCCAGCTGACCACCAGAGCCTGCACGCCTGCTGCTATGGGGAAGGAAAGGATGACTTCTACCTCCTTTCCACATTCCAAATTCCACGTGACTACATTTTATTGGCAGCACCCTGCTGGCAAGTGAGCCTTGATGTGTGCTTCCTGGGCTTCTGGCACCTGCACAGAAAGGGGTGAAATGAGTGTCACGAGCAGCCACCACTCTGCATCACACCTCCACGTCCAGGCGTGCTGGAGAGCCCCACTTATACTTGGAGGTGTCCTGGCGCCCTACCCACTTTTGGTAGGCGTTTGGGTATTTGAGGCTTTGCAAAAGAAGGCGGCGTGGAGTCTACGGTGGAGTCACATGGTGGAGACCTAGCTAAGTCAGAGGCCTGGAGAGGTGTCACTCTAGCTGGGCAGCAGGTGACACACCATCATCCTGAGCTGATTGGAGAAAGACCTGGGATTGACCTGGAGTTTGTTCTGGAATGTTTTCACTGGAATGAAAGCTGAGCGGTCTGCAGGCCATATAGTATTGGAGAAAACATAGCCCTCAGTGAAAAAGGCTGCCAGAGAAAAGGTGTCCACAGGGAAATTCAGGGGTTTTGTTTGTTTGGGTTTTTTATTTCTTTTTCTTTTGAGATGGAGTTTCGCTCTTGTTGCCCAGTCTGGAATGCAATGGCACAATCTCAGCTCACTGCATCCTCTGACTCCTGGGTTCAAGCAATTCTCCTGCCTCAGTTTCCCTAGTAGCTGGGATTATAGGCATACACCACCACACCCAGCTAATTTTTGCATTTTTAGTAGAGATGGGGTTTCACCATGTCGGCCAGGCTGGTCTCGAACTCCTGACCTCAGGTGATCCACCTGCCCCGGCCTCCCAAAGGGCTGGGATTACGGGATTACAGGTGTTAGCCACTGCGCCCAGCTTGGTTTTTTTTTTTTTTTTTTTTTAATGAGACAGTCTCACTATGTCGCCCAGGCTGCAGTGCAGTAGTGTGATCTTGGCTCACTGCAACCTCTGCCTCCCGAATAGCTGGGATTACCGGCACCCACCACCACGCCTGGCTAATTTTTACAGTTTTTTTTATAAAACAGAGTTTCACCGTGTTGGCCAGGCTGCTCTTGAACTCCTGACCTCAAGTGATCCGCGCTCACCTTGGCCTCCCAAGGTGCTGGGATTACAGGCGTGAGCCACTGAACGCCGCCAGGCAATTCAGTTTCTGAAAATACACCTGTGGGTCTCTAGCCTTGAACATCCTTGGATGCTGCTTTAAATGGCTGATCCTCAATGCTTCCCTTCTAACTCACAGGCCCGCTCCCCTACATCAATCTCACAGAAAAAGGGACCTCTTATTCATTTTTTTGTTTTGCAGAGACAGGCTTTGTTGCCCAGGCTGGTTTTGAACTCCTGGCCTTAAGTGATCCTCCCGCCTTGGTCTCTCAGGGTACTGGGATTACAGGCGGGAGTCCCCGCGCCCGGTGAAGCCTATATTAAACCCTTTTATGTTCACTCTGCGGTACTGCAGAGAGAGCAGGGAGGGAGCAGAGATGCCATGGGGACTTCAGTGGAGGAATCAGGAACCTAGGATTGTTCTGAAGTGCCTTGATTATGGTATATGTGGAAGATTTTAGAGCTTGTTGTAAAAAGTGATGACCCATGGCTCTCCAGGCTGGGTCTGGGATTGCCTTCGTGGATTATAAGAGGATATTATGCAGCAGTTCTTAAAAATGAGGCAGACTGGGACAATCTATCTCCAAGATGCATAGGTGCTGTTAAGGGAACAAAGCAAGATTTAGTGGGGCGTGTATAGTATGCTACTGTGCGCTGTGCATTATCTGTACAGAACTGTGAGGTCTGATACAGTAGCCACTAGCCACATATGGCTATTTACAAATAAATTTAGTTTGGGCCTGGTGGCTCATGCCTGTAATCCCAGCACTTTGGGAGGCAAAGGTGGGAAGATAGCTTGAGGCCAATAGTTCGAGACCAGCCTGTGCAACATAGTGAAACCTGTTTTCTACAAAAATTTTATTTATTTTTAATTTATTTATTTTTTGACACGGGTCTCACTGTCACCCAGGCTGGAGTACAGTGGCACAGTCTCAGCTTCTTACAACCTCTGCCTCCTGGGCTCAAGCGATTCTCATGCCTCAGCCTCCCTAGTAGCTGGGACTACAGGTGTGCACCACCATACCCAGCTAATTTTTGTATTTTTGGTAGAGACAGGGTTTCACCACGTTGGCCAGGCTGGTCTTGAACTCCTGACCTCAGGTGATCTGCCCGCCTCAGCCTCCCAAAGTGCTGAGATTACAGGTGTGAGCCACCGCACTTGGCCAAAAAATTTAAAAATGTAAAAATCAGCCAAACATGGTGGCATGCATCTGTAGTCCCAGCAACTTAGGAGGCTGAGGTGGGAGGATTTCTTGAACCCAGGAGGTCAAGGTTGTAGTGAGCCATGACTGCACCACTACACTCCAGCCTGGACAACAGAGTGAGGCCCTGTCTCAAAAAATAAATAAATAGGAGTTTGAGGCCATGTTCACACCTCTGCACTCCAGCCTGGTAAACAGAGCAAGACCTGTGTCTTAAAAAAAAAAAAAAAACTTTTTTTAAAGTTAGCTCCTAAGACACACTAGCCACATATCAAGTGCTCAACTGCCCCATGTGGCTAATGGCTACCAAACTGGGCAGCACGGGTGACTGTTTTCATCATTGAAGTTCTGTTGGACAAAACTGGCACAGAATACTTCTGGAAGCACACACGAGAAACTGGTAATGGTGGTTGCCTTCGGGGAGGGAAATTGGGAGGGTGCAGGGCTGTATGTCCTTTTGTACCTCTTGAATTTCATATCATGTGTTTGTATTAGGTGTTCACAAATTATTTTAAAAACAAACTGGAAATTAGGAATCCCCATATGGAATCACTGCAGTGGGACAGTGGTTCCCAAAAAATTACTTTGCAATTTGCCTAAAACAAATTAAGCTAATAGCTACCATGATTTCATATTTAATATTTTTTCACAGCTTAGAGCTACTTAGGTCCTGTTGCTATCTCTCTGCTCTTATGAGCTCAGAGGGTGACAAAGCAAATTAGTAAGTAGCAGGAGAACATTAAAGGAAAAACTCCTGGGCAACAGGGCAAAACGCCGGCTCTACAGAAAATACAAAACATTAGCCAGGCATAGTGGCATGCACCTGTGGTCTTAGCGACTTGGGAGGCTGAGGTGGGAGGATCGCTTGAGGCGGTAACTCAATCCCAGAGGAATCCCAGGGAGCGAAGGTGGCTCATCCCAAAAGAAAAACAAGAAGGAAATTCTATTACCAGAAGACAAGGGGATGAAATGAGGGATGCAGAACCAAAGACTGAAGCTACTGGTGTTCATTTTTATTTATTAATATTTAATTTTTTCAGAGACAAGGGTCTCATGATGTTGCCCAGGCTGGTCTTGAACTCCTGGCCTCAAGCTATCCTCCTGCCTGAGCCTTCCGAAGTTGTTGAGATTACAGATGTGAGCCACTGCACCCAACTCTGGTTTTTGTTAGTTTGGCTGGATTTGGTTTTGGTTTTTGACAGAATTTTGCTGTGCCACCCAGGCTGGAGTGCAGTGGCTCAGCCTCGGCTCACTGCAGCCTTGACCTCCTGGCCTCAAGTGATCCTCCCGCCTCAGCGCCACCCACCCTCCAAACGCCCTCCAACAGCTGGGACTATAAGCGCGCGTGACCGCGCACGGCTAATTTTTGAACTTTTTGAGGAGATGGGGGTTTCATCATGTTGCCCAGGCTGGTCTCCAACTCCTGGACTAAGCAATCTTCCTGCCTTGGCCTCCCAAAGTGTGAGCCACTGCGCCCACCCATTTAAGATTGAAGATAGACTGGGCAAACCCTTAAGCCTAAACCAGTAACAGTTTTTCACAAGTTCATAGATGTTACTGTGGTAAATAACACACAAATTCATTTAAAAGCACGTGTGTCCTCATGGTAATTTTTGGGCCTTTTGTTGTTGTTGTTTTTCAATTAATGGATATTAAAGATACAACTTTTTTTTTTTTTTTTTTTGAGAGGGGGTCTCACTCTGTCGCCCAGACTGGATTGCAGTGGCATGATCACGGCTCACTGCAACCTCTGCCTCCCAGGTTCAAGCGATTCTCCTGCCTCAGCCTCCCGAGTAGCTGGAATTACAGGTGTGTGCAACCACACCTGGCTAATATTTTAATTTTTTGTAGAGACGGGTTTTCACCATGTTGCCCAGGCTGGAAATAAAGGCCCCAACCCAGGAAGCAGTTAAGCAAAGTTCCAGGATGACTGCGTGTGACAGGCTTAGGGGGTAACTTGACCACATGGAGGACAGAACTCGGAGAGGGCACTGTGGGCATGGGCCCCACCCGCTCTTCCAGAGCACTGGCAGAGAACGAGGGCATGATAATGGCCGATGGCACTGAAAGAAAAGGAAAGATCATGAGGCACTCTTTGGGAAGCAGCTGTTATATGTAAAATGTTTATTTAGAAAGAGAATGCTTGTCCCCTGGTACTGCAAAGAAATAGCACTTGAAGGCCAGGTGTGGTGGCTCATGCCTACAATCCCAGCACTTTCGGAGGCCAAGGTGGGTGGATCACGATGTCAGGAGATTGAGACCATCCTGGCCAATATGGTGAAACCCCATCTCTACTAAAAATACAAAAGTTAGCCAAGCGTGGTGGCGTGTGCCTGTAGTCCCAGCTACTCAGGAGGCTGAGGCAGGAGAATTGCTTGAACCCAGAAGGCAGAGGTTACAGTGAGGCGATACCATGCCATTGCACTTCAGTCTGGTTGACAGAGCGAGACTCCATCTCCAAAAAAAGAAAAAGAAAGAAAGAAAGAAATAGCACTAGAATATAAATTTAATTTTCTTAGTAAGGCCATTTTTACTTTCTGCAGAAAGGGTGCTCATCATAGATGGAACAATGGCGAGAGCATATCTAAATAAAGGAGGGATGCAATTTTTATTCTTTACGTAGTTTGTCCTTGTAATTGTATTGTGTCTCCGTTGGCTGGAGCCAGATCTTAAAATTTAAACTAAAACTTGATTGGGTAACAGTTTAAAACTTTTTAAAACAGGTAAAAGTAATGGAAAGACAAGGGAAAAGAGGAAGTAGTTTACAAAAGGACTTAGAAAAGTAATAACATTCCGAAATAAAAAAGGGGCATAGGCTGTGAGCTGGGACATGCCTGCGAGCACGTCCAGTACAGATATTTTGGTTAAAGTATACGGACATAGAATGTACTACATGCCTGTGACCATGTTTAACAGCTACATAGGATAGGGCCTAACAAAACAGTTATTAGCATAAAACAAGGGGGCTTGAAGAAAGTTTTTAAAAGAAATTATTATTTTTAACACTTACGATTTTTCAATAAGGGAAACTCTGAAGAGTAACTTTTACTTTTTATAATTTCTCTCTTTTACATAATTTTTAAACTTATTTAATATGTTTTGGTTTAGCTGCTTTGTTTGATCTTTTAGAAGGAATAGTTTTTCTCAATAGGGTGGAGGAGGGGCTGGGGATATTTTAATAAGAGTTGTGTTTATCAGTTTCTGTTTAAGTTCCCGGCCATTGGCAGAACTACTTCTTGAATGAATTTGAAATAGGGTTGTTAATGCTGGAATTTTTTGCTAACTTATTTGATAAGGTAGTAAGTTCCTGGAGGGCTTTTGTTATGCTCCCAGTGGGAGCAGTGTTGTTTGGGATAAAGGTGTAACACTGAGTTTTGATTATAATGAAAATACCACCTTTCTTTGCTAATATTATATTTGAAGCTATCTTATTCTTCTAGGCTATTTGATTAGTGGCTTTTGTTTAGCTATTTTTTTAATAGCATTTTTGGTATAGTTAACAAGTCGTTGCTGGTTGTAATAAATGTAGTTTAACCTATACTTTTATTAATTATTACCCACTAAAACACTGACTTGCAACTATTTGATTTTTGGCTTTAAATGTATTTGGTATTTCACGAGGAATTTTAGTTGCATTTAAATAGACATGGGAATTAAAAGATCCATAAGGGTCTGCTGCTTCTTTTGTGGCTTCTTCTATCTGTTTATTTATTTTTTGATTGATGAAATATTAGGGTAAAAGGGATAGCCAACTGAATTAGAGCATAAGTATTGTTCTAATTATTTGGCACAGCGTTCAGTAAAGGCCCTCCATAATACCATTATATATTTGCTTGGGGATGAATAAGGGCGGACTGATGGGTCAGCTCTTGGAAGTGCCTGACCTCACTGCATTTTGTTAAATCTTCAAGGAATGCTAAGTTCTCCCCTTGTGGTGAGAGACACGAGGCAAACTTCGCCTTGGAAGATGGGAGGCTGGATGGCTCTTGGGAGCAGACCCGCAGGGTACTACTGCACTTCAGGAAATAGCAGAGAGAGTTTGGTACAGTTTACTATCCTAGGCTGTAGGATTTTGAAAAGGAGATACCATGTCGTCTATGTCTTGTTGATTAGAAGACTATTTGAGTGGAAAGTGGATAACCTGGACCTCTGGTTCACCGTGCGCACAAGTGTAACAGTTGTTTTTGTTTAAAGAGTGAACGGAATATTTCATTTATTTTAGCCAGGCATTTATATTTTGATGTCTTGTTGTTTGCCTTAGGTTTTTTACTTTTACTATAGAGACTTTGGTTTTGTTATTTGGTAAGAGAGGAGTGATAACTAAACAGGCATTAAAAGTAATAATTTGAGGTGAGTTAGATTTAGTTACATTAATAAGATGGGAAGTAGTTGAAGGAGAGAAAAGATAGATAAAGTTTTTTTAGTTTTAATTTGGTAGGGCTTGACCCTGGAGCAATGGCCTATGACTTTTATGGTGATGACATTTTCTCGACTTGGGTACGACGTGTTAATTTATTTTTTTGCTGTGCGAATGGCAGTCTTGGTGGTCAGCAGCTTAAGGTAGGTTTCTTCCTAGGCTGGCTTGCATTTTTCTTTTTTTTACATCTTTCGATAAGGACGTGGTTTTCAAGCTGGTGCTGGTGTACTGGAAATGTTAGGGGTGGTACCTGTGCTAAAAGGCTTTTAGTTTTGAGGGAAGGGAAAGTGGAAAATAAGTATATAATTTTTGAGAAACTGATTTTTTGTTTTAAATGTGGGGACATTAGCAGTAGAATGTAAGTAAGGCAAACTATAGGTATTTTTTGGTCTATAAGTCCTTAGTGCCTTCTTAAGTTTTTTTTTTTTTAACTTTTTCTTATGTTGCTTTTGAAGGAAACTTTGGGGTTTTTTCTTAGAACTTTGTACATCTTGGGGCTTGAGGCCCCATAGTGACACCTCCAACTCCTTCCCCGCTGAGCGCTGCCTAGGGGACGCGGCGGCCTGGCTCCCCTTAAGGTCTTGGCCTCCCTGTGGCCTTTATTGCTCCCTTGCGTTGTGGCCTTAGGGATGAGTGGCCCTGTGACTTACCTGGCAGCCCTCGGACCTTGCTCCTGCCCAAGCCCCTGCCGTTGGGCCCCGGTGTTGGGTTCGGTTGTGCTGTCTAACGGCTGCCTGGCCCCCTCCCCCCTCCCCTGTACAGGAAGTGTCTGTTGGCGGCTAGGTCCCCCACCAGATGGCTCATGCTGTGGCCACTCTAGGAGCAGCTGGAGGTGGAAACTCGTTGGTATTAACCCTGTGCTGGAGGGCCCTTAATGGGTTTTTTGATGCAATTGGAACAAGATTTATTTATTTTTTATACGGGGCTTAGATAACATTTCTCTTTGGTTTAGCAATATTTATTTTCATTTGGAAAATTTTTAGCACCTATTTTTATTAGTTTTTAGAATAAAGAAAGTCAAACATCATTTTATGTTTGATAATGTTTCCTGTATGATTTTATAAGAGATAAGTTAAATTTTACCTTTATATTAGTGTACTATTAATGTTAAACTACATTTTAATAAAACCTTGTAGATATTATTTAATTTTAACGTTTGACTATAAGGTAAGATTTTTATAGATTCTTTTTAACCCTTTATAATTTTTGTTAAAGAGCAGGTTAGTGCTTTAAGAAAAACCTATTGTGCTTTTATTTTTATGTTCAGTTCATAGAAAAACTGGATGATACCCCTTTAACTTTAGCCGATATGTTTATACACAGAATTTTTTTTATAATTAACATTTTAAAACTTGCTTAAACTTTTAAAACAAATTTTTTTGACCTTTTAATGTAGGTAAGAATTCAAATTTTTATGCCTCTTTATAATCCTTTTATTAAAAGTGTATTTTATTTTCCTTATACACCTTGCACATAAACTTAATAGTTTTACATTTAGGAGGCCAAATTAGTTTTAAATTATATAATATGTTTTGCATAAATTCTTTTTATAGCATTTTTTATGACTTTTACAGATAATTTTTGACATGCCTTAACATTTTGCCTTCCTTTTATACTATTTATTTTTTTAGTATTATCCTTTTTTCAAAATTTCTGTTTTTTCCAATCTTTCTTATTTTTTCCATTTCTCTATTTGCGTTCTTTTTTTTTTTTCTTTCTGTCATTTCCTGGTTTCTTCCTCATTCCCGAGTTCTCCTGCTCCTGCAGCTGGCAGGCCGGGCAACGGCATGGGTACTGCCCCTGCGCACGCACTGCCGTCCATCTCTTTTGTTTTTTTCTGATTTTCCTTTTTAGTTTTTCCCTTCTCTCCTCACACTTACTTTTTTGGGCTGGGTGGGATTTGCGCAGCCGTAGTCCAGCCCCAGGAAGTTGGTGCCCTGTTGAGCTCACCGCTTTCTTCTGGATAACTCCGATCTCAGCCTTATTCCAAGTCTTAACAGTGTCTTCTCATCCTTAGTCTCCTAGCCACTGTATACCTTCTTTTCCGTCTCCTGCCGTCCTGAGGACACCCCATCCCTAAGTCTTTGCTAAACTGTCCTGAACTCTTACTGCCTCCTTTCCTACCACCCTCACCCAATCTTGTTAAAAAATGACATCTCCGTGTCCTTTCACCCCCGCTGACACCACCGCATGTCTTTACCCCAACTCTGCGTCCATTGCTTCCCTCGACCCCACTCCCATTCAACCTGAGAACTTAGTGCAGAGTCTCCTTCCACCAGCTGCCCCTCAACAGCCAAATGTAGGTGCTCACTCAGACCCACAGTTAGAGACTGAGCAGCATGATTGGTGGGTGCAGGGGCTCAGGTGGTAAATAAGGGTGGAGGAGCAGTGGGCTCTCCCCAACTCTTGGGTCAGCCGGGGTTTTTCCTGGCATCTGGTCTCCTGCACCTGTCCTCAGGGATTGTGTTTCTGGCATTCATATTAAATGACTTGTGCTGGCTGCTGGAATGGTAGGTATCATTCAAATATCTGGAAGGTGAGAGATGGCCACTCACTCAGCTCACTTAGCACAGAATGATGGAAGCTGCCCCTTCCTTCTGGTTGGTGTTCTTGCCCTGGAGAGCCTCTGGGAAGTTCTGTGTGGTGTTGGCTGTGGTCACAGAATATTGTTCATGTTTCTTTTCCTGGCATTTGTAAGGGCCTCTCCCTGCCAGAGCTGATGGCAGATCAATCCTGATGCCAAATTCAGGGGATGTGATGGGTGCCAGAGGCAATGTTACCTGTTGTGAAGAGTATAGGTGAGTAGGTCCTGGGGAGGCTGAGGCCTAGGTGGGTACAGAGGCTCTTGAATGGCTTTCTTTTCTTATAAGTGCTGGATCATTGACTTTTGGCCATCTGGGTTCCATGAACACAGGGAACCATGTTATCTCAGAGTAGCTGAGGCAGAAGGACATTCCAGAGGCACCCAAGTCCCATGCTAGCATTTAGTTTCCTGGGGGCTTTTTGGTACACATGTTCTCTGAATCCTGAGGACCTGGCATCAGATGGGTGGGCCATTTGACCACAGTTTTAAAGGGCCCCAAAGAACCTTGTCTCTGCTTGCCATTTATAGTCTTATTCCGTTGAAAAAATGAATGCTGTTTACCTTCAATGTCCTCCCATTAGTATATTTAAGTTGGTTTCAGCCTTATTGGCAGCTTGACTTAATGGAAGGAGCTCCACAGTCATCTTAACACTTCAGAGTTATATACCCCAACTTCCCACAGTGTGTGAAATGGAGATACCTGCCCCGTGCCTCATTTTTATTTTATTAATCAATTCATTCAACAGCTTATTTTTTGAGCACCAGTGTGTGCCAAACACTGGTGAATGGGTCAGGCAATGGTCCTGTTTTCATTCAGAGTTTGGTCCTTGTTAGAATCCTCTGGGATATGGGACAAGAATATAGAGAAGATTCTGCCCTCATCCACTAGCCCTGAGTCTGGGAATCACAAGCTAGAAGTTTCTCACCCTTCATCTGGTATTTAATTACTTCAAAGCTCCAACCCCCACCACCCCACCCATCACAGAAATCCAACTTTCCTCAGGTGGACAGAGGTGCGGTTTCCTCAGTCAGCACTCACATGCCTGAAAGATCAGCTGCCTTTCTGAATCAGAGGGTAACTTTGTCATTCTTTTCCAATTGAAAAAACGTGACTCATCAATTGGTACAGCAGTTGGATGGCTTAAAGCCAGGCTGTGGCTCTGAACAGCCAGGTACACAATTCAGGCAGTGGAGAGAAGGCCGTAGGGAGTGGCTGAGAAGTCCCTCAAGAGAAGAGGTTGCTGTTCACTGATGGTAGAGTGTTTTGAGAGTGGTGAAACCAGGTTATCCCTTTCTTCTTTTAACGTAAGTCTCATCCAAGTCACTCTCTTTTTTTGCTTCCTTGATCTCTGGAGGAAGTGAAATTGGACATATAGAGAAGGCCAGGCAGTATAATGCAGGAAACCAACTGGAACTGTTCCTTCCTAACTATGTTGGAACATTTAAGAAAGTATAGCTCTGAGACTTCAGGAGCATTGGTAGGACCTGGTCTCAGCTGGTTGGGGCTATAAATCTGATTGGCAGAACTGTTTCATGTTGGTTTCTGACCTTCTGTGATGAAATGGAGCTTCCGAGTACCTCTGAGGAGGAAGTAATAGTTTGCCTGAAATTCTTTGAGCCAAAGACCTGAGGCCATTTGGTCCAGGGGAAGATGCGGGAGTTGGGATGAAGAAACCATATGTTTCTTTGACATATTTTGGAATGGCCCTGCAAAGCCATCTCTTGTGGGGGAAATTTATATCCTGCAGACTCCCTTCCCTTTCTAGGCCTTTTCCTGATCTAGGAGAGATTTAACTAAGAGTCTGACACTTTTTAGGGTCTGATAAGAGACCATCTGTCATCTCCCATGTGATGATAGACCAGTCAGGTTGGAGTTGGTATCTTAATTGCTGAGAGTCTGTTCTGTCAGTCTTAGGATTCTGTTTTAATGTTAATGCTGGTCAGTTGTGTCTAAGCTCCAAAAGGGAGAGGCTAGGATGAGGCATGGCCCACGCCCCACTTCCTGTCATGGCCTACGCCCCACTTCCTGTCATGGCCTGAACTCAGTTTTTAGGTTTTTTCAAAATCCCTTTGGCCAAGAGGGGGTTCATTCAGGCAGTTGGGAAGCTTAGAATTTTATTTTTGGTTTACAGCACTCACTCAGGAATTGGGTTTTTCTAGGGCTGGGGTTGGCTTCCTCCTGGGGGCTGGTGGTGGAGTCAGGCCACTTATTAGCCCTGGGACCTCAGGAACTTCCTTGACCTGGGTCAGCTGCCATTTCCTTATCTGTCAGGTGGAGACAATAAAACAGCACTCCTAGGGTCCTTAGGAGGAACATAAATTAGGCAATATATGTAAAGAGAACTGAGCCCATTTAACTTTTCTTGGTTTTGTTAACTTCTTTTTTTTTTTTTTTTTTTTTTTGAGACGGAGTCTCTCTGTCCCCCAGGCTGGAGTGTAGTGGCACGATCTTGGCTCACTGCAACCTCCACCTCCCAGTTTCAAGCGATTCTCCTGCCTCAGCCTCCTGAGTAGCTGGGACTACAGGGTGCGCCACCATGTCGGCTAATTTTTGTATTTTTAGTAGAGACGGGGTTTCACCATGTTGGTCAGGCTGGTCTTGAACTCCTGGTCTCGTGATCTGCCCACCTCAGCCTCCCAAAGTGCTCACAGGTGTGAGCCACTGCGCCCGGCCGGTTTTGTTAACTTCTTTATGCGGTGATTGTTTGAGAGCTGAGAGACAGCCATCACCTTTCCCGGCGTTCCCCTGATGCTCAGCCAGGCATTTGGGACAGATTTGTTTACGTGTGAATGTGCCTCCCTAGCCCAGGTCTGTCCAAGTTGCTGGGGTGGGGCCAAGCCAGCCAGCAGTCCCCTCAGGCACAGGCCAAAGTCCCCACCCCACCCCACCACAGCCCACCCATTCCCAGGAGGAAGCTGGCAGCCCTGAGGGATTTAACCACTCACTGATTTCAACTCTTCCTGCATACCCATTTAGGCGATGACATTCTTGGTCTGTACACTTAGGTGGCCACATCCACTGGGATGACAGATACCAGGTACAACATATCAGGTACAGGTACATATCAGGCCTCGTGACAGGCATTTTACACATTCTCCATCTGAGAGGTCTGAGCATGCCTACCTGGTTAGTGGCAAACTGCGATGAGACCTCATGGTCATCCCGGTTAGACACGTCCCTGTCTGTGCTGCTCAAGCCAGACCCTCGAAGCCTAAAGGAGAAGCAGAAGTGTTTCCCTTTCAAAGTCATTCCAGTCGTACTTTTTAACTACTGAGGTGACAGATGTTGGACTGGGACAGGAATGAGGGGTGGGGGGAGGGTGCTGCAGGACTCAGCCCCTGAATGTGACTTGTGAACCCCTGCTTCCTGGTCCCAGTGGGTTCCTGCCACCTTCAGCTGCAGCCTCCACCTCGAACCCACAGCTCTGTATTTGAATCAGCCTGTCATTCCCTGCTTACGGGTTTAGATCCTACAGGGCCCTGGCTTTCTGGGCAGCATTTGATGTGAAGCGCCCTTACCACCTACTCCTTGGGGTGGACCCACCCCTGGCACCCAGGACTCCTTGCCTCCCAAGGACTGAGCCCCCTGGGCTTTCCTTCCTTGCTTCCTTCTTTCAAATCCACTCTCAATTTTTACTTTCGTGTTCCTCAAAGGCCTTTCGGTTGTGGTTTAAGGGGGGCTGACCTCCTACTGCTTGCTGGGAATGGACTCTGGCTGGGGGGAAGTTGCCTGCCCATTCATCTGGCTGCCATCTGTCTCTTCAGATGTCATGTGATTCTCTGAGGGAGCAGCTGCGTGAGTGGAGATGCTCTCAGTGGTGGAAAATGGACTGGACCCCCGGGCTGCCATCCCGGTAGGTGGGTGAGGGAGGAGCAAGTAATAAAATAAATAAAACATATTCTACCATAAGGAGCTTATGTTCATCTGGCCTTGGACAGACAAGTAGACAAAGTATTATGACAGTGCTATAACAGAAGTTGAGAGAAGGTGATGTCAGAGCAGAAAAGAGCCTAACTGAAGAGACTGATGAAAGTGAGGCTTTACAGAGGAGGTCTACATAATTACTTAACATTCCCCAAAATATATTTAATGTATTTTGAGCTATACTTATTCATTAACTATACACTTAATGACTTTGCCCTTTTCTGTATACAATGTTTCATATGCCACAATAACATTTATTTCGGATAAAGTTTACTCATGTTTAATAACCATGAAAAGAAAGGTTAGCATTAGCTGAGAAAACTTCATAATGTTCTACTCCACACCTGTCATGGCTACCCCAACATGGGCTTCCCTAACATTCCAGGTTTAAACTGGGTCAGTGTTGAATAGCTGTGGCATTAGCCTGGTGCCAATAAACTTAGGGCTGCTGTACTATGAAATAGCAACCGGTAGAAGCCGAAGAAAAAGATCAAGAGTCTCCTTTTCCTTCGCCATGTCCCGAGTCAGAGCCAGGATCATGCTTAGGCTGCACAGGCCTAGAAAACTCCAAGGGTGAAGCAAGCTTCTGCTTTACACAAGGACCAAAGGAACTGGAATGGGTCACAGTTACATGCAACCTTAATACCTCCTAAGTGATTCCTCTGTGGATGAACCCTCTCTTAACTGTATTTGCAATACAGCTAACAGGCAATTTCACATACTTCCTTACATCACTCTATCAGGTCAATCTTCCCTATGCACCTCAAAATAAACCAGTGACCCCACTGCAGACCAGTTCCACAAGAATTACTCTGGGCTTCCTGAACAAGATAGCTGTCTACAATGCTTTAAAAACCCTATTAAGATGAGAACCTCAACACCTTTAAAAAAATTTTGGAGAGAAAGGTGTCCTAAGCTTCTGCAGTTCCCATTCAGCTCCTTCCGTATTCAAAAGTTTCAATGCTCTTCCACCTCCCATCCTCAATAACATTTCCATCCTCAACTACAGCTGTGTAATCTCAGAAAGTAGTCAGGAGAAGGGATTTTTAAAAACAACCTAAGGGTCAAGCCAGTGCTTCTGGGAGGCCAAGGCAAGGAGGATCACTTGAGGCCAGGAGTTTGAGACCAGCCTGGGCAACATAATGAGACCACATCTTTACAAAAAAAACCTTTAAAAATTAGCCAGGCATAATGGCACTCGCCTGTGGTCCCAGCTGCTTGTACTTGCAAGGCTAAGGTAGGAGGATAGCTTGAGCCCAGGAGTTTCAGGTTACAAGGAACTATGATCTGGCCATTGCACCTCAGCCTGGGCAACAGAGCAAGACCCTGTCTCTTACAACCTGCTTAGTCCCTATTCTTTCCCCTTATTTAGCAGGTGTGAAATTTCAATAAACAAAATTTTCAATAAATAAATATGTTTCAGTGAAATGATGAAAAGGACACAACAGCAAAGTATGTTAGAAAAAAAATGCTTTGGAATCAGATAAAAGGTCCTGAGTTTAAATTTAGTTCTGCCTTTTACAAGCCTCTGAAGATTTACTCTGAACATTAAACAAACATACATAAGTAAACCTTTAATTAGTATACACTCAAGGTACATACATTGTTTTCCTTTCTCCTTCTAAAGCATGGAAGAGATTTTTTTTTTAAATAAGCTGACAAAATATGAAAATTAAAAGAACACAACCGCATGCAGAAGTAGCACAGAGGACTTCCTAGAAATTGTATTCTTTCTCCAGGGAGCAACAAGAATCGTTATTCCCAAAAGGGACTCTATTCACTTCACAGCTTGGAAGGTAATACCTACCTCTGACAGAACAGAAACTGGCGTCTGGATCCTAGAATCACCTAGCAGTAGTCACAAATACCTTTTTTTTTTTTTTTTTGGTAATACGCCACTTAAAGAAAATTAATGTTAACATGCAACAAAGTAAATCCTTAAAAAGAAAAAGAAAAGCCCCACCATCCCTGCAATCTCCCACCCAAAGACAAATTATAACTCAACAGCCTATCACCAAGATTCAGCCCATCATCTAGATTCATCTAAAAAAAAAAAGGCCTGTACAACCCAGGAAGCACTGGCAAATCTTGGTGCAGCAGGGAAAACATGAACACCAACCCACTTAACCAAAACACATAAGAAAAAATTTCTTCCATTTCAGTAACTAAAAAACAAAACAAAAAAACAACAAGCACTTAAAGTGATTACTAACTTGAGCAATAGCTCTGCACCCTGATACTCAAATCTCAGCTCTGCACTCACTTGGATGTATAACCGTGAACAAACTACTTGACTGCTCTGATCTTCCATTGTTTATCTTGAAAATCGTGAATGAGAGTAAAATGCTTAGCACAGTGCCTGGCATATCACAAGTGCTCAAAAACTTCTATTAATTATAGTGTTACATAAAGACTAAATGCATGTGACTATATCATTGGGGGGAAATTCCATGGCTTGTTAGAGCGAGTTGAATATTCTCTTCCAAATTTATGTTCGCTCAGAACCTGTGAATATGACCTTGTTTGGAAACAGGGTCTTTGCAATTGTAATAAAGTTATGATGAGCCTTTTAGTGTGGGCCCTAAATTCAATATGACTGATGTTCTTCTAACATGGAAATCTGGACACAGATGCAAAGAGAAAGATGGTCATATGAAGATGGAGGCAGCAACTGGAGTGATGTAGCTACAAGCCAAGGAACACCAAGGACTGGCACAACACCAGAAGCTGGAAAAAGACAAGGAAGGATTCTTCCCTAGAGCCTCCAGAGAGAGCATGGCCCTGTTAACACCATTATTTCAGACTTCTGGCCTCCAGAATGGTGGGAGAACACATTTCTGATTTTTTAAGCCATCTTCTTTAAGTAAAAGATTATCTATGATGTTGTATTTTACAGACCAAGAAACTGAAGCTCAGAAATGTTGAGTGACTTTTCTTGTCAAGGTTCATGTTAAATAGCTGTGACATGTAAGCATCTGGTAGTAAAGCCATGACTAGAAGCAAAACTTTACCAAGTCCAAGTATGGTGCTTAATACAATTCGCTTTGAATGATGAAACTCTTGGACAATCAGCATACATTCATGTGCCAAATAACATTATGGTCAATGACAGACCACATAAACAATGATGGTCTTATAAGATTGTAATACAGCTGAAGAATTCCTATCTTAGCACAAAGCACTACTCATGTGTTTGTGGTGATGCTGGTGTAAAGAAACCTACAGTGCTCCTATTCATATAGAAGTATACCACATACAATTATGTCCAGTAAGAATATAATAGTTGATAATAAGAACTATGTTACTTTTTTTTTTTTTTTTTGAGACGGAGTCTCACTCTGTTGCCCAGGCTGGAGTGCAGTGGCGCAATCTCGGCTCACTGCAAGCTCCACCTCCTGGGTTCACACCATTCTCCTGCCTCAGCCTCCCGAGTAGCTGGGACTACAGGTGCCTGCCACCACACCCAGCTAATATTTATATTTTTAGTAGAGACGGGGTTTCACAGTGTTAGCCAGGATGGTCTCGATCTCCTGACCTCATGATCCGCCCGCCTCGGCCTCCCAAAATGCTGGGATTACAGGCGTGAGCCATTGTGCCTGGCCAAGAACTGTTAACTGTTAAAAAAAAAAAAACTTATTTTTTATGATAAGAAGAAGTGTTATGTATTTACTGTACTGTACTTTTAATCGTTATTTTAGAGTGTACTTCTACTCAATTAAAAAACAGTTAACTGTCGGGCCGGGCGTGGTGGCTCACGCCTGTAATCCCAGCACTTTCGGAGGCCTAGGCGGGTGGATCACGAGGTCAGGAGATTGAGACCATCCTGGCTAACATGGTGAAACCCTCTCTCTACTAAAAAAATACAAAAACAATTAGCTGGGTGTGGTGGTGGGCACCTGTAGTCCCAGCTACTCAGGAGGCTGAGGCAGGAGAATGGCGTGAACCCGGGAGGCGGAGCTTGTAGTGAGCCAAGATCATGCCACTGCACTCCAGCCTGGGCAACACAGTGAGACTCCATCTCAAACAAAACAAAACAAAAAAAACCCAGTGAACTGTGAAACAGCCTCCAACAGGTCCTTCTGTTGGCACTGTCACAGGCGATGAAAGCTCCGTGTGTGTTGTTGCCCCTGAAGACCTAAGAGTGGAACAAGATGTGAAGGTGGAGGACAGTAATTCCGACAAATCTGACACTGTGTGGGCCTACGTTCATGTGTGTGTTTGTGTCTTAGTTTTTAGCAAAACAGTTTAGGTAGAAAAAAGCTTGTAGGATAAGGTGTGAAGAAAATATTTTTGTACAATTACAATGTGGTTGTGTTTTAGGCTAAGTGTTATTACAAAAGAGTCAAAAAGTTTTAAAATTTTAAAAGTTAATAAAGCAAAAAGTTACAGTAAGCTAAGGCTAATTTATTATTGAAAAAATCTTTAAAATAAATGTAGTGTAGCCTCGGTGTTCAGTGTTTATGAAGTTTATAGTAGTGTACAGTCATGTCCTAGGCCTTTCACATTCAGCCACCCTTCACCCGCTGACTCACCCAGAGCAACTTCCAGTCCTGCAAGCTCCATTCATGGTAAGTGCCCTATACAGGTGTACCATTTTTATCTTTTCTACTATATTTTTACTGTATTTTTTCTATGTTTAGATATGTTTAAATACATAAATCTTTACCACTAGTTGCCTATACCATTCAGTATAGTAGCATGATGTACTTGTTTATAGCCTAGGAGCAATAGGCTATACCATGTTCTCTAAGTGTATAGTAGGCCATACCACCTCAGCTTATATGTATGTAAATATGTATGTATTTGAGACAGTCTCGCTCTGCCCTTGCCCAGGCTGGAGTACAGTGTCACGATCTTGGCTGACTGCAGCCTCCATCTCCCGGGTTCAAGTGATTCTCCTGTCTCAGCCTACCAAGTAGGTGGGGTTATAGGCACTCGCCACCACACCTGGCTAATTTTTTTTTGTATTTTTAGTAGAGATGGGGTTTCACCATGTTGGCCAGGCTAGTCTCGAACTCCTGGCCTCAGGTGATTCACCCACCTTGCCCTCCCATGCCTCGGCCTCCCAAAGTGCTGAGATTATAGGCGTGTGCCACCACGCCCAACCCTCAGCTTGTATTTAAGTACACTCTATGACATTCACACACCAATGAAATCACCTAACAACACATTTATCGGTTTCCCTTTCGTTAAGCAATGTGTGACGGTATACACAAAACTCCAGATTATTTTCCAGATATTTAGAAATACTTTTCAGATATTTTGAAAGTTTCTGAAAACTGCTCTGTCATTACTTCTGAGTGATGAGCTGAAGAATAAAGCATGAACCAAATGAGGTATCTTCTTATACACAGCTAGTGAGACTATAAACTGACACGACCAAAATACTTCTCTAAAGTATGCATTAAGAACATAAAAGAGCATTCATACCTTTGACTAAGATAAAGATGTTTATCATGGCATACTTAATTTTAATAATAAACGTAACTTAAATAGTCAACGAGGAAAGCCAATAGCAGGCAGCCATTAAAAATGTTTTCCAAAAACCAACTGGGAAATATTCAGGGCACATATATAACATGACTGTGTTTAAACAAATTATTCATGTGCTAGGAAAATGTACCATAATGTGGGTAGCGAGATAATTTTGAGCTGTTGGTTTTGTTTTGTTTTGTTTTGGGGGGGCGGGGGGAGGGTGTGTCTTTTATACTTCTGTGTAATTTCAAAGTTTCCTGAGAATTGATACACAGTATTTCTTCAGTTCTAAGAGGTACTTTCCCCACGTCAACAACTTTTAAAACAAGATGCATCTTACAATTGCTGTTATGCCCTAGTTTAATGGAAATAATTTCTTTGTTGTACTTAAAATAATGGTACATCTTACAATCAATAGCATCTTAAGTTCTATGAAGTGTGGCAGTTTTATAACAGGCAACTAAAATAACATAACATATACACATATATAAACTTACATATATATATTTATGAATGTATATAAAAAGATGAAGCAACACTTATGACTACTATTGTACTAATCTCAGTTGTTACTAAGAGACTCTAGTTCTCAAATATAGAAATTCCCACTTAACTACTGGCTATAAAAACCTAGAAACAGACACCGAAGAGGTGTCTCTGATAGAGAAAGACTGTGTTTTTCTCCTCAGTACAGGCATATCCAGTCACCTCCTAGTTATTCTTAGTCACCAATCCAGTTCAAGTTCTACAAATCTCACTTTAAAATTTCCTTTGTGAAGAGTTGAGAAAGCAAAATATTGACCAAATCTAGAATGTTTATTAGTTTTGTTCTAGCTAATTTTTAAATAAGTAAATCAGGATTTAGCTAATTTTTAAATAAGTAAATCAGGATTTAATTTTTACACTACCCTAAGGGAATAAATTAATAATAAAAACTGTGTCCTCAATTAAAGTAGCTCTATCAAATGTTTGGAAAATATATATATATATATATATATATATATATATATATATATATATATATATATATATATGTATCTCCAATCTGGAAAGAAGGTAGAAGTCTCCAGTGAAATTTTTGGAATAAAAGTTTAAATGATTAGACAGCCCACAGAACTTTCACTTCAAACCCTGATCATTCTGTTCATTTTATCAGTTGATCAACCGTTAACTTTTGGCCTACTAATTTAACGGATACTGTTCACAGGAAAGCCATTTTCTTAAGGCTTTGACTAGTACTAAGGTCAAAAAGGCATTTTGACCCTTATTTTTAGTAGCCACAGACTTTTTCTAGACATGGGTCTAGATAAAGATAGAGCTCAGCCATACCAAGCTAATATAAAAAATACTTTGCAAGAATGTAAGCTTCATGAAGGTAGGATTTTTGTTCACTATTGTGACCCTACTATGGAGAACGCTGCTGAGACATAGTAGGCACTTTTCCATAAATCTAACAAATATGACAGTTACATCAATGGCTTGCTTGCATTATACAGCATTTTTCTTGTTTCCTGTTAACTCAGATACCCACACTGTTTTGTTCTAAATACACGTTCAATTAACCATTATATTCTAATAGTGTTTTCCTTTTAATGAGACAAGGTCTTAGTTGCCCAGGCTGGAGTGTGGTGGCACAATCTTGGCTCACTGCAACCTCCACTTCATGGGCTCAAGTGATCCTCCCACTTCAGCCTCCTCAGTAGCTGGGACTACAGGCACGTGCCATCATGCTCAGCTAATTTTTGTATTTTTTGTAAACACAAGGTCTCACTATGTTGCCCAGGCTGGTCTCGAACTCCTGAGCTCAAATGATCCTCCTGCCTTGGCCTCCCAAAGTGCTGGGATTACCAGAGTGAGCCACCACGTGTGATCCCATCAGGTTCTTAAACAAATTAAACCACTATATCAGGTCATTAAACCACTTGTCTTGAAATAGTTAAAAAGGGGGTTATGGGGAGGGGATTACCAAAGAGGTGGGAGGGGATGGGAGAAAAGCAATAATGATAGTTTTCAGCTGTACTAAAAAACACCAGACACCTATCCCTTATTAGCACATATCTGTTTGTAAATGTCTGTTTGCTGACGAATTTGATATTCCAAGTCAGAAACATGAGCCTGAAGCCAGTTCCAGCAGCTGACAATAGCTGCCCGGTCTGCAGCCCATCTCCATTCTGACCTGTGTCTCCTAAAAAGAAATAAATTGAGTGAAGTCCAAGAGTAGTAGTAATATCTATACCAGACTTGGGGGTGGAGGGTGGAATTTAACTTCTAAAGGCCCTTGCAGAGACTAACTCTAGTGTCAAGAAAAACCCAAAACAGACAGAGACAGATACCCCCCACTCCTCAGGATGCACATGGATATAAACTTTCAAATAGGTATTTCCCAAATTAAGTGGAACTGCCTTCTACCATCCTGATCCTGCGGCACACGGTTTCTCTGAAATTGCATTAATTTCTCTAGAGATAAAAATATTGTCCATGTTAAAATAAAACATATATTAAGAATAATCTATACAGGAAATCCAACTGACAATAAGAACTATTAAAACTAATAAAGAATTTAGCAAAAGTGTTCAGTAAAGAATATTTGAAAACTAATAAAAAAGTAGAAAATATTCATTTTTTAAGTATCATTCATAACAACGACAAAACTAATGATATATTTAAAATCTTTATAGAGAAAACAGTAATGCCTGAAAGCATGAAGCTCTATACAAATGGTAGGATACATTTTTTAAGGATGGTGATTCTCATGAACATCTATAAATTCAAAGAAATTCCAGTCAAATTGCCTACAGTATTTTTAATGAAAGCTGAGAAACAGATCCAAAAGTTCACATGACATAAAGGACCAACAGCAAGAAATTTGGAAGAAGGCATGATGCAAATACACATTACCAGATAGCCAGATTTGCTGCAAAACTGTAGAGAGCCTCAAAACGTAGAACTAGATACATAAAAGATACCGGGAAATTTTCTTTTAATCAGATCAGTGGGGAAAAAATGAAACTATTCAATAGTACTAAACTGGCCAGTTCTTTAGAAGGAAAAAGTAAAATTAGTTCCCTTCTTCATGATATAATTACAAAATTTTGGCACTTCAAATTGCTAAACATGAACAGCCAAACTTAAAAGAACATCTTCGGGACTTAGAGCAGGAAGTATTTCTTAGATAAGACACAAAAATATCACCTACTTTTCAACATGCAATAGAAAATCTAATAAAATTAAAAGGCAAACTGTACTTTGGTGGAAGATATCTAATACATATAACTGAAGATTAAACATCAGAATATGTAACAGAACTCTCAGAAATAGATTAAGAGAGGCCGGGCATAGTGGCTCACAACCTGTAATCCCAGCACTTTGGGAGGCGGAGGCAGGCAGATCACCTGAGGTTGGGAGTTCGAAACCAACATGAACAACATGGAGAAATCCCGTCTCTACTAAAAATGCAAAATTAGTCGGTCGTGGTGGAGCATGCCTGTAATCCCAGCTACACAGGAGGCTGAGGCAGGAGAATCACTTGAACCCAGGAAGTGGAGGTTGTGGTGAGCCAACATCATGCCATTGCACTCCAGCCTGGGCAAGAAGAGCAAAACTCTGTCTCAAAAAAAAAAGAAACAGGTCAAAAGAAAAAATGACAATCTTAATAGAAATAGAAAATTCACATAAAAGGCAAATAATTAATAAATATATAGAAATGTGTCATCTCATTAAAATTTAGTTAAAATGTAAATATTAGGTAAAACATTAAGATGCTGTTTCAAATCTGGATGGGAAAACACGTAGTCCGATAAAGCCAACAGGTGGTGAGAAATGGATAAGTACAATTCATACATTGCTGGTAACAGTTAAAACTGGCAACACCATTTTTGAACAATAATTTGGAAGTACTTGGCTAGGCGTAAAATGTGCATACCCAATCATCATGATATTCTATTTCATTTTTCTTTTGTTTGTTTCTCCTTTTCTGAGAGGCAGGGTCTCACACTCTATCATTGAGGCTGGATTATGGTGGTGCAATCATAGCTCACTGTAACCTAGCGTTCCTTTGCTTAAGCTATCCTCCCACCTCAGTCTCCCAAGCAGCTAGGATCAGGAGCATACTACTGTACCTGGCTAATTTTTTTTTTTTTTTTTTTTTGAGACCGAGTTTCGCTCTTCTTGCCCAGGCTGGAGTGCAATGGCACAATCTCGGCTCTTTGCAACCTCCGTCTCCTGGGTTCAAGCAATTCTCCTGCCTCAGCCTCCTGAGTAGCTGGGATTACAGGCATGCACCACCACACGCGGCTAATTTTGTATTTTTAGTAGAGACGGGGTTTCTCCATGTTGGTCAGGCTGGTCTCAAACTCCTGACCTCAGGTGATCCGCCCACCTCAGCCTCCCAAAGTGCAGGCATGAGCCACTGCACCCGGCCCTGGTTAATTTTTAATAAAAAATTTTGTAGAGATGGGGTCTTGCTGCGGTGTCCAGGTTGCCCTCAAACTCCTGACCTTTGGCCTCCCAAAGACATGAGCCACTATGCCCAGCCATGAAATTCTGTTTCTGAGAACATAAACTATACATTCCTCTGAATGAGGAAACAGGTTCACTGGAGTAGAGTCTCTAACAGCTAAAAACTAATTATATTATAATTCTGTTGAAGTTGGTAAATAGACTATATTCATTTAACAGATCTTTCTATAGTAATAAAAATAAAATTAACTATATGTATCAACATGACTCAATCTCAGAACATATTGTTGAATGAAACAATAAAAAAATACTAAACAAGATTAAGTACACACAAGTAGTAAAGGAATTTGACGAAATACTATCTAGCAATTTAATTACTGTATGTATCAACATGACCTAATCTCAGAAATGAGGAATGCAAAAGCTGAATGAAAACAAAAATAATAAACAGATAAACATTAATAAGCATTGTTACCAATACAGATAAGGGATGAATATATTTTAAAATGCACAGAGCTGATATACAACAAATTTACAATCAAGCTCCTCATTAGCTCTGGAAAGGGGATGGAGAGGTTGGATTTTAGCTCTACTTATAATGTAATGTTTGACTTCTCATGTAAAAACAAAAGATAGAAATGTGACAACATTAACATTCTTTAAATATTAAGACTGGGGTTACATGGTGTCTACTGTATTCCGTAATCAAAATACTTCATAATCCACCACAAAACTGTTTTCCCAGAAAGCAGCAGCAGTCACACAGCCCTCAGCCCCACTTCCCATCAGGATACACACACTCACTACTAAAACTTGTGACTATAGGTGAACTTGAACACAGTCTCCCATAGGGGCAAAATACAAAATGTCAAAAATAAAAAAGAACAAATCTGACCGCAACAGGGTAAGACGTAAATTAAAACTTAATCATACCATAATAATTAAGACCAAGGATAGCAATGGTATTTTAACTTTTGTATGGACCAAACATAAACCATTCAAATCAACCACTGTGATAAAGTATTATCAATTATGTCTCTTCTTTTAGAAAGAAGACATTTTACAGTTCCCTAATTTTGGTGGAACCTCTTCAAGATAAAAAGATACTTTTAAAGTACAGTTATCTGCTTCAATGTTGGCTGCAGGTCTAGCTCTACCCTAAATCCAGGAAATGATCTCAAGAGATCAATAAGAACCTAGGGATCATTCTTGAACAAGAAAAATGCCCCCTACCCACAAAGAGACAAAACTAGTTAACCCTCATATTTTATTCCCACCTTTCCTTACTCTTCAAGGCTTACCACCTTTCTATCCTGCAAAATCTTTTGGATTTATAGATTCCTTTCATTCCTAAAACTACCACCACACCAGGTCCCCATCTATCACCACTGGACAACCCCAACAGCCTCCTTAGCTGCTCTTCCCAACACCAGTCAATCATACTACTTTTCCTCAATCAACTCCCCTCAAACTGTTTTCATCCTGGTATTCTAATGTTTAAGGAACCACACACTTCCTTTGTTTGAAAATAAAAAAGGAAAATAAAATTACTTAAAACATTTTAGTTCACAAGAACTTTGATAAATACATTTTTTCTTGGATATTAATGAAAGTCTTACATCCCCTACACAGGTATTTCCCTAAATAACAATACAAAGTGAGCCTCCTGATAATATGTTTTGGATAATATGGTTAATAAATAACTAAAGAAAGGCAAGGCAGCACTAAGGAATACTAACAATTCCCAATTTATGAACAAGTTTCATTTTACCAGTGTATCTGTGATATGATGGTTTAGAACTGGAAGTGATTTCTAGGAGAAAGTTGTTACAGTATTGTTCTTCCATAATGCTGGCTCAAACTCTGATCATCTCCAATGAAAAATGGAAAACCTCAACTCAAGTGTCCAAAAAGTATCTTGTGTTCAAAATGCCAGCAATATGAGCAGAAAACTAAGCTGTTATTAAACGTGAGAGGTGTACAGTTAACAAGTTTGGAGTAAGTTAGCTTTCATACTCCAGTGGCAGAGCAGAGCATCACAAAATAATATCACAAGAATAAAAGCTTCACATTCTTGTGTTCCTTAAAAACAAGCCATACAAACTCAGCTTATCAGAGGTAAAGATAAGACTTCCTCCTTAACATTCAAAAGGTAAATTTATTACTCTGACAATTTACAGCTCAACAAGGGACATTGATTGAACATTAGGGACATGTTTAATGTTATACTATACAGACTTCAGGAAAGAACACAGGACTAAGGTTGTAGAATGATACTTTAAATACAATGAGGACTTGGTTTCTAATACAGTCATTATCAATAATGAAGAAAATCATGTGGATTCTGACATTGATGAGTCAACTCATTCCTGTTGCTTGTTTCTGTGCTATTAGTAAAATAACTGTTTTAATTATGTGTCTGGGTAGGACACTAGAATGCCTTAGAACATTTGATTTTACTGTGTGCTTTATCCCAGTCCATACAAAAGTATGCGCTGTATGTACTGTAATGATCACCTGAGTGGGAATTCTTTTCAACTCATATTTTGCTCCTTGACTCGCAAGTACTCACTACCTAGCTCAAAAGCAGTGTGAAACAAATAGAGGAAAGATCAGGAGACAAGTTCTCACTTTTACTTACTTTATATGATCCTAAACATATAAATTGATCTCTGGAAATAAGAACAACATCTACTTCACAAAGTTGTGATAGCCATACAATGATGTAATCCTAACTGCAACCTAAAATGTGTGTATTAGATAAGAATAACAATTTATTTAGTCATTATAACCATGGATTAAATTCCATACCAAAAAGGTACAAAAAAGGAAGAAAAACAGGATAAGATTAAAGAAAAACCTCTCAGATAAATTCAGGAAACAAGTGTTTTCAGTTAGCAACAAGCCATATTCTGAGAGTTTCTTGAGCTTTGAACTTTACAGTCATTTAAAAGTTCCACTCTAAACAGAAAAATCAAGGTAGTCTAGTAGAATAGACATTGCATTATTAGTGACATTACCCCCAAATTTGAAACGATGGAGGTAATAAAGCACAAAGAGGAAAAAAGAAGAGAACCAAACTGTCCAGAGTTAAATATCCCACATTTTAGTTGTAAAGTAAAACGCAGGAAGAAACTTGGATACACACTTCGTCTTAACCCATTCTCATCTGTCACATGACCTAGGTTGTGTCAGCTTCCTATAGATACCTGTAGTAATGTGGAACAAATGTACCAGAGCCCATTCTTTTTTTTTTTTTTTTTTTTTTTTTGAGATGGAGTCTCGCTCTGTCACTCAGGCTGGATGCAGTGGCAGCATCTCGGCTCACTGCAACCTCCACCTCTCGGGTTCAAGCGATTCTCCTGCCTCAGCCTCCTGAGTAGCTGGAATTACAGGTCTGTCACAACACCTGGCCAATTTTTGTATTTTTAGTAGAGATGGGGTTTTGCCACGTTGGCCAGGCTGGTCTCGAACTCCTGACCTCAAGTGATCTGCCCACCTCAGCCTCTTAAAGTGCTTGAGTTACAGGTGTGAGCCACCGTGCCCAGCCCTAGAACCAATTATATCTAGACTGCCAGTTCATCCTGACAGACCCTTGAAATTGAACACAGCACTTTTATCTTACTGGTTAGACCAGGTTACCTCTAATACAGAAATGAAATTTGTGTATTTTTGGTAGTTTATTTCAGCCAAGCATTTAGCCCACCATGAACTCACTCTATCCTCCTTCCTTCCATTTAACAAGTATTTAAACAACTATTAGTTACCAAGAGTTAGATGAGGGATACAAAAAGATACAAAAAGAACTGTGGCTCAAGTTCACAATTTAATGTGGAAGATAGATGTTAATAATCAAATAATCATATAAAATGTAAGATAAGAGATCCTAACTATGTCAGATTTAGACTGGGGGATCTAGAAAGACTTGTGATACAAACATTTAAACAGACCTCTGAAGCATAAATTAGGACTTGGATGCGCAAACTGGTAGGGGTTGGGGATGTGGAGCAGAAGATACTAGGTGGAACTGTGGTGTGTCACAAAGAAGAAACGACATGTATACAATGGTTATGTTGTTAGAGCTCCAACAGTGAACAATGAAAAGAATTCATTCAACTTGACAATGGATACAGGTAGGCAGGGCCAGGTCACACAGAACCTGGCAATCCATGTTAATCTTATAAAACAATATAAGCAATCCTCATCTTCCCTCACGCTCTTTTATTTATCTCAGACCCTGTTTGAAGGAAAATTTACAAATACAAGCTAAAAGGTAATAAACTCCCACATAACCAACAACTAATTTCAACTATCAACTTTTGGTGAATCCCACCCTCATCTATAACATCTATCTCCTACCCCTATGAATTATTTTTAAGCCAATTCCCAACATCACATCATTACCTCTAAATATTTCAGTATGTGTTTCTAAAATGTAAGGTCTTTAAAAATAGGTACAGATATATTTCATAATTTAAAAAATAATAATTCCTTAATGTAAAATATCCAGTTACTGGTTAAATTTCCTGGACTGTCTCAGTTGTTTTCTCCAAATCAGAATCAAATAATATCCACACAATTCATTTGGTTAATACATCTCAAGCTTGTAACACGCACCTCCTCTTCCTCCTTTTCCTTCCTCACAATTTGTGGAAGAGACAGCGCTATCTGTCCTCTAGAATATCCTACATTGTGGATTTTGCTGACTGTACCTTTAACACAAAGCCCATACTTTTGAACTTGATAAATTGACACTTCTAGGCTGGGCGTGGTGGCTCATGCCTGTAATCTCAGCACTTTGGGAGGCTGAGGCAGGTAGATCATTTGAGGTCAGGAGTTCAAGACCAGCCTGACCAACATGGTGAAACCCCGTCTCTACTAAAAATACAAAAAAATTAGCCGAGTGTGTTGGCATGGGCCTGTAGTTCCAGCTATGTGGGAGACTGAGGCAGGAGAATTGCTTGAACCCAGGAGGTGGAGGGTGCAGTGAGCCAAGATCATGCCACCGCACTCTAGCCAGGGTGACAGAGTGAGACTCTGTCTCAAAAATAAATAAACAAACAAACTACCTTTAGTAGTTTGATATATTTTGTTTTCTGTAAGTCAGCTCATAAATTATTCTTTTTGTACATTACAGTTTTACATGTTTAAGATTAAGACTGAGATATGTTTTAAAATACACTCAATCTTTAAAGAATCATTTAAGGTACTTTAAACTCCTTTCAATACCCATCAGTCAGATTTTTCATCAAACATGGTAAACATATACATATTATATACTCTGCCTAGCACAATAAAAGAAATGTAATTGTCATACCCTATGCAAATTTCCAACCTGAAAATACCCAGAAGCATCTTATAAACACTGAAACCCACGTCTCTCCAGGAAAGTTTTTCCTTGTGCATCGTACCTCACAATTCACTACTTTGTATTCTTCAAGCTTAGTTGGATCCTCTTATTTTGTTATTTGTTTGTGCTATTATTTCCAAGTCATGTCATGTATACGACTGGTCTCCAACTAGATTATCCTTCCCTTTTTATAGGAACTACCACGTGATTTAACTGTAAAACAATTTCTAATGGTGTCTGCACACATGTAGTTTACAAGTAAATTTGCAAAAAATATAAACAATATGACAGAGATTTAGCTGATGCCTTATCATGTCTAATTCCCAAATGTTTATATTTTAAAAACACCTAACTGAAGTATTCTAATGGAGAAAAAATGGCATGACAAAGAAATATGGAAATGGCTTACAGTTCTTGGCTGGCTGTACGACTGGACATGGAATTTGAGCACGAAGATTTCGAACAAAACACTAGCCTAGTTACTGTGTCTTTTTAATTTTTTTTAGACGGAGTTTTACTCTTGTCGCCAAGGCTGGAGTGCAATGGCGCGATCTCGGCTCTCTGCAACCTCTGCCTCTCCAGTTCAAGCGATTCTCCTGCCTCAGCCTCCCAAGTAGCTGGGATTACAGGTGCCTGCCACCAAGCCAAGCTAATTTTTTTGTATTTTTAGTAGAGACTAGGTTCACCATGTTAGCCAGGCTAGTCTTAAACTCCTGACCTCAGATAATCCACCCACCTTGGCCTCCCAAAGTGCTGGGATTACAGGCGTGAGCACCCGCACCCGGTCTACTCTGTCTTTTTTAGAGAATAAGACTCTGGTATGTTTCAAGAATAAAGGAAATGGCAAAGTTAATAGTGAAAGGTTCTCGGTTATTTAAAGTACTGCCATTCCAGAGTAGCTCCTCCAGAGTGAATCAATTTTCTGTCTACTTTTCTTCCTTTCAAAAGTCAAACTGGGGTTAGAATGTTCGAATTCTATATGTTATATTAATTTCTCTTTCAAAAAGATCACTTGAGGCCAGGCACGGTGGCTCGCGCCTGTAATCCCAGCATTTGGGAGGCTGAGGCGGGCAGATCACTTGAGGTCAGGAGTTCTAGACCAGCCTGACCAACATGGTGAGACCCTGTCTCTACTAAAAATACAAAAATTAGCAGATAGTAGTGGTGGGTGCCTGTAATCCCAGCTACTTGGGAGGCTGAGGCAGGAGAATTGCTTGAACCCGGGAGGCAGAGGTTGCAATGAGCCAAGATCACGCCATTGCACTCCAGTCAGCGTGACAAGAGTGAAACCCCTTCTGAAAAAAAAAAGATTGCTTGAGCTCAGGAGTCAAGATCAGCCTAGGCAACAGGTGAAACCCCGTCTCTACAAAAAAATACAAAAATTAGCCAGGAATAGTGGTGCAAGCCTGTGGTCCCAGCTACTCAGGAGGCTGAGAAGGGAGGATCGATCGCTTGAGCCTAAGAGGTCAAGGCTGCAGTGAGCCTTGTGCACAGTGAGATTGAGCCACTGCCTCCAGCCTGGGCAGCATAGCAAGACCTTGTCACAAAAACAAAACAAAACAAAACCCAGAAGAGTGAAGGATCAGAAAAGTACAATGTATTGAGACATGGTCTCCCTCCCATCCCTACCCCAGCCCCACATATTCCATAGGGAGAACTTGCCTCCAGCTATCTCTAGAAGAATAGGAGAATTTTAATACTAAATTGAATAGAAAAACATCTTTTTTCTCACTTTAAAAATACAGTTTATTGGAAAAGAGTAGGTGTTTGGAATCAGTGAACACCAAGTTCCAAATCCTACTCACACTTCCCAGAATACATACCATGGCAATGCCAAAATATGACCATGCTTGTTAATATTTAGGCCAAGGCATTAAATGTTTATAACATAACACAAATACTTGTAATCTAAATTTGAATGAATGTCTTCAATTTTCAGTAAAATAAGACCCTATTAAAGCCCTACCATTAATATATATTCATTCATAAACATACTGAGTACCTAATGAATGTTAAACACTGTAGAATCTCTAAGGAAAGAATACTCGGTCACTTTATAAGCTATGTGGTAGTCAAGAAAAATCCTTTCTACTCATTGATACGTTAAATGATCAAAAAATCCAAAGCTAAAAAATGATCAGAGAACAATGAAAAAATTTTAGTGGCTTTATGCTTCCAATTCCATTTTCTTCTGGCCTCTTTTCTGAAGCTTGCCTAAATCATCCCAGGAATGCTAAAATTGGGTGTTATTTAGGCATAACCAAAATGAAATAACAAAGTAAGTACCCCAAATAAAACTAGGAGAAAAAATCCAGGGAACCAAGCAGGCAGTAAGGATCTAAAGTTCTATACTTGGAACCTCTACCCTGAATGTTAAATAATAGATGTTTTTTAAACAGTTGACTGCCAAGTGTGGTGGCATGTGCCTGTAATCCTAGCTACTTGGGAGGCTGAGGTGGAGAGGCTCATTCTAGACTAGTCTGGACAAATAGCAAGACCCTATTTGTGGGGGAGCGGGGAGAAGGCAACCAAGCTGGGTGTGCCATGTGCCTCTAGTCCCAGCTACTTGGGAAGCTGAGGCAGGAGGAGTGCTTGAAACCATAGGCCACCGTACTCCAGCCTAGGCAACATAGGAAGACCCTATCTCTAAAACAAACAAACATAAACAAAAAGGCTGGGCGTGGTGGCTCACACCTGTAATCCCAGCACTTGAGGAGGCCGATTTGGGAGGATCACTTGAGATCAGGAGTTCGAGACCAGCCTGGCCAACATGATAAAATTTTTGTATTTTTAGTCTCTACTAAAAACAAAAATTAGCTGAGTGTGGTGGCGGGTGCCTGTAATCCCAGCTACTTGGGAGGCTGAGGCATAAGAATCATTTGAACCTGGGAAGCGGAGGTTGCAATGAGCTGAGATCACACCACTGCACTCCAGCCTGGGCAACAGAGCGAGACTCCATCTCAAACAAACAAACAAACAAAAAAACAGTTATACCTTTAATTATTATCTTCATTCAGTAATTAGGCAATTAGAATTTGATTGCTAAATGAATGTTCAAAGTTCAACCAAAATTAGTCCAAGATGAAGCCAAGAACACATCTCAACTCATTCAATAAAGCCATTATTACTCCGATGCCAAAACCAGACACAGATATCACAAGACAACTACAGACCAATATATCTTATGAATACAGATGTAAAAGTCCTCAACAAAGCAAAATGCATCCAGCAACATATAAAAAGGCTTATACACCATTGCTAAGTATGACTTAATCCCAGGGATTCAAGGTTGGTTTAACTTCTGAAAATCAATTAATGTAATACACGGTATTAATAAAGGATACAAACCACATGATCATTTGAATAGATGCAGAAAAAGCACTTAACAAAATCCAACTTGCTTTCATGATAAAAACACTCAACAAAGTAGGAACTGAAGAAAACATCTTCAACCTAATAAAGAATACCTATAGGAGAAAAAAAAGAATACCTACAAAAACCCCATAGCTAAAATCATACTTAATGGAGAAAGCCTGAATGCTTTCTCTCTCAGGTCAAGAACAAAACAAGGATATCCACTCTTACCACTCTGTTTAACACTGCACTGAAGGTTCCGGCCAGGGCAAATAGGCAAGAAAAAGAAATAAAAATCACTCAGGCTTAAAAAAAAAAGAAGTAAAACTACCTTTATTTGCAGATGATATAATCTTGTATATAGAAAATCCAAAGAAAATCCCACAAATAAACTATTAGACCCAATAAACACATCCAACACAGTTACAGGATACAAGCTCAATATACAAGTAGTAATCGTATTTCTATACACAAGCAATAAGCACTCTGAACATGAAAAGTTTCTAAAAATTCCACTTACAATAGTATCCAAAAAAAAAAAAAAAAAACACATAGAAAGCCGGACACGATGGCTCACACCTGTAATCCCAGCACTTTGGGAGGCCAAGGCAGGCGGATCACTTGAGGTCCGGAGTTTGAGACTAGCCTAGCCAACATAGTGAAACCCTGTCTCCACTAAAATACAAAAATTAGCTAGGTGTGGTGGCGGGTGCCTGTAATCCCAGCTACTCAGGAGGTTGAGGCAGCGGAATCACTTGAACCTGGAAGCAGAGGTTGCGGTGAGCCGAGATTGCACCACTGCACTGTAGCCTGGGTGACAGAATGAGACTCTGTCTCAAAACAAAAAAAGAATAATCAGAAATAAATTTAACAAAAGCAGTGACAATCTTATACTCTGAAATATATAAAAATTGCCAAAAGAAGTTAAAGAAATCCTAACTAAACGGAAAGGCCAGGTGTGATGGCTCACACCTGCAATCCTGGCACTTTGGTAGACTGAAGTGGGTGGACTGCTTGAGCCCAGAAGTTCAAGACCAGACTAGGCAACATGGCAAGACCTCGTCTCTACAAAAAATACAAAAATGAGCTAGGTGTGGTGGCATGCACCTGTAGTCCTAGCTGCTTGGGGGGCTGAGGAGGGAAGATCACTTGAACCTACTTAAGGCTGCAGTGAGCTGTGATTGCACTACTGTACTTCACTCCAGCCTGGATGACAGAGCAAAACTGTGTCTCAAAAAAAAAAAAAAAAAAAAGGAAAGACATCCTATGTTCATGGATGAGAATGGATTAGAAGATGTAACACTGTTAAAATGGCAATATTCCCTAAATTGATCTACAGAACCACCAATGGGATCCCAGTATACCCAAAAGAATCTTGAAAAGGAAAAACAAAGCTGGAGGACTCACACTTCCTGATTTGAAAACATAATTCAAAGCTACGGAAATCAAGACAGTGTGGTAGTGGTATAAGGATAAACATGCAGATCAATGGAATATAATTGTGGGTTCAGAAATAAACCCTTACACTGACAGTCAATTGATTTTTTTGACAAGAATGCCAAGAGAATTCAGTGGAGGAAAGAATGGTCTTTTTAAGCCAAGTGCTGTGGCTGACACCTGTAGTCCCAGCACTTTGGGAGGCCGAAGCAAGAGGACTGCTTGAGGCCAGGAGTTCGAGACTAGCCTGGGCAACAAAGCAAGACCCCATCTCTACAAGAAACAAACAATGGTCTTTTCAACAAACCATGCTGGGACAACTGAATATTCACATGCGGTAGAATGAAGTTGGACCACTGTATCTCACACTATACACAAAAATTAATTCTAATTAAATTTAAACATGGATTATAGACCTAAATGTAACAGCTAAAACAATAAAATTCCTAGAAGAAAACAAAAGCTAATCTTCATTTCATTTGGTGGCCTGACATCAAAACCACATGCAACAAAGGAAAAAACAAGTAAATTGGACTTCATCAAAATTATAACATTTTGTATGTTAAAGGACACCATCAAGAAATTGAAAACACAACCCATAGATGGGAGAAAATATTTGCAAATCATGTATCTCACAAGGGATTTGCATCTAGTATATTTAAAGAACTCTTACAACTGAACAATAAAAAGAGAATCCAATTTTAAAATGGGCAAAGGCTGAGCACGGTGGCTCACACCAGAAGGAGAGGATCCCTTGAGGCAAGGATTTTGAGACCTGCCAGAGCAACATAGCAAGACCCTGTCTCTACAAAATAAATTAATAATAATAAAAAAAAACAATTAGCCAGGCATGGTGGCACACACCTGTAGTCCTAGCTACTCATGAGCCTGAGGCAGAAGGAACCTTTGAGTCCAAGAGTTTGAGGTTCCAGAAACCATGATTGGGCCAGGTGCGGTGGCTCACGCCTGTAATCCTAGCACTTTGGGAGGCCAAGGCGGCTGGATCATGAGGTCAGGAGTTCAAGACCAACCTGGCCAAGATGGTGAAACCCCATCTCTACTAAAAATACAAAAATTAGCTGGGCGTGGTGGTGGGTGCCTCTAATCCCAGCTACTTGGGAGGCTGAGGCAGAGGATCACTTGAGCCCAGGAGGCAGAGATTGCAGTGAGCCAAGATAGTGCCACTGAACTCCAGCCTGGGTGACAGAGCAAGACTCCATCTCAAAAAAAAAAAAAAAAAAAAAGAGAAAACTACGATTGGCCACTGCACTCTAGCCAGAGCGACAGAGCAAGACCTAGCCTAAAAAACAATAGGTGTATAAAAATAAAATTAAAATGTGCAGAGAATTTAAATAGACATTTCTCCAAAGAAGATATATGAATGGCCAATAAGCACATGAAAAGATCTCATCAAGTTGAGCACAGGGGATCAGGCCTGTAATCCCAACACTTTGGGAGGCCAAGGTGCAGGGACTGCTTGAGCCCAGGAATTTGAGACCAGCCTGGGCAACATGGCAAAACCCCATCTCTACAAAAAATACAAAAAAGGCCAGGTACAGTGGCTCATGCCTTTAATCCCAGCACTTTGGGAGGCTGAGGCAGGCTGATCACGTGAGGTCAGGAGTTTGAGACCAGCCTGGCCAAAATGCTGAAACCCCATCTCTTCTAAAAATACAAAAATTAGCCGAGGGCCTGTAGAGCCAGCTACTTGGGAGGCTGAGGGAGGAGAATCTCTTGAACCCAGGAGGCAGAGGCTGCAGTGAGCTGAGGTCACGCCACTGCACTCCAGTCTGTGTGACAGAGTGAGACTCCATCTCAATAAATAAATAAATAAATAAATAACCAGCTGGGTGTGGTGGTACACACTTCTAGTCCCAGCTACTTGGGAGGCTGAGGTGAGAGGATCACTTGAGCCCAGTAGGTCTTAGCTGCAGTAAGCTGTGATCGTGCCACTGCACTACAGTCTGGGCTACAGAGCAACACTTTGTCAAAATGAAAAAAAAGAAAAAGGAAAGAAGGAAGGGAGGGAGGGAGGGAGAGGAGGGAAGGAGAGAGCAAAGCGAGGGAGGGAAGGAGGGAGTGAAGGGAGGGAGGGAGGGAGGGAGATATCTTATAATTAGTCATCAGGAAAATTCAATTCAAAACCACAATGATATACCACTTGACATCCACTAGGATGCTATAATCAAAAAATAAAAAAAGATAGACAATTACAAAGTGTTGGCAAGACTGTGGAGAAACCGGCACCTTCACATGCTGCTAGAAATACAAAATCGTCCAGCTGCTTTGGAAAATAGTTTTGGTGGTTACTAAAAAAGTTAGAATTACCATATCACCCAGCACTTCTAGCCTTAGGAATATACCCAAGAGAACTGAAAAGAGGTATCCAAACAAAAACTTACACAAGAATGTTTAGGGCCAGGTGCAGTGGCTCACACCTGTACTCCCAGCACTTCCAGAGGCTAAGGAGAGAGGACTGCTTGAGCCCAGGAGTTCAAGACCAGCCTGGGCAACATAAGGAGGTCACATCTCTACAAAAAAAAAAAAAAAAAAAAAAAATAGCAGGGAACAGTGGATCACACCTGTAATCCCAACACTTTGGGAGGCTGAGGTGGGAGGATTACTTGAGCTCAGGAATTTGAGACCAGCCTGGGCAATATAATAAGACTCAATTTCTACAAAAAAATTTTAAAAGTAGCTGGGCATGGTGGCACATACTTTTAGTCCTAGCTACTTGGGAGGCTGAGGTGGGAGGATCACTTGAGCCCAGGAGGTTGAGGCTGCAGTGAGCCATGATTGCACCACTGCATTCCAGCCTGGGTGACAGAGAAAGACCCTGTCTCAAAAATAAAAATAAAAATAAAAAAAGCAAATGTGCCATACAAAGCGTAGATATGGATGGACTTCTAAATATTTTACTAAGAGCAATAGATCAAAACAGGTGCCCAACCAAAATTTTTATTTTATTTTTTTTAGAGACAGGGTCTCACTGTCACCCAGGCTGCTCGAGGGCAGTGGTGTGATCAGAGCTCACTGTAACCTCAAACTCTTAGGCTCAATCAAGTGATCCTCTTGCCTCAGCCCCCTGAGTAATGAGGACTATAGGCGTGTGCCACCATCCTCAGCTAATTGTTTTTATTTTTTGTAGAGACAGGGGTCTCACTCTGTTGCCCAGGCTGGTCTAGAACTGCTGGCCTGAAGCAATCCTCCTGCCTTGGCCTCCTAAAACTCTGGGATTACAGGTGTGATCCACCATGCCCAGCCTCAACCAAAAATCTTAAATTTCTAACGAGCATGGAAAGGGGGAAGTGGGATGAAAAACTTTCCTCAAAACAGAAGAATAGTGCAAATGAGGAAAAACAATAAAAGACCATAAAGTGGTCAGGGGCACTAAGACCTATGCAGGCAAAACAACAATTAAAACCTTACAAGAGGCCAGATGCGGTAGCTTACGCCTGTAATCCCAGCATTTTGAGAGACCAAGGTGGATGGATCACCTGAGGTCAGGAGTTCGAGACCAGCCTGGCCAATATGGTGAAACCTTGACTCTACTAAAAAGACAAAAATTACCCGGTGTGGTGGCACACGCCTGTAGTCCCAGCTACTCGGGAGGCTGAGGAAAGAGAATCACTTGAACCCGGAGGTGGAGGGTGCTGGGAGCCAAGATCCCACAACTGTACTCCAGCCTGGGCAACAGAGCAAGACTCTCTCTCAAAAAAAAAAAAAGCTTCCAAGAAAATTATGCAAGCCGGGCGCAGTAGCTCACGCCTGTAATCCCAGCACTTTGGGAGGCCGAGGGGAGGCAGATCATTTGAAGTTAGGAGTTCAAGACCAGCCTGGCCAACATGGTGAAATTCTATCTCTACTAAAAAAAAAAAAAAAAAGAACTTACAAAAATTAGCCAGGCGTAGTGGCGCATGCCTGCACTCACAGCTGCTTCGGAGGCTGAGGCAGGAGAATCGCTTGAACCTGGGAGTCAGAGGTTGCAGGGAGTCAAGATTGCACTCCAGCCTGAGCGACAAAAGCAGAACTCCATCTCAAAAAAAAGAAAATGCAAAGCGACCTCAGAGACAGTTTAAATATATAAAAAGCTAGTGCCAAATAAAACTGGGTGGGTCACTTGATAAACAGGATATAAACAGTGGATAAAAAGCAAGACAGCTGGTATATATAATTCTTATTTGCTTCAATATTTACTGGGGAAGATAGAGGGGAAAAAGCTATCTAAATTACTCTTTAAAACATACAAATCACTAATAGTGAATCAAATGCATCATTAAATATACTAAATTCCTCAAACTGACATGTCAGATGTCAGGTAGTCATGAAGACCCAAAATAGTCTCTATGGGTTTTTTGTTTGTTTGCTTTTTGAGACAGTCTCACTCTGTTGCCCAGGCTGGAGTGCAGTGGCACCATCTCGGCTCACTGCAAGCTCTGTTGCCCGGGTTCAAGAGATTCTCCCACCTCAGCCTCCCAAGTAGCTGGGATTACAGGCGTGCGCTACCACATCCGGCTAATTTTTGTATTTTTAGTAGAGATGGAGTTTCACTGTGTTGCCCAGGCTGGTCTCAAACTCCTGACCTCAAGTGATCCGCCCACCTCGGCCTCCCAAAGTGCTGGGATTTCAGGTGTGAGCCACTGCGCCTGGCCCCTTCTCTGTGTTTTAAAGGCATTTAAGTATAAATTATTAAACTGCAGGACAGAACATATTAGCTGACGGTCATATGAGTGACCTTCTCTAAATGCCAGGAGGATAGAATCCACTTTTCCTTTATCAACATTTTCCTTGCTCAACTTCTGGCATATTAGGTACTCAACAAATATGTGCTGAACCAAAATGAACAAAAAAATGCTGTCATCAAAGTAACTCCCATCCACTCAAGTAGGCTGCAACTTCAAACTGCCCAAACTGGCAAATCTCTAATAAAGATGGGCTCAGAAGACATACCAGCATGAATAACCTTCTGAGGAAAAGACAACATGGATTCTAAAAGTGGAAATCACACCACACCAGTTCACCCAAATTCTCTGAGAAAATAAATATGTGAATATAATTTATGTGAGCTTTCACAAAACTCTTGATAAGATTCTAAGTAAAGATTTTTTTTTTTGAGGCTGAGTCTCGCTCTGTCGCCCAGGCTGGAGTGCAGTGGCGCGATCTCGGCTCACTGCAAGCTCCACCTCCCGGGTTCACGCCATTCTCCTGCCTCAGCCTCCCGAGTAGCTGGGACTACAGGCGCCCACCACCACGCCCCGCTAATTTTGTTTTTTTGTATTTTTAGTAGAGACGGGGCTTCACCGTGTTAGCCAGGATGGTCTCAATCTCCTGATCTCGTGATCCACCTGCCTCAGCCTCCCAAAGCACTGGGATTACAGGAGTGAGCCACCACACCCGGCCCTAAAGATTATTTTTTTAAAGACCTGAGTGGCCACAGAATGAGTACATTTACTGTAGACTGGACATAATTGAGACACAGATAATTATGGGTAGATGCTGAGGTACTTCCCCAAATGAAGAAGTATAAACAGAAGATTGATAATTTTTTAGAAATGCTCCTCAGAAACTGCACAGGGTGAGAGGAGAAAGGGTCAAGGGAAGGCAAATACTAATGTTTTTAGGAGCAAAAGAGGAAATAAGTCTGCAGAGGAAACCAAGAGTATGAGCCGGGCTCGGTGACTCACGGCTGTAATCCTAGCACTTTGGGAGGCCAAGGCGGGCAGATCACGTGAGGTCAGGAGTTCGAGACCAGCCTGGCCAACATGATGAAAGCCCGTCTCTACTAAAAATACAAAAATTAGCCACGTGTGGTGGCAGGTGCCTGTAATCCCAGCTACTGGGGAAGCTGAGGCAGGAGAATCGCTTGAACCCAGGAGGCGGAGGTTGCAGTGAGCCGAGATCGCGCCACTGCACTCCAACCTGGACGAAAGAGCAAGACTCCGTCTCAAAAAAAAAGTTTCAAAGATAAAACAAAAATCTTGTTAAGAATACATGAGACGCTAAAGAAATAATCTACTTTAATTCATGCTATCAATTTTCATTTCCTATGTGTAGGTGTTGAGGGTCTAGTACCCATGATAAATGACATACACCTGTTCTGGGCTGACTTTTGTTCCCTAAAAGAGATAGGTAGTACTCCAGGGGGCTGGGCACAGTGGCGCATGCCTGTAATCCCAGCACTTTGGGAGGCCAAGGCCACAGGATCACTTGAGCTCAGGAGTTCAAGATCAGCCCGGGCAACATGGCAAGACCCCGTCTCTACTAAAAATACACAAAAATAGCCAGGTGTGGTAGTGCGCACCTGTAGTCCCAGCTACTCGAGAAGCTGAGGTGGGAGGATTGCTTGAGCCCGGGGATGAGGGGGCTGGAGGTTGCAGTGATCCAAGTGCCACCGCACTCCAGCCTGGATGACAGAGGAAGACCCCGTCTCAAAAAAAAAAAGAAAAAGAAAAAAAAAGGAGATATGTAGTACTCCTAACATTCAGTACCTCAGAATGGGATCTTAGAGACAGGATCTTCAGGCCAGGTGGCTTCCCTTCCTCTCTGCGTCGGTCCGTCCCACCTCGGCTCGGCCTGGCGACCCTAACTCCGCTCCGCGCCCCCGGCCGCGGCCCCGGCCCGCCTCCTGGGCAGCCAGGCCCCCCGGCCACTCGGCCGGCAGCCCGCGGCCCAGGTCTGCAAGTGGGAGCTGGGCTGGGGTCCCCATGCTCCACACACGCGTCTCCTCTCCCCCAGCCCTGCCGCTTCCAGGGCCCTCGGTGACGCCCGCTCCCCGGGCCCCTCGGCCCCCCGCCTCTCAGCCGGGCGCTCCCTCGGGGCCGCCTCCTCTGCCTCACCATCATCCTTGCCCACTCGTGCTCCCACCCCCAGGGGCACCAGAGCCAACGGCTGCTCCCCCAGCCTCGGACCTTCCTGCGCGGCTCAACCAAGCCTAGAAGTGGGGGCGGGGAATCTTCCGCCCTCCTCTGGCGCTCATTGGCCCTTCAGGGGCACATCGTGAGCGCCATTGGCTGACTGATGGTGTCCGTCAGAGCGATGGGGCGGGACAGAAAGGGGAGAGGGAAGCTGGTGCCTTGGCATTTCTGTGTCTGTGTATCTGTCTGTCTCTGTCTCTATCTCGGCCCTTGGAAACGAGAGGCTTTTGGCCGAGAGGACTAGAAGGGGGCCTGAGGTGGGAGGAATAGGAATAGGAATCCCGGCAAAGCGTCACGCCAGTCGGCTACTCTGAACCCCCTACCTAAGTCCCCTTTAGGTTCTCTTCTCCATCACCCCCAACCCCTGCCCCTCACCCCTCGAGGTTCCTTCATCCAGGAAGCGACGTGATGAAAACTCCAGGCCGGAAAGCCATAGGGAGAGATGTTATATAGGTATATAAAATACACACACACACACACACACACACACACACACACACACACACACACACACAAAGTATTAGCTGTGAGTTGTTAATAGATGCTCTTCATTTAGGTTGAGGAAGTTTCTTTCTGTTCCTAATTTGTTGAGTATACATCTTTTATTTTATTCATTTAAAATGTTATTTCAAGAAGAAATTTGGGCCGGGCACGGTGGCTCACACCTGTAATCCCAGCACTTTGGGAGGCCAAGGCAGGTGGATCACCTAAGGTTAGGAGTTTGAGACCAGCCTGACCAACATGGTGAAACCCCGTCTCTTCTAAAAATACAAAAACTAGCAGGGTGTGGTGGTGCATGCCTGTAATTTCAGCTACTCAGGAGCCTGAGAGAGAAGAATCACTTGAACCCAGGAGGCGGAGGTTGCAGTGAACCGAGATCACATCATTGCACTCCAATCTGGGCAACAAGAGGGAAACTCCATCTCAAAAGAAAAAAATAATTAAAAAGTAAAAAATAAAAAAAGGGATTTGACCAGGTGCAGTGGCTCACGCCACTAATCCCAACGCTTTGGGCGTCCAAGGCGGGCAGATCACTTGAGATCCGGAGTTCAAGATCAGCCTGACCAACATGGTGAAATTCTGTCTCTACTAAAAAGATACAAAAATTGCCCAGGCATGATGGCTCACGCATTTAATCCCAGCACTTTGGGAGGCCGAGGCGGGTTGATCATTTGAAGTCAGGGGTTCGAGACCAGCCTGGGAACATCATGAAACTCCATCTCTACTAAAATACAAAAATCACCCGGCTGCAATGGTGCACGCCTGTAATCTCAGCTACTTGGGAGGCTTGGGCAGGAGAATCACCGGAACCAGGAGGTGGAGGTTGCAGTGAGCCGAGATCGTGCCACTGCACTCCAGCCTAGGTGACAAGGCAAGACTCAGTCTCAAAAAAACCAAACAAATGAAAATTGGCCAGGTGTGGTGGTGCACGCCTGTAGTCCCAGCTACTCAGGAGGCTGAGGAAGGAGAATTGCTTGAACCGGGGAGGTGGAGGTTGCAGTGAGCCAAGATCATGCCACTGCACTCCAGCCAGGGTGACAGAGCAAGACGCTGTCTCCAAAAAAAAAAAAAAAAAAGGGATTTATGGGAAGTAATTAAGGTCACATAAGGTCATAAAACTGGGCCCTGATTTAATAGAATTAGTATATTTATGAGAAGAGGCCCCAGAGAGGTCTCTAGCTTTCTCTCTGCCATGCGAGGCCACTTCAAGAAGGCAAGCCAGGTAATAAAGCCCACACTGAGTTAGGAGGTGGAACTGGACTCCAGAGGTGGGGCTTGGACACCAGACCAAATTGATGACTAGCTGAAACAGGGACAGGGTGAAAGCAGCTTTCCATAAGACACGCTCACCAGTGCACCATGTCAGTTTACCATTTCCATGGCGGCACCCAGAATTACCTCTTTCTTTTTCTTTCTTTCTTTTTCTTTTTTTTGTTTTTTGAGATGGAGTCTCAGTCTGTCACCCAGGCTGGAGTGGCACGATCTTGGCTCCCTGCAAGCTCTGCCCCCCCAAGGTTCAAGTGATTCTCCTGCCTCAGCCTCCCGAGTAGCTGGGATTACAGGCACCTGCCACTGCGCCAGGCTAACTTTTGTATTTTTAGTAGAGACAGTGTTTCACAATCTTGGCCAGGCTGGTCTTGAACTTTTGATGTCGTGGCCAACCTACCTCAGCCTCCCAAAGTGCTGGGATTACAGGTGTGAGCCACCACGCCCAGCCTACCACCCCTTTCAATGGCAACAACTCGACAACCCAGAAGTTATCAGCCTTTTTCTAGAAACATCTGTATAGTCCGCCCCTTAATTTGCATATAATTAAAGGTCGATGTAAATATGACTGTAGAACTGCCCTGAGCTGCTGCTCTGGTCACACTACCTATAGGGTAGCCCTGCTCTGCAAGGAGCAGTCCCTCTGCTGTTGCTGTAGGTCACCGCTTCAATAAAAGTTGGCATCTAGGCCAGGTGCAGGGGCTCATGCCTATAATCCTAGCACCCTGGGAGGCTGAGGTGGGTGGATCACTTGAGGCCAGGAGTTTGAGAGCAGCCTGGCCAACATGGTGAAACCCCATCTTCTACTAAAAATATAAAAATTTAGCTGTGTGTGGTGGTGCGCCCCTGTACTCCCAGCTACTCACGAGGTTGAGTGGGGTGAATTACTTGAACCTCGGAGATAGATTCTGCAGTGAGCCACTGTACTCCAGCCTGGGTGACAGAGTGAGACCCTGTCTCAAAAAAACAAAAAAAAAGTTGGCCTCTAACATCTTTGGTTTGCCCTTTAATTCTTTCCTGGGTGAAGCCAAGAACCTTCTCAGGCTAAACCCCAGTTTGGGGGCTTCGCGGCCCTGTGTCAACACCAGAAACTTAACCCTTTGGAAACTTTGATCTTGGACTTTCCAGCCTCTAGAACCATGAGAAAATGATCTGTATTATTAGGCTACCCAGTCTATGGTATTTTGTTGTAGCCTGAGGCGACTAAGACATTGAGCCTGTATCACTCAAATTTTGCTACCTGCTTGGCCCTTTGATGGCATTTTAGTTTGTGACTCTTGGCTTAAGTGATCATGAAGCCAAAACTGTTTAGGAAGGGAGCAAAATCAAGACAGATTAAAAAAAAAAAAAAAGGCTGGCACAGTGGATCATGCCTGTAATCCCAGCACTTTGGGAGGCCAAGGTGGGCAGATCACCTGAGGTCAGGAGCTCGAGACCAGCCTGGCCAAGATGGTGAAACCACGTCTCTACTAAAAGTTAAAACTACAAAAATTAGCCAGGCATGGTGGTGGGCGCCTGTAATCCCAGCTATTTGGGAGGGTGAGGCAGGAGAATCACTTGAACCCGGGAGGTGGAGGTTGCAGTAAGCCGAGATCATACCACTGCACTCCAGCCTGGGTGACAGAGCAAGACTCTGTCTCAAGAAATAAAATAATTTAAAATAAAAGAGGTAAGCATGCTGGCTCACACACGTAATACCACACTTTGGGAGAAAGAGGCAGCAGGATTGCTTGAGCCCAGGGGTTTGAGACTAGCGTAGGTAACATGGCAAGATGCCATCTCAATAAAAAAAAATATATATTTTAAAAAGAATAATAGGATCTTGCCTCTGAAGATGAAATAACAGAGGAAATTGGAGTAAGGAAGAAAAGTTGAGAGGGGCTAAGGTTATAGGTCAGAGAGTTGAAGGCTGGGAGCTAGGATTTCAGTCATGGAGCTGGTCCAGGGTCTGGGAAGCTCCTTTCCATGGTCATGGGTGGAGGCCGCTATAGACGAGAAGGTTACTGGAGTTGAAGAGAGTGAGGGAAGATGCAGCATAGATGTTAACGGTAGCTAGGATGATGGAAAGGAAGATACAAACCTAGGTGCTCAAACCATAGATTAACGTGGAGGAATGGATGGAAAGTTGGGAGATGATGGAGTTGAGGTGGACAATGGGGTCTTGTAGCTCAATGACATGGGCCTCAAAAGAAAAAGATTGTATATAAGATTGGAGGAGCACAAATGTGGGAGCAGCATGGGAACTATGAGAACTCCACCCTCCTTTTTTCAGCATTGTATGCACCCAAACCTCCTAATTCGGTGATCCTCTTCCCTAGAAGTAGTGTCCCCTAAGGCAAGGACAACTTTTATTCTTTTTTGTGAATTTTTAACTGCATTGCTAATCACAAAGTCTTTATCTAACAATATGTTCATCATTTCTTTTTTTTTTTTTTTTTTGAGACGGAGTCTCGTTCTGTCACCGAGGCTGGAGTACAGTGGCGTAATCTCGGCTCACTGCAAGCTCCGCCTCCCGGGTTCATGCCATTCTCCTGCCTCAGCCTCCCGAGTAGCTGGGACTACAGGTGCCCACCACCATGCCCGGCTAATTTTTTGTATTTTTAGTAGAGGCGGGGTTTCACTGTGTTAGCCAGGATGGTCTCGATCTCCTGACCTCATGATCTGCCCACCTCTCCCTCCCAAAGTGCTGAGATTACAGGCGTGAGCCACTGCGCCCAGCCGTTCATTTCTTTTGTTGTTTTTTGTTTTGTTTTGTTTTGTTTTTTTGTTTTTTTTGAGATGGAGTTTCACTCTTGTTGCCCAGGCTGGAGTGCAGTGGCGCGATCTCAGCTCACTGCAAGCTCCACCTCCCAGGTTCACACCATTCTCCTGCCTCAGCCTCCCGAGTAGCTGGGACTACAGGCGCCCGCTACCACACCCGGCTAATTTTTTGTATTTTTAGTGCAGACAGGTTTTCACCCTGTTACCCAGGATGGTCTCAATCTCCTGACCTCGTGACCTGCCCACCTTGGCCTCCCAAAGTGCTGGGATTACAGGCGTGAGCCACCGCACCCGGCCAGGGAGAGCTACTTCTAATCAAACACACTAATATTTCTGCAGCAAAGTGTGTGAATGTCCACATTATGTGCAATAAATAAGGATCATTTATAGTGTGATGTCACTTCATGGATCAGATTTTGCCACCAAAATGAGTTATGAAAACCTAGCAGTTTTCAGTTTTCAGTACCCTTCAGATTTCAGGATTAAGGATAAAAGATTGTTCACTCTCCTTAATCTACAAGTGAGATTCTCAAGCTGCGTTTTGCAGAACTACTTAGAGTGCCCCAGCCCAGAAGCACTGAATCAGATTCTTTGGGGTGTGGCCTGGGAATTGGAATTTTTGACAAACAACCCAGCTGATACTGATGAGAAACACTGCCCAGGGTGTAGTGCTATGGCATGGGAAACAGATGGGAACCCCAGCTGGGCTATTTTTATCACATGCCTCTCCCCAAACCTCCCTTTGACATCACTTTGACCCTGCAGTCAAGTTTCACAGAATTTTTCTATGACATTTTGATGGAGATGGGTGTCCAAAGGACAGGAATATACAAAGATCAAAGGGGCAGGGGAGAAAAACAAAGCAGAAAAAGGCAGACAGAATTACTATTCTAAACTCAAGCTACAGTCTGGTCATCAGATTATGTCACATGTATTCATTCACTATCTACTGAGTATGCGTTATCAGTCAGACACTGGTGCAGGTAGTTGGAAAATCACAAAATAATTCTAGACCAAGTAATTTTCCCTTTTGGCAATTCTCATTTCTCTGTACACCACTTGTTGTTTTTGGTTTTGTTTTGTTTTTTGAGGAGTGGGCATCAGCCAATGAAGCACATTGAGTCTTTCCCGGCGGTAGCTCCAACTGCAAAGCTTATACTCACGCCCCTCTTCATCTGGGCGTCTGTTTCTCTAGGCTTCTTTTTGCATGGGTTTGCATATGGAGATCTGGTTATCTCTGCTGAGGTTTCTATGTTGATGTCTCTGTTTGGAGGTCTCTCAGTAGGTAGGTGGGTATCCCTTGTCAAGAAGAAGGACCCACATTTAACATCACAATGTCTTGTGGACCCCCCACACGCTAATTGTCATCTTCTTTATATAGTTCTGGAGGTCAGAAGTCCAAAATCAGTCTCATTGGGCTAAAGTCAAGGTGTCAGTAGAACTGGTCCTTTCTGGAGGTTCTGAGGCCACCTGCATTCCTTGGCTCATGGCTGCTTCCTTGCTTCACTCCCACCTTTTACTTCCTTCATCACATCTTCCACTCCTGACTGTTGATCCCACTGCCTCCCTCTGATAAGGAGCCTCGTTATCACATTGGCCCACCTTATGAACCCAGGATCGCCACTCCTGTTACCGGGAGCTCCCAAGATGGTGGCGGGCTGCTTCCAAGATGGTGGCAAGCCTCGTGTTCTCTGACCTGGGGTTCTTGGCCTCATGGAGTCCGAGGAATGGAATCTTGGGCCATGCGGTGAGTGTTATAGCTCTATCAGAAGCCGTGGGTCACGGAAGAGAATCGTGGAACCCAGTGATTAGTGTTCAGCTCGATTAGGACGAACCCAGCACTTAGCCGTTTAGGAACAATGGCAAGCCTCTAGCCCAATCGGGAGCAGCAATGGGCACCTCACTGGATCAGGAGCACAGTGGACACCCTGCTGGATCCGGAGGAATGGAAGTCAGTGGCGGGTCTGCGATGGCGGCAAACAGCACTGGTGGACGGCAAGCAAAAGCTCAGCTCCAGCCGTAACAAACACGGACCAGAAGATAGTGCAGTTGCAAGATTTAATAGAGTGAAAACAGAGCTCCCATACAAAGGGAGGGGACCCAAAGAGGGTAGCCCTTTTTTTATTTTTAGTAGAGACGGGATTTCGCCACGTTGGCCAGGCTGGTCTTGAACTCATTACCTCAAGTGATCTGTCAGCCTCAGCCTCCCAGATTGCTGGGATTACAGGTGTGAGCCACTGTGCCCAGCCTTCTGACTTTTATAGTAAATACTTTTCTTGCTTGTCTTTGTACTTATATTGACTGTGTATGTATTCCTAAGCATGGTTTAGTATTTTCCCTTGAAAGAGTTATATAATTATATATATGTATATATGTGTGTGTGTGTATATATATATGTATGTATAGGCTGGGATTACAAGTGTGAGCCACCATGCCTGGTCAAGAGTTACATGAGTATACTTTATTATTTTAACATTTATTTTGAAATAATTTCAGAAAAGTTGCAAAAATAATACAAAGAATCCATCTACTCTTCATTGAGATTCCTCAAATGTTAACATTTTACCGTTTGCTTTTTAATTTTTGTCTCTCCCCTCACTCCCCACACACATTTTTCCCCAAAACTATCATTGAATAAATTGCATGCACAATTCCCCTGTCCCTCATTACTCCTCGTACTTTCTTTCTTTTTTCTTTTCTTTTTTTTTTTTTGAGACGAAGTCTCACTCTGTTGCCCAAGCTGGAGTGCAGTGGCAAGATCTCAGCTCACTGCAACCTGCACCTCCCGGGTTCAAGCAATTCTCCTGCCTGAGCCTCCCCAGTAGCTGGGAATACAGGTATGTGCCACCATGCCCGGCTAATTTTTGTGTTTTTAGTAGAGACGGGGTTTCACTATGTTGGCCAGGCTGGTCTCGAACTCCTGACCTTGTGATCCACCCACCTCAGCCTCCCAAAGTGCTGGGATTACAGGCATGAGCCACTGCACCCAGCCCATTACTCGTACTTTCTAAAAGTAAGCCTATTTTCTTATATCACAGTACAGTTATCAAAATCAAGAAATTAACTTTGACAGAGTACTATTATTTAATCTAGACACTATGCAAATTTTGCCAACTGTCTCAGTAATGTCCTTTATAGGAGAAGAAAAAATTTTAAAAAATTTCTGTCTCAAGATCCAATTCAGCATCACACATTGCATTTACTTGTCAATGTAGTCACTTTTAATATGCAATAGTTTTTTGGTCTGTCTGATTTTCATAACCTTGATGACACTTTTGAAGGTTACAGACCACTTATTATGTACAATGTCCCTCAGTATGAGTTTGCATAGTATTTCCTCATAATTAGATTCAGGTTATGCATTTTTGGCAGGAATATCCAGAAGTGATGCTGTATACTTCTCCATATATATTACTAGGAAAAATTTTTGGCAGGAATATCCAGAAGTGATGCTGTGTACTTCTCCATATATATTACTAGGAAAAATAATAACCATTTTGTGGGGAGGAACTTTTTTTTTTTTTTGAGACAGAGTTTCGCTCTTGTTGCCCAGGCTGGAGTGTAATGGCTCCATCTCGGCTCACCGCAACCTCCGCCTCCTGGGTTCAAGCAATTCTCCTGCCTCAGCCTCTCAAGTAGCTGGGATTACAGGCATGGGCCACCATGCCCAGTTAATTTTGTATTTTTAGTAGAGACGGGGGTTTCTCCATGTTGGTTAGACTGGTCTCGAACTCCCGACCTCGGGTGATCCGCCCACCTCAGCCTCCCAAAGTGCTGGGATTATAGGTGTAAGCCACCGTGCCCGGCCTGGGGAGGCACTTTTGAGACTACGTACAAATCTTGTTTTTAATCACATTTTTGCTTATTAATTTTAGTAATGATTATTCTGGCCTGAAACAATTATAACTTTGGTGGTTGACAAATAGTGATATATATTGTTTTTTGTTTTTATTTGATATGGAGTCCTGCTCTGTTGACCAGGCTGGAGTGCAATGGCACGATTTTGGCTCACTGCGACCTCCACCTCCCCAGTTCAAGACAGCTGTAAAACTTGTTTAATGTATTTTTTGAAAATGTTTCTAAAAGATAAAAAATGTTTTTACCTGGAAATCGAGTAAACAAGTTATTTGTATTTGTAAGAAAGCCTATGGAATGTCTCATAAAGATCTATTCTGGCCAGACATAGTGGCTCACACTTTGTAATCCCAGCACCTTGGGAGGCCAAGGCAGGTGGATCACCTAAGGTCAGGAGTTCGAGACCAGCCTGGCCATGGCAGAACCCCGTCTCTGCTAGAAATAAAAAAAATTAGCCAGGCGTGGTGTTGGGTGCCTATAATCCCAGCTACTCAGGAGGCCAAGGCAGGAGAATCGCTTGAACCTGGGAGGCAAAGGTTGCAGTTGCACTGAGCCGAGATAGAGCCACTGCACTTCAGCCTGGGCGACAGTGTGAGATTCTCTAAAAAAAAAAAAGAAAGAAAAGAAAAATAAAAAACAGAAAAAAAGGCTATACTAAGACCCTGGCTTCTGAAGCCCCACAGTTCCCCTAGTAAATGTTTTGGCTATGTAGTACGCCACATGCATGTGTTTACCACAGTGTATCCAACCAACCTCCTCTGCTTGGACTTTTGAGTAGTTTGCAAGATTTTGCAATTACAGATAATCAGTAATGAATAAACCTACACATATGTATTTTCATGTTGTTGAGGTGTATGTTCAGGGTCAATTCCTAGAAGTAGGATTGCTCAATAGAAGCATAGATGCATATGTGGGGTTTTTTTTTGTTTGGTTGTTTTGTTGTTTTGTTTTTTTGCTTCTGAGATGGAGTCTCATTCTGCTGTCCAGGCTGCAGTGCAGTGGCACAATCTCGGTTCAAGGCAACCTCCACCTCCTGAGCTCAAGCCATCCTTCCACCTCAGCCTCCCAAGTAGCTGGAATTACGGGCGCACACTACCATGCCCAGCTAGTTTTTGTACTTTCAGTAGAGACAGAGTTTTGCCATGTTGGCCAGGCTGGTCTCGAACTCCTGGGCTTCGGCGATCTTCCTTTCTCCCAAAGTGCTAAGATTAGAAGGCGTGAGTCACTACGCCTGGCCTCATTTTTCCTTTCTATTTTTTTTCTAATTTAAGGTGACTTTTCACTTTCTCACATGCTTTTTGAAAGACATTTTTCTTTTCCTTTAGCTTTGTAGGTTTTTGGGGAGGCTTTTCAACAGCAGAAAAACCTTTAATTTCCTGACTTTTGCAATAATTTTTTATGGATGTTGGCTACTTTATTCCAAATCATTCAATTCATAAAATTCTTTTTTTTTTTTTTTTTTTTGAGACGGAGTCTCGCTCTGTCGCCCAGGCTGGAGTGCAGTGGCCCGATCTCGGCTCACTGCAAGCTCCGCCTCCTGGATTCACACCATTCTCTTGCCTCAGCCTGCCACCACGCCCAGCTAATTTTTTTTTTTTTGTATTTTTAGTAGAGACGGGGTTGATCTCCTGACCTCATGGTCCGCCCGCCTCGGCCTCCCAAAGTGCTGGGATTACAGGCGTGAGCCACCGCGCCCAGCCCAATTCATAAAATTCTTGAGTGGCCTTGTCAGTTCTGCCCTCTTTTGTGCAATTTAAAGATATTTGTTGATGGGGTGGGGGAAAAACTTGGCATTTTCTCTTCTCTTTTTCTTCAATTCCCTCTTTTCCTTTCACCACCCTTCCTTATAACCGATTCTCTCCCAGAAACACTTTCTATGAGGCTGCCACTCCTGGTACCACACATTTTTAAGGCTGTGTCCCAAAGACAGGGCTGTGATCTACCAAGTACTAACCTGTGTTCAGTATTTTACACTTGTTATGTCACATTTTCCCCCCTGGAGATTGTGTCTGTGCTTCCTCTAAGTCCTAAACTCCATTCTGCTTTGTCCATATAATGCTTTAACCTCCCTTTCCTCACTCCACACACCCACAGGCTTATGGTGGTGGCAGGATCCCTGTTGCAAACCTTTTCTTCTACTTACAGGTAATTTGAAGTTGCAGTATTCTGCCCTGTGTAATTTTTATTTGTCCTACTTGATTTTATGGTTGTTTTGGGAGAGTGAGGGACAGATTTACAATGAGGTTACCGCTATTGTTCTCCGGCCCCAGAAGTCTCTGCATGCTTTTCTTTTTTGTTTTCTTTTTCTTTTCTTTTCTTTTTTTTTTTTTTTTTTTTTTTTTGAGATGGAGTCTCTGTCACCTAGGCTGGAGTGCAGTGCCGCAATTTTGGCTCACTGCAGCCTCTGCCTCCTGGGTTCCAGTGATTCTCCAGCTTCAGCCTCCTGAGTAGCTGGAATTACAGGCACACGCCACCACGCCGGGGTAATTTCTGTATTTTTAGTAGAGATGGGGTTTCGCCATGTTGGCCAGGCTGGTCTGAAACTCCTGACCTCAGGTGATCCACCTGCCTTGGCCTTCCAAAGTGCTGGGATTACAGGCGTGAGCCACCATGTCTGGCCTGTATGCTTTTAATACACAGATACATTTCAGTATCTAGTCGTGATGAAAACCATTGAAAACTAGCAATAGAAAGGACGTATCTTGGCTGGGTGTGGTGGCTCATGCCTGTAAACCAGCACTTTGGGAGGCTGAGGCGGGCAGATCACCTGAGGTCAGGAGATCATGACCAGTCTGGCCAACGTGGTGAAACCCTGTCTCTACTAAACATGCAAAAATTAGCCGGGCATGGTGGCACGCACCTGTAATCCCAGCTACTCAGCATTCTGAGGCAGGAGAATTGCTTGAAACCTGGGAGGCGGAGGTTGCAGTAAGCTGAGATCGTGCCATTGCACTCCAGCCTGGGCGACAAGAATGAGACTTTGTCTCAAAAGAAAAAAAAACCAACCAACCAACCAAACAAACAAAAAATAATAATTAGTTGGGCATGGTGGCACCTGCCTGTAGTCCCAGCTACTTGGGAGGCTGAGGCAGAAGAATCACTTAAACCTAGTAGGCAGAGGTTGCAGTGAGCTGAGATTGTCCCACTGTACTCCAGCCTGGGCCACAGAACAAGACTCCATCTCAAAAAAAAAAAAAAAAGGAGGTATCTTGTGATCTTGTGGTATTATCAATGGTTATAAATGATAGTTATAAGTGGAGCTGAGTGTTGGGAATGGCCATAAGATTAGCAAAGGTAATGTATTGGGCTGGGTGCAGTGGCTCATGCCTGTAATTCCAGCACTTTGGGAGGCTAAGGCAGGAGTTCAAGACCAGCCTGGGCAACACAGTGTGACTTTGTCGTTATAAAAAATAAACAGCCAGGCGCGGTAGCTCATGCCTGTAATCCCAGCACTTTGGGAGGCCGAGGCGGGTGGATCACGAGGTCAGAAGTTTGAGACCAGCCTGACCAACATGGTGAAACCCCGTCTCTACTAAAAATGCAAAAATTAGCTGGGCATGGAGGCACGCGCCTGTAATCCCAGCTACTAGGGAGGCTGGGGTAGGAGAATCGCTTGAACCCAGGAGGCAGAGGTTGTAGTGAGCCGAGATCGTACCACTGCACTCCAGCCTGGGTGACAGGGCAAGACTCTGTCTCAAAAATAATAATAATAAAATAAAATAAAAAATAAACAAAATTAGCCAGTCATGATGGCGTGCACCTGTGGTCCCAGCTACTCAGGAGGCTGAGGTGGGAGGGTTGCTTGAGCCAGAGAGGTAGAGGCTGCAGTGAGCCAAGATCACGCCACTGCACTCCAGCCTGGGTGACAGAGTGTAACATACTGTACATTAGTGGCTTTAGATTGTGTCATTGAGTGGAAAGTAAATGTCAAATTTGAGAAAATTGAGAAGCATCTTTTTAATATTGAGAGTAAGACAATAAATACTAGTTTTTATGCTGCTACTGCTCAATATAGTATTGGTGATCCTGGCATGGCAATAAATAAAGAAGAAATAAGGTATTCTATATAAGGATTAAAAAGAAATTAACATCATTATTTGAAGATAATGGCTTAAACAGAAACTCTGCAAATCCTTAGAATAAGAAAGTTCAGGCCGGGTGTAGTGGCTTGCACCTGTAATCCCAGTGCATTGGGAGGCTAAGGTGGGAGGATTGCTTGAGCCCAGGAGTTTGAGACCAGCTGGGGCAGCATAATGAGATCCCATCTCTACAAAAAATTAAAAAATGAGCCGGGTGTGGCGGTGCATGTCTGCAGTCCTAGCCACTTGGGAGGCTGAGGTGGGAAGGTCACTTGAGCCTGAAGAGTTCAAGGCTACAGTGTTATGATCATGCCACTGCACTGCACTCCAGCCTGGGAGACAGAGCAAGACCCTGAGACCCTGTCTCAAAAAACAAAGCAAAAAACCCTCACTAAATTGAACACAACATCAACGTTCAATAGCCATTCCCCTTCTCCTTTGCTAATAAAATTCCAGTTTCTTTGTGTTCCATCGCAGGACCATGATTTATCTAAACTGGTCATTCTTGGTCAATACATTTGGCTAAAAATAAATAATATCAAAATTGGTCACAGCAAATCTATTCTTTTTTTTTTTTCTCGGCTCACTGCAACCTCTGCCTCCTGGGTTCAAGCAATTCTCTGCCTCAGCCTCCCGAGTAGCTGGGAATACAGGTGCCCGCCACCATCCCTGGCTAATTTTTGTATTTTTAGTAGAGTGGGGTTTCATCATCTTGGCCAGGCTGGTCTTGAACTCCTTACCTCGCAATCTACCCACCTTGGCCTCCCAAAGTGCTGGCTCTGTCACCCAGGCTGGAGTGCAGTGGTGCAATCATGGCTCACTGCAGCCACAGCCTCCCTGGGCTCAGATGATTCTCCCACTTTAGCCTCCCAAGTCGCTGGGATTAAAGTCACATGCCACCATGCCCAGCAAATTTTTCCTTTTTTTTTTTTTTTTTTTTTTTTGTAGAGACGGGGTATCCCTACCTTGCCCAGGCTGGTCTTGAACTCCTGGCCTCAAAGGATCCTCCTGCTTCAGTCTCCCAAAGCACTGGGTCTATTATTCCCTTTCTTATTCAAACTGAATTCTGCATTTTCAAGGCCTTGAATTTTCAAATACAGCTTTTTCTTTCCCTGAATTTGTTTGGGATTCAAATACAGCTTTTACTCTCAATTGAAAATTCTATGTTGATGATGTTGACAAGATTCTCTCCTTTGACCAAAACTTTGGGCAGGCCCCTCTGAGTCCTTTCTGATTAGGCCTGACCTTGGGCTTCCCTCTCTGTCCTTGTAGAATATAGTTTGAAAAAAAAATCCTGCTAAATCATTTTAGAAAAAATCTCCCATCTTTGATATCTTATCAATGTAGTCAGCTTCCAGCAATAATCCTATCAAGTCAGTTTAGCCAGAAACCCCTTATCTTTGATGTTTTCTCTTAGTAATTTTCCATCAACTGACCCCATTCTGTTCCTTGGATATACACCTCCACTTGTCCCTGTTAAAATCAGAGTCCTATCTCTCTCCCCTACTGCAAGACCCCATTGCAGTAGGCCCTATACCTATGTCCATGCCCCCCATTGTGTCTTATGATCTTTAGCAAGTGTCATAAATACATTTTTCTTTTTTTTTTTTCCTTTTTTTTCTGAAACGGAGTCTCGCTTTGTCATCCAGGCTGGAGTGCAGTGGCGCGATCTCGGCTCACTACAAGCTCCGCCTCCTGGATTCATGCCATTCTCCTGCCTCAGCCTCCCAAGTAGCTGGGGCTACAGACGCCCGCCACCACGCCCAGCTAATTTTTTTTTTTTTTTTTTTTTTTTTTTTTTTTTTTTTTTTTTTTAGTAGAGACAGGGTTTCACTGTGTTAGCCAGGATGGTCTTGATCTCCTGACCTCATGATCCGCCTGCCTTGGCCTCCCAAAGTGCTGGTATTACAGGCGTGAGCCACGCTCCCGGCCATAAATACATTTTTCTTTTTTCCTTTGAGACAGGGTCTTACTCTGCCACCCAGGCTGGGTACAGCAGTGCCATCATGGCTCACTGCAGCTTCAACCTCTGAGGCTCAAGTGATCCTCTCACCTCAGCCTTCCAAGTAGCTGGGACCAGAGGTGCACTCCACCATGCCTGGTTAATTTTTACCCATTTTTTGTAGAGATGGGGGTCTCACTATGTTACCCAGGCTGGTCTTGAACTCCTTGGCTCAAGTGATCCATCACCCTTAGCCTCCGAAAGTGCTAACATTGCAGGCATGAGCCACGGTGCCCAGCCTACATTTCTCTTTCTTCTTTTCTTTTCTATTTTTTTTTTTTTTTTTTTTTTTTTTTTTTGAGATGGAGTCTCGCCCTGTCACACAGGCTGGAGTGCAATGGTGCGATCTCGGCTCACTGCAACCTTCATCTCCCAGGTTCAAGTGATTCTCCTACCTCAGCCTACAGAGTAGCTGGGACTACAGGCGCACGCCACCACACCTGGCTAATTTTTGTATTTTTAGTAGAGACGGGGTTTCACCATGGTGGCCAGGATGACCTGGATCTCCTGACCTCGTGATCCATCTGCCTTGGCCTCCCAAAGTGCTGGGATTACAGGTGTGAGCCACCGCGCCCGGCCCATTTTTCTCTCTCCCTCTCTTTTTTTAATACAGACGGGGTCTTATTATGCGGCCCAGGCTGGTCTCTAACTCGGGCTCATCCGCACATCTCGGCCACCCAAAGTGCTGGGATTACAGGTGTGAGCCACAACGTCTGGCCTACATTTTTCCTAAGAGTGTTGAATATTAAAAGGATGCTTGAGGCTGGGGCGGGCGAACTGCTTGAGCCCATGAGTCTGAGACCAGCCTGGGCAATATGGCAATACCCCATCTCTACAAAAACACAAAAAATTAGCTGGGAGTGGTGGGGCATGCCTGTAGTCCCAACTACTTGGGAGGCTAAGGCAGGAGGATCCCTTGAACTTGGGAGGTAGAAGATGCAGTGAGCTGTGATCGTGCCACTGCATTCCAGCCTGAATAACAGAGCAAAACCTTGTCTCCAAAAAAAAAAAAAAAAAAAAAAAAAAAAAAAAAAAAAAGAATGCTTGCAATAGAGGAAGTTAATAAAAATGCAAGAACTGAAAGAAAATTGAAGATTTATAACTTTCTACTTTAAAGCAAATCCTAGTCACTCAAAGAGGGAAAATATATTCCAATTTCAGTGGCAGAAGAGAAGCAGCACATAGATCAAAGCCCTAACAAAGGACTATACTACAACAGATCTGGCTGATTAATAATAAAGTTTCCTCTGTAAAACCTGGACCTTGATATTGGCCTACAGTAGACTTTATATTTAAAAATGCTAGGCTGGGCGCGGTGGCTCACGCCTGTAATCTCAACACTTTGGGAGGCCGAGGTGGGCAGATCACGAGGTCAAGAGACCAAAACCATCCTGGCTAACATGGTGAAACCGTCTCTACTAAAAATACAAAAAAAATTAGCCAGGCGTCGCGGGGAGCGCCTGTAGTCGCAGCTACTCGGGAGGCTGAGGCAGCAGAATGGCGTGAACCCTGGGAGCTTGCAGTGAGCCAAGACTGCGCCACTGCACTCCAGCCTGGGTGACAGAGCGAGACTCCGTCTCAAAAAAAAAAAAAAAAAAAAAATGCTAGAGAGGGCCAGATGCGGTGGCTCAAGCCTGTAATCCCAACACTTTGGGAGCCCACGGTGGGCGGATCACCTGAGGTCGGGAGTTTGAGACCAGCCTGACCAACATGGAAAGCCCGTCTCTACTAAAAATACAAAAATTAGCTGGGCGTGGTGGCACATGCCTGTAGTCCCAGCTACTCAGGAGGCTAAGGCAGGAGAATCGCTTGGACCTGGGAGGTGGAGGTTGCGGTGAGTCGAGATCGCGCCACTGCACTCCAGCCTGGGCAACAAGAGCGAAACTCTATCTCAAAAAAAAAAAAAAAAAAAAAAAAAGGCTAGAGGGCTGGGTGAGGTGACTCACGCTTATAATCTCAGTGCTTTGGGAGGCTGAGGTGGGAGGATTGCTTGAGGCCAGGAGTTTGAGATTAGCCTGGGCAACATAGCAATACCCTGACTCTACAAAAATAAAAAATAAAAAATGAGCCAGGTGTCGTGGTGCATGTTTAGTCCTGGCTACCTGGGTGGCTGAGGTGGGAGGATTGCTTGAGTCCAGGAGTTCGAGGCTGCAGTGAGCTATGATCATACTACTGCACTCCAGGATGCGGGGCAGAGCGAGACTGTCTTTAAAAAAATGCTAGAGAAGACAACTTACAGTTACCATTAAATATGACTTGAAACCTCCAGAGGAAGTCCAAAACTAAAATATAAGATTCTGAACATACACTAATGCCAAAAGTGCCCAGTTTTATCATTTAATAGCTGAGCCTGTTTTCTGTTTTGTAAAATGAAGTAATACCTACCTTCTAGTGATGAGAATTGAAAATACCATCCACAAAGCAAGTAACACAATCCATAGACCAGGATCTCAGCAAACATAGCTTTTAAACAAAGTTTGCACTTACAAAGAAAAATAAAACCTATACTGAACCTTCATGAACCATAAGTTGTCAGCTAAACAAGCCAAAGAATAGCTCCATGTCTAAGCTGCTGTTTATCCTTGTTCAGCTGACATTAAATGGCAGGTCCTAGGGAAGGTTATGAGGTCTGCATTGTTCCCCTTGGAACTGCCCAGCTCACCCCACCTTCACATGTTTTTCCCTGTTACTGCCTTTTCTTCAAGTCTGAATAAAACCCTTCAGCTCTTTGTACTTTCTCCAAGATACCAAAAAAAAAAAAATTTCAAATTAGAGTAAAATTTAGTTTCTACATCTTACTTCTTTCAGATCCTGACCTTTTTAAATAGATTCTAATTGGAACAAAAAAACCTTTGTGTCCCTTTTGAAGAAATTTCAGAAATCACGTGATCAAAGAATAAGCAGTTGACTTGCAAATTCGCAGCTGCTGGTTGGTAAGGGGCTTCTGTAGTTTGAAAAAAGGTATTCTAAAAATTACCATTGTTTTTGTCATAGTATTTATTTTGATATTCCAAATAATACTAAAAAAGAGTATGACCGTTTAAAAATATAAATATATTAAGAGTGTAAGTTTTAAAAAATTAGATAAACATTGCTCTAGTTTTTTGTGAAACATAAAACTGTATCTCTGTTTTTCTGTGCCTTCTTATTAAAATACAGATGGCACAGCTTTCATATAGCTTTAACAACTTGATTATAAATTGCTTTCAAAAGTAACTTATTTGGATTTTCCATATCCTTTAATGAATTGCAAATATATTAACAGAAAAGACTTTCCCCCTCAACACTGTACAATTTCTGAAATAAGTCAGTTAAAGCAAAAAGAAGACACAAAATTACATTGTTTCAATGCAAACAGAACACACACTTCATACCCACACTTGCATTTTCCCAGGTTTTCACAAAGAAAATGGGTCACCATATTTCTCAGTGAAGACTCATACTATACTCTGGCTAATCAGAGACTTCCAAACTTTTTTCTTCAAAAAGAGCATTTTTAATAGACTAAATACTGGTTATCACTGAGTTTTTGTTTAAGGTACAACAGCAGCATGGTTCAAATGTTACTTGTAGTTCTCGGAAAAATTAAAAATTTTAAGTGATGAATACAGAAAATGTAGGGACCACCTTTCATTCTTTTGAGTACCACTGTTCTCTTGAAAAAATATTCTAACCTTCTAAAATCCCAGAGTTAAGAACCATTTCCAAGGGGAAAAACAAATCCAAGGCCACAACATAACTTCTGAACAAGTGTGTGCGCGTATATATATATGTATATAGATGTATTAAGTTGGTGCAAAAGTAATTGCAGGTTTTGCCATAAAAGTCATGGCAAAAACCACAATTACTTATGCACCAACCTAATATATGTGTGAAACAGAGAAAAGGATGTCAAACTACTTAATTTAATTTCTGTAAAATAAACTTCTGAAATTTGAAGCAAACATTTTGCTTGATCAAAATGTGTTCTTCTTCGGGTTGTTTGATCCCCATTCCATGCAAAAAACAAAACCAAACAAAAAAAGAAACTGCAAAAGCCAGAAAGTGTTACTACGTGGGAAATAAGGCTTCAAATACCTAAATGACTTTGAAAGTAGGTATGAGGAAAAATAAAATAGGCCAAGCTTGGGCGGAAACTGTCCCCCAACCAGCCATTGCCATGGCATGTCTTACAAAACGATCCTTTTATCCTTGGTCTCAAAAAATCAGTACCAGAAAGACTCTCACCTCTGGCACATAAATTCCTGCTACAAAAAGATAATTATACTTCAGCAAGTTATGTTCTAAGCTTAGCTTTCTCCAGGCTTTATAACGCAGAACTCAGGTTGAAGCTTTCTATAAAACTCTAAATGACACTGTTATACAGCACCTTGTGCTTTGCCAATTAAAAAAATAAAAGAATCTAAAATTAAATATTACAGAACTAATGGATAATACAATAGCATACGTGTTAGAATCCAAGTGCTAGCCTCTGGGAATTTTTCATTATATTTATTTTCTCCCAACTGTTCCTTTTTTTTAAAAAAGTATTGTTTTAGACAGTACATATACATAAATTTAGGTAGGGAAATCTGTTAAATATCTCTCTGGCACCTGATACCTAAAGACCCTGACTTGAATTAATTTATAAATTGTACCTAATCCATGTTCAAATGAGATTAACAGTAAATTATAGAAAATTACTGAGTCTACAGACTAAAATTTTTTTCACATCTTTTGTAATCCACCTTATTTTCACAGCTTGACTAACAAATACAGGTAAGTTTGTCCTCCATCAAATAATCCAGAATAATAACTGTAGGCCTGTCATTCATAAGAAACTATAATTTGTTATATTCTGACACTGGCACTTAATAAAATGTTAACAACTAAAATTTCTCTAAAAATTTCAATACATTACAGTAAAGGAGATAAACAATTTAAGACTGTTTAAATCTGTTACTGTGGAATTCCAATAATTATCATTTTATATGCATAATTGAATTCTTAAAATTGTGGCCATTTTCCAAAGACACCAATCTATATTATGACAAACTCAGAAGAGAACCTATCTCCTTCATAAGAATGTTTTTTCCCCCAAGCTAAAAATTTCCAACATCCTAAACCCAATTACTCTTAGTAAATGTTTTGGTGACTCACACTACTGAAAAAATCTGAAGCAGAGAGTCAAAAAGAATGGAAAGGATCTCAACCAAAGGTAACCACACATTCTTACACTCTGCTTAAGCAAACACTTAGAAAAGTCAAAGGGATGTTTTGAACAAATATAGATTCAAGGTTATGGTACAATTCTGATTATATTAAGGCTTTCACTATCATGATCTCTTAAAAGTCTCTCCACTTTAGTGTTCTCCTTCTGATTCATATGGTGAACTTAAGGGGTTATTAAGGGCCTTGTTTTGGCTTCTCAGTGGGGAACCACTCTATCATCTCTGAATGTTAAAGGTGATCCCACAGAGCTCAAAGAGAAGAGGCAATATGGTAAGAAACAATTTTAAAGTTTGCAATACCAAGACAACAATGATCAACACTTTGAAGCAAGATGAATAAATTAAAATTCTTGGTTAGACATTAAAGCATTCTTGCCAAGAATAAGAGTACACTGTATGGAGGGATATTTGATTCCTACATACGAGTCCCAATATGCCCATTACATTTGTTTATGGGAGATACTGCAAGTTTAAGGTAATTTACATTCCTTGGCAATCAAGTCACTGTTATAGGCAACGTCTTTTATTGTTCCATCTGGCACTTGCAAACACCATTCTTGAAGAACCTAGAAATGAAGGTCAGTTACTCTGTTTATCAGGAACAGAACCAAATAAAAACAAATTTTTGAAAAAGCAACCAAGAAACTCTGGTTCATCACTATTTTCCATATCTAATGGTTCCTTCAAGATAAAGCATAACTCTTCCTTTCATGATACTTTCCAACAAAGGGAGATTAAAGAAAAACAGAAAAGAAAGTTCCCCACCCTACCCCCCATAAATTGTCATTCATACTGGTAAAAGAGCCAGTCTTGTTAGCAGCTAAATATTGCACTGCCTTTCATTCTGTATACAGTCAGGGTCCAATGAAAGTGGCACACTCATGGTATAAGTGACGGACGATGACACCGCCAGCTCAAGAGTAAAGACTCAGTATACAGAGGGACAAGAAACACGTCAGCACTAGTCACACATCCAGTTGTAAAAGTCTGATTTCCAGAAGTTAAAATTCATCACTTTCAGCTGCATGAAGTTGTGTGTCATCCGCATCTGTCATGCTGCTCTCCTGGGATTCATCTGTTCCCACTTTAAAAATAAAACAGAAGTCCACAGTAAGTTTTCTGACAAATATGTCCTGTTGGTTCATGAAAACAAGTAAGAAAAATTGTATTATATTCAGAGAGATAAAACCCTAAATAAAGGCCCTTAAAAATCCTCATATCCTTTAATAAAATGCAACTCAAGTTTCCTAACTTTATAATAGGTCTGATATTAGCTTACTGCATTTTACCTTTAAGTTTTAACTACCAAAACTGCCTCTTCCTAATGAGTTCCTTATTCCTGCCCTAGGAATTACAACTAGCTAGTTCTCTGAGACATTAAAAAAAAAAAATTGACATTTCCCCCAACCTCCAATCACTGACTCCACTTTAAGAATACTCCCTGCTAGTCCACAGAAACACAGACTATAACCTTCAGTTTCAAAAGGTTTATGGGGTCAGTCTATCAGTCAATCAATCAATCAATCATCTATCTTGCTCTGTCACCTAGGCTGGAGTGCAGTGGCACAATCATAGCTCACTGCAGCCTCAAACTCCTGGGCTCAAGTGGTATGATTCTCCTGCCTCAGCCTCCCAAGTAGCTGGGACTATAGACACGTACCACCACAGCCAGCTACTTTTAAAAATTTGTTTAGAGACAGGGTCTCACTGGCTAGTCGTGAAATCCTAGGCTCAAGCAATCCTCCCACCTCAGCCTCCTGAGTAGCTGCGATTACATACGCAAGCCATCATGCCTGGCATATATATACTTTTTTTTTTTTTTTGAGACAGAGTTTCATTCTTGTCATCCAGGTTGGAGTGCAATGGCGTGATTTCGGCTCACTGCAACTTCAGCCTCCTGGGTTCAAGCAATTCTCCTGTCTCAGCCTCCCGAGTAGCTAGGATTACAGGCGCCCGCAACCACGCCCAGCTAATTTTTGTATTTTTAGTAGAGACGAGGTTTCACCATGTTGGTCAGCTGGTGTCATCTCCTGACCTCAGGTGATCCACCCACCTCCACCTCCCAAAGTGTTGGAATTACAGGCCTGAGCCACTGCGACTGGCCCCATGGCTTATAATTTTAATTAAAGCCTTTCACCAAGTTTTCTGGAACAAAGGCATCTAATCAGAATTTATCTTGTCAGAAATTTCTCCATTCTGTTATTTAAAAAACTACATTTTTATGAAGCAGATAAAACAGTACTGGTTACATATTCAAACATAAATTGAGGTCCAGGTAAAACTTAGCAATGAATTTGTCAAAGTCACACAGCAAACTAGATCCAGAACAGAGACTCATTATCTGACTTTATATGCATTTTGTTATTACATCACCCTGTTCAATTTCCCTAAAAGTCCATTTGGTATAATGAAAACACCATGGTTAGAAAAATAAAATAAAAGAGTAGCCTACAAATCCTTATGCAAAAGGTAACTTTCTAAATACTCAAAATCATATGTATGATACTTACTGATCTGTTCTTCTTGGGTTATTGGCTCCTCATCATCTGGAAGATAACGCTTATCAATTGCCTCTTTAATCTGGTTATTGGCTCCTTTAGGATCTAAATCCATAGCCCAAGAGAAATTCATCAGGGCGAGGTGCGTTTGACCTAACTTCTTGTAAACCTAAAAATAAACAGCAGCACTACATTTTTCATTAAGTTGTGAGCTTCAACTATAAAATTCTAACTATATATATACTTATTTATTTATTTTTGAGATGGAGTCTCACTCTATTACCCAGGCTAGAGTGCAATGGCACGATCTTGGCTCACTGCAACCTCCACCTCCCAGGTTCAAGCGATTCTCCTGCTTCAGTCTCCTGAGTAGCTCGGACTACAGGTGCCCACCACCACCCCTGGCTAATTTTTGTATTTTTAGTAGAGACAGGGTTTTGCCATGTTAGCTAGGCTACTCTCAAACTCCTGACTCAGATGATCCACCTGCCTCCCAAAGTGCTGGGATTACAGGTGTGAGCCACCGCGCCCAGCCTCTACAATTCTAAATATTTATAATTTAAATTAGGCTCCTGATTTATGTGCTCTAAACTCATTCTAAGGGTAGGACATTTTCTTCCTACAGATGAACTCATACCAGCTTTTGAGTTCCTTTTAATATAATCAGACATTATTTTCAGAATTCCTTGCTTCTATCTTTCAGGTAGTAAGTTTCCAATAAATATCACTCTGACTGGAGCAATGATAATGGGATTAAATGGATTATAAACTGCTTAATTAACTTTCATTTACAGTGATTTTAAATTGAGTTATATCAACTCTTTACAACTGTCCACAGTCACCTTAACTAATTGGCATATGGAGGTCTAGTCTGTAAAAAACTGACTAGTCTGGCCTTGGGACTCTCAGAAGCCATTTCTCTTAATCAAGACAACACAGTGCCATTCATGTTCTTCTACTTTTTTTTCTACTTTTTTTTTTTTTTTTTTTTCTTTCTGAGACAGAATCTTGTTCTCTTGCCCAGGCTGGAGTGCAGTGGGGTGATCTTGGCTCATGGCAACCTCTGCCTCCCAGGTTCAAGTGATTCTCGTGCCTCAGCCTCTGGAGTAGCTGGGATTACAGGCATGTGTCACCATGCCCAGCTAATTTTTTGTATTTTTAGTAGAGGTCAGGTTTCACCATGTTGGTCAGGCTGGTCTTAAACTCCTGACCTCACGTAATCTACCTGCCTAGGCCTCCCAAAGTGCTGGGATTACAGGCGTGAGGCACCATGCCTGGCTAGGATATCATTTTCTTAAGTGTTAGAACTAAATCTGTTATTCCCAGAGCACTCAGTTCGGAGCTTTAGTTTAATTTGCTCAATAGATATGTACAGGAAGTATTACATTTATTCTTATAAAATGTCATTATTTGCTATGAAAGTCACTGTTTGGGACCATGACCCCAGTCTTTACCTTTCCTATTAAGAAGTAAACGAGGGATTCTTTGGGAACAATTTGTTTCAATTCTTCAAGTTCTTGTAAAGCAGACTGAAAAAGGCAAAGAAAAACCTTAAAGTAGCAAAAATTTTTAAAGTTTTGACCAAGCGTTTTTACTTATTTGATTTCCCAAATCATCTTCACAAAAGCTAACTAAATCTTAATCAATATACTTCCTTATTGTATTAGTTCTTATTGCTGTGAAAATAAAATGCATACTTATATGACAATAGGTACTAAGAAATGGCAGGCACTCTAGTACACTGAAAACACACACACACACACACACACACACACACACCCCTCTTCGTGAAATATGCAGGTGGTAACAATCCTTGCTTTTGGTCATCTATCTATCTATCTATCTATCTATCTATTCATTTTTATTTATTGAGGTGGAGTCTCGCTCTGTCGCCCAGGCTGGAGTGCAGTGGCGCCATCTCTGCTCTCTGCAATCTCCGCTTCTCAGATTCAAGCAATTCTCCTGCCTCAGCCTCCCGCGTAACTGGGATTACAGGCATGCGCCACCACACCCAGCTAATTTTTGTATTTTTAGTAGAGACGGGGTTTCACCATGTCAGCCAGGCTGGTCTTGAACTCCTGACCTCAAGTAATCTGCCCGCCTCAGCCTACCAAAGTGCTGGGATTACAGGCGTGAGCCACCATGCCCGGCCCAGTGATTTATTTTTTAACGAAAAATAACTATATAATTTTTCAGAACAACAAAAAGTTATTGAGAAGAGTGGCATTAACATTTTTGCAAGTCTCTGTTAGTAGAAGACAGCTAGATTCTCACATCTATCTGCTTCTCCATTTAATCTGTTTCAATATCACATATTATGTAGCTTTTGGAAAATTCTACTGTCCATTTGGACAGAATGAGAGTGAAAAAGGTAAATAACGTCAAGATATTATTGTAAAAATAGCTTTGACCTCTAGGACTCCTTGGAAGGATTTTAGGGACCCCCAGAAATTCCCAGACCACTCTGAGAATTATTACTTTAAAGACATCTTTTTTTCTTTTTTGAGATGGACTCTCATTCTGTCACCCAGGCTGGAGTGCAGTGGTGCGATCTCTGCTCACTGCAACCTCTGCCTCCTGGGTTCAAGTGATTCTCCTGCCTCAGCCTCTCGAGTAGCTGGGATTACAGGGGCTTACCTGTAATGCCTAATTTTGTTTTGTATTTTTAGTAGAGATGGGGTTTCACTAAAGTTGCCCAGGCTGGTCTTGAACTCCTGACCTCAGGTGATCCACCTGCCTTGGCCTCCCAAAGTGCTAGGATTACAGTTGTGAGCCACTGCACCCGGCCTTACTTTAAAGAAATCTTTTTTTTTTTTTTTTTTTTTTTTTTTTTGAGATGGCGTTTCACTCTATCACCCAGGCTGGAGTGTGGTGTCGTGATCTTGGCTCGCTACAACCTCTCCCTCCCAGTGTCAAGTGATTCTCCTGCCTCAGCCTCCTGAGCAGCTGGAATTACAGGCGTGTGCCACCATGCCTGGCTAATTTTTGTATTTTTAGTAGACACGCGGTTTCACCATATTGGCCAGCTGGTCTCGAACTTCTGACCTCAAGTGATCCTCTCACCTTGGCCTCCCAAAGTGCTGGGATTACAGGCGTGAGCCATCATGCCTAGCCTTTAAAGAAATCTTTTTTTTTTTCCCTGAGATGGAGTTTTGCTCTGTCGTCCAGCCTGAAATGCAGTGGCTCACTGCAACTCCCACCTCCCAGGTTGAAGCGATTCTCCTGCTTCAGCCTCCCAAGTAGCTGTGATTACAGGCGCCCGCCACCATGCCTGGCTAATTTTTGTATTTTTAGTAGAGATGGGGTTTCACCATGTTGGCCAGGCTGGTCTTGAACTCCTGACCTCGTGATCCACCCGCCTCAGCCTCCCAAAGTGCTGGGATTACAGGCGTGAGCTGCTGCGCCTGGCCTTTAAAGAAATCTTAATCTCTAAGATGACACACTCCAATCCTCCTTCACTGCTACAACACACACAATTCAGAATTGATATGTTTTCTTTCTATGATTGCATATTATAATTGTTATCAACATTTCATGCAACCAGCATGCCTATCCCCACCCCCAGCGATCTAATTACAAGGACTCATTGAGAAATAGTGTCTCACATAGCATCAGAGCTCTTACTTTTACCTTAAAGACTTAAGATTTAAATAATTAAATATCAGTACAGCACATTAAATAAGGTGATGGCTAGCAATGTTTTAGAGATGTTGAAATGGCCCCCTTGATTTTCATTTTGGAGCCAGAAAATCTCAGAAGCAATCATTAACTTTTCTTTCTTTTTTTCAAGTGACCAGGGAATGACACAGCCCCAGGAGATCCTGAGAACATGTACCTTTTAACTTTTCCTTATGCCCTTTTCATACAGTCACATTTCTATATCTAATCCATGCAGCAAATTAGGCCTCATAATTCAGCGAAGCCCCAAGCTCATACCCAAAAATGGCTATAACTGGGAGTTTTTCTGAGTCTACTGTGGCTCAGGGGGCTGCCTGATATAATAATGATAATGATAATAACAACAAAAGAGGGAGTCTCTCTGGTCCTACTTTGGATTGGAAGGCTGCCTAATTAAACAATCAAAGAAAACCCCACAAAAATGGCTATCACTATATATATCATAGTCCAGACAACTGATGAGATTAGAACTTGGGTTTCTTGAAGCAAGTAAACGCTGATTTATGTGGCCTATCTGGTAGGTATGTTGGTATTAAAATGGCTTTAAGAATAATGAATAAAGTCCTTCATATCTAAAGAGGTACATAAAGCAAATACATAAAAACAAATACTGATTTGCAATTATAGTACTTCAAAGAGTAGTTAAAAGTTGAAACGGGCTTATTAGATTTAAAATAAGCTTTATGAAAAAAATTTTTTTTTGAGACAGAGTCTCCCTCTGTTGCCCAAGCTGGAATGCAGAGGTGTGATCTGGGCTCACAGCAACCTCCGCCTCATGGGTTCAAGCGATTCTCATGCCTCAGCCACTTGAGTAGCTGGGATTACAGGAGTGCACCACCAGGCCCAGCTAATTTTTGTATTTTCAGTAGAGACAGGGTTTCACCATGTTGGCCAGGCTGGTCTTGAACTCCTGGCCTCAAGTGATCTGGCTGCCTTGGCCTGTCAAAGTGCTGGGATTACAAGCATGGGCCACGGCACCTGGCCCTAAAAGAAGGTTTTTAAAGACTCCAGTTAGATAAAAAAATTAGCTGAGCATGGTGGCTTATGCCTGTAGTCCTGGGTACAAGGAATTCAGCCTAGGAATTTGAGGCTTCAGTGAGCTATGATTGCACCACTGCACTCCAGCTTGGGCAACAGAGCAAGAAAAACAAAAACTAAAGAAAGACAAGCTTTTTAAAAGGACAAAACCAGTAAAAATAGAAACCCGTGTCTTCATAAAGAAGATAGAATAAAACTAAAGGAATTACTAGATAAATTATATATTTAATCCCTTTGTATATCTTTATTAGCCTATTTTTACGTTTTTTTTTGAGATGGAGTTTCACTCTTGTTGCCCAGGCTGGAGCGCAGTGGTGTGATCTCAACTCACTGCAACCTCTGCCTTCCAGTTTCAAGCGATTCTCCTGCCTCAGCCTCCCAGGTAGCTGGGATTACAGGTGCCCACCACCATGCCCGGCTAATTTTTGTATTTTTAGTAGAGACGGGGTTTCACCAAGTTGGCCGGGCTGGCCTCAAACTCCTGACCTCGTGATCTGCCCGCCCCAGCCTCCCAAAGGGCTGGGATTACATACGTGAGCCACTGTGCCTGGCCCTATTTTTTTTTTGTTTTTTAAGACAGGGTCTAGCTTTGTGGCCCAGGCTGAAGTGCAGTGGCGCGAAAACAGCTCACTGCAACCTCCGCCTCCTGAGCTCAAGCCATCCTCTCATTTCAGCTTCCTGAGTAGCTGAGAGTACAGGCACACGTCACCACACCTGGCTAATTTTTGTATTTTTTTTGGTAGAGATGGGGTTTTGCCATGTTGCCCAGGCTGGTCTCAAGTTCCGTGGACTCATGTGATCTGCCTGCCTCTTCCTCCAAAGTGACGGGATTATAGGGATTTTTATTAGTATTAAAAAAAAGTTATCACTGGTTTGGTATATTTCTTTCTATTTTTCTTTTGTGAGACAGAGTGTTGCTGTTGCCCAGGCTGGAATGCAGTGGCGTAATCTTGGCTCACTGCAACCTCTGCCTCCTGGGTTCAAGTGATTCTCGTGCCTCAGCCTCCCAAGTAGCTGGGTCTACAGGTGCACACCACCATGCCTGGCTAATTTTTGTATTTTTGGTAGAGATGGGGTTTCACCCTGTTGGCCAGGCTGGTCTCGAACTTCTGACCTCAAGTGATTTGCCCACCTTGGCCTCCCGAAGAGCTGGGATTACAGGTGTGAGCCACTGCGCCCAGCCCTGAATTTATTTTAAAAGATTTTGCTTCATGGTTTCTGATTGAATAAATGATAACAAAAATCTCGTGTCTTTTTGCCTCTTATCTCTTTCTCAGTTTCCTTATCTTCTTTTTTCAATACTTGTTTCAGGCTAAGCATACATAATTTGAAAAAGAGTGAGAAGTAAAGAGAAAGACACATCAGACTAGAACTAGTCTCCGTGTTATAAGCTCTCATAACTTAATACACTTTCCCTTTATGTATTAAACATTTATTATATTTTGTGATTATTTGGTTAATGTCTGTTTTCCTAGAGAGTACTAGATAGTAGGCCCCTCAAAAGCAGGAAAGATGATTGCTTTACTTGCCACTATATTCCTGGTGCCTGACACATACTGGGTAATCAATAAAAGCTGAATAATGCACACACATTCGTTTTCTTTTTCTGTTTTTTAATTTTTAATTTTTTTTTTTTTTTTTGAGATGAAGTCTCGCTCTGTCGCCCAGGCTGGAGAGCAGTGGTGTGATCTTGGCTCACTGAAACCTCTGCCTCCTGGGTTCAAGTGATTCTCCTGCCTCAGCCTCCCCAGTAGCTGAGACTTACAGGCACCTGCCACCATGCCCAGCTAATTTTTTGTATTTTTAGTAGAGATGGGGTTTCACCATGTGGCCCGGCTGGTCTTGAACTCCTGACTCAGGTGATCCGCCCGCCTTGGTCTCCCAAAGTGCTGGGATTACAGGCGTAAGCCACTGCGCCTGGCCCATACATTCATTTTCATCTGTTCACTTATTTTGGTCCTAAGAGGATGGTTTAAGATAACTTTAAGATAACTACCTGATGAAAAAACTGCCTTTCTATATAAGACATCTTTACAAGGGATAACTATATATTCCTAAATATCCACACACCTATCCTTCCTATGAGTATTTCATGAAGACATAAAAATCACAAAAAATGAAATTAACAGCTTGGAAAAATGTCTCAGATCAAAATTAAATAAATAACTTTCAGTTTATTGAAAACAAGGGATAACGTTGTTTTTAAGCAATACAACACTGAAGACCCTTAAGATATTTATCTTACCTTATATTTTTCATTTGCAAATAAAACTGAGGCTCTGTGAAATTTGCATAGAGGGTTCTTGGGATCAATGACAATGGCTTTGTTTAGGGTATCCAAAGCCTTCTCTGATTTTTTCAGTGCATGTTGAACCTGTAAGAAATAAAGATCATGTTAATACTCCCTCTTGATATTTATGAAGAAAGGTGAGAACCAACGTGACTCAAAACCAACATAATCAAATTATTAGAGATAAGGTTGTAGGGTCTAACTGGATTGTCCACTGCATTAAGTGGATTTAGTAATTAATTACCAAATGATTAATAGATTATCTCTAAAATCACTTCTAATTCTAGTTCAACTGCTTCACTAAAGATGAGAATACTGAAGTCTAGAGATCTTAAATAATTTGCTCTGTGATAAAAATCTAGGTCCTCTGGTACATACCTATGATGATAATCAATAGTCTATCTTTAGAGCAGATATTTGGTTACCTTTAAGTCTAAAAGGCAAGCAAAACCTTGGTGTTCTATTCATAAAAAAGATCTGTACTATTTAGCCAGATAATATTCACATTTCATCAGGTTTATGCGGTCTTTCAAATATTAGACTTCTCAAAACTGTGTTAACACTCCTGTTTACAAACCTTGTTTCACTCAGAACAATTATATTTTCAATATTTTAGGAATTTATTTGAAAAATGATTTTACTGGCCAGGTGCGGTGACTCAGGCCTGTAATCTGAGCACGTTGGGAGGCCAAGGCAGGTGGATCACGAGGTCAGGAGATCGAGACCATCCTGGCTAACACGGTGAAACCCCATCTCTACTAAAAATACAAAAAATTAGCCGGGCGTGGTGTCACACGCCTGTAGTCCGAGCTACTTGGGAGGCTGAGGCAGGAGAATTGCTTGAACCTGGAGGCAGAGGTTGCAGTGAGCCAAGATCGCGCCACTGCACTCCAGCCTGGGCGACAGAGCGAGACTCCGTCTCAAAAAATAAAAATAAAAATAAAAAAAGAGAAAAAAAAGAAAAATGATTTTACTGTTTTACATAATTGAAAATCACTGATCTCTAATACTGGGAAGCAAATAACTTAAGATATTTTAAATAACTTAAAATTTAAAAGATTTAAAAAGTACCAAACCTCACTATTCATTCATATGTGTATACTAATATTCTGCTATGCTCCTCCTTGGACAAATTATATGTTATAAAGTGGGGTGGGCTGGGCCCGGTGGCTCACGCCTGTAATCCCAGCACTTTGGGAGGCCAACGTGGGTGGATCACCTGAGGTCAAGAGTTCGAGACCAGCCTGGCCAACATGATGAAACCCCCGTCTCTACTAAAAATACAAAAAATTAGCCAGGCGTGGTGTCGGGCACCTGTAATCCCAGCTACTCAGGAGGCTGAGGCAGGAGAATCACTTGAACCTGGGAGGTGGAGGTTGTGGTAAGCTGAGATTGTGCCACTGCACTCCAGCCTGGGCAACAAGAGCGAAACTCCATCTCAAAAAAAAAAAAAATTAAATTAAAAAAGTGGGGTGAATGAATGTATGAATGTGGCTGCAGAACTTTAACAAATATCATGGTCATAAGAATGTGAGAATAGGTAGTGCCAACGTCTGCTTGCTAAACTCATCTACGCAATGATCTAATGGTGGCCAAATATTCTGCCCACAGGACTGAGACCCTAAATACTAGTTCCCGAAAAGAGAAAAGCTTACTCTCTTACCTGACAATTTCTTCAAATAAACCACTCAAAAATTTAAAACAACCTGTTCTACAATAAGTTCAGAAGAATTCCTATTTTTAAAAAAGTGTTCAACTTCACCAAAAGGTGTCAAGAGATTTAATTTTGAATTGAATAAATAAGGTGATGACAACAAAAAATAATTTTAAGTAGACACATTATCTCTCCATTTTTTCCGTAGTAGCTAACTATAAAAGAAGTTACTGTCAACTTTTTTTTCTTGCCCTGTCTTACGGTGCTGGACTATGTCCATTTTTAAGAAAATTATCATGGTCAATGTCATTATAGTCAATAGAGAATTAGAATTCTACTCTCCCCAAGATAGTGACATTTCAAACTAACAATTTCCTCACATTGTATGACCATTCCCACAAAAGCTAAACTTGCTAGGGGGAAAAAAAGAGAGAAGCTGAGGGGAGGGAGAAGGGGAAAGGGATGAGAGGATGAGAACAAGAACTTAAGGTACCGTACTTACACAGAAGCTAATAAATGCGATTTTAAAAAGCAAACAAACATAATGTACATATCTTTTCTCCTGTTAAAGTAAAATTTATTTATTTTCTTTTAAGAGATGGAGTCTCATTCTGTTGCCCAGGCTGGAGTGCAGTATCACCTTCTTAGCTCACAGCAGCCTTGCACTCCTGGGCTCAAGTGATCCTTGTGCTTCAGCCTCCCAAGTAGCCAGGACCACAGGTGTGCACCACCATGCCAGGCTAATTTTTAAATTTTTTTTGTAGAGATGGGGTCTCGCTATGTTGCCCAGGCTGGTCTCCAACTCCTGACCTTAAGTGATTCACCTGCCTCGGCCTCCTAAAGCGCTGGCATTACAGGCATGAGCCACTGCAACTGGCCAGGAGATATCTTACTTGAGTCACAGAACAACCCTATGAGGTAAGCAAGTAGTACATGACATTCATAAAATAAAAGCTCAGAGCAATGAAGTGACTTGTGCAAGGGATAAGGGCAATTCTGTGATTTTTTATGCTAAGCCAAATGGGTAGTATTTTTGGGTGTAATAGGCTCCAGAATACTGTTTCAACACAAAAAAGGACCAATTTTTATCACAGCAATTAAATCAATAACAAACATATTTCAAAAGGGAGATTAATAGAGTATTAATGTTTAGAAAGCTACTTACTACTCCAATGTGGCAAAGTAAAACTGAACTTTGAGGGTTGATATCAAGCGCTTTTTGGAAATGCATTTCTGCAAGGCTGAATTTTTCTTGCTTGTAATAAATCATTCCTAAACCATACCTGAAAGTATAAAACAAAGTATAATTTTAAAAATATAAAGTTTAGGTTGCTAATTTAGTTCAATTAGTAAAAGAACAAGTATAGAATCTGGCATTTTAATAATCCAGTGGAATACTGGTGGTCTTAGAGGAGAGGCAAAAAATACCAGTTATGATAAAAATCATTAAAGCATTTTATTTACTTATTTTTAAATAAAAAAATTTTTTTTTGAATTAGGGTCTCACTCTGTCACCCAGGCTGGAGTGCAGTGGGCCAATCATAGCTCACTGCATCCTTGAACTTCCGGGTTCAAAGAATCCTCCAGCCTCAGCCTCCAGAGTAGCTGAGACTACAGGCATGAACCACAATGCCTAGCCATTAAAGCAGTTTATTATTATTATTATTATTATTATTATTATTATTATTATATTTTAAAGATAGCACCTCACTCTGTTGCCTAGGCTGGAGTGCAGTGGCTCAATCACGGCTCACTGCAGCCTTGACCTCCCAGGCTCAAGTGATCAATCCTCCCACCTCAGCATCCTGAGTAGCTGCAACTACAGGTGCACGCCACCAGGCATGGCTAATTTTTGTATTTTTTGTAGAGATGGGGTTTTGCCATGTTGCCCAGGCGCATATATATATATATATATATATATATATATATATATATATACACACACACACACACACACACACACATACATATACACACACACACACACACACACAAACACACACACACAAATATACATATATATATATATATATATATATATATATAATATATATGTATTTTTTTGAGACAGAGTTTTGCTCTTGTTGCCCAGGCTGGAGTGCAATGGTGCAATCTCGGCTCACCACAACCTCCACCCACAGGTTCAAGCAATTCTCCTGCCTCAGCCTCCCGAGTAGCTGGGGATTACAGGCATGCACCATCACGCCCGGCTAATTTTGTATTTTTAGCAGAGACGGGGTTTCTCCATGTTGGTCAGGCTGGTCTTGAACTCCTGACCTCAGGTGATCCGCCCGCCTTGGCCTCCCAAAGTGCTGGGACTACAGGTGTGAGTCATGGTGCCAAGCTGTTTTTTTGTTTTTTTTTTGAGACGGAGTTTCGCTCTTGTTGCCCAGGCTGTAGTGCAATGGCATGATCACAGCTCACCACAACCTCCGCCTCCCAGGTTCAAGCGTTTCTCCTGCCTCAGCCTTCCGAGTAGCTGGGATTACAGGCATGCGCCACCACACCCAGCTAATTTTGTATTTTTAGTAAAGACAGGGTTTCTCCATGTTGGTCAGGCTGGTCTCGAACTCCCGACTCAGGTGATCCGCCCGCCTCGGCCTCGGCCTCCCAAAGTGGTGGGATTACAGGCATGAGCCACCACACCTGGCCTACATATATTTTTTTTCTTTTTTGAGACAGTCTTGCTTTTTGTCACCCAGGTTGGAGTGCAGTGGTGCAATCTCAGCTCACTGCAACCTCTGCCTCCTGGGTTCAAGCGATTTTCGTGCCTCAGCCTCCCAAGTAGCTGGGATTACAGGCATGTGTCACCACGCCCAGCTAATTTTCTTGTATTTTTAGTAGAGACGAGGTTTCCCCATGTTGGCCAGGCTGGTCTTGAACTCCTGGCCTTAAGTGATCTGCTTGTCCCAGCCTACCAAAGTGCCGGGATTGCAGGTGTGAGCTACCACCCCCAGCCTTCTTATATTAACATATTTTTAATTTTTTGTGGAGACGAGGTCTCACTATGTTGACCAAGCTGGTTTCAAACTCTTAGCCTCAAACAATCCTCCCACCTTGGCCTCCCAAACGCTAGGATTACAGGCATGAGCCACCATGCCCAGACCATTAAAACATTTTAAAGAGTCACTTTTACAAGCAAAAACAATCAAATCAAATCAAATCAAACTATGATAATAAGGAAAAAAGAAACCACACCCCTAAACCCATATAGATTTTTTTTTTTTTTTTAATTCAACGTCTTGCTCTGTCGCCCGGGCTGGAGTGCAATGGCGTGATCATAGCTCACTGCAGGTAACCTTGAACTCTTAGGCTCACGCAATCCTCCCACCTCAGCCTCCTGAGTAGTTAGGACTACAGGCATACACCACCATGCCTAATTGTTTTTTTTTTGTTTTGTTTTGTTTTGTTTTGTTTTTGAGATGGAGTCTCACTCTGTTGCCATGCTGGAGTGCAGTGGCACAACCTCCACCTCCCAGGTTCAAGTGGTTTTCCTGCCTCAGTCTCCCAAGCAGCTGGGACTACAGGCACGCATCACCACACCCAGCTAATTTTTGTATTTTTAGTAGAGGCGGGGTTTCACCATGTTGGCCAGGATGGTCTTGATCTCTTGACCTCATGATTCGCCCATCTCAGCCTCCCAAAGTGCTGGGATTACAGGCGTGAGCCACCGTGCCCGGCCTTAATTGTTTTCTTTTTTTTTTTTTTTTTTTGTTAGGGAAGGGGTCTTGCTATGTTGACCAGGCTGGTCTCAAACTCCTGGTCTCAAGTAATCTTCCAGCTTCAGCTTCCTAAAGTGCTGGGCTTATAGGTATGAGCCACCATACCTGTCATATTCTAGATTTAACAGCTAATTTTTACTGAGTAGTTATTACATGTGTGCCAAGACCATTGCTAAATTATCTCATTTAATCCCTAGAGGAATCATAGGTACCATTATCATCCTTATTTCGAATAAGGAAACTGAAACTTAGAGAAGTTAAATAACTTGCTTAAAGTTATACAGCTAATAAAGATTCTAACCAGGTTCTTCCTTAATGATTCTAAAGGCTGAACTCCTAACAATGCTATTCCCACATTTCTGTTTTATATTATTATAATTATAGCATACATAGTGTCATGTTTGGCTTCCTTGTCCCCCACTTACTGTTATCAAAAGCATGCTCCTATACTTATAGACCTCAAAATTACAATTTCTAAAGGCTATGTAATAGTGTATTAGGTTAATATGCAGGTATTTCTCCTGAATTTTCAAAATGTCAAATGAATATAGTGTGGATGGTTTATATTACGGAGACTTCTCATGGCCATAACTAGATGATGATGATGATGATGATGATGATGATGATGATGATGATGGGGAATAAGCATCAAATGAATAAGAAAAAAGCACAACATATCTGCTTTATTTGAGTGGCTTTATATATCATTATACTTGTGTTATAGATGAAGAAAAGGTATTAAACACTATGCTAATGATAGTGAAAGTGAAAACAAAAGAAAGGCTATCTATTTTGTACTTAGAATAAAGTTGCTCAGTATTTAGTTACCTAAATACGTCAGCATTTAAACTCCTCCTAGTAAAAGCTTGCCAATCTGAATAATCCTCCTTTAAACACAATTTTTGATATGGTTAAGTTTTTTAAGAATGCAACTCCTGCAAAATAGCTGAACAGACAATACACATTTAAAAAAAAAACAACACAAGGATCAACCAGACTTGGGAAAAAATCAAAAACAACACAAGTCTTATTAAGAACTGAGTTCCTGGCCGGGTATGGTGGCTCATGCCTGTAATCCCAGCACTGGGAGGCCAAAGTGGGTGGATCATGAGGTCAGGAGATTGAGACCATCCTGGCTAACATGGTGAAATCCCGTCTCTACTAAAAATACAAAAAAAATTAGCCGGGCATGGTGGCAGGCACCTGTAGTCCCAGCTACTCGGGAGGCTGAGGCAGGAGAATGGCGTGAACCTGGGAGGCGGAGCATACAGTGAGCCAAGATGGCGCCACTGCACTCCAACCTGGGTGACAGAGCGAGACTCTGCCTCAAAAAACAAACAAACAAACAAAAAAAAAACTGAGTTCTTAAAATATTACAGAGAACATAGCTATCGGAAGAGACAGCAGCATTGGCAAGTTGATTGTTACATTGGTCAGCAAAAGCTAGCACTATTTTTTTGGCCATCTTTCAGGCAATGTAACTACTACTGCAAAATGAGACATAATCCATTAACAACATATTCACAAATCAAAAAATGTTTTAGTAATATAATGCTTCAGATTTAGAAGCAAATAGAATGATACAACTCAACTGCTATAATAACCCCAAAGATAACCGTATCTGACAAAAAAACTACCACAGAGTTATGGCTTCAGAATTATACCTTATCTTGATATTTAAACTATTAAGTCAGTCCAGAAAAATACAATAAATGTCAACAGTAAGTATGGTGTTGAGGCAGAAATAGGACCAAACTTTTTCATATCTTATTCAGTTGATAACAATATGACCTAGGTAGTAATTTCCTATGTGTCTACTTATACACAAGTACAAAAAAGTAAAATAGAGATACTGCTAAATAAAAGGGTACACTAAGTTCTTAATAGTAACTCAATAAACCAGAACACTGTCAAAAAGCAGCAACTAGTAAATTTTTTCAATTTTTTTTCCTATTATCCAATAAGTGAATTATGCTATTCCTTTCCAATTTCCCAAGCACTTTTCATCCCAATCACCATTTCGGTGTTCGAAGAAAAAGCAACAAAGTAACAAAACTAAACAAACAAAAAACAACTACAGTATCTGCAAAAGTTTGGTAGAAGGCTGAAACTGTTGAGTATAAGGATCTGGTATTCTATTATCATTAGTTAATTTAAGAGTTTGTTAAAGACGTACATTTCATAAGAAAACATTTTAGTTAGAAGTTATTGACCAGTATGTACCATCCCTAAGTATAAGTAACCAAATTCATGATAATAAAGAGCTATCTAACAAGAAAAATTAGTAAGTACCAGCACCATCAATACGACTTTGTCTTTGTACTTCATTACCACTTACCATGCATTATAATGTCTAGGATTGACTCTGATAGCATTTCGAAAACAAGCTAATGCTTTGTCCAATTCTTCAGTTAAGACAAACTCATGCCCTAATAGAGTATAGGCATAAGCGTAATTTGGATCAACTTGGATAGCTCTCTGGAAGAATTTAATTGCAATATCATGTTCCCGTTGCAGACTGAAACAGTTCCCTGCAGCACACCAGGCCTTAAAAAAATGGGAACAAAAACCAAACAGAATTAAAATTTTACTTTTTCTAAAACCAAATCTATGACTAAAATCAAGCCTCAACTTAGAACAGAAAGACAAAAATGGAGGAGCTTCAGTAGATACTCAATTCTAATTATTCACAGATTCCATATTTGTGAATTTGTCTGATTGCTAAAATTTATTTGTAAAACCAAAATCAATACTTGCAGTGCTTTCATAGTCATCAAAAGGTATGTTCTCATTTGAGGTTGAATAATGTGACTCTACCTTCTTGTTTTAGCTCTCATGCAGAGATGACCAGGGACAGAAACTCTGTGGGCTAGTTTAGTGTAGTGCAAGAAGCTTTGGCTCTGGGGACAGTTGGACAGAATTTGAATCCCACTGCTGGCACTTTTAAGTAGGATGGCTTCAGGCAAGTCACCTCTGAACCTCATTCTCTCTCTTTTTTTTTTTTTGAGATCTGGTCTTGTTCTGTTGTCCGGGCTGGAGGGCAGTGGTGTGATCTTGGCTCAATGCAACCTCCGCCACCTAGGCTCAAGTGATCCTCCTGTCTCAGCCTCCCGAGCAGCTGGGACCACAGATGCCAGCCACCATACCTGGCTAATTTTTGTATTTTTTGTGGAGAAGGGTTTTGCCATGTTGCCGAGGCTGGTCTTGGAACTCCTGAGCTCAAGGAATCCGCCTGCCTCAGCCTCCCGAAGTGCTGGGATTATAGGTGTGAGCCACCACACCCAGCAGCATTCTCTCTTTTGTAAAGAAAATAGGATCTACCAGGATGAGTTATTTTTAGGATTCAAGATTATAATCCACAATCTATCTCTGTTTCAAACTCTCCATCACTCCCAGGAACATTGGTTCAGTAGCACTAATTCAGTGTTCATGTTGACTACAGAATTACCGCAAATAATGGGAGTTGACTGTGTTTAATTCTAAGCTTAGATATGTTACAAAAGTATCATTAAATATTTTTGAGATGCAATGAAATACAATCTTACAAGATTAGAGCATGTACATTAATTGCACCTATGTCTTACAATGACAATACTAATTTATTTTAATTTAAAATTATTAATTTTTTCAATCTATGTAACTTCTGCTCAACGAACCCTAATCTTGGTGACAACAGCAAATTTAACGTAGTCAAATCTCGATAAATCCTGAATGAAATAGCTGCTTTGTGATTTTTCTATTTGTGAATCTGCACCACACATTCTAGGACTTTCTCTTCCTCTCTGAGTCCCTGACTAGAGAGAGAGGAAAAAAAAGAAATAAGCGTGGGTGACACTAAATAGTGTTTGAATTGCTTGGTTCATCTCTATCTGTTGAGGGTGATCAAAAAGGTAACTATATAAGCAAAGTATTTTGGTTAACATACCTCTGGCGAATTTTTATCCATGTCTGTTAAGTCTTTTGACAGAACTGAAAGAGCAACATCTTTTTGAAGATGCCAAAGTGTTGTAGAGTAGATCTCCATGCCTTCAACTCTATAATTCTCAATCCTTCTAACCTCTGAGAATATTCTTTCAGCCTGAAATAAAAAAAACTAGTAAGAGAAAACAAGTTGATACAATTTATATATATACACAGGGAAAGCCCTGGTCATTATCTTCACAGGATCTAAATGCTGCCTTGTATTATGGTTTTTATGTGAATGAGTATTAACACAAGGACAAATTCAGCAATCTACTATGGCAGGTCAAATAGTGATGTAACCATATTGACAGTCAACCTAGTATTTATATACAAGCCATGGTAAGAACATGAACTCTGAAAAGGAAATTTGAGTTTCTACCAAAAAGACCGAAGAGAAATCTATACAAAGCTACAATTCAAAAGAAAAGTCAATATTTCCTTCTCAAAAACCTCATTTCCAAGTTTTAATAATGGCATTACAGAATAACTCTTTTTTTTTTTTTTTTTTGAGATGGAGTCTCACTCTGTCGCCCAGGCTGGAGTGCAGTGGCGCAATCTCGGCTCACTGCAAGCTCCGCCTCCCGAGTTCACGCCCTTCTCCTGCCTCAGCCTCCCAAGCAGCTGGGACTACAGGCGCCTGCCACCACACCTGGCTAATTTTTTGTATTTTTTAGTAGAGACAGGGTTTCACCATGTTAGCCAGGATGGTCTCGATCTCCTGACCTTGTGATCCACCCGCCTCGGCCTCCCAAAGTGCTGGGATTACAGGCATGAGCCACCACACCTGGCCAGAATAACTCTTTTAGGAAAGATGATGGAAGAATGATTTCTGTAACATAAAATCTATTTTTGAACAATTTTTACCGAGAGGTTGTGCCAGAAAATTTAGAGGGAAGAAACAGGTTAAGCTGGCTATCAATCCTATGGTTATAAATCCTATTGAGCCCTGAATATACACACCAATATTGTGTCTGCTAGGAATCATAGGCCCTACCTATTAATTATCCTTTCCTTTGCAGCACTCTCTTGACTTCAGGGTCTCTCCTCAGCTGCCTCATCAATTTTTTTCCTCATCACATTCACAGCTCCCAGAACTGTGTTTCTCTCCCTCTAAAGTTTGAGGATTTAGGTTATATAAAATCAGTTTCCTAGTTTATCAATTTACCAAGTTCAAAATTCTCAGCTGCCAGAAAAGGTCTAGGTAATAAAAAAAAAAAGAAAGGAAAAGAAATTTTCACAGTTTAGTTTATAATAAGGAATATCTGGACTATTCTTAATGAAATGAGTATGACAGAAAATAAGAGCATTTTAAAACTGAGTGCTTAATTCCAAGAAGTGGTCATATGATATATAGGAATAGCTTAACGATTTGTAACTTCCTTGCAATCTCTTAAAAGTTATAAAGGTAAGTGTGCAGCCTTGACCTGCAGGGCTCAAGTGATCCTTCCACTTCAGCCTCCCAAGTAGCTGGGACCACAGGTGAGTGCCACCACACCCAGCTAATTTTTTCATTTTTTTGTAGAGACAGGGTCTCACCACATTGGCCAGGTTGGTCTCCAACTCCTGAGCTCAAGTGATCCCCCTTCCTTGGCCTCCCAAAGTGCTGGTATTATAGGCATGAGCCACCACACCTGGCCAAGTTTTTCATTCAGGCATGGTAACAAGATAAAAGACCTACCAGCCAAATATAGGTAGGTACCTTTTGGTTTCAAAGTTTTCAGAATCTGTTGCTTCCTCTGAAAAATGATTATGGCATAGACAAAAAGAAAAATGGGAAAAAAACTCAGAAATTAAGTTGAAACAGAGGCTTTCTTTAATTAAATATTTGGGTCACCACTATAACTAGGGGAAACAATAAAATTCATTTATGTTAAAGTAGCTGTGAAACAATAAATTAGAAATAATTTTTTAAATGGCTTTTCCGAACACAGCTCTTGCCTGTCTGTGTATATGCTACATACCAGTAAAGGACCATAATCGAAACATGGGTTTTGTAGCAATGAATAAGACTTTCTGTCTTCAACTCTCTGTTCTGTACTATTCAAAATTAAATTATATGAATAGGTATCCTCTGTATGTATTCCCTGTGGGAAAGAACACCTTTCCCCTAGATCTTTGCATGGATCATGAAGGGAAGAGTAACCTTCCCTCTGAGTACATAAAAACAAAAACACCATACTTCATTGTCTCCCAGTTTCCTCACCATGCTTCATTTTTCTTCATGACTTATTGCTACCTGTTCTTATACATTTATTGGCTTATAATCTGTCTGTTGCTAGAATGTAAGCTCCACAGAGGCAAGAAATTGTCTGACTAGCTGTAATACAGAGTCTAGAAGAGAGTCCAGGATATCATATGCACAGAGATATATATTGAATAAATGAACTGAAAGCAAATTAAGCAAAAAACGAATCATATCAACTTTAATCCATATTAGAGATATTTTATTAATATATAGGTTTCTAAAAGGTTTCTTTTTTTAAGTTGGGGGTGGAGAAAATGCTTTGGGAAGAACTAAGGGGTAATATAAATTGGGAATTAGAATTTTCTTTGGCTTTAGGTTAATCATTCTCTCCTTTTCTGGTATAGACAGATAACTTAAGCAACAAATTTAATTAAAATCCAAAGAGTAAAAAGCCTTGTATTAAAGACATTGTGTCCTCAATTCAGCACAATTTTCTTTATAGCATTCTTCAAGCTTATAAAACATATTCGATGTCAAAAATTCACCCCAGTAATTAACTCTGTATATTGCAGAAAAATAAATAAATCCTATTACATGGTAAATATAAATATGTATTTTCAGACACAACTGAATAGGACACACTCTACGTAAGAATGTCTGGATGACTTGGGTCTCTATAAACCTATTCCGAGAAGTTGCAAAGAATTTAAATTACTCCTTAACACAAGAAAGAACTATATCTATAAATTATAAATACTGACAAAATAAATATATAGACATTACATAATAAATACTGATCTTTTAGATCTAGCCTTCTTAAGCATGGGCATTTATTTTAATGAAATTGAAATTATCTCTAGAAAGGCATATATAACCATTTTCTATACTTACTTGCATGTACTCTGAAAGTTCAAAATAGGCCCTTCCAATTTGGCACAGTACCCAACCAGTATTGTAGTGGTGAGAAGGTAGATGGCTCAAAATATTTATAGCTTCTTTGCAGTTGTATGAACACAAAGCTAAATAACCTTTCCCCATTTCACGAAGAAGGCTCATCAAACCTTCTAGGAGAAAACAACATAGTAAACAAAGGAAAAAACGCAATAAACTAGTCTGCTTCTCTAGAAAAGGTAATTACAAACTAATCTATTAAAAATTCCAACATCTATATAAAAAACAATGAAGGTACTGTAATGAACATAAAGAAATTTACTTAAAATAAGTACATAATAAAATACAAAGATAATATTAAGCATTTAAAACAGACCTGCTGCTGCTTTTTGTAGATTAAAGGCCTGAATCTGAGGTGTGATTGTGGATATTTTCCCTTCTGAAATGATGGAAGAGTCCAATTTTGTAATTTCCAGGCTATCATTTATGTTAGGTTGAGTTATTCCTCCTTTATTAGTTTTACTTTTTGTTTTTCTGTTTGGGATTTTAGGTGGAAACTTCATTTTTAATTTTTTGCTATTCTCCTGTAAAAGGGAAGAAATTTCACACCTGTTATACTCATGTATTTTAGATTTCTCCTCAGCCCTTTCTCCAGTATTAGATATAAAATAAATGTACAATCTTGATTAATTCTATATTTTTTTCAGAAGAGAGTTTATAAAAACAAAGGTCTTCAAAGTCATTTAATTTTAAACACAGTAATTCTGAACATAAATTACATTAACTAATAGTGACTAAGGTGTGTCAGCATTAAGTGTAGCCCTCTTGTGAAAGTATATCAAACTCTCATTTATTATTTAAAAGTAAGAAAATAAGTAGATGTAATTCTCAGCTCACCGCAACCCAACCTCTGCCTCCCGGGTTCAAGCGATTCTCCTGCTTCAGCCTCCCGCGTAACTGAGATTACAGGCATGAGCCACCACGCCCGGTTAATTTTTATTTTGGAAGAGACTGGATTTCTCCACGTTGGTCAGGCTGGTCTCGAACTCCTGACCTTAGGTGATCTGCCTGCCTTGGCCTCCCAAAGTGCTGGGATTACAGGCATGAGCCACCGTGCCCGGCCTTTGTTTTGTTTTTGGGACAGGATCTTATTCTGTTGCCCGTGCTGGAGTGTAATGATGTAATCAGAGCTCACCACAGCCTTGACCTCCCCAGGCTCAAGTGATTCTCCCACCACAGCCTCCCAAGCAGCTGGGATCAAAGAGTACTACCATCCCAGCTAATTTTTTTTTTCAGAGATGGGGTCTTGCTATGTTGACCAGGCTGGTCTCAAACTCCTAAGCTCAAGTGATCGGCCCACCTTGGCCTCCCAAAGTGCTAGGATTACAGGCGTGAGCCACTGCGTCCGCCGGGTCTCCAGTTTTTTTTAACTTTTATTTTCAAATAATTTTAGACTCACTCTTCTGCAAATGATAACATGTGACATAACCATAGTATATCATCATACCCAGGAAACTGAAATTAGTACAATATTATCAGCTAAAGACCTTACATGGATTTCATCAGTTTTTATATAAACCCGTGTGTGTGTATGTGTGTGCATAGTTCTATAAAATTTTATCACGTGAATGGATCTGTGTAATCAACCACCACAATCAGGATACAGGACTGTTGTACCACCACAATGCAATTCTTTTGTGCCATGATTTAATAGTAACATCCTCCCTAGAGGCCTAACTCCTAATAATCACTGATCTGTTGTCCATTCCTATAATTTTGCCATTTCAAGATTATTCCTATGTCATTTTTAACTTGAGAAAAAAAATTTTTTAATTAAAAAAGAATATTATATAATATTTACCAAAGGACTAATTAACTTCACAAAAATCATAGATGGCCCTCTAAATTAAAACATTTTAAAATTCGAAATAGTCTCTTTGTTAACTTATTAGGAATGGAGTCATCAATGAACAGAAATGTTAGCAGGCGAAGCATTAAGTAAATGTGACATACAGAAATCTTTAAATTACCTTGGTTGTGGAGCTGTCACTAGTAAAGAGTCGTGAACTTCTTCGAGGCAGTGCGTTTGGGGGAGATGTAATAGTGGGGCTCAATACCTGAGGTGTTGTACTAAAAAAAAATTATAAAGGAAGACATTAATATTTTACTTGATTTATGACCATTAACCATTGTTTCAATTTGGGTATATTTTAAAAATATACATTAATTATATAAGTACTCTAAAGTTGATGAATTTGATCAGTTCTTTTCGTGGTTTCTCTATGAAAACACAGTATTTAAAAATGAGGGACTCGGACTGGCTTTCCTGCTTCTCAGCTTGCAGATGGCCTCTTGTGGGACTTCACCTTGTGATCATAAGTCAATAATCCTTAATAAACTTTCCTTCATATAAAAAAATAAAAATAAAATGACTCGTTACTACAAAATAGTAAAGATTATAGCATAGATCTTCACTCTCTCTGAAATTCTTAATTTGAACTAAAAATAATCCTCATAAAACTCTGGATCGACAAATGATAAGCACATCTATAAATCAATTATTTTTACCCTTCATTTGCAACTACAACAAGTTAGAGAAAAAAGAAAAGACAGTTGGGCAAAGATAGTCTAAATGTGGGGTATTTGTTAACAAGTAAATACCACTAGAACTACTAATATTTGAGAAGTTATTTCCCTGTAAATTCAAACAGCTATATCAAAGGCTTATTCTCTTTAGAGCGAAAGGAGCCTCTGTACATTTTTACTTTAAAGGCAAACCCTGAGATATGAGAATTTCAATCTTAGCAAGCAAACTTAAAATCTGAAACAATCTAGAATTGACAGTGGGTAAACTTGTGGACTAAACTATCTAAACTTTATAATTTATGGGAAATCCTACTAGCTACCTGAGTCTGGGTCAAAGAATTTCAGAAAATAAAAAGATATATATTTTCATCTTTTACGATATGTACATATGTAATATGTACAGATACCTCTGTATATGCATGTGTGTGTATATCACACACACACACACACACACATAAATCCTTTTAATCTGCATCTGATAAACTAGGAGTTTGATAACGAAAGGCTTCCAAAGTTCAGAATTAGACTTCACTTCATATGGAGCAAATGACACACAACCTTTCTTGGATGATTTAGCTAAAAGTACTATGCCATTCTAATCATCTCTAAAAAAACTTTCTAAATAGAAAGAACAGACTTCCGCTAGTCATGACAGAGTAAAATGGAATAAATTTATTCTCCCATTTCAGATAACTACAAACTGAACCAAATATATGGAACAATGGTTTTCAGACACTGGACAATAGGCAAAACATTTCCGAGGACAGTTCTAGGGCCACCTTGCAGGAAAAAAGAATGCAAAATAGAGCTCAGTGGTCCCACTGTGTTGAAAAGAAAATGTTGAGAATTTGAGAAAGCCAAAGCAGCCAGAATTTGCAAGGCAGAGCACCAGAGAGAAGAGAGCTACAAAGAGGAGACCTACAAAGATCTGCAGAGGGCTTCCCTAGAGTCTTCAGTTGAAAATTGATCAGTGTAGGTGTTTGAGTGTTATATAATAAAGAATTTGTCTGGTCCACGTCCCAGGCTCCTGAGATCTACTAAGTCCTTGGAATTCCTCAAGTGACAGGGATGTCTTTGTTATTCATTATGAGCTCCTGGGACCGTGCCTGAATTTATGCTAATGAAGTAACTCCTAGATACTTTCTGGATGGGTGCTGGCTGTGCTGTAAAGGTCAACCATGTGGCCGGGCATGGTGGCTCACACATGTAATCCCAGCACTTTGGCAGGCCAAGGCAGGCGGATCACGAGGTCAAGAGATCGAGATCATCCTGGCCAACATGGTGGAACCCCATCTCTACTAAAAATACAAAAATTAGCTGGGCATGATGGCGGGTGCCTGTAATCCCAGCCACTCGCGGGTTCAAGTGTAATCACTTGAACCCGGGAGGTGGAGGTTGCAGTGAGCCAAGATCGTGCCATTGCATTGCAGCCTGGGCGACAACAGCGAAACTCTGTCTCAAAAAAAAAAAAGTCAACCATGTGATTAGAGGGCTGGGGCTTTGAGCCAGCAACACCAGCCTGAGCTCCTCTGGGAAGGAAATTGAGTTCAATCATGTGGCCAATGATTCCATCAATCACACCTACATAATTTAAAAACCCTAATAAAAATTTTGAACACCAAAACTTGGCTCAAATTCCTGGTTTGTAAACATACTGATGCATTGGGAGGGTGAGCCCAGAAAGAAGACATGAAAGCTCTGTATCAGGACCCTCCCATATCTAATCCTATGGATCTCCTAATTATGTCATCTACAATAAAACTGTAATCATTAAGTATAGCACTTTCCTGGACTCTGTGAGGTGCTCTAGCAAATTACTGAATGTAAGAGGGTAGTAGGAATCCTTAAATTTGTAGCCAGTTGGTCAGAAATGTGGGTGGCCTGGGGAACCCAGAACCTACAACTGGGCAGTTCAGACAGTTCTTGTTGGGGACTGTGATCTTAACCTGTGGTGTCTGTGCTAAGTTTGGGTAGTTAGCATCAGAATTACATTATAGTACTATAGTGAAGAAACTACCCAAAGCTGGGGAAAGTATTACTGAAAAGAAGCAGACAGAATAATTACTGGATCTCACTCCAAGCTGGGAATAGCTCATACTTTCAATAGGCAGAGTGAAGAAACCTCATACTAAACAGGTTTTTGAGGAGAGTACTCAAAGGGTACTTCCTCAATGGTGGGACAAGATTAGTCCAGACTAAGGCTACTTTTGTCTGGACAAAATTTAAAAGGTAAGACCTGAAGGGATCAAGCTGTTTCCAAGCAACTTTACTGCATCTCAGAATAAAACTTTAAAATACCTAAAGGAATGCAAAAATATCCAGTAATCAACAATGTAAAATTTATAGCCAGGCACAGTGGCTCACACCTGTAATCCCAACAACTCGGGTGGGTGAGGTGGGAGGATTGCTTGAGGCCAGGAGTTTGAGAACAGCCTGAGCAACACAGCAAGACCCCATCTCTGCAAAACTAAAAAAAAATTAGCCATATGTGGCACGTGCCTATAGTTCCAGCTACCCAGGAGCCTGAAGTGGGAGGACTTCTTGAGCCCAGGAGTTTGAGGCTGCACTGAGCTATAATCACACCACTGTACTCTAGCCTGGGCATCAGAGTAAAAGACCCTGTCTCAAAGAAAAAAAGTAAAATTTATAATAACTGACATCCAATTAAAAAACACTAGGCAGCCGGGCGCGGTGGCTCACGCCTGTAATCCCAGCACTTTGGGAGGCCGAGACGGGCGGATCACGAGGTCAGGAGATCGAGACCATCCTGGCTAACACGGTGAAACCCCGTCTCTACTAAAAATACAAAAATTAGCTGGGCATGGTGGCGCGCGCCTGTAGTCCCAGCTACACGGGAGGCTGAGGCAGGAGAATGGCGTGAACCCGGGAGGCGGAGCTTGCAGTGAGTCGAGATCGCGCCACTGCACTCCAGCCTGGGCGACAGAGCGAAACTCCGTCTCAAAAACAAACAAACAAACAAACAAACAAACAAAAAAAAAAACACTAGGCATAGAAAACAGCAGGAAAATATAATCTACAATGAAGAGGAAAAGTAATATAAGAAACACTTAGAAATAACAAAGTAACAGACTTAGTAGGCAAAAACATTAAAAAAATACAAATACATCCTATACGTTCAAAAACATAGAAGAGACTGGATGAGGTGGCTCATGCCTGTCGGCCCAGCACTTTGGGAGGCCAAGCCAGGACTGCTTCAGGCCCGGAGGTCAAGATCTGCCTGGACAACATAGCAAGACCTTGTCTCATAGAGACCTTGTCCTTGTCTCTACAAAAAAATAAAAAATAAAAATAATCAGCCACATGTGGTGGCATGTGCCTGTAGTCCCAGCTACTCAGGAGGCTAACGCAAGAGAATCGCTTGAGCCAAGGAGTTTGAGGCTACAGTGAGCCATAGTAGCATCACTGCACTCCAGCCTGGGTGACAGTGAGACCCTGTCTCAAAAAAAAAAAAAAAAAAAAGGCTGGGCGCGGTGGCTCACACCTGTAATCCCAGCACTTTCGGAGGCCAAGGTGGGCGGATCACGAGTCAGGAGTTTGAGATCAGCCTGACCAACATGGTGAAACCCCATCTCTACTAAAAATACAAAAATTAGCAGGGCGCAGTGGCACATGCCTGTAATCCCAGCTACTCAGGAGGCTGAGGCAGGAGAATCGCTTGAACCCAGGAGGGGCGGAGGGTGCAGTGAGCCAGATTGTGCCACTGCACTCCAGCCTGGGCAACAGAGCGAGACTCTATCTCAAAAAAAAAAAAAAAGAAAGAAAGAAAACCAAATCAATCTAGAGATGAAAGACAAATGTCTGCAATAAAAAAACAAAACAAAACAAAAAACCCAACAACACTGGGTGTGGTTAATAACAGGTCTGACACTGCTGAAGAAACATTAATTTGAAGACATAGCAATAAACACTATCCAAAATGAAACACGGAGAGGAGAAAGATTGGAAACAAAAATGAAGAATTAGTGAGCTGTGGGGCAACTTCAAGCAATCTAATATACAAGTACCTGGAGTCCCAGAGGGAGAGGGTAAGACATGGACATAATATTTGAAGAAATAATGCCCCCAATTTAGCCAACTATTATGAAAACTATAAACCCACAGATCCAAGAAGCTCAATAAATCCAAAGGCCGAGAAACAACAAAGCTACACTAGAGCACATCATAATCGAATTGCTTAAAATCAGCAATTAAAAACAAAACCTTGAAACAGAGAAAAGACATATTACTACATATAGAGGAACAAAAATGAGATTGACAGCAGATTTCTTGTCAGAAACAATATAAGCCAAAAAACCAGTAAAGCAACATCCCTAAAAAAATTGTCAATTAGAAATTCTTGGCCAGGCGTAGTGGCTCATGCCTGTAATCTCAGCACTTTGGGAGGCCAAGATGGGCGATCACCTGAGGTCAGGAATTCAAGACTAGCCTGGCCAACATGGTGAAAGCCAATCTCTACTAAAAATGCAAAAATTAGCTGAGCATGATAGCACATGCCTGTAATCCCAGCTACTCGGGAGGCCGTGGCAGGAGAATTGCTTGAACTCGGGAAGCAGAGGTTGCAGGGAGCCAAGATTGTGCCATTGCACTCCAGCCCAGGCAACAAGCAAGACTCTGTCTCAAAAAAAAAAAAAAAAAAAGAAAAAGAAAGAAATTCTTGCCTAGTAAAAATATTGTTCAAAAATAAAGATGAAATAAGAACTTTTTTTCTGATCCACAAAAGCTGAAAAAATTCATTACCAGCTGACTCGTACTATAAGAAATGATAAAAAGGCCAGGTGCGGTGGGGCTCATGACTGTAATCCCAGCACTTCGGGAGGCCAAGGCAGGAGGATCACAAGGTCAAGAGATCGGGACCATCCTGGCCAACATGGTGAAACCCCGTTTCTACTAAAAATACAAAAATTAGCTGGGTGTGGTGGTGCACACCTGTAGTCCCAGCTACTCGGGAGGCTGAGGCAGGAGAATCGCTTTAACCCAGGTGGCAGAAGTTGCAGTGAGCCGAGATCGTGCCACTGCACTTCAGCCTGGTGACAGAGTGAGACTCTGTCTTAAAAAAAAAAAAAAAAAAAAAGAAATGTTAAAAAGAAGTCCTTCAAGGTGGAGGAAAATGATATCAGATCGCAATCTGGATCTATAGAAGGAAAGGGCACCAGAAATTGTAGTTATGTGTGTAAATATAAAATAGACTTCTTTTTCTCATTTAAAAAAATTTCAGCTGGGCATGGTAGCTCATGCCTGTAATCCCAGCACTTTGGGAGGCTGAGGCGGGTGGATCATTTGAGGTCAGGAGTTTGACGCTAGCCTGGCCAACATCGTGAAACCCTGTCTCTACTAAAAATACAAAAATTAGCCGGGCGTGGTGGCACATGCCTGTAATCCCAGCTACATGGGAGGCTGAGGCAGTAGCATTGCTTGAACTGGGGAGGTGGAGGTTGCAGTGAGCCGAGATTGCACCATTGCACTACAGCCTGGGTAACAGAGCGAAACTCCGTCTAAAACAAAAACAAAAACAAAAACAAAACTCTATAAAAAGACAACTGACTGTTTAAGGCAGAAACCACAACCACAATAATGCACTGTGGGGTTTATAACATATATAGAAATTAAATATATTACAGCCATCCCTCCCATAAAGACTAAGAGAGGAGCACGAAAGTATACTATTGTAAGGTTCTGTGCTATACATGAAATTGTCTATTACTTGAAGGCAAACCTTGATAAGTTAAAATGTTTACTACAAACTCCAAACAACCTTTAAAAAGACAAAATAAAGAGCAATTGCTAATAAGGCAATATTGAATTGTACCTCCCCAAAAGATATGTTGAAGCCCTAAGCCCCAGTACATGTCAATGTGATTTTATTCAGAAATTTGGTTTTTGCAGATGTCATTGAGTTAAGCTGAGGATATCTGGGTTGACCCTAATCCAATATAACTGTTGTCTTTACAAGAGGGAAATTTAGATACAGAAACACACATGGAAGATGACCATGTGAAGACAGAGGAAGATACTGAGTTATACTGTCACATGCTAAAGAACACCTGGGGTTATCAGAAGCTGGAGGAGGCAAGGAAAAATCCTCCTCTAAAGATTTTGGAAGGGGAACAACCCTGCCAACACCTTGATTTTGGACTTATGGCTTTACAACTGTAAGAGAATAAGTATCTGTTGTTTTAAGACACTAAGTTGTGGTACTTTGTTATGGCAGCCCTAGAAAACTAATATAGGCAATTAAGGAGATAAAATGGAATCAACAATACAAAGAACACAAAATTATTAAGAGTGAATGTTGGCCAGGCACGGTGGCTCATGCCTGTAATCCCAGCACTTTGGGAGGCTGAGGCAGGCGGATCACCTGAGGTTGGGAGTTCGAGACCAGCCTGACCAACATGGAGAAACCCTGTCTTTACTAAAAATACAAAATTAGCTGGGTGTGGTGACACATGCCTATAATCCCAGCTACTCAGGAAGCTGAGGCAGGAGAATCACTTGAACCCGGGAGGCGGAGGTTGTGGTGGGCCGAGATCACACCACTGCACTCCAGCTTGGGCAACAAGAGTGAAACTCCATCTCCATAAAAAAAAGAGCTGATGTTTATTAGTGTTAGTCTATTTGTTTGACTCTAAAGTGAAATGTACAAATCGGAAATTATTTTTACATATAATGTTGCTTTGCAGGAGGTCTCAAGTTCCTTCTCACAACAGAGCCTCAGGCAATCACTGCAAGCTGGCACTCAAGAGGATTAGACTTACCATTCTGGGAGCATTACAGGAACATAGAGGTCTTTTAGATAGTCAAGGAGGTATATGCACACCTGTGTGTATGTCTGTTTTAAAATTTAGGTACATGTTCACAGTTTTAGAAAGGAGAAAGAAAATTGTATCTTCCTTTTAAAATGTTAGCTATAATCTATTGAGTCCTTGAAGAGGAAAAGAAAATCCTATCTAACACCATTTCTGTGTGGAAATAGATTCATTATTTGAAGTTTATTTGTCTGTTATTTTTATAATCTGTTTATAGACATGCATAATGTGGGGAAGGGGAGTATGAAACCTATCTGTACCTAAACTATAGAAAGGGTCATGTGCATAAGAAGAAAATTACAAATCCATGAGGCAATCAGAGTAAACTAAAATGCTGCTTTAGTTAACTATTGTCTTCTGTGCATTACAAAACTCAACTCAAAATTACATTAGTGTTGTAAGTTAGAGGTTTCAAATTTTACATCTTCAAAATTTACAGTAGTTATTCTAGAATCCACGAGAGTCACTATCTGCCTAAATTAAAGAAATGTAAAGAATCAAGTTTTATGCCAAGAAAAGTTGAATAATTACAATGATAAATACCTTGTTTGTGGACCAGAACTTTGTGTTTGTGCAAGAATTGGAGTTACCTCTCGGCTATTTCCACTCTGTGAGAAGACAGACTTTGTTCCAGTTTGGCCGATTCTGGCAACAGACTGTAAAACACGAAAAGTCTAAGGTTTGTGAATTATGGGCTGCACTGTAAATGATAAAAGACAACACAACGCTCCCATCTACATTTTCTCAATACAAGCAGCCATAATATACTGTCACCTTAAAGATAAACTATTTATATCATATTGTTAATTATTGTTGTATTAGTATGAACATCAGTCTATTTCCCTGTTTTAATCTCACAGTATTTTTACCTCTATAATGTCTTTTCATCTTTCGCTTTTTGTTTCAAAGACTAAAAATCCCCAGAAGCTATTCTTTTCATCTCATTGTGACCATCCTCCATTTATTACATACCTTCTCTATTTGGGGTTAAGTACTAAAAAATTTTAAGACAGCTAAATTCTCAAGATTTATGATTTATCTCATTATACACAGAAAAAAATAATAATACGATAAGATTTTATACTCCTTTGGCACTTGGTAACAGTTCTAAAGGAGTTCAGAGGAGTAGATTTTAAAAAAACAACCATCTGATTACTTTCCAAAACCTAAGGATATTGTTCTTTAGAGTTAATATTGCTTAGTTTTTCTAATCTTCATTAATTGGTTTCTGTTCCCTTGGAGAAAAAAAAATCTTTGCTTGGCTCTTCAGTCTTCTCTAATTTATTCCCTTATTTCTATTCATTTCCACCATCTAGCTTCTTTAAATGATCTATGACTATTGTATCAGTGCACTGTTTTTCCCCTTTGGCTACCAGAGAATTTTCTTCAAAACTTACTGTTACCCTGATGTCCTGTACACAATCCTCAAACTGCATATTATAAATAATCACTAATAATCACTGTCTCATCAGATATTAAAACCTTATTTTAGCCTTTCCTGCATTCAACATCACTGATCATGCCCTACTTTTTGAAACTTTGTGTTACTTCCAAAACATTACATTATTTGTCCTGCCACTTCATTTGCTGGCCCTTTATCCTTCTACTATTTTTAAATTAGGTTTACTCTGTTCTCCTTAGCTACTCTTTCTTTCCCTAGGAGAGCCTGGTCATTTTAATAGTTTCAATTATTATTTCTATCAGCAGGTCACATTTTTTCCTCTATGACTAACTTTCTACTGAATATTTTCATCTAATGTACCACCACTTCAAAATAAAACTTCATAAGCCTTCCTCCGCCTTTTCCAAATTGGGATCACTACATTCATCCAAGGGACAAAAGTCAACTCTGGCTTTTCCTTATTTATCAAAGAACTATGTACACTGCACTCAATACCTGGTTTGATATTTTCAGTTGACACTGCATGCAGACCTACATGCGTGACTTTTCTGGGAATGTCTTGTAATAAGGTAAGAGGAGAACAGAGGCAGAAGAGGATGAGAGAGCAATCTTATCTGGGCACTAAAATCATGTGCCTGCCCACTGTCTTAACTTGCTCTGGTTATTATGGTTATTATGGCTCTTCTAGTTTTGGCCTACTTCACCTGGCATGCTAACTACCATTTTGTTTTGCCTTCTTCATAACTGTAATGTTTAAAACAATCCATACACAAACTATTTTGCAGTCCCTTTTAAGTATTCTTGGAGTTCCTATTATCACTCACTAAGGAGTTATTATAGAAAAATCTTTTGCAGATTCTAAGGATGTTCAGGAGTAAAATAGTAAAAAAACAACTATAAGAAGAAACATGTTTCTATTAAGGTAAAGAGAGTATAACTGTTATTCACATATTAGTATGACTTGTTTAGCTTCCATTTCTTGAATATTTATGAAGCATGGCAATAGGTATTTTATATATAGAACCTAATTTAATTCTCACAGAAGTTACCTTGTGCCACAGATATGCTTTTTAAAAATGGTATTTTGGCCTCTATTTCCATATACCTATAAAAGGGAACATTATAAAACAAGAGCCTCAGCAGGGCAGTGACTCATGTTTATAATCCTAGCACTTTGAGAGGCCAAGGCAGGAGGATTGCTTGAGCCCAGGAGTTTGAGACCATCCCTGGCAACACAGTGAGATCCTGTCTCTACAAAAATAAAAGTTAAAAAAATTAGCTGGGTGTGGTGGTGTACACCTATAGTCCTAGGTACTTGGGAGGCTAAGGTGGAAGGATCACTTGAGCCTGGGAGGTAGAGGCTACAGTGAGTCATGGTCACACCACTGCACTCCAGCCTGGGCAGGAGAGCGAGACCCTGTCTCAAAAAAAAAAAAAAAAAGCCTCATGAAACTTGCCGCAATATTTACTATAAGTATACTACCAAATATTTTTCATTTTCATGTTAAAACTATACATCCATGATCTACCAAAAATCTTATTATCAGAAATATCTGGCTTTACCTGAGCAAATTTTTTTTCATATAATTATTAGTGTTATTAAAAAAACATATATACACAGTGGTAGGGACAAGTAAAAACTATGGCAGACATAATTTCTGTTATTTATAGTCAAGTAATATAAACAATATTAATTTTGTTTTTTAAAAAGGAAATTAAAAAGTAAAAATATGATTATGTTTATTTAACTATATGCTGAAATAAACTAAATTTGTGAGATACAATCTTACTTGGCCAAAAGAGTAAGAAGTCTGTCTCCTACTGTAACCAAGAGGCTACAACAATAATGACATTCTTTTATATTTAGATCACCCTCTACCTGCTGGGTTCAAATATAAGGCAAAAGCAATTACATAAAGTAAGATTTTCCCTGAGATTACCTTTAAAAGATTGAAATAAACAAGTTGCTTTAATCAATTCCCAAACTGCATTTTACATGGAAAATACCTTTTTTGAAGGGGCTCCGGTGGATGGCACATCAATTACAGGAGGTGTATTAGTGTAGTTTTGTAAATAGGATCCATCTCCAGGACTTGGGGTTTCTAATGGCAAAATCCCAAAACTGAGAAGAGGTTGAAATCAAGGTGTCAAAAAGTCATCAAGGCATATATAAAGCAGCAGTATACTTAAATTAGAAGGTCTAAAAGGAAGAGAATGGCAAATCAGTCTTAGGGACAGTGAGGATCTGAGGGGCAGATTAAAAATAAGCTGTGAATGTAGACTATTCCACCCACCATAACTAAAATTTTAAAAAGCTATCAAACAAGGAACTAAACTGAGCAACAATTACTGATCTCAGGAGATTTATTAGAAATAAAGAAGAGTAGCTTTATAAATCTAAGATCCAAATGATGAGATTACTTCAAATTCTTGGAATTTATGGGATTTAGACACAACTACAGAGAAAATGTCTCTAGAGACCATTAGATAACTATAACTCTCCAGAGTTGTAATCTCATGGTCATGCTATTTTAGTAGTTCCCCGGCCTCAGGACCTGATTCATAGAATTTCTTCTAGCATATATGTATATATTTTTTTGAGACAGAGTCTCGCTCTGTTGCCCAGGCTGGAGTGCAGTGGCATGATCTCAGCTCACTGCAACCTCCACCTGCTGGGTTCAAATGATTCTTGTGCCTCAACCCCCAAAGTACCTGGGATTACACGTATGTGTCACCATGCCGGGCTAATTTTTGTAATTTTAGTAGAGATAGGGTTTCACCATGTTGGCCAGACTGGTCTTGAGCTCCTGGTCTCAAGTGATCTGCCCACCTCAGCCTCCCAAAGTGCTGGGATTACAGGCATGAGCCCCCATGCCCAACCCATTCTAGCACATAATTTTTCATTTTGATACTTTTGGATATGTATCCTCTGGGCTGAGTTCCTGTATTTATACATACATATACTTCTAATAATTTTGATAAAATATTTTATATTAATAGGTGTGACAGCTAGGTTCAGTGGCTCACGGTAATCCTAGCACTTTGGGAGGCCACAGCAGGAGGATCACTAGAGGCCAGGAGTTCCAGATCAGCTTGGGCAACACAGCAAGACCCCATCTCTACAAAAACACTTAAAAAATTAGCCAGGTGTGGTGGCATGTGCCTGCAGTCCCAGCTACTCAGGAGTCTGAGGTGGGAGGATCGCTTGAGCCCAAGAATTTGAGGCTGCAGTGAGCTATGATTGTGCCACTGCACTCTAACCTGGGTGACAGAGTGAGATCCTGTCTCAAACAAAAAAAGGTAGGTGTCAAATTTCCTCCATGTTTTGGAAAAAGGCACTTTAACAGTAACCAGTGGTGCCCTGATTATAACATTTCATGAGGCTCACCGCTATCCATTAATGCACAGCCATAAAGACAGTATTTTTTAATGTGTTTACTACCTAATTAAGGAATATTTCAGAGTTTTAAATTTTCCTCCAATTTTTTTTTTGAGATGGAGTCTTGCCCTGTCTCCCAGGCTGGAGTGCAGTGACACCATCTCGGCTCACTGCAACCTCTGTCTCCCGGGTTCAAGTGATTCTCTTGCCTCAGCCTCCCGAGTAGCTGGATCTACAGGCGCGTGCCACCACACCCGGCTAGTTTTTTGTATTTTTAGTAGAGACGGGGTTTCGCCATGTTGGCCAGGATGGTCTCGATCTCCTGACCTCGTGATCTGCCCACCTTGGTCTCCCAAAGTGCTGGGATTACAGGCGTGAGCCACTGCGCCTGGCCAGTCCAATATTCAATATCAATTTTTTTTGAGTTGGAGTCTTGGTCTGTCGCCCAGGATGGAGTGTAGTGGCTCCATCTCGGCTCACTACAACCTCCGCCTCCCGGGTTCAAGCAATTCTCCTGTCTCAGCCTCCTGAGTAGCTGGGATTACAGGCGCCCGCCACCATGCCCAGCTAATTTTTGTATTTTTAGTAGAGACAGGGTTTCACCATGTTGGCCAGGCTGTTCTTGAACTCCTGACCTCAGGTGATCTGCCTGCCTTGGCCTCCCAAGGTGCTGGGATTACAGGCATGAGCCACCGCACCTGGCAACATCACTATTTGCCAGTTTTTACTTCATTTTCTGAAAACAGAATGCCCCTGTTTCCACAGTGATTTAGAAGTTGCTGTTGTAATAATCTGCATTACTAACAATATGAGTTATCATAAGATCATTTGGTATTATAGCACATTTGAAAGTATCTTGTTTGACTTACCTTGGGGTTAATGGACTAAGAGCTGCTGGTCCTCCTAATAAACTTCGACCAGTTTTTGGTTTATTTTGAACCTGTTTAGATAATATGGAAGTTCCTGTTCCCAGTGGGACAGTATCAGGTGAAATTACAGCTGAATCAATATAAGACACTGAGGAATCTGTATTCAAGGAGTACTTTGAATTGGAAGATTCTAAATTCAATCTGTTTAATTCCTGAAACAGAAAATTTCTACCAAGTCATTCACAATATATTATTTAGTTCAGATCATTCTTTGTAGTTTTCATAATATTTTGAACACTAGAATATAAGACACTTACAATTGTGTCCTGGGGTGTTTCCGTAAGAACTGTCTCAGGCTGTCTGTGAGATAAACTATGATTAGGTACTTGTGTTGTGCAAGAGTTGGGCAGACAGTTGCTAAAGTTCTGTAAAGATGTGAATTTAAATGTTTGGTCAGGATCTGGCTTTTCACCTGTGAAGACAAAAAAAAAAAAAGTTTGTCTCTGAGGAAGTGAGGAATACATGTTTTTCAAGTATGCATAAATCAGTGGAAACAGGAAATAGGCCTTATCCAAACTTTAAAAATCTCCTGTCCACTTCTGCTAATCAAATTTACCCCCAAAAAACCCATCTATCAATATATCATAAAAGTTTACCAGTAAGATAAAGCTGTAAATGAAAATAAACTACAAGAACACTAATTTTAAACATAACAAATCGCAGAAAAATGCAGATTTCTGTGTTTGTTTTAAAGCTGAAAATAACTAGATCTCATTTTTCTCAAAGTAGGAGATGAGGTTGAAGAGTTAAAACCCATCATATTTTACAGTAAAGGTTGAAGCCCTTCTATATATACATAGATGCAACAATGCTGAAAAATGGTCCTTTATGTATCCTAGGCCAAATATACTGAGAAATTCTCTCCCTGTACTGTTCAGGTCTTGTAAGTTTCAGGCATTTATTAATTGCATTAGAAATTTTATTAATTTTCTTATTCAGAAAGCAATTTTGCTAGTGTTAAACACACAATATAACCCATTCTAGAGGACACCAGATACTTGAAAATAGATTGGTTCAACAGAAGAATCTACTGGATTTAATCTTTGTGTAATTTTCAGTTATATGATTCTTGAAACATACCGAAGATTCTAACTTATTTTTTATTCTCAATTTTAACTTTGAAAAATATTTTTCTTGGGGGTAGATGATCTGTATTGCTCTCCAAAAATTAAGTAGCAGGAAAAAAAGAAGAGGAGATGGGAACCCACCCACCTCTCAACCCCACCCACCTACCTATTTCACATAATGATTCAAAGGGAGACCAGAGGAAAGGATTTAAACTAAGGCTCTTTTGGTAACATTCTGATCCTTTGGCAAGCCGATCTGTCTTGCTGTGGAGAGAAACAAGTAGATTAAATAAGCTACAAACCCCAAAACCTGTATCATAAACTTTTAGTATAAAAAATTAGGTAAAAGTTACAGAAGTTCAGAGAGCACTCTTTGTGATGCTTCTCTAAGTTACCAATTTCTCCCATCTGCTAATCTCCAAATCAAGTGAAAGCGCACAGAACATGAATCAAAAGAAATGCTTACAAAACAAACTATCGTTGCCTTCTTGAATATTACTATTACTTTAAACTTCCTGTCAGATACTAGAGTTATTGAGGGAGATGTGAAAAACATCCAAATCCTTCAGTATTATTCTTAATTTTTTTTTTTTTTTTTGGACAAGGTCTGGCTCTATCATACAGGCTGAAGTGCAGTGGCATGATCTTGGCTCACTGCAACCCCTACTTCCTACGCTAAAGCCATCCTCCTACCTCAGCCTCCTGAACAGCTGAGACTATAGGTGCGCACCACCATATCCGGCTAATTTTTGCATATTTTGTAGAGACCAGGCTTCACCATTGATGCCCAGGCGGGTCTTGAACTCATGAGCTCTGGTGATTTACCTGTCTTGGCCTTCCAAAATGCTGGGATTACAGGTGTGAGCCACCGCACCTGGCCTTTTTGTATTTTCGTCGAGATGGGGTTTTGCCATATTGCCCAGGCAGGTCTCGAACTCATGAGCTCAAGTGATCTGCCCACCACAGCCTCCCAAAATGCTGGAATTACAGGCGTGATCCACCACGCTTGGCCTTAATTTTTAATACAACATTCCCAGTGGTAATTCTGAAAGTGATTTAAATGCTTTAAATATAGCATAAATGACCAGGTTTTTATTTGTTGTTGTTTTTTTTCCAGGCTTAATTCACTTTATTTTTCTTGTGTAAAAACCCTATGTTGTAGCCACAGCTGGAGCCCGGGTCCTCTGTACGGAGACTCTAGTGTGGGTCTTGACGAGGTGGTCAGTGAATTCCCGATAGGGAGACTTGGTGAATACAGTCTCCTTCCAGAGGTCCGGGGTCAGGTAGTTGTAGGTCTTAGAGATGGCATCAAAGGTGGCCTTGGTGAAGTTGCCCAGGGTGGCAGTGCAGCCCCTGGCTGAGGTGTAGCAGTCATCGATACCAGTCATCATGAGCAGCTTCTTGGGCACACGTGCCAAGACGATGCCCGTGCTCCTGGGGGTGCGACGAGGCGCACCAGCACAGAGCCGCAGTGGCCTGTCACCTTGCAAGGGACGGCGTAGGGCTTGCCAATCTTGTTCCCCCAGTAGCCTCTGCGCACGGGGACAATCGAGAGTTTGGCCAGGATGTTGATGGCCCTGCAGATGGCAGTGGCCACCTCCTTGGAGCATTTAACACCCAGACCGACGTGGCCATTGTAGTCCTCGATGGCAACAAACGCCTCGAACCTGGTGCCCTGGCTGGCACGGGTCTGCTTCTGCACCGGCATAATCTTCAAAACCTTGTGCTTGAGAGAGGCCCCCAGGAAAAAGTCAATGATCTCAGATTCCCTGATGGGCAGGGAGAAGAGATAGATCTCCTCCAGGGACTTGATCTTCATGTCCTTGACCAGGAGCCCCAGCTTGGTGATGGGAATCTACTCCTTATCCTTGGCCTTGCCTCCACGAGCTCCGTGGCCTCGGTCCCGGCCCCATCCACGGCTGCGACCCCAGCCCTGGATGCCACTGCTGAAACCTCTGCTTCTTTTTTTTTTTTTTCAAACAAACTAGAGGTGGTAGGTCTTTTTCCTCCCCTCTCCCCTCAAGATCTGTTTGTGGAGGATCTGCTTCCTTAATGAAAAGGAAAATTTATGTTTCTTTCTAAATCAGGTGTATAAACGCTTACATATGGAATCTGGACAATATCCCTGGGAACATATATACTTGGAAAAATCTGGGGATTATCAGAACAGCATTGCTGCCTCTCTAGCTTTTTTTTTTTTTTTTTTTCCTGAGAGTCTGGCCCTGTTGCCCAGGCTGGAGTGCAGTGGCATGATCTCGGCTCACTGCAACCTCCACCTTCTGGATTCAAGTGATTCTCATGCCTCAGCCTCCCGAGTAGCTGGGATTACAGGTGCACACCACCATGCCAGCTAATTTTTATATTTTAGTAGAGATAGGGTTTCACCAGGTTGGCCAGGCTGTTTTTGAACTCCTGGACTCAAGTGATCCACCCGCTTCAGCCTCCCAAAGTGTTGGGATTACAGGCGTGAGCCACAGCACCTGGTCGCCTCCTCCTTAGCTTTTAAATAGGAGGATGGAAGGGGTTAGTGGCTAGTGAGACCAATTAAAGCATTCAGGTAAAAAATACAACTTACCTGGTCTGAAGTTCAAATGCTTCAATATCAAATGGAAAAAAATTCAGAACAGCAATTCTTCCAAAATTCTAAGGTTTTATATATAAAGGACCAGAAGAAATCTAACCGAGATCCTCAACTGAAACTATCAGGTAAAATGTATACATCATCTGTTTATGTGCGGAATGTCAGTATAACCTCAGAGAACTATGAAGAAGGTACCCTTGGGGAACCAGATATTAGTTTGCCTCACTGCCAAATTTTCAAGTGAGTAAAAACTAGAAATAAGTGATATGACAAAGAAAGTACTACCAGTTGAAGGATATCTAGCTTCCCACACTTGTGTAATTTAAGCCAATAAACAAATGGACAAAGTAGGAAGCAGAAGTAGGATGCAGACTTTTGGAAAACATAAATAAGTTTTATCAAAGTCTGTATCTAAGATCATTTAGATCAAAAATTTCTTTCTTTTTTTTTTTTTTAAAGGGATAGGATCCTGCTATGTTGCCCAGGCTGGACTCCTGGCCTTAAGTGATTCTCCTGCCTCAGCCTCCCAAGTAGCTGGGACTACAAGTGCATGCTACCATGGCTGGCTAATTAAAAAAAAAAAAAAAAGTTAGCGGTGTTTTGCTATGTTGCCCAGGCTGGTCTCAAACCTGGGATTACAGGTGTGAGCCACCACAACTGGCCTGAAATTTCTTAAATATAATTGTCATAAGACTGACATAATCACCCACCAGGGATAGAGTGGTAATTTAGAAATAGGAAATGAAGAAAGGGCATACAAAAAAACATTTGCTGAAAGTAATAGGGTGGAACGTGGCAAATCAGTGCTTGGGAGCTTTTAACATAAGGCTAAGCAAAAGAAAATACACAGCCAGGCACGGTGGCTCATGCCTGTAATCTCAGCACTTTGGGAGGCCAAGGCAGGTGGATCACTTGAGGTCAGGAGTTCGAGACCAGCCTGGCCAACACGGTGAAAACTCGTCTCTACTAAAAACATAAAATTAGCCAGGTGTGGTGGTGGGCACCTGTAATCCCAGCTACCTGGGAGGCTGAGGCAGGAGAACTGCTTGCATCCTGGAGGTGGAGGTTACAGTGAGTCGAGATCATGCCATTGCACTCCAGCCTGGGTGACAGAGCGAGACTCTGTCTCAAATAAATAAATAAAAACAAAATACAGTGAAATCTCATTGTTTGAGGATTATCCTAAGCTTCAAATAGGTCAATGACCATTTCTTCATTTTTTTTTTTTTTCTTCTTGTAGTTCCTAAGTAAAGCCATTCCCTCAGGCCTCAGTCCCTTCTTTAGAAAATCTCTGTCTGGTGAGAATCCCTTCTACAGAGATGACAACTAAATCTACTTCTAACTTCAACCTTACCTTTCCTTTGCCTGATGGGCAATTTCATCTAGGTTTTACTTCCTTATCTAAAGCTTAGTAAATTCAAAGTCAAGTTCATCTTTTCTCCCCAAAATCTGTTCTTTCTCTTTCTTTCTGTGTGTGTTTTAAGGACACCACTATTTTTACAAGTTTACAGACTCAAAAATCCTACTTAGAGATAGCACTGACTCCTTCTTCTTCTCCTCTGACCTTCACAGCCAATCAGCAACGAAGCCATAATTCATGTACTTTCATTTTATTTCTGGCTTAAGTTCCCTCTTTATTTTCACTGTTAGGATCCTTATTGCTTCTCATCTAAACCATCAATAGATTCCTAATTAATGTCTTGCCTCTTCATCCCTTCAATTCATCTATCTAGGCCCCTTCTGTCTCATAATACTAACCATAGTCTGCCTATTTATCTTTTCAAGCATTCTCTCTTGCAAGTGATTATAAGCTCTCTGAGAATGGAGAATTAGTCTTTGCCATTTTTATACTACCTGTTTCCTGTTTTCAAGTAGCCCCGTCCCCTTGCTTTGCCAGCAGAATGTGATATAAAACAGACATTTTTATTAATAATTTTAAAAGTTGCATTAGTGAACTGTATGAATTATTTACATGGCCAGAAAGGAAGTAGACAAACATTGATTAAGCAAAGACAAAATAATCTGTTACGGGAAAAATATTCTGGAAAAGTAAGAGGGGTGATCCTTTGTGCTGAAAAGTCTCATTTCCAGTATTACTTAAATTAAAATTGTATTATTTTTATATTAGGAAAAGAAAAAATCAAACTTGGTTAAGTTGGCAAGGCTGATTTTTATAATGAGTAATTATTTCATGAATAGACCACAAAACAGAAGAAATTTAAATCAAAATTCATGTCTGTTAAGAGATTAGATACACATATGGATAGATATATGTATAAATCACATAAGAGCTAACTAGGGAAGAAGTCAGGTGTGGAATTATAATAATCTAGCCTGGAAGATAAAACCTCTAATTATTCAATAGAGAGATAAAAGGGGACAAAGATTTAAGAAAAGTAAAGTGCTGGGGTACTCTAAATTTAGATCGAAGTTTTTATTAAAATTGAGTGATACACACAAAACCCAGCCAGAAGTTTCCTAAAGAACTGGCATAAAAAATATTATTTAAGTGGTATTGGGAAGAAATAGGATAATTTAGGAATCAGACTTAGTATCAGTTGTGTCCTAAACATAGAAGTCTCATGTGCTGTAATAGACAAAAAGACAAAAAAAAGTCTATACTGGAGATAGAAAAGAAAACCTAACACACCTTAGCTACAAAACCACATGTATGTATCTAGATTACTAGGTGCAATTCTGGTATATAATGGCTAAAATGAAAAGCCAGGATTGGGGTAGGGTTGTTCCACTTTCAATACTCAATCTTTTAATCTTGATGATGAATAAAAATAACCCTTGGCTGGGTGCTGTGGCTCATGCCTGTAATCCCAGCACTTTGGGAGGCTGAGGTGCCAGGACTGCTTGAGCCCAGGAGCTTAAGACCAGCCTGGGCAACATAGGGAGACCCCATATCTACCAAAACCAAAAAAATATAAAAGAACCCATCCATATTCCTCTGAAGAAGGAGAAAAAAGAACTTCCTTGTTTACATATATGTATACATACACACACATACCTTTCTGAGGAACTGATTTAACTGCATCTTTAAAAAAACTTTAATGATTTTATCTGAATAGTTCAGTGCCACATGACATTCTGTTACAACAGATCACATGTATGACAATAGTCTCATAAGATTATTTGTTTCTTTTGCTTTTTTTGAGATGGAGTTTCACTCTTGCTGCCCAGGCTGGAGTACAATGGCACGATCTCAGCTCACTGCAACCTCTGCCTCCTGGATTCAAGTGATTCTCCTGTTTCAGCCTCCCCAGTAGCTGGATTACAGGCTCGTGTCACCACGCCCAGCTGATTTTTGTATTTTTAGTTGAGGTGGGGTTTCACCGTGTTGGCCAGGCTAGTCTCGAACTCTTGACCTCAGGTGATCTGCCCGCCTCGGCCTCCCAAAATGCTGGGATTATAGGTGTGAGCCACCCTGCCTGGCCCCCATAAGATTATAATGCCATATTTCTACTGTATCTTTTCTTTGTTTAGATACACAAATATTTACCATACTGTTATAACTGCCTACAGTATTCAGTAAGGTAACATGCTGTACAGGTTTGTGGCCCAGGAGCAATAGGTTATACAATATAGCCTAGGTGTGTAGTAGGCTACACCATCTAGGTTTGTGCATATGCACTTTATGATGTTCACAAATGACAAAATCACCTAAGGACACATTTCTCAGAACAAATCCCCATCATAAAGTGACACATGACTGTATAACATATTTGTGATTTTAACTTAATTTTTTTAAACTTTACTTTGGAATAATTTTAGACTTACATAGAACTTGCAAAAACAGTACACAGTTCCCATGTACCCTACACCCAGCTTCCCCCAATAATATCTGACATAACCATAGTACAGTTATCAAAACTAGGAAATTGACATTAGTACAAAACTGTAAACTACGCTGGACACGGTGGCTCATGACTGTAATCCCAGCACTTCGGGAGGCCGAGGCAGGTGGATCATGTGAGGTTGGGAATTTGAGACCAGCCTGGCCAATATGGTGAAACCCCGTCTCTACTAAAAATACAAAAATTAGCTGGGCATGGTGGCGCTCACATGTAATCCCAGCTACTCCGGAGGCTGAGGCACGAGAACTGCTTGAACCTGGGAGGTGGAGACTGCAGTGAGCTGAGATTGTGCAACTGTACTCCAGCCTGAGCGACAGAGCGCAAGATTCCATTTCAAACAACAACAACAACAACAACTGTAAACTAAACCACAGAGCTTATTTGAATTTTAGCAGTTTTTACACGTTTATATAGAGAATATTATCACATTTACAAATTTCTATAACCACTACTACAATCAGGATATAAAACTGTTTTAATATCCCAAAGAAACCCCTAAATAGTTACATCCTCACCCTAACCCAACCTGAGAACCACTGATCTGTTCTCCTTCACTATAATTCTGTCAGATTAATGTTATATAAATGGAATTATAGAAACTTCTGAAATTGGCTTTTTTCACTTGCCATAATAACCTTGTAATCTATCTAAGTTACTATACATATCAATATAGTAGTTTGTTTCTCTTTATTGCTAAGTAGTCCATCATATGGACTAGTTTATCTATTTACTTACTGAATTTTGGGTTGTTTCCAGTTTTGGGCTTTTATGAATAAAGTTGCTATGAACTCCTGTGTAAAATATCACCTTACATTCCCACCAGCAGTGTACGAGGAATCCTGCTGCACTGCATCCTCTCACCAGCACTTGGTATTGTCAGTAGTTTTTATTTTTAGCCATTGTATCTAATGGTGGTTTTTAATCACTTTCCTTAATGGCTAACGATTTAGAACATCTTTTCACCTGCTTATTTACCATCCATATACTCTCTTTGGTGAAATGTCCATTCAATTGTTTTACTTATTTTCTAATTGAACTGATTTTTCTTTTATTACTGAGAGAGTTCTTTATATAGTCTAGATACAATCTGTGTTGTTTATGGGATTTGCAAATATTTTCTCCCAGGCTGTGACTTGTGTGTATTTTCATTAATGTCTTTTGCCAAGCAAAGAGTTTTAATTTTGATAAAATTTATCAACTTTTTATTTTATGTACTGTCATTTGGGTGTTATGTTTAAGAAGTCTTTGCCTAACCCTAGCTCATAAAGATTTTTTTCTAAAAGTTTAATAGTTTTATGTTTTACATTTAGATCCATGATTCATTTGAGTTAAATTTTTAATAAGGTATGGGGTTTAAGTCAATGCTCATTTCTCTGCCTATGGATATCCAATTGCACTGGCACCATTATTTGCTAAAAAGGATATCATTCCTCCATTAAATTGTTTTTCACCTTCTTCAAAAGTCAACTGACCATCCAAGATCCTGTTTTTAATTATTTTGTGTATGTTCCCACAAGTGGAATTACTGGCTCAAATAGTAATTCTAGTTTCAATTTTCTGAGAAATAGTATTATTTTTATATATCACTGATACATCTGATTTCCTAATTTTTTTTGAAGATTTTTGTGTATACATGTATTCTTAAGGAATAGTGGCCTATAGTTTTCCTTTTTAGAACAGTATTTCATTTTGGAATCAAGGAAATGTGGCCTCATGAGTAGAGGAGTATTTCTTCTTGTTCTGTTTTCTGGAAGAGATTATGTAGCATTAGGGAAGACTTTTAACTACAAATTAAAGTTTCTTTCATAATTTTAGGATTATTCAGATTTCTATTTCTTAGGTGAGTTTTGGTAGTGTGGCTTATTAAGAAATTGGCCCATTTCATCTAAGTTGTTAAATTCATGTGCATAGAGTTGTTTTAAGTTTTCAGCATACACATCCTTTCACTGTCCTCAGGGTAGGTAGTGATATTCCTTCTTTCATTCCTGATATAAGTAATGGTGTTCTCTCTCTTTCTTTTTTGGGGTCACTTTCGGCAGTTTTACCAATCTTTCCAAGGACCAGCTTTGGTTTCTATGATTTTCTCTATTGTTTTTCTGTTTGCAATTTCACTGATTTCTACTTTTTATTATTTCCTTCTTTCTGTTTGCTTGGATTTACTGTGCTCTTCTTTTTCTAGTTTCTTACAGTGAAAGCTTAGATAGCAGAGTTGAAACTGTTCTTTTATAACAAACATTTAGTGCTATAAATTTCGCTGTAAGACTTTAGCAACATCATAGTTTTTAATATGTCATATTTATTATCCCTTTCATTCAGTTCAATATATTTTTAAAATCTCCTGTGAGACTTCCTCTTCAACCCATGAATTATTTATTTATTTAATTTTTTTGAGATGGAGTCTCACTCTGTCACCCAGGTTGGAGTGCAATGGTGTGATCTCGACTCACTGTAACCTCTGCCTCCCAGGTTCAAGCAATTCTCGTGCCTCAGACTCCCAAGTAGCTGAGATTACAGACGTGCACCACCATGCCCGGCTAACTTTTTTATTTTTAGTAGAGACAAGGTTTCACCATGTTGGCCTGGCTGGTCTCAAATTCCCCACCTCAGGTGATCCACCCACCTTGGCCTCCCAAAGGGCTGGGATTACAGGCGTGAGCCACTGTGCCCAGACCCATTAATTATTTAGAAGTATGTGGTTTCATTTCCAAATGTTTTGAGATTTTCTTATCCATGTGTGACTTTTTATTATCTAATGCAACTTTTTTCAACAGAGTAATATTTATAATACTTCATTTTAGTTAATTTTCTAAAAATAAAAGAATATGATGCTCTTTAGGATTATTTCTCCAACATTCCTTATTAAAATTTTGCCAACTTCTTTCATAAATTGTCTACCCTCCAGTGTTTGTACATCACTCCTCTCAAATAATTTGTAGTCTTTGAACATCTATTTTCCTCTGGAAGTCACTCTATAGATATGAGATGTTGTCAAATTTTACTTTTTCTATCAAGTTTTTCCTAGTTATCACAACCCCTCTTCTTAACCAGGCAGGACTAATTATTCTCTCATTTGAACAATATAATGCTCAAATTTTATGACAGAACGTTTAATGTGATAATAAAAACGAACTTTGAGTGTGGAAAAAGCAACATTTTGTTTTTTCCTATTCTCTCTTAACAGTAACAATCATCAATACAGAAGACTTCTGTGACCAAATGTCTGGGTTTTCTAATTCCCCCTAAACACACCAAGCATCAAACGCCAGCTGAATGTCCGCTAATTCAATTCTGATACCATCTACCTGTAGACAGCCTCAGGTCCCACAGGTTAAGGGCTCAGTCTTCAAGACTGCCCTGCCCCACCTTCAGAAACCAGTCACAAGTCTGGGCCTAAGGAACTTCTGATCAACTAGCTATAAATTGGGATTCCCACAATGCTCTATTCAGGTTTGATGAATTTGCTAGAGCAGTTGACTTATAAAGGATATCACAAAGGATACAGATGAAGAGTGCATAGGGCGAGGCATGGGGAAAGAGAGGTGCGGAGCTTCCATGGCCTCTCCAGGCAAGCCACCTGCCAGGAACCTCCATGTGTTCAGTTTTCTGGAAGCTTTCTGAACCCTGTCCTTTTGAGTTTTTACGGAGGCTTCACTACATAGGCATTACTGATTAAACCATTGGCTGTTGGTGATAATCTTATCACCAATTTAATGGTGAAACTTAATCTTCAGCTCCTCTCACCTCCTGGGAGGTTGCGGGGTGGGGATGAAAAGTCCCAATCCTCTAATCCTGCCTTGGTCTTTTGCTGCCAGTCCCCATCCTGAAGCTACCTAGGGGATGCCAGCTACCAGTCAATTCGTTTGCATACAAAAAGATATCACTTTGGAGTTTCTAAGTGTATACGAGGAAATGAGGTCAAAGACCAAATATATATATTTCACTATATCACACTTACAAACTTTTGTTTACTGTTTCTCTTCTCCTACTCTATTATAAACCTTTGAGGGTGGGGACTGTGAGTTATTTATCTTTATATTCAAGCCAAGTATGACTGTGAGTTATTTATCTTTATATTCAAGCCAAGTGTGTTTAGCTATAATGGAAATGAATCTCAAAGTTTCTTGACTAAATGACAAGAAGAATCATAGTTTCATGAACTAAATTTATTATTCTCAGTCCTTAAGGTAAATGAATATATTGATATTATGTCTTTGCTTACTCATGTTCGCAAGAGTGGTGTTAATGGATAAACATACCACCGTTACACCTGAAAACGGGCCCCCAAACTTAGTCAAATAATGTATTCTGTTCAGAAATACATTTTCAAGGTTTTGAAAAATAACCAATATTCAAACTAGCCTCAATTTATCTTAAAACAGATGCTATCCTAGTTCTTTAGACAAGCAGTCCCCAGTCACTTCTCCCACGGGGGAGAAGTGACAACAGATAACATTTACACATGTGAAGCATTCCCATGGGCAGAGTTACTTGTTCTTTTTCTTTTTTTTTTTCTTTTTTTTTTTTTGGAAACAGGGTCTCGCTCTGTTACCCAGGCTGGAGTGCAGTGGCACAATCACAGCTCACAGCAGCTCCAACCTCCTGGGCTCAAGAGATCCTCCACCTCAGTCTCCTGAGTAGCTGGAACTACAGGTATGTGCCACCACACCCAGCTAATTTTTTATTTTTTTGTAGAGATGGGGTCTTGGTATGCTGCCCAGGCTAGTCTTCAACTCCTGGCCTCAAGTGATCCTCCCACCTCCACCTCCCGAAGTGTTGAGATTACAGGCGTGAGACAATGCACCTGGCTATCTTTTCTTCTATCTCCTCAGTGGATCACATAAAGATACTCTTTTCACCCAAGGTAAAATAAACTAACATGGGGCCGGGTACGGTGGCTCACACCTGTAATCCCAGCACTTTGGGAGGCTGAGGCAGGTGAATCACCTTGAGGTCAGGAGTTTGAGACCAGCCTGGCCAACATGGTAAAACCCTGTCTACCAAAAATACAAAAATTAGCTGGGCGTGGTGTCGGGCACCTGAAATCCCAGCTACTTGGGAGGCTGAGGCAGGAGAATTGCTTGAACCCTGGAGGTGGAGGTTGCAGTGAACTGAGATCACACCATTGCACTCCAGCCTGGGTGACAAGAGTGAAACTCCATCTCAAAAAAAAAAAAAAAAAATAGAAACAAACAAAAAAACCTAACATGTATGATCAATTGTTAGGCAGGGCAGCTGTAGCTATTATCAGTAAGGATAAGTGGAGAGTTCAAACTTAGATTAGCATCTCTGCTATTTTAATAAGGTCATAGAATCAGACTATGTACTACTCAGCCAAGTAATATTTGATAAACACTGATCAACATAGGTTTTTTAAACTATAAAACATACTTGTATGGAAATGCTTTTCTGACAGTTTGAATCATTCTTACTTACCAATATACATGTCCCAACAATGAAAGAGTAAAGCAAGCTGAATCACCAAACTCAGTAACAATATCATCATGGCTTTTCTGCTTATTAAACACTCCACCAGATAAGATTTGTTCCCCTTCTGCAAGCCTTTAAAATACAAATTTAAAGATTTTTAAAAACCAATATAAAAAGCAGTTCATGTAAACATATTCTTCATTACCAAAGTGCATCTAACTATGGAGACACAAATTTTTTCTCTCTCTCTCTTTCCTTTTCCTTCCTTCCTTCATCCCTCCCTCTCTCTGTCTTCCTTTCTTTAAAGAGATAGGGTCTTGCTTTGTTACCCAGGCTAGAGTGCAGTAGTACAATCATAGTTCACATGGCCTCAAATTCCTGGACTCAGGTGAGCCTCTTGCATCAGCCTTGTGAGTAGCTGGGACTACAGGTGCACACCACCACACCCAGCTAATTTTTAATTTTTTTGTAGAGACAGGGTCTCACTATGTTGACCAGGCTGGTTTCAAACTCCTGGGCTCATGCAATCCTCTCATCTCATGGGATCACAAGCATGAGACACTGCACCTGGCCAATTTGTTTTTTGTAAAAAAAATTTTTTTTAATTACAATAGTGGCAAACACTTATTTAGAATCATTTGAGAGGCTGGAAATTTATGATCTTAAAATTTCACTTTTACCTTTAAAAACAGAATCAATTACATTTAGTCTCTGTATGTACAAATCCAGTCTGAGCAACATATTCATTACTCATGTCAGAAGGAACAGAAGATGATTACTATACTGGGGGAGAAAATATAAATGGTTCTTCATTAACAAACATGGTGGTCCTTTTTACTTCCTTAAAATAGAAATGTATATGCAAATTAAACAAGACTAACATAGTTTAATTAAAAATTGCATACTTATGCCCGGCACAGTGGCTCAAGCCTATAACCCCAGCATTGTGGGAGGCCAAGGTGGGAGGACAGCTTGAACCCAAGAGTTCAAAACCAGCCTGGGCAACATAGTGAGACCCCATCTATACAAAAAATAAGAAAATTAGCCAGGTGTAGTGACACGTGTCTGCAGCTCCAGCTACGTGGGAGGCTGAGATGGGAGGATCGCTTAGGCCCAGATGGGGACTGCAGTGAGCCATCATCACCCCACTGCACTCCAGCCTGAGCAACACAGCAGGACCCTTTCTCTAAAAAAAGGAAAAAAGAAAAAGGAACTGGCAAATTACATAAGAAAGATTTTTAAGAATTCCACATTAGGATCTTTGAAATTTAAAAGTAATTCAACAACAAATGTCTCAGAAATTTCAGATATTTTAGCTAGCTTTAATTAAAAAGCCATCAATTAGTCACTGGACAGATAATATAGTTATTGATCAGTCTATGGTGAGACTTACTTGTATCTTCCCCTTGTAAACCTACAAGCCAATTATACATACAGGCTTTTACAAATATCTAACACCGTTTACACATGTGACCGTTTAGTCCCTTTTACCATTATTCCATCTCTTACAGTACAGAAAAGAATTGAATAGAACCTAACTATCTGTATCTCTAAATGCCTCCAAATTTGGTATAGGGACAGCTGACTTGGTTTAACTGTAATGTGCAAAAGAAGTACTCAATAAAATGATCTTGAAAGGAAACTATACAATCACCTAAACACAAGGGAGCCTTAATCTCAAGTGAGCTGGTGGGTTTTCAGGCTTACTCAAATTGGTCTAACACTGAAAGCAAAGAAAACGAAATATTTGTGATCATTTAAGAAACCAATAAGAATCGGTTATAACTTAAGTTTCTCCAGAGTTAAACTCTATTATTTATTACCATAACAATGAAATCTCCATAATATAAATAATGCCATAGGCAACAGTGTAAACATTTCGAATGTTACTGAAATAGATGGAAAACAGGGAAGAAAGGGAATCAGAGTTTAATCTGAAAGGAATTTTATCCAAAATTCAACAGTGTAAGTAAAACAAAATAGCTAGAAAATATTTTAAAACTTACTTGCTGAGATCAACACAACATTTTGCAAGCAGGTATTTGCATTGCGGTGTAGTACAACTGTGTCCTTTCAAGAGTCTATATGCTTTATATGCCTTTCCTGAGCGGTAATAACAGGTTGCCAGTAAAAACAAGGCTTCTTCTGAGTGTACTAAAAACAGACATTTTTTAAAAAGGCTATTGTTCAGTATATTGAATGATAATCAGTTTATCATGCAATAAACAAGTTTAGCAAAAAAAAAAATTAGGCTTGCTATTTTAACACAAAACAATCACTTATTAATTCAAATTTGAATTATGGAGAAACGGTTTGCTTATAGCAAAGTCAGTTCCTTAGATCTTGATTACTTTTCTCTACAAGAAACCAAGGAAATAATACAATGAAGACAATCATGGTATTCTCTGTAAATATTTAAGAAAAGCATACACACACAGAAACACCCCTGCCTTTAAACAGACTACCAGTAAAGGATCTTGTTTTTAGGTAATATTTTTCTAATAAATCTTTCGGGAGGATAGAAGTCAAATTTCATTAGCAAGAGAAACCTGAGTGTAAATAAATCTAACTACCAATATGAAATAATTTCTATATTTTAAAAAGACCAGATTGAAAAAAATCCACTTGTTTTGCTTTAACATCAAATATACATTAAATTATATTTAAGATAAATTATAAATTGTGAATGCTCACACCATTTTAACATTCAGTTGACAGACTATAGTAACAATAATTAAATTACATTACAATAGCAAGAGCTGAGTTATCTATCAATCTGTCCCTCCTTTTTACATTAGGAAATGCCCCCTGCCTTCTTAATGCAAGTGGCATTTTTCACCCTTATTTAGTCTATGTCTCTACTAAACTGATCATCACTTCACTTCTATCCCCACAATCCAGGGTCTACAGAGGCAACAACAAAGAGGATGGAAAGAGAGGGAAAACCACAAAACTGTGCTTCTAAAAATGGGTTATGCAATAATACCAGTGAGCTGAAGGATCTTCTAAGCCAGTGGTTCTCAAAGTGTGGTCCTTGTACCAGTATCAGCATAACTTGGAAACTTGCTAGAAATGAAAATTTTTGTGTCCCATCTCATACCCACTAAATTAGTAATTCTGGGAGTAGGAACCAGTAATCTACGTGGTTAACAAACTCTGCAAGTGATTCTGTGGCATTCTCAAGTTTGAGAACCACTGTTGTAAAGTACAAGACAAACTTGCCACATCTTTTTAAATAGTTAACATCATTCTAAGAGTTTGGATAAAAAAGTAATTTGAAATTTTATTTCTAAGTTTTTTGTCACAGATATGTGCAAGCAAAAACCAACAGAACCCTTCTTCTCTGGTCCATCTTATGGTTTTTTATGAAACCACAGTGTAAAAAATAATAAATAGTAAATGATAAGAAATTTTGGCAGATGTGTTTTAATGAGATGTATAGTAGTATTAGTGCTGCAGCTACAAAAAAAAAAAAAGAATGGGGCGCTCACTGCAGTAGGAATAAACTATTAATTTTACTGAGCTACAACTTCTAATTTACATAAGTTAGAAAGTTTGATTTCCTCTAGATTTTACAATGGTCTGGTTTCTTTTCACCTTATAAGTTTTTAAAAACTATTGATTATACCAATAAACAATGGCTCCCACAAACTAATTTAACTCCCAGTCACAGTAATGCTGTCTCAATTGTTTACAAATATTTGATTATGTGTAGGTCCACTTTCACTGCAATAAAATTGCCTAATAAAGACACCAACTATTCTTTTTGTGTGTACATGTGCGTGTGTAATTTTAGTGTAATACTGCAATTAGCTTTTTGAAGCATAGTAACTTAAAAATTATATGTTCAAATGGGAATACGGATTGGTGATTTAGGCAAAACTTAAAAATAATGAAACTGGCCAGGCGTGGTGGCTCATGCCTGTAATCCTAGCACTTTGGGAGGCTGAGGCAGGCAGATCACCTGAGGTCAGGAATTCAAGCCCAGCCTGGCCAACATGGCGAAACCCCGTCTTCTACTAAAAATACAAAAATTAGCCAGGCGCGGTGGCGCAAGCCTGTAATCCCAGCTACTCCGGAGGCTGAGGCAGGAGAATCGCCTGGACCCAGGAGGCAGAGACTGCAGTGAGCCGAGATCGTGCCACCGCATTCCAGCCTGGGTGACAGAGTGAGATTCTGTTTAAATAAATAAATAAATATAATGAAACTGTCAGATAAGGAAGCAAATCCAGAGCAATCTGAAGTGTTGTGACACGGGTGGTTTCTTAGGCTCCTCACAAGTAACTTGGCAGCAGAAAAAGATAACAGTACCCCAAACACAACTAAAGAAGCAGTGGTAAGCAGCCATAAATCTAAAAAGCACAGAATATGTTTACTGGATAGGATTGACAAAGATTTCATCTAGAACAGTAACTCCAACTTACGGATAATGGCTGTCTGAAATGCCATGTTCAGAAAACTTCTTGAGGCTGATCATGGCCTAGCTACCAAGAGTAGTGATCAAAATAACAGGATCCAGAAACAGTTATAGATGTTTGCATGTCACTTATTTACCATCCTTTATTTACAGACTTAATTAAAATATGGGATTAGAATTATAAGGTCCATAATATATTGCATAATCATGAATGAAGTTAGCATTGACTCCATTAAGTCACTCTTAAAGTAATATTGAGAAATCAATCGTGTACTAGTTAAATTATGCTATGTCCATGTGATGAAAAATACAGACATAGAAAGATTTCCAGAATGTACTGCTAAAGTGAAAAAACAAACAAATTAAGCCTGTAATCCCAGCACTTTGGGAGGCCGAGGCAGGTGGATCACCTGAGGTCAAGAGTTCAAGGCCAGCCTGGCCAACATGGTGAAACCCCATCTCTACTAAAAATACAAAAATCAGCCGGGTGTGGTGGCGTGCACCTGTGATCCCAGCTACTCGGGAGGCTGAGGCAGAACAATCACTTAAACCCGGGAGGCAGTGGTTGCAGTGAGCCGAGATCATGCCACTGCACTCCAGCCTGGGCAACAGCGAAACTCGGTCGAAACAGGACTATCGAAACAGGACAGGACAGGACAGGACAGGAAAGGAAAGGAGAGAGAGAAAGAAAGAAAGAGAGAAAGAGAGAGAGAGGAAGGAAGGAAGGAAGGAAGGAAGGAAGGAAGGAAGGAAGGAAGGAAGGAAGGAAGTAAGTTGTAGCAGCACTACTGAAGTTCCTCTTCTTACAAACAGGTTTGGCTTCAAAATTGGAAAGGTCTTTTGAGTGTAAGTCCAAAATAATTAAGAGGGGTTTAACCTTGCATCCTCCAGATACATTTACATCAAACAGAAAGGTAAATTAGTCTTTCAAAGCTTTTAAACCAGATAGACGCCTCTTCTTCACGCTGATTTATAATCTAAATAAGCAGCCTTTCTAAAATGGACCAATTTTGACAAATTTAAAATTTGTTGAGGTGACTGTTCTTTACCTAGCCTTGATAAACTATACAAATATCAGAGAAGCCCTCAGAGGTTAGAGTACTCTGTGGCTACCCTGTCATGAACTCTGATGTTGTGTGAATTTAAGGGCATAGAACCTATGGAACTTTTTATGATTTGTGACACATGTTTCAAATTGATTATCTGGGCCAGGCACAGTGGCTCATGCCTGTAATCTCAGCACTCTGGGAGGCCAAGGTGGGCAGATCACTTGAGTCCACGAGCTGGAGACCAGCCTGGCCAACATGGCGAAACCCCATCTCTACTAAAAATACAAAAATTAATCAGGCATAGTGGTGCATGTCTGTAATTCCAGCTTCTTGGGAGGTAGAGGTACAAGAATCGCTTGAACCTGGGAGGCAGAGGTTGCAGTAAGCTGAGATCACGCCACTGCACTCCAGCCTGGGCAACAGAGCGAGACTCTGTCTCAAAAGAAAAAAAATAAAACAAATCGATTATCTGTTAAGTTTTTTAATCAACTATAAGTAGTATGACATGTGGATTAAAGTACCGACTCTGAAGCTAGACTGCTTGGGTTCAGATTCTGGCACTTCAACCTACTAGCTATGACTTAGGGCAGAGTTACTTAACTTCTCTGACCCTCATTTTTTTTTCATCCGGTAAGGACTATGATACCTACCTTTAAAGGTTGCTGTTAGGATTAAATGACTTAATACATGCACAGCAATTAGGATAGTATCTGACACATAGTGAAGGCTGTATGTGCTATTATTTTAATTATTGGCCTTCTCTTAAATTTACAATACCTGAATAGATATTTGATATTAATGCAGGGGGTACATAAGTGTCCCTGAGCCACATGCTCAAGTAATTCTATTTCATCAACTTTTTTTTTTTCTGTTTTCAATTGTATGGAGGCTATACTTTTCTTATATTTCATTATTCATTCTGTTGTTCAGAGTCATTTCTACTGTTGAACATTTCATCTACATATGCAAATTTAGCATATGAATACTATTCTCAATGTTTATCTTTTCTACATTTATTTACATCCTGCATTTCAATACCAACTGGTTTTATACCTGTTGTTAATGATGGGGTTAATAGTGCTCTTAAGTATTTTAAAACCACGCTTAGAGTAAAAAGACCACAAATAAAAGAGGGCTGGAAGAAGTTTTAAAAGGCTCCTTAGTGTTTGAGGCAGAAAATGGCAATATATGAGGAGAAAAAAGATGGCCAAATTGTGCAGGGCTTTGTAAACTGTGTAAAGATTTAGGAACAGATCCTTACAACAATTAGATACTTCTGAAGGGTTTTAAGAAGGAACATAAATTTGGGAGGGGAAAAGGAACAGGCAGGGAACGGGAGATAAGGAAAATTCAGTTAGTGGTATCTTAGGTTAGATTTGAATATATTGAGTTTGATGTGTCTGTGAAACATCCAAGTTAATTCAATGAAAATAGGTGAGTCTTGGATCAATAAAGGCCTCAAAATGATACATTATTCCACATCTTTAGTAGAATTCTGGATATTCTTTAATACTGATCTTAACACAATCTGGTAAATAAGTTTTTTTTTATATGTTGCCATTTGTACGCATATATTTCTGTGAGTTTGGGCTCTCAGTATCCTGGTTAATAGAAAAGAAACAGATGCTGAACGTTTTACTCTGGTTCAGTTCTCTCCCACTGAGCCTAATTTACTAAAATTGATACACCCGATGCAATCTATACATCTTACCCACTAATCACTAAGACAGGTAGAAAATTGGTGAACGATTTTACGGTCATTTAAAATGCATTCAAGTAGGGCGCAGCAGCACATGCCTGTATTCCTAGCTACCTGGGAGGATCGCTTGAGCCCAAGTGTTTGAGGCCAGCATGGGCAACATAGGGAGATCTTGACTTAAAAAAAAATGTTTAAAAAGTACTAATATTAAAAAATAAAGACCGGATACAGTGGCTCCCGCCTGTATTCCCAGCACTTTGGGAGGCCGAGGTGGACAGATCACTTGAGGCTAGGAGTTTGAGTCCAGCTTAGCCAACATGGTGAAACTCCATCTCTACTAAAAATACAAAAATTAGGTGGGCGTGGCCGCAGGCGCTTATAATCCCAGCTACTCAGGAGGCTGATGCAGGAGAATTGCCTGAACCTGGGAGGCAGTCAGCCGAGATTGGGCCACTGCACTGCAGCCTGGGTGACAGAGGGAGACCCTATCTGAAACAAACAAACAAAAACATTTTGCAGTGTGGGATGTAAAACCCACATTAATTTAAGATAAAACAGTAGACCTTAAGCAATTTTGAACTCTGGGCTAGGACCCTCAAAATAACCTAGGAATACATGTTGACACAAGGTTTTCAGCTGTTTCTCTTTCTTTTCCTTTCACTAGTTACAATCCTCTTAGTCTCATAGAGTTCCATAGGTAGCAATTACTTATGAAAAAAATGCACACAAAACTTATGTCTGGTTGATTTTCTGAACATAACTCTTATTTTATATGTGTGTGTACACACACACACACACACACACATATCTCCAAAGAGCTATCATAGTAGTTGCATTAATGTATTTTTTTCCTCATAGTCTAACACTATTTCTATTTGTTGTATAGCACTTATTTCTATTCATTCTTAACAGTTAATTAACAAAAGAGAAAAACCTTGGTCAAGGGGATCAGGTATTGGTGGTGGGAAAGAAAAATACATGCTTACAATGGGGGAAGGGAATTTATTGGAGGGAGATGGTAAAATTAGGACAGTTTTTCCAAAACAGCAAATCTCAACTCACTAGTGGACTGTGATGTCAATTTAGTGGTTATCAGCCTACGTTAAAACAACAACAACAAAACCACTCAATGGAAAATATTAGAGTGTATCATATCTAATAAGGGTAAAAAAAATCTGGCCAGGCCACAGTGGCTCACGTCTGTAATCCCAGCACTTTGGGAGACGGAGGTGGGAGGACTGCTTGAGACCAGGAGTTTAAGACTGGCCTGGGCAACATTGTGAGATCTCGTGTTCTCAAAAATACAAAAATTAGCTGGGCATGGTAGCATGTGCCTGTAGTCTCATCTAGTAGGGAGGTTGAGGTGGGAGGATTGTTTGGGCCTGGGAGGTCAAGGCTGAAGTGAGAAAAGATCACATGACTGCACTCCAACCTGGGTGACAGGCTATCTCAAAAATAAATAAATAAATAAAAATAAGAAAAAAAAAAAAAAACCCTGAAAAGTCACTGTATTAGGATATGTTAGGGGAGAGGGAACCTGTAAAGGACTTTCTATGTGCCAGAAACTACAGCAGACTCTTTACATATTTTACTGTATTTAGTCCTTAAAACTATCTTGTTAAACAGATATTTCTCTTCTATTTTAAAGATAAGGAAAATAAGGCTCAGAATGACTTTTGGCTTAAGATCAAATGGCAAATGAGTATCTGAATTCAGATTCTCTTTCCTTTTTCCGTTTTTTTTTTGAGACGGAGTCTCGCTCTGTTGCCCAGGCTGGAGTGCAGTGGTGTAATCTCGGCTCACCGCAACCTCCGCCTCCCGGGTTCAAGCAATTCTCCTGCCTCAGCCTCCTGGGTGGCTGGGATTACAGGCATGTGCCACTACACCGGCTAATTTTGTATTTTTTAGTAGAGATGGGGTTTCTCCATGTTGGTCAGGCTGGTCTCAAATTCCCAACCTCAGGTGATCTGCCCACCTCAGCCTCCCAGATTCTCTCTTATATCATTCTGCTGTTCCTTCTTTCTGATCCCACAGTCTCAGGCCGACTATAAATCTCGAGAGAAAGACAAATGGGCGACAAAGAACTAGTGAAACTGAGAAATTATTTCAAGAATTTGACTTACAGAAGATCCTACTGATCAACTGCTTTAGCCTCATGCCTTGTTGGATGTCTTTCTCCAAATATAGAAACTGCTACTAGTGACATAGGAGGCCCCTGAGCAAACAGGTTACATCTAGCATATCAACTGATATTGTCCACCAAGAAAACTGTTGCCAAGAATTCTGAGGTTGGTTCAGTGGGAATGAGTACTGTAATGGATTAGTGATGCCTACTATGGTTGCAAATCAGAGAAGTGGTAATTGCTACTCTTGGGAAAGCGGAATCAGACAGATTACTAGTTACCGCCTGTGGACATTAGTCTCAGTTCTTCATCCAGAAAATGGCAATAGCAATGTCTATTTGATAGGATTATTGAAGATTAAATTAGTAACTAATATTAAATACTTAGAGTACCTAGTATACAGTAAGAAATCAATAAGTGATAGAATTATTGTTATTATTACTGAGCCAGGATAGTATCTGCTCTTACTACACTTAATTCTAAAATCTTTCCTCATATAAATATGGTTAAACCGAATGGTGAGGTTCTATATTGAAAGAAACTAACATTTACTGAGCAACTTTCCAAGTGCCAAGCATTGTATCAGGTACATAAATAACGTGGATTAAACAGCTTTATGTGGACTAATCTGGGAATCTTGCCACCAATTCTATGGGAAAATCTAATTGAATTCTAAACCATGAATTTACAATTTTTAAGAGCCTAACTATAATAAACTAGAAACTGCCTATTCTTTAATAATAAACAAAAACAAAAAGGAAATACTAGAAATAGAAGACAGTGGCCGAGTACAGTGGCTCACATCTGTAACTCCAGCTCTTTGGGAGGCTGAGGCAGGAGGATCACTTCAGTCCAGGAGTTCAAGGCTGCAGTGAGCTATGATTGTGCCACTGTACTCTAGCCTGGGCGACAGAGTGAGATTCTGACTCAACAAAAATTTTTAAAAATACAGCAAAATATGGGGCCTGCCTAGGTATCAATGAAAATATTTTTAAATAGATTATTCACAATAAACATCACTTTTGCATAAGTGAATGGAGTAGATTAATCTATTGTATAATCTTCTTTCTAAGCCTTCCATTCCTTCTCACCTTTCTAATCTTTTCATTGGGACCTTAAACTCCTGCTGCCCAGATCTTCCTCACTTTTCTCACTGAATTCCCATTCTCCACCGAGGAGACAGCTCTCTCACATGGACAGTAATCACCTTACATCCCACTATCTCAGAGTCAAGGTAAGGCTGGTTTCCACTTAACTTCTCAAAACTACTTCCAAGCATTGCTCTTTGTCCTTTTGTGAAATTTCCTGCCCCTGAGGTTTAGGCCTTGTTCTCACAACTCTCAGCTACTAAACCCATACTGTTTGACTTGTAAATTCCATTTAAAAGTACATAACCCAAGGAAATGACTCAAAAAAAAAAAAAAGCTGTACACAATGATCTATATCAGCATCTTAGAAAGGGAATTATAATAATGACAGAAACAAAACATACATTATCAGTGGTGTTTATTAAGCATTGATTACCAAGCCAGATGGCTGTGCTAAGGGCTTTAAATAAACCATCTCATTGAATTTTTAATTCTAAGGGGCAATGATTATTTTATAGATGAAATATCTGAATTTTCAGATATTAAAGTAACTCGTCCAAGGTTATAAAACTGTACATTTAAGTGACAGGTTAGGATTTGTTCCAAGGCTATAGAGTCTAAATCCATGTTCTTCACCATAGAATACAGACTCTTTTCTTAAAAAAAAAAAAAAAAAAAAAAAATACATGGCATGGTGGCCCATGAGTATAATCCCAGCACTTTGGGAGGCCAAGGCAGGTGGATCACCTAAGCTCAGGAATTTGAGACCAGCCTGGGCAACATAGCAAAACCCTATCTCTACCAAAAAAAAAAAAAAAATTAGCCAGGCGTGGTGGTCCGTGCCTGCGGTCCCAGCTACTTGGGAGGCTGATGTGGGAGGATCGCTTGAGCCTGGGAGGTAGAGGTTGCAGTGAGCTGAGATGGTCCCACTGTACTCCAACATGGGTGACAGAGTGAGACCCTGTTTCAAAAAAAAAAAAAAAAAAAAAAAAAAAAAAAACCCAAAACAACAAAAACCCTGGGGGAAAAAAAAACCTAAAGATTGAAAAATGATTAAGTAAATCATAGCATATAAACCTGAATCAATTCTACATAGTTATTAAAAGTAGTATGTAAGGGAACTACACAGAAAAAAAGTAAAGATTTTATGAACTAGTGTCAATCAGAAAAACAACAAGATGATGATAGCTAGAATCTTGTTACAGTGATAAAAAGTTATGGAATTTCATATATGTTATTCATTTATCATTCTACAGCAATGAATAGATTTCAAACCTTCTGCATAAAGGCGTTCTGCGAGGAAAACCGCATCTCGGTAAGCATAGTGGTTTAGTGCTTGCCATATAGCAGCCTGCAAATGGAGGAAAAAGAACATAAATATACATACATACAGACTTTCAAGGTAACTACTAGCACACAGCCTTACATCAAATACTGAAATTAATATCCCTAATTTAAGTGATAAAACCCCAATGCCCACAGAGCAAACTCCAGAGTGTGCCGGGCAAGGCTCTTCACAGTATGGCTCCTAACATATCTGAATTTCCTCACTCAACTCTCTATGGACTTTTAGGCTTCTGTGCCTTTGTACACCCTTTTCCTCCATTGGGCAATGTGGGCTCCCCTCACCAGTCTCCCCTTATAAACTGCTCGTCCCTAAAGATCCAGCTTAAATAACATCTGCCCCATAAAGCTTTCCTGGCTGATGTCAAGCCATTTCTTTTTTAAGATACCTCTTCTAGTAGAGCACTCATAACATGGTTATTTGTTAACAGGACTGCCAACCCTACTAAACTACAGACTTTTAGCAGCAGTGGTTCTCAACCACTTTATGTGATATACATGACAGAGATATTAAAATGTATGTCATCCTCCCACAAAAACTTCCCTATCTATTACCTTTAATGCCACTCAATTCTCATCCACTCCAGGAAGCATATTGGAATGCAAATGAGTAAAGTTATCATAGGAATAACTTTTAATTTTTTGAATATATGTTTTCTCTTTTAGAATTACAAAACATATAACCTAAAGTATATATGAGATAGAAGGACATTTTAAGTAACAATAACCAAAGACATTTAGGCCCATGTACTCACCACCCAGCTTAAGAAATAAAATATCTCTGAAACTCCCTGTGTGTTCCTTGTTGATACCAAAACCTCTCCCTGCCCCAAAGAGGAAACCACCACACTGAATTTTCTTGACCTTTCTCTTGGTTTTCTTCACAATTTTATACATTTGTACATATCATCTCTAAGCAGTATAACATTTACTTTTTCCTGTTTTTGAACTTTAAATAAATACAATCATATTGTATACATTCTGCTACGATTTGCTTTTGAAATCCAATGTTTTGAAAATTCATTCTTGATGTGTGTAGCTAGAGTTCATTTGTTTTCATTGCTGAATAAATAATATTTCCATTGTATAAACATATCAAAATCCAAAATGTATTTTATCTATTTTACAGCATGTGGACATTTGGGTTATTTCTAGGGTGTTTTTTTGTTTTGTTTTGTTTTTCCAATTATAACAATGCTGCAACAGTCTTAGATTCATCTCCTGGGGTATATATTTAAGAATCTCTCCAGCCTATCACGGTGGTGTGAGCCTTTAGTCCCAGCGACTCAGAAGGCTGAGCTGGGAAGACTGCTTGAGTCCAGGAGTTCAAGGCTATGATCATACCTGTGAATAGCTGCTGGAGTGCAATAGGAGCAAGACTCCCATCAAAAAAACACAAAAAAGAATCTCTCCAAATTAGGATATATATTTAGGAATAAAATTACTGGGTTGTTGAATATGCATATGTTCATCTTTACTAGGTAATGTCAAATCATTTTTAGTAATAAACTACTTTTGAGATATCTCACACCTGATCATGATACAAGCGTTATTTTTTATTTTTAGCACATACACCAGCTTATAATTTGTTGAATGATTTAAAAAGGTTACAACGGAAACCAGTAAAATCTGGTTACTGATCACTAGCTAACATTGTACCAGTACATCTAAATTATATTAAGTGATTAATATGCCTTAGATACAGTAAAGGCTCAACAAATTTTGTTGAACAAACAAGTAAATGTTTAATAATTCTGCAATGAGTATATTAATTATAATTTTAAAAATAAAAGTAGTAAATGACTTAGCCCTTTCTATTTCCTCAAGAAAGAACAGTAATGAACTTAGTTTGGGATCTCCAGAGCCTCTTGTTTAACCTTTGTTTATATAGCTTAAATTTTATAAAGTCTCAAAGATGTCTAATTTTACCATTCCTATCTAGATACAAGGAAAAAGATGAGATTAGGCACCATTATTATACACTCTAATTGCACCAAGTACCTTTCCTTTGTAATACTTCCCACTGCTATAATTCTGTATTAATTTAGGAGAGTATTTGAGTGATGTTTTCCTTACTATATTACAAACTCCACAAGGTAGGGGCTACGTCTGTTTTTGCTCATTATTATACTCCCAGTATCCATTATGTGCTTTTAAAGCAGGTGCTTATATGTTGAATGAATAAGCAAATGATCTTTAATTTCTAGCAGTCTTCCACTGTTGACACTCTTGTACGTTAGTCTTAGCATTAAGTTTCTTTGTATTCCTAGATGTATATCTAATAATAAAGAATCTCTGGGAGTCTCTATTGAAAGAAACTCTGTGATAAATAGAAGAATTATTTTATTATGCAAATAATTACCACCAAATTACTCCTTTATGAAATCTGGGATTTCCTAAGAACCTACATGTTTAATTTTGCTGTAAGTGAAAGAAAATGGTGAGTAGAATGAAGATACCAAAGATTTGATGTTTGGAGACGTGCTCAAATTTGTGTGCCAGCACTTCCAGTAGTGGGACTTTGTGGGAAATACTCAACTTTTCTCAGCCTCAATCTCTTCATCTGATAAATGGAGTTTATTTATTGGAGTTGTTTTGTGGATTAAATGAAATGATCCATTTATAATGCTCCTAGTATACTATCATACATTAAGCACTTGGAAAACCTTTTCCTTGCCAATCTCTTAATATAAAGAAATTCAATAAATATGTAGTTTCTGTTGCATAACATCTCCCCAGCATACCTGCTACAACTGCTTATTTTGCAATATATAAGCCACAAAAGACTCAAATGATTTACCAGCTATTTTACTACTATGGACCACTAGGAAAATTTCACACACATATACTAAAGTCAAAAAGTCCTAGAGCTTTGAAATTTTTTCTGTCCTTTTAAAATTAAAGAAATAAGAGGCAAGGGCGGGGGGAAAAAAGAAGGAAAAAAGGTATCATATTCAAGAGTTGTATCCATTTCTGACTTAAAATCAAGCTTTGCTCAGAACATCATTCCCTTATCACCAGTTCTTAAGAGCATCAGAAAAAACTTGCCATCTCGAGAATCTCACATACTGCTTCCATCCCGCTTTGCTCAATCAATTCTAAGTTCCTGACTAACAGTGTCTCTTGTGCCGGGATTGGGGGGAAGAACAGATTATTCTCTAAGGCACTACAGATTAGTAGCTGATGATGAACAGGGCTAAAATCAGCACCTCTGCCCAACTGATGGTGTGGGCCTTCCCTTAAAAGAACACCCAGTGCATTACCGCTAGAGTTCTACAAATTAAAGCCAGATGAACGAAATGCTGCTAAAAGAAAGTTATGAAGCCAAAAAGAACAACGCTCCTCTCCCTCTCCCCTAAAAAATGTTTAAGAGAAATCTGACTGATTAATGGGTTAGTCCCCAGGTGCACTAATTTAAAAGATAAATAAACCAACAGCTTAAAGTTGCAAAATTCCTTACCAGCTAGCTATTCTTAAATATAAAATATTATTTAAAATATAAACAAACCTCTATAAGTTGTACTTAGACTTAAATGTAATCACTATAAATTTTTCTCTTTTTTTTTGAGACAGAGTCTCACTCTGTCACCCAGGCTGGAGTGCAGTGGCGCGATCTCGGCTCACTGCAAGCTCCACCTCCTGGGTTCACGCCATTCTCCTGCCTCAGCCTCCTGAGTAGCTGGGACTACAGGTGCCTGCCACCATGCCCGGCTAATTTTTTTTGTATTTTTAGTAGAGAAGGAATGGTTTCACCCTGTTGGCCAGGATGGTCTCGATCTCCTGACCTCGTGATCCGCCTGCCTCAGCCCCCCAAAGTGCTGGGATTACAGGCGTGAGGCACCGCGCCCGGCCTGTAATCATTATAAATTTTTTGTTAGAGAAAGCTTATTACAAAAAATTTGTTTACTTGTTTTTGTTAAATTTTTTATACATTTTGTGTTCTTGTTTTTGTCAAAAAAGCTGTCTTTATTTTATTTTATTTGTTGGTCTTGAACTCCTTGGCTCAAGTGATCTGTCTGCCTCAGCCTCTGAAAGTGCTGGGATTACAAGCGTGAGCCACTGTGCCCAGTCAGCTGCCCTTTTTTAAAAACCATAAAATAAATGGATAATAAAGGCTTCAGACAATGTAAGAAGATACAAAGAAAAAAATCACTGTTGAAATTTCATATTATACATTATAATTGAATTTCTAGGATACTGATTTAGTTTAGATGCACGTCAGTGGTTCTTACTCTGGGCAATTTTGCCTTCTTACTCCCAATTAATGCCCCAACATTTAGCAATGTCTAGAGGGTATTTTTGGTTGTCACAAATGGAGGGGTCATCCAGTGGTTAGAAGCCAGGGATGCTACAAAACATTCTACAATGCACAGCTTCCAACAAAGTATTAGCTTGCCCCAAATGTCAATAGTGCTCAGATTAAGCAGCCCTGGTCTACATGATCATGCAGTTGGATTATTCTACTAGTCTGTATGTCTAACTCTTGTCTCTTCCTCCCTTTCCAACAGCACCAGATAAATATTCCCAAAGTGGTGCTTTTATTACATAATTCCTCTGCTCAAAAACTCTTCTGCTCATATAATGGTTATTCATTACCAATGCACATTAAATCTAAATTTCTCATTGAGTAGCCAAAATATGTTACTCTTTGAATCCATGTTAGATGCTGTCCCTGAACATTTTATCCCCAGCCAAGAGTACTCCTTCACCATCTAATGATCTCTAAAACAGTATCATGTATATAGTACCCAATTGCTATATTGCTTATTAAATTAATTTTCGAAAGGCTTATTTACAACTTCATCCAACACTTCTGTGAAGTCTTACCCCTAGGAATAATTGCTAAATCTATATAAAATCTCTTTGCTTCTTTTTTAAAAACCAATTTCACCAGGTGACTTTTATAAATATTCAAAAAGCTCTCACTGAAGTCACTTAGGCTAGTGTGTCTTTCCAAATAGTTACCATTAAAAATAAAAGAACTGACAGAAATTCTGCCTCATATGTGAGACTTTTGTAAGGACTCAAATATAAAGTAATACTCTTCTGAGAGGTAGTAATTTGAGACGGAGTTTTAATTTAGGCATATATGGTATATCGGACTGGCCATTCTACATTAAAACTTTAAAGAAAAAAAAATGCAGAAAACAGTTCTTCATATTTTCTGTGAACTTTTTCCTATGCCTAGTAATACCATCAACTCTGAGGCATTCCAAGAAAGAACAATTTTCCAACTTACTCTCATTGCTTTCCAAATACACGCAATCTGTCATCATAGTTTTTTTTTTAATAAAGACAGTATCTTATATATCTGTCCTATTTTTATTCTCTTCCTAATTCTTTCCCATTTGCAGCACTATCCCTGATCATTGATCTTTATCATTGTAGCCAAAGTTGCTTGTTCTTCTCACTGTTCCAAATCCATTCTTGAATGGCTTCTTATACTATACAACCAAAATTTTCACCTAGTCATATCCTAAAACTTTCTACCACTATCTCAAAAATCTAATGGACAATGCTGCTATGAAAAAGAAGCAAATTTGACATTTAAGCCTTAAAAATATCAAAGTGTATTACTGCTCAGAGTACTTTAAGGACAAACAGGAAACCTGATGGGTACTATCTAGAAACAGGCTACATATTCCTTTTCTTTTCCATGCTTTTATTTTTTATTTATTTATTTATTTTGAGATGGAGTCTCACTCTGTCGCCCAGGCTGGAGTGCAGCGGGACCATGTCGGCTCACTGCAAACTCCATCTCCTGGGTTCAGGCAATTCTCCTGCCTCAGCCTCCCAAGTAGCTGGGATTACAGGCGCCCACCACCACGCCTGGCTAATTTTTTATATTTTTAGTAGAGACAGGGTTTCACTGTGTTGGCCAGGCAGGTCTCGAACTCCTGACCTCAGGTGATCCACCCGCCTCAGCCTCCCAAAGTGCTGGGATTTCAGGTGTAAGCCACCACGCCCGGCCTTCCATGCTTTTATAAAGTCTGAAATTATTATTAAATGGTGGTTATAGTCTATCAATGCAACTAGTTTATCACTTTAGAAGACTTCTGGGGCCAGAGAAGGCAAAAAAAAAAAAATCATTAACTATTAAAACAAAATTATAAGAATATGCAACAGAAATTAAATAACTTGAGTAATCTGCTTATCTATTTAAGTTCATGTTAGGCCTTAAAAAATTATATATATATAATTACCTCATCTACAGCCAGAATAAAAAAAAATCTTAAAAGAAACTATACTGGTAAAAAGAATTTGGATGGAAATAGCTCTAGAAAAACTAATACAACTTACAGACAGGTAAATTTCATAAGATATAATCTTACGTTTTATTAATTCAAACACTAATAGCTGCTATATGTAAACAGCTGGAGAAAAAAACCAAACTAGAAGAAATGAGTATTTCATGCTGTTTAGAAAAATGAAATAAATATGAAAGTAGTGATATATTAAAATATTTACTGTTTGATACCTCAAGCCTTTTAAGGGCAATATGAAGGAATTTCTAAAAATCAGTTTGCTTTATAACTTCAAAATAAAGTCCATGACTCAATGACAGCAGTTGATAGAGGTCAATTCTGATCAAGTTAAAGATCATATAGTGGGATGAAGTCTCCCAGACCTGGTCCATTACCAAGGCACAAAAGATACAGTTTCTCCAGATGTCAGGGGGGAAAATGACTTGGCACCGCATCACACACTTAAAATCCAATAGGGTTCCTTTAATGCAACACAGCACTGTGCGTCAAAGCATACCCTGGTGTAAAGGCAGTGAAATGGACAGAAACACCATTATTTGTGTTTCATTTCCTGAATGCCTTATAAACATGCACAACAAAATGCTCCTGATCCCCATCAGAGAGGATGAAAACAACCCAAATGTGCCCTTTCCACCTCCTCCCCTGGTATTGGTGCTTGCGCCTCAGCACTGAGGCTTGGAGTTGTCTTCTCAAACCATCATTGTCCGGTGGGAAATTCACCGAGAAAGGAAACGTGGGATAGGAAGTCTGTTACCAAAATAGAAATTAGTATTAAAAAGACCGATCCTACGCTCCCTCCACCCTCTCATACAAGACAAAATAAAAAAAACCTCCGTAAACTTGCCCTACCGTCACGAAGATCACACAAGCTCCGATCAAATGTGCTTCTCGATCATCTTTTAGGCAAGAGAGCGCTTGGGGTGCATTTTCGGCCCCTCATCTCCCACCCCCAGTCAAGCCAGGCCCCTGGACTGACAGGAAAGGCTGGCCGGACGTTGGCTCGGACGGGAAAGGCGGTTATTTTCGCCGAAGCCGCTCACGCTAAGGGTGAAGTAATGTAGGGCCAGAGGTAACACGGCTTAGGCTGTGGGCAAGGCCTCCGAACTGACTAAAGATAGGCAGGACACGGCAGCAGGGGAGGCGGGAGAAGCAGCCGGGCCTAGGCCGCACCAGGCCGCGGAGTGGCCCTACGCTGCTGCTTCCCGACCGAGGCTGCCAGCCAAGCCCCAGAGAAGAAGGTTATCATTACCTGGACGGGTTCCTGCAGCACCGTCATCCTCGAGGCTCAGGCCCACTTTCTGCAGTGCCTCAGGCCCCCCCTGTAGCGGCTCCGGCCCGGCCAGCCCCTGCTCATTTAAACTCACCAGCGACCGTTACCGGGGGATGGGGGAGGCCGAGCGATTGCCGAGTGCTTCCGAGCGGGACACGGGAATACCCGAAGTGGAGAAAGCCGAGCGGGAACCAGACGGAAAAGCCCGAAGGGAGTCGGAAATACCCGAGGTTGGTCGACGAGAGAGAAAACCGTTGCCGGAAATTGTCGAAGATTACCGGAAGCTACCGAGTCTGACCCAAAGCGTAGGTTTCTCTTCTCAGCCACGCCTTCAGCCACGCACACCACGCCCAATCGGCCGTCCCAGGGTTGGGCTACGCCAAATCTGCAACCAGCAGGCTGGGCGTGGCGTGACAGCGCGGGCGGGTAGCGTTACGTGGCGGGGCTGCAGTGTGGATTAGCCCCTCAGCCCTTTTGGATTAATTGGTGTGCTGTAGATTATGAAGCAAAGGGTGAAACAGCAGAGTTTGGGGCTGTCTTTAATGAATCAACAAGTATTTGTCTATTGAGTTTAGATCATTCGTCCATTCCAGAAGTATCTACTCACGGCTCTGGGGGAAAGCTAAAGAAATTTGGAAAGATTGCCACTCCCCAAAGACATAGGATAGCTTCTGTCTTCAAGGAGATTAAGGTCTATTTAAGGGAAAAGCAGTGTAACAGAGAACGCTATATTATATGGTGCCTATTATAAGTAATATAAAAATTCAGAGAGGGCAATTGTGATAAGATAAGGAAAGTTCTATGGAAGGAAAAAAAAGTTTAAAATGGAGTTTGAAGGATGGGTAAAATTAGAGGAAAAAGAAGTATAGGAAAGTGAAGGGAGGAAAAATGGGATCAGTCTGCTAAGAAGGCATTAATTGGAAATAGTTACTTAGGTGAAGAGATCATGGAAAAGCTCAATAGGCCATTAGAAATTTTTATTTTTGATAGGTGAGGCATTCCGCTGTGGTGGGAAGAGTAGGGGGTCGGAAATTCAGAGGCCTGGTTTTGAATTTTATCTTTAGCACTAACTAGTCATAGGTCCTTGGCAAATTACCTCTCTGAACTTATGTTCGCTTAGTTTGAAAAAAAAGGATTAAGAGAATTCGATGTATTATAAATGTGGCCGTGTCTAGCATGCAATGTAGACTCTCTCATATTTCCTTTCTGCTCCCCTTCTCCCCCCAAAAAGAGTGAACCAGGGGACTGTTTAAATTTTGTTTTTCAGCAGATGAGGAAACAGTTTTTGAAAGTTACTTTTCTAGTCAGGAGCTCTCTAGGCTAGATGTGAGAATCATGATATATTCCATTGCTTGGAAATTTCCCTTTGGGTGATGTTAGAGGGAGATATTTTTTCTTTCATTTTTAAAAACAAGGCTGACAGAGCTACACTGCATCCTTCTCCACCGCCTTGTCTTGTCACTGTATATATACTTATAGCCCCTAAAGGGCAGGTGCTAAGATGATTTTTGGCTGCCCTGTGCCCAGTTGCTTTAGCGGGATTATGCTGGATGACTTGAGTGGTAACAGACTTTTACACTGGCCTGGAAAGTAGCCATTAGCTATTTAAAGTTTAAGTTAAAATGAAATTAAAAATGAAGTTCTTCAGATGCCCTAGCCACATTCCAAGGATTCAGTAGCCCTGTATGTGGCTAGTGACTGCCATATTGGACAGTCACACAGATATAGAAGAACATCACCAGCACTGGCTTGGCTAGGGCTGAAAGATTCAAGATGGCTTCACTCACATGTCTAGGGTGTCAGTGGTAGCTATTGGCTGGGTCCTTCATTTCTTCTCTGCATGACCTCTCTTTTCACACTGGCCTCTTATGAGTCAGTAGTTTAGCTCCAGCTTCTTGACTTGGTGGTTGACAACAAAGTGCGCAAAAATAGAAGCTGTGAGGTCCCTTAGGCCTAGGCCTGTGAGCATCACTTCTTGTTGGTCAGAGTAAGACTCAGAGCCACCCTGGATTCACCAGGAGGAATAGTCTACTTCTTAATGGGAAGAGTGGCAAAGTAACACCACAAAGGGCGTGTGCCATGGGAGGAGTTTTTGGGTCATCTTTGGAAACAATCTACCACGCTAGATATGAGATGAGAGTATCTAAGATTGGGAATGGAAAGAAAGGGATAAGTAAGAGCTATCACTCTTAAAATGTGACCCTTTCAACTGAACACAGTACTCCAGATTTATTCTGAATAATTCAGAATGCAGTTGGACTATTATTATCTGGACACGTCTATTAAAGTGGACTACAGTTGTATTTACATTTTTTTTTTCCGAGACTGAGTCTTGCTCTGTTGCCCAGAGCTGGAGTGTAATGGCGCAATCTCGGCTGACTGCGTCCTCCGCCTCCGGGGTTCAAGCAATTCTCCTGTCTCAACGTCCCGAGTAGCTGGGATTGCAGGTGCGCACCACCACGCCCGGTTAATTTTTGTATTTTTAGTAGAGACGGGGTTTCACCATGTTGGCCAGGCTGGTCTCAAACTCCTGATCTCATGATCCACCCATCTCGGCCTCCCAAAGTGCTGGGATTACAGGTGTGAGCCACTGTGCCCAGCCTGTATTTACATTTTTTAGCAGTCACATGACACTGTTTGCTCATGCTAAACTTGTGTGGTCATTTACGGACTCAGCTCTTTTTCACACAACATGCTGCCAACCCAAGTCTTGTATGTGTGCAGCAGAGTTTTGTAAACCTAAATATAGGACCTTACCACAGAGGATACATAAAGATGATACTTTGTGAAAATATGGATCTAGAGTCAGCATTTAAAGAGCCTCTGATGCTTGGCACTCTGGCTTATAGGCTTAGAATTTGCCTAAAGCCTTTTTTCTTTTTTTAACCTAAAAAAGAGCATTTCCTGGCTGGGTGAGGTGGCTCACGCCTGTAATCCCAACACTTTGGGAGGCCAATGCAGACGGATCACCTGAGGTCAGGCGTTCCAGACCAGCCTGACCAACATGGAGAAAACCTGTCTCTACTAAAAATACCAAATTAGCTGGGCGTGGTGGCACATGCCTGTAATCCCAGCTACTTGGGAGGCTGAGGCAGGAGAATCGCTTGAACCTGGGAGGTGGAGGTTGCGGTGAGCTGAGATTGCGCCATTGTTCTCCAGCCTGGGCAACAAGAGCAAAACTCCGTCTCAAAAAAAAAAAAAGGCCAGGCGCGTTGGCTCACGCCTGTAATCCCAGCACTTTAGGAGGCCAAGGCGGGCAGATCACAAGGTCAGGAGATCGAGACCATCCTGGCTAACACAGTGAAACCCCATCTCTACTAAAAATACAAAAAATTGGCCGGGCGTGGTGGTGGGCACCTGTGGTCCCCAGCTGCTGGGGAGGCTGAGGCAGGAGAATGGCGTGAATCTGGGAGGCGGAGCTTGCGGTGAGCTGAGATCGGGCCACTGCACTCCAGCCTGGGTGACAGTGCAAGACTGTGTCTCAAAAAAAAAAAAGCATCTCCTTTCTGATTGTTGTTGACCAGGCTAATACATCTGTTGTGGTTTCTACTCATCCACAGCAAAGCCACATTGTTTGAAGTACTTTGATGGGGTATTTTGGAGTGTTTTTACTTCCTTCTCTGCTCCTAATTGACCTACTTAAACTCGCTATTCATCAACCACTTGGGCATCCTGCTGTCATCCGTTATCCAATATGTTTGGCTAGTGAGTGGAGTTGGGTTACAACAGCATTATTCCAAAAATGGAATTGGAAAATTATTTTTTCTCCTAAGCCTGCTTCTTGGTCTATTTCATATTCAGTCAGATTTGGAGGCTGGCATTTAGGGAACTATTCAAAAAGCTAGACGTGATATCAGTAGCAAAATGTAGGTCCCACTGAAACATAGCCCAGAGTAAGTGTACTCTCCTGAAGTCTTTCAGTCCTCCTTGTCTGTACCCTTCATTTTGTCCCTGTTGCGTGCGGTTTTATGGCCTCCTTACCTGACCTTGCACCCCACCACCCCCACCCCACCCTCACCATGTTTACTCTTTGGTCAAATCATCCTCTTCTTTTGGCTTCTCTAATGACACCATCTCCTAGCTTTCCTCCTACTGCTCTGTTTTTGTTTGTTTGTTTGTTTGAGAGAGTCTCGCTCTGTCACCCAGGCTGGAGTGCAATGGCGCTATCTCGGCTCACTGCAGCCTCCGTCTCCTGGGTTCAAGCGATTCTCCTGCCTCAGCCCCCTGAGTAGCTGAATTTACAGGTGTGCGCCACCACACCCAGCTAATTTTTGTATTTTCAGTAGAGACGGAGTTTCGCCATGTTGGCTGGGCTGGTCTCGAACTCTTGACCTCAAGTGATCTGCCTGCCTCAGCCTTCCAAAATGCTGGGATTACAGGCATGAGCCACTGCGCCTGGCCTACTGCTCTGTTTTTTAATCGGTTTCCTTTGCAGCTCCTCTGCCAGCCCCTTTAATATTAAGCATGCTTCAAGGACCTGTTCTAGGCCTTCTTCTCACCCACCCTACACATTCTTCTTAGGCAAAACTATCCTTTCTTTCTTTCTTTCCTTCCTTCCTTCCTTCCTTTCTTTCTTTCTTCCTTTTTCTTTCTCTTTCCTTTCTTTTGAGACAGAGTCTCACTCTGTCACCCAGGCTGGAGTGCAGTGGTGTGATCTCAGCCCGCTGCAACCTCCACCTCCCAGGTTCAAGCGATTCTCCTGCCTCAGCCTCCCGAGTAGCTGGGACCACAGGCACACGCCACCATGCCAGGCTAATTTTTGCATTTTTAGTAGAGATGGGGTTTCGCCATGTTGGCCAGGCTGGTCTCCTGACCTTAGGTGATCCACCCACCTTGGCCTCCCAAAGTGCTGGGATTACAGGCGTAAGCCACCATACCCCGCCCCTATCCATTCTTGTGGCCCCAGTTTCTCATCTACAAATGGTTTGAAAAATTTGTATCTCCAGCCAGACTACTTTTTAGAGCTCCAGGCCCAAATGACTAACTGCCAAGAGGACACCTTTATCTGGATGTCTCATAGGTACTTTGTTCGGAATGGAACCCCTCATTGTCTTAAAATATTTCCTATCCCAGTTTAAGATATCACCATCTTTTCCATTGCCCAAAAGATTAGATAAGGGTTAGTTTAACAAGGTTTGTACAGATTTATTCCCAGCCTCAGCTCTGTCTCTGGTGATAAGAATGGCTTTCTCCTGGTACAAGGAGGGCATCTTTCACATGGAGTTTTATCTACTGGTTTCAGTAAGAAAAAGGAAGGCCAGAGTGCTCTTCTTGCATATGCTGTTTTTCAAGTGTATATTATTCTCAAAATAATCCTTATGCCAAAGTGGCATATATCAGTGTGGCATATTTTGACTCTACAACTCCAATATCTAGTCGCAACGACCTGCCAATTTTACCTCCTAAATATATCTTCATGTTTCTTCCTTCCTGTATCTTATCTACCTCCAAAAATAAGTCTGATCATGTTAGGACTCCTCTCCCTGTCTTCCCCCACCCCCCAAATTCAGGACTTACCTTCAGGTCTAGTAGCTGCCTCTTTATTCAGCCTTATCTCACTCATGTCTCCTTTATAGTCCACCTTCCAATTACATAGAATTTTTTTTTTTTGAGACAGGGTCTCTGTGTTCCACCCAGGTTGGAAGCTTACTGTAGCCTTAACCTCCCAGGCTCAAGTGATCCTCTCACCTTAGCTTCCCAAGTAGCTGGGACTACAGGTGCATGCCACCACGCCTGGCTATTTTTTGTATCCTTTGTAGAGACGGGGTTTTGCCATGTTGCTCAGGCTCTTCTCGAACTCCTGAGCTCAAGTGGTCCACCCGTCTCAGCCTCCCAAAGTGCTGGGATTACAGGCGTGAGCCACGGTGCCCAGCCCCTTCATGGAACTTTTTTTTTTTTTTTTTTTTTTTGAGACAGAGTCTCACTGTTGTCACCCAGGCTGGAGTGCAATGGTGCACTCTTGGCTCACTGCAAACTCTGCCTCCCGGGTTCAAGCAATTCTCCTGCCTCAGGCTCCTAAGTAAGTAGCTGGGATTACAGGTGCATGCCACCACAGTGGGCTAATTTTTTTTTTTTTTTTTGAGACGGGGTTTTGCTCTTGTTGCCCAGGCTGGAGTGCAATGGCATGATCTTGGCTCACCGCAACCTCTGCCTCCCAGGTTCAAGCGATTCTCCTGCCTCAGCCTCCCAAGTAGCTGGGATTACAGGCATAGACCACCATGCCCAGCTAATTTTGTATTTTTAGTAGAGACGGGGTGTCTCCATGTTGGTCAGGCTGGCCTCGAACTCCCGACTTCAGGTGATCTGCCCGCCTTGGCCTCCCAAAGTGTTGGAATTACAGGTGTGAGCCACCGTGCCCAGCCAAGTATTTTTAGTAGAGACTGGGTTTTACCATGTTGGCCAGGCTGGTCTCCAACTCCTGATCTCAGGTGATCCGCCTGCCATGGCCTCCCAAAATCACCCACTCTCTTGCCTCACAGGCTTTGCATGTACTGCACTCTCCCCAGAACCCTCTTAATTCCACTCTTCATCTTAATTCTATTCTTCATCTGGCTAGCTCTGCTTATCCTCCAAATATACTTCTTCCAGGCCTTTTCTGCTCCTCTGGGATAGCTTGGCTCTCCCTGCTGTTACTCTAGTGCTACCAGACTTGTCATTACTCCCATCACTCTTTGCTGTAATTAATTATCTGTTTAATTGTCTACTTCTGGTCTAGTCTATAAGCTCCATGAGGGCAGAAGCCCTGTCTGCCTTGTTCCCTGTGTATTCTCAACACTTAGTACAGTATCTGGCATCTAATGGGAACTTAGTATTATTTGTTTAATGAATGAATAGAATAAACTCACTGTGTTCCTAGTATTATTTTTGTTTGTTGATTGATGTTATAGACTGGTTGCATCTCCTCAAAATTCATATGTTGAAGCTAACCCCTAGTGTGGCTGTATTTGGACATGGGGTCTCTAAGAAAGTGATTAAAGTTAAATGATATCATAAAGATGGGGCCCTGATCCGACAGAATTAGTGTCCTTATAAAAAGATGCACAGGAAAGTTTGATCTCTCTGTGGGCATTCACCAAAGAAGGGTCATAGGAGGACACAGGGAAAAGGCCAACATCTAGGAAGAGAGCCCTCACCAGAATCTGTTTTGCCAGCACTTTGATCATGGACCTCTAGCCTCCAGAACCATGAGAAAATAAATCTCTAATGTTCAAGCCACCCGGTGTGTGGTATGTTGTTATGGCAAGCCCAGGTAGACTTATATAATTGATTATTCTGTTTATGTCTTGTCTCCCTAATGCAAGGGCCAAGTCTTATATTTCTGTATATTGTTCTTTGAAAAACACCACATATGTAGAAAATTCTTAAGAAATATATTGACTGAGTGATTAAAGTGGAAGTCTTTCTACATATTATTCTTTCTTCCTGAAATACATTTCCCTTACTCTTTGACCAGTGAAATTCTATTTATTCTTCAAGCCTCAGCTTCAGTATCACATCCTCAGAATATTCCTAGACCTACCTAATTTAAATTCTTAGCTCCAGCCTGTTATTCTCTCTCATGCCATTTTTGTTCTTTTCTTTCATAGTATGTATGGTAATTTTAATCGTATTTGTTTAATATAAGCTGCATTGAAGGCAGGGACCTTGGTTTGAACATTATGTCCCCATCACCTAGTTCAGTGCCCTGCACAAATATTATAAAATATATAAATATTTTTTGTTGTTGTTGTTTTGCTAAAATATTATAATATTTCGCTCTTGTTTCGTTAAAATATTGTAAATATATAAATATTTTTGAAATATCTGATGATTGAATGACTTGATGACTTAATTTCATCTCACTGATCTAAACATGATGCTTTTTTTTTGACTCCCCCTTTCTGGGCCCAGAGAACATGCTGGTCTTGCACATAAATCCTTAAAGGGTTTTTTTTTTTTTTTTTTTTTTTTGAGACAGAGTCTCGCACTGTCGCCCAGGCTGGAGTGCAGTGGCGCTATCTCGGCTCACTGCAAGCTCCACCTCCCGGGTTCATGTCATTCTCCTGCTTCAGCCTCCCGAGTAGCTGGGACTATAGGCGCCCGCCACCACGCCTGGCTAATTTTTTGTATTTTGAGTAGAGATAGGGTTTCACCGTGTTAGCCAGGATGGTCTCGATCTCCTGACTTCGTGATCTGCCAGCCTTGGCCTCCCAAAGTGCTGAGATTACAGGCATGAGCCACCGCACCCGGCCAAATCCTTAAGGGATTTAAAGTCAAGGCAGTATCTGAAGTATTGAGACTATTCAGAAAATGCATCTTGATTGAGATGAGCTCCGAGATGTGCTAAATGGCGTATGACTAGGGCGCCTAGGGCTGACTCAAAAGCACAGGGAAATAAACTACAGACAGCCCCCAAGTTATGATTTTTTGACTTTATGATGGTGTAGAAGCAATGTGCAGTCAGTAGAAACTGTACTTCAGATACCTATACAACCATTCTGTGTCTCACTTTCAGTACAGTATTCAATACATGAGATTCAGCACTTCATTATAAAATAGGATTTGTGTTAGATAGCTTTGCCCAACTGTAGGCTAAGGTGAGTGTTCTAAGCACGTTTAAGGTAGGCTTTGCTAAACTATGATGTTCAGTAGGTTAGGTGTATTAAATGCATTTTTGACTTGATATTGTCAACTGATGGTGGGGAGCATCTGTAATAAAGGCAGGAGACTATAAGCAAATTAGCTTGTCTGGACTGGAGGCTGTATAAGCTTGGTTGAAATGGTGGTGTTGGGGACAGCTGATAAAAACCTTTGGGTTCCTGGCTGATGACTTTAGTTTTGATAAAATAGACCAAAGGAGCTGTTGATGATGATTGAGCTGGAGAGTGACCTCATGAGACCAGAATTTGAAAAAGATTATGCTAACAGCTGAGGATTATGTGCATTGGAGGAGAGAAAGACTAGGGGCTAGGAATGCAGCAGAGAGGCTGCCAGGGAGTCTGGGCAACTCTGAATATTCACTATTCTAGGATCTTAGATGGTTGAATCTGAAAAAAGATAGAAAATTTAAACAGTTTTGAGTTACTAACTTAAAATGAGAAATATTCTTATCCAATTCCTTGACCTGAAGGCATTCAGATTCTAACCAGAAGACTGCTTACTGAGTACAGACTTAGAACAAAAAGAGTAAATTTAATGATCTTAGTGGCTGTCATCTCTTTTTTTCCTCAGAAGTGACGTATATACCTGACTACTAGATAAAAAATATCTATAGCATCTGGAGTGGATGCCCACCAAATAATAGATTATTTGCTTCTCTCTTTTCTAACTAGGCTCTAAGCAGCCTCATTTTTTCTCTGGGTAAATTGCAGAGCAATGGATTAAACACAGATTGATTATATTTTAGTATTCAGTTTACACCGTAGCTGTCTTGAATAGACTTTGTTTTTGTTACAGATATGTGATTTGGGAGATAGAGGCTGATCTAGGTTTAAACCAGACTGAGTTGGGAGAGCCTCAGATGAGAAATATCCAAAGGTTAATTGAAAACGTGAAGCTTGGCCAGGCGCAGTAGCTCACGCCTGTGATCCCAGCACTTTGGAAGTTCAGGAGGATCACTCGAGGCCAGGAGTTCGAGAACACCCTGGGCAACAAAGAGAGACCCTCATTTCTACAAAAAAAATAAAAAAAACTAGCCAGGCATGGTTGTGTATGCCTCTAGTCTTAGCTACTTGGGAGGCTGAGGTGGGAGGATCTCTTGAGCCTAGAAGTTCGAAGTTGCAGTGAGTTAAAATTATAGCACTGTATGGCCAGGCATGGTGGCTCTCACCTGTAATCCCAGCACTTTGGGAGGCCGAGGCAGGCGGATCACGAGGTTGGGAGATCAACACCATCCTGGCTAACAAGGTGAAACCCCGTCTTTACTAAAAAAAAAAAAAATACAAATTTAGCCGGGCGTGGTGGCGGGCGCCTGTAGTCCCAGCTACTTGGGAGGCTGAGGCAGGAGAATGGTGTGACCCCCAGAAGTGGACCTTGCAATGAGCCAAGATTGTGCCACTGCACTCCAGCCTGGGCAACAGAGCAAGACTCTGTCTCAAAAAAAAAAAAAAATTATACCACTGTATTCCAGCTGGAGAGATAGAGCAAGACTTTGTCTCAAAAAAAAAAAAAACCCCAGAAAAACAAATAAACAAACAAGGAAAGAATTTGGGACTGGAGAGAGAGTTTTCAGGCAGAACTAAAAGCATCTTTTAGTTGCGCACCTTCTTTCAGTTGTACGATCCTCCCGCCTTGGCCTCCCAAAGTACTGGGATTATAGGCATGAGCCACTGTGCCCAGCCTGCAGGTACTTCTACTAAGATGAATAAGAGACCATTCCTGGCCCCAAGGAGCTCACTGTCTGGTGTAGAGGATGCAGACATACAAATACGTAGTTTTAATATAATGATAAATAGTTTCACAAAGATTTTACAAGGCATTACATTAACAAATGTGTACCTGTAATCCCAGCTTCTTGGAGACCCTGTCTCAAAAAAAAAAAAAAAGTACCTGCATATTGTAGGTGCTCAATACATGTTAGTTGTAGTAAAGTCTTTTTTTTTTTTTTTTTTTTGAGACAGGGTCTCTGTCACTCGCGCTGTAAAGCAGTGGCGCCATCTCAGCTCACTGCAACCTCTGCTTCCTGGGTTCAACCGATCCTCCCACCTCAGCCTCTGGAGTAGCTGGGACTACAGGCATGTGCCACCATACCTGGCTAATTTTTGTGGGTTTTTTTTTGTAGAGACAGGGTTTCGCCATGTTACCCAGGCAGGTCTCGAATTCCTGGGCTCAAGCGATCCACCTGCCTTGGCCTCCCAAAGTGCTGGAATTATAGATGTGAGCCACCACGCCTGGCCTCAATAAGTGTTAGTTGAATGAATGAATGAGAGTAATCTGAATGAGGGAGAGGAGAGTTGGTGGCAGAATTTTGGTGTTACAAGCATAGCAGAGAAGGCCCAAGACAAGCACACTAGATCTAGTCACAGGGAAGTCACTGGTGGTGTGCTAGAGAGGAAGTCAGAATTCAAGAAGTAAAAGAGGAAGTCAGTGGAAAGGGAAACTGAGAAGAAAGAATAATCTTTAGCATTAAAAATATATCCCCAATTGCTGAGAAAGGATTTAGGCTCTTTTTGCTTACTGAGAGATACCCATGCTGTGGGTTCCAGGGCCGTCTCTTCTACTGATGTCTCCTTGCTTCCTTGCCCCCTTGGGGGCTAAGCTTCTCCGTCAGAGAACCCTTTTGTCAGTTCTGCCAGCTCCCATGGTTGTCTTAGCATCCTGCATTCTAGTCTCAGGTCGGTCATAACTCAGTGTGACGTTGGGCAAGTCACCCCCTTCTCTCTGGACCTCTGAAGTTCCTTGTAGCTGTTAGCATATCTGGGATGATGCAGTTTGGATGACTGGTGAGGATTCCAACTTGCTCTCTGCTGCTTTGCAACTATAAATCTCTGCCAAACACCAGCTATCCTGCCCTCTGCTTTAGATCCCTAGGTAGACTCTAACCCACCTTAGGCAGGCTCCCTCCCAGTGTCCTTCTCACAGGATTCAGTTCACACATATGTCACTAGACAGCACTGCCTTGACTGCAGTACAGAAATGAGCTTCAACCATTTAAACAATTGAGTGATGAGGCTGAACATATAGCATTCTCCACCTATGCTAAAGCAGTCAAGGAAATGAAGTTTGAGAGGATGATTTAAAGTGTTGGCTGGGCGCTATGGCTCATTCCTGTAATCCCAGCACTTTGGGAGGCCAAGGCAGGTGGATCACTTGAGGTCAGGAGTTTGAGACCATCCTGGCCAACATGGTGAAACCCTGTCTCTACTAAAAATACAAAAATTAGCTGGGCATGGTGGCGGGCACCTGTAATCCCAGCTACTGAGGAGGCTGAGGCAGAAGAATCGCTTGAACTAGGGAGGCAGAGGTTGCAGTAAGAGATCGAGCCACTGCACTCCAGCCTGGGTGACAGAGTGAGACTCCGTCTCAAAAAATAAATAAGTAAAAAATAAAGTGTTGTGATAGCTAGTTTTACTGTGGTCCTTGAACTTTGATTTTAGACACCTTTCCCCTCCTTTTCTGCTTTCATTTTTGGTGTTCTGGGCCTTATGAATTATTGAGCCTTCAGGTGATTCATTGCTTTTTTTTTCCTCCCTCCTTGGTGGGAAGGATTCTTATATACAGAGGATTGGGTTAATCATTCTCCTGATTTATGGCCTTCTTTCTTCAGTGGTCCATGCAACGCCTTTCTTGTTTAATTACTTATTTCTTTTCTTTTTTTTTTTTCTTTTTTGAGGCGGAGTTTTGCTCTTGTTGCCCAGGCTGCAGTGCAATGGCACGATCTGCTCACTGCAACCTCCGCCTCTCCCAGGTTCAAGTGATTCTCATGCCTCAGTCTCCCAAGTAGCTGAGATTACAGGCATGAGCCACAGCACCTGGCTAATTTTGTATTTTTAGTAGAGACGAGGTTTCTCCATGTTGGTCAGGCTGGTCTCAAACTCCTGACCTCAGGTGATCCGCCCGCCTCGGCCTCCCAAAGTGCCAGGATTATAGGCGTGAGCCACTGCACCTGGCCGGATTACTTATTTATTTTCTTTTATCTCATTGACCCAGCCATCCAAACCACACCCACTCTAGGCAATTATTGAATACTTTTAATGTGTATTTTTTTGTTTGTATGTGTTCTTGGATAATGGGTAATGCTTCTAGTATGTGTGTATTATTAAAAATTTTAATAATATTTAGCTCAATACACCCAAAATGTTATCATTTCAACATGTAATCAATATGAGATATGTTACATTCTTCTTTGTCTTCTTTTTTGAGATGGAGTCTCATTCTGTCGCCCAGGCTGGAGTGCAGTGGCTCGATCTCGGCTCACTGCAATCTCCACCTCCGGCATTCAAGTGATTCTCCTGCCTCAGCCTCCCGAGTAGCTGGGATTACAGGCACGTGCCACCACGCCCAACTAATTTTTGTATTTTTAGTAGAGAAGGGGTTTCACCATGTTGGCCAGGCTGGTCTCAAACTCCTGACCTGAAGTGATCCACCTGCCTTGGCCTCCCAAAGTGTTGGGATTACAGGCATGAGCCACTGTGCCAGGCCCACATTCTTTTTTTGTACTTCAAAATCCAGTATGTATTTTACTGTTATAGCATATCTCAATTTGGATGGTAAATTTTCATTATAAACACTTAATCTGTATTTAGATTTCATAAAATGCACAGTCGAAAAAGTAGATTCATATACCTAAGTTGTCCCAAGCATACTTAAAAGTTTTCTAATAATCAAATATCAAAAAAGTATTTTTCTTTAATGTTTACATGCAAACTGACAAAACTACTTCATATTAGTCATATTAGTCATATTTATTTTAGCAGAATTGACTTGACTTTGAAGCAAAAACATATCAGTTTTAAAACTACATCTGTCCAAATTAAGTAAATTCACTAACTCTTCTGTCAACTCAGTATCATTAACACGAAATTCAAAGAGGTATTGTATAAATTGAAAAAGCAACTCTAAATTTATTAATATCAACAAAAGCAACTCTAAATTTATTAATATCAACAAAGCATTATTTAAACTTTTCTTGTTTTTGTAGCCAATTTACATAATACTGTTTATTACAATTAGAATCTTCTGCATACTTACATTGAAATAATGTATATTGATTTGTATTGTGAAAGGTTTCAATTTGAGCATAAATTCCTTCACCTATCTAGATAAGTCAGAGATGTTTTCTTTCCTTGAAGCTTAAATTTATTTATTTATTTATTTATTTACTTATAGACAGAGTCTCATTCTGTTGCCCAGGCTGGAGTGCAGTGGTACAATCTCGGCTCACTGCAGCCCTGCTTCCCTAGTTCAAGCAATTCTCTTGTCTCAGCCTCCTGAGTATCTGGAATTACAGGCATGCACTGCCATGCCCAGCTGATTTTTGTATTTTTAGTAGAGACAGGGTTTCACCATGTTGGCCAGGCTGGTCTTGAACTCCTGACCTCAAGTGATCTGCCTGCCTCAGCCTCCCAAAGTGCTGGGAATACTGGGCTAAAACATTTCGACTTCTATCTTTCATATCCCTTTTTTTAAATTGTCAATTAAATGTAAACGTACTATCCTCCATATCTCTTAGCTTTTCTTTTATGTTTTCTATTTCTTTGCCCTCTTTTTTCTTCTGGGAGATAGTCTTTCTTGTTTTTCAATTCCCTAATTTGTTTCCCAGCTATATCTATTCTGCCACTTTTCAAATCTATTATGTGCTCTATTTTGGTGATTACTTTTTCATACATAAGATATCTGCTTGTTTTTTAAAAATATTTTTTCTTATTTCATCTATTATACTTTTTATAGTTGATATTCTGTTTGTTCTTTACATTTTCTTGTCCTGGTGTCATATTAGTAATATTTTCGTTTATCTCTTTTAGCATGATTTTTGGGCTACTTTTAAAATCTTGGTCCATCTGTTGTCATATTTCCACTTAAGTTACACTGTGTAATCAAGTAAGTTGTATCCTTTCGGATGAGTTGTGCTATTCAGGTGTCTTGTTATTTTGTCCTTGGCCATACAGGTTGTTCTGTCCAACAATGCATACTAGTGCCATTGAGCTTAGAGGTTGAAGGCTGGGGGTGAATGAGCCCTAAAACCGAGAATGCTTGGCTCCCAAACTCCCAAGTGTGTCATGCTCAGACTCATAAAATAACTCTCCATGTCAGGGCTTCACCCTTTGCCCTCCCATCAGGGAAAAGCAGCCTTAGGAGTACAGGCATGAGCCACCGTGTCTGTGGCCAAAACACTTCTTAGAGTATAGTTCACATGCCCTGGAAATTTAGAGGGCTAAGGAGGGGGAACATTTGTCTAAAGTTGGGTTGCCCCCTTACCTGTTTTGATCACAAGCACAGTGCATCTCCAGTGCTTTGCTGTTACTCTTACCAACACCCGGACCACAGTTTGAGTCATGGCGAGTGAGGGAGTAGCACCGTTTGTCATAAGACAGTGGTGGAGGAAAAGGGAGATCAGAACCCTGAGAGCTCCTTTTCTTTTTTTAATCATTCCACAGCTGTGCCTGGCCACTTCCTGCCTCTAATCAAAGCCACCCTTCTACCACACACACCAATTCAAAACAAGGTCCTCTCCTTCACCCAAGGGGTTTCTCGAGTTTTTCTTCATTTCTTGATATTTTCTCTTTGTAACTCTTCTGCGGGTGATCTTGGGATAGGGAGCCATGGTCACAGTAGTTCCATCAGGATCCAAGCTTAAAGATCTTGAGTAGTTGCTTTGTGCTAGACACTTTATTCTACATGTGCCACCTGTATTAACTCATTTAATCTTCACAACTACCTTGTAGTTATAACAGCCACATTTTACAGATGAGAAAACTGAGGCATGAAGAAGTTAAAAAGTAGCCAGGTGTGGTAGGGTGCACCTGTAGTCCCAGCTACTTGGGAGACTGAGGCGGGAGAATCACTTGAACCAGGGAAATGGAGGCTGCAATGAACTATGTTTCACCACTGCACTCCAGCCTGAGTGACAAAGTGAGACCCTGTCTCGAAAAAAAAAAAAAAAAGTTAACTAACTAAGCCAGGACTCTAAACCAGGCAGTCTGATTCATGAGTCAGCCTTCTTAACCTCTGCCTTGCAGTGAAACCCAAATTACCCAGTACTCTCTATGGGGACGATTGACAAAGTGTTGGCCAGGGCATTGCCCTGTGATGTCCAGGCTTATGAGACATTGGTCAGAGAAGAGAGAGAGAGGGTGACAGGAACAAGGCATTAACAGCCAGGCTAGCTGTCAGCAGCATTTGATCCCAGGCAGGAGACTCTAATGGACCTCTCTGAGCAGGACACAGACAGGCTCTGTGTGGTTAGAGATGAAGGGAGGAGGAGGAGTGAGTGTTTGCGAGCTCAGCCCAAATGAGGGCTGATGTCACTTCTCCTTTGTGCATTTGTGTCCGAATTTGACATCTGATGTAAACCGGTTGGTGCTAAATTCTGTCTTGTGTTTTCAATCTGCTGAATTGGAAGTCCCTCATGGGAGCATTTGGGTGAGCCTCAGCAACTCTGGCTCAGAAACCACCAGATGCTTCCCAGAGAAAGTTGTTTGGCTGCCAGTACCCACTGCCATACTTGCCTCTTCACACTACTACATCTCCTTCTTTCCTTGGCTCTGATGGGCCAACACATATTGTAGGGCAAGTCTGTGTCATAGGCCCTGGGAAGGATGCTCTCGATTGGTAAGATTTGAAGGTGAAAGTTACTGGCCATGAAACAGAATGAAGACCATAAGACGATGGAAGCTCGGACTCCAGTTACTGGGCTCTAATGAAGCGTGGCGTCATGAATTTTAGTAAAAACAAGGCCAGGGGTTGATATGTTGCTTCTTCATGCATGGCTCTTTCCCTGAAACCACAGCTCTCCTCCAGTTGTTTCTGAAGTGCCAGGCACTTTTTTCACTGGGGCTGCTGAAAACGAATCCGAAACTGATTTGAGGAGCGTCTCCTCCCCTGCTGGGGCTCCTGTGCCTAAGGTTTCAGGTGGTTGGGCATGCCTTCTCTGAGTGTTCTCCGTCAGACAGGCTGCCTGGCCCTAGAGACTTGCCACATGCTTTCTGAGCCACAAATATTTTACACCATGAGTTCCCAGCTGCTGCCCTTCCCCCCGCTTCCATTCCTTTCCACCTCTTCCTCATTCCTAATCCCACACCTTAAAATCCCTTTAGCCACTGTCACCTTACCTTGTCCCTTTCTCATGTGGACCTCTCTCTGGAAGTTCCAAATCTGGGAAGCCTGAATGCACCTCTAGCTTCAACCTGCTTGGCAAAGGAAAGTGAAATGAACATCTTCGAATGTTTCCTACATGGCAGAGGTTGTTTGCAGTGCCTTACTTAACATTATTTCATACAAATCTCATGACAATTTGAAAAGGAAATGTTTATCCTCAAAGGTCCTGAGGCTACTAAGGCCTAGATTAGAAAGTGGCAAAACCAGGCTTCAGACCCATCACTGTCTACCTCCAGAGTCCACAGTATTTGCGTGATTTTGGATGTCTCCGGAGCCCCATTCGGCTTTCCCAGCTTTCTAACCTCATAGCTCTGTTCCCATGCAGACCTGATATTTTGCTTCTTAGAATTTAGAAAAGAAAGGGGAGTGGGGTGGGGGAAAAAAGGAAAAGAAGAAAAGGAAAGAACAACCTTCCAGCTTTTTCTTCTGAGGATCATACGTCTTTGTAGAATAACTACAACAATAACATAATACTAACTTGTTGTGTGTGCGTGTGTGTTTTAACTGGAAGGGGGCATGTGTCATTCAGTGATTATTTAAAAAAATTTTAAGCCATGGAACCATTAGAAAATGATACTGTTTTACATACTGGGAGCTCCAGTATGTAAAACACAGGAGTGGTGGTGACTGAAGTGATGGTGGTGGAAGGAGCTCCAAGGTCTGGCCTTTCTATGTACCCTGCAGCCAGAAGCATGTCACCCTATAAAGCAAGATAGCAAGATTGCTAGTCTCAGGATTCTGTTGAACATGGTTTGAAAGTCTCCTGATTGTTTTTCCTTTTAAAATAAGCAAGCTGAGGCCCAGAGAGAGGAAGTGGCTGGCAGAGTCAGGACTAGTGCCTGGGTCTCCCAGCTTCTATCCTGCAGCTCTTTACAGAAATCCCAGTTTGTATATTTTTGCACAAACTCCGCAGGATGCAGTCCAGGAAGGGATGCAGGTGGAGGTGGAGAAGGAGGAGGGCCTGGGCTTCCACTTTTTCTCTTTCCTCGTCACCAACAACCTGAACTCCCAACCCCTGTGGGGAATGGGGTAGGTCAAGGAGAGGACTGACAGGGATTATAGAAGAGTGCGAGCGAAGGTACAAGGAATCAAGTTTGGTAGCCGGCAAGGAAGAGAGGTGAGGCAGAAGATGAGGGGAGGAGGTGAGGTGCACAGAGCAAAGGAGCCACCATCCCAGCTCAGGACCAGGGCTGGGCTAGAATCTGGGCCCTGGTCTCGTTCTAGTATTCCCTTGAGCAAGTCCTGGCCCTTTTTCCTGCCCGTTTCCTTTGAGGGCTTCTCTGTCACCACCAGTGAGCGTGTATAGGCTACAGGAGGAGCAGTGAAGAGCAGTGTGCTACAGAGAGCACTGCACCCCAGGAAACAGAATTAGTTGGCCCAGCTCTGCCTATAAGTAGCTGAATGTCTTGAGGCAACTTCAACGTTTCCCTGGACCTTAGATTCCTTGCCTGTAAAACAGCATGGGGCCAGATGATCTCTAAGGGTCCTTCTGGCTCTGAAGGCAATGATCTGGGGCATGGAACCTGTAGTTAGAGAGCTGGGAAATGGGCAGATGTGGGCTCCAGGGCACCCAGAATTGCAGGCTTAGGAGCTAACAGCAACCAGGATTCTGTAGTCTAGCAATCTTGCTTTACAGGTGAGGAAACTGGGCCTAGAAAGGCGAAGTGATTTTTTTGCCTCTCTCAGCTTTATTCCTCTTTTCCTCTGAACTGTAGAGTCTAAAGATTCAGCACAAAGCAGTTTTGTGTAGTGGATACATAAGCTTTTTTGTTGTTATTTTTCTGAATTATTTTGTTGACTTTCAAAGTTTTTTTTACATAAACAGTAAATGCTCGTTATAAAAATTTCCATTAATACAGGAAGTGAAAAAAGTAAAAAACTGCAAATTGCTGTTATCCTCCCACCCTTACCCCCTAGGTCCCCAGAGGTGTCTCTGTTAACAGTTCAGCGTGTATCCATCCTGACTCCTCCAATAAATGCAGAAACTTGTATGTCTCTCCCCGACAACTGGATTATCATATACATTATTCAAGCATAGGCTTTAGACTCAGACATATCTACATCTAATCCCAGCTTATAGCTAATTATTTGAGTGACCTTGGCCAAGTTGTTCATCCAGTTTTAGTCTCAATCTCCCCATGTGTAAAGTGAAAATAATAATAGTATCTACCTGGCCTGGCGTGGCGGCTTATGCCTATAATCCCAGCCCTTTGGAAGACCGAGGCTAGTGGATCCCTTGAGCTCAGGAGTTCAAGACCAACCTGGGCAATTTAGCAAGACCTCATCTCTACTGAAAAACAAAAAACAAAAAAACTCCCCCAAAATTAGCCAAGTGTGCTGGTGTGCACCTGTAGTCCCAGCTACTCGGAAGGCTGAGGTGGGAGAATCGCTTGAGCCAGGAAAGACGAGGCTGCAGTGAGCTGTGATTGCACCACTGCACTGCAACCTGAGCAACAGAGCGATACCTTGTTTCTGTTAAAACAAACAAACAAACAAAATAGTATCTACCTTATAGGATCATGGTGAAGATTTAATGAGATTTTATATGAATAGCACTTAACAGTTCCTGGTACTGATAGTAGTAAGCACTACACACACACACACACACACACACACACACACACACACAGAGCACAGAATGAGTTAGAGGTAAAGTGAAAACTAAACCCCAAGTTTTCTGACCCTCAGTCTCCTCGACTTTCTACCACATCTCTCTGCTTCTCTCCTAGGTGCCTAGGCATGGGTTCAGTGCTCACTACTTGTTGAATGAATGACTGAGGTTGTGTGTAAGGGGGTAGATCTAGGGATCTGAGGTCTGTGGAGTTCCTGGGATGCCTGCTCTGGAAAATGGAGGCTTTCATCCTGTGAGTTGGGAGGGTGTGGGGCAGTGTGGGTTGGCTGGACCAGCTGTTGCTTCAGAGCTCCATGCCTGGAGAGTTGGGCCTCTAGGCAGAGCTGAGGGCCCAGAGTGGCTCTCAGCTTAAAGGATCTTGGCTTAGAAGGAATGTGCAGTGGGCTGCCTCTGCTCGGGAGGGGCTAAAAAAAGCCTCACCCTCCCCTGGGCTTTGTGTGAGGCTTATCAACTGCTCAAGTCAGCTCATCTCTCTGGCTGCTCCGGCATATTTGAGAAGGTCTGTTTCCCTGGTCCTTCTGGGTTTCCACCAATTGGCAAGAAGGGATCAGCCTGTCCTAGAGGTGAAGAGAGAGCTGTGGCATGAAGGGGAGGGGGCTGGTGGCCCCAAACCTGGTGACAATACACAGTTGTCAGCTGTACCCTGCTGGCGTTTCTTCCTTTTATAGTCAGCAGCAGTTGCTCTTGCTTTCACCCAGCCCCTCTGTGGGGGCTCCTGCCCAGGATAAAAGGGAAGGGAGGCAGCCCAGGCTCCTATCTCATCTCCCAGACGCCACGTCTCTCGGTTTCTTCTTAGATCACTCCTCTGCCAAAGATCCCAACAAGACAACATGGCTCCCAAGAAGCCTGAGCCTAAGAAGGAGGCAGCCAAGCCAGCTCCAGCTCCAGCTCCAGCCCCTGCACCAGCCCCTGCCCCAGCTCCTGAGGCTCCCAAGGAACCTGCCTTTGACCCCAAGAGTGTAAAGGTAAGTGAGGCTCAGCCATTGGGATAGAGGTGGGGATGACATTGAGAGTCCTTTTGCTCTGGAGCTTAGCGATCTACTTTATGTGGGCTGGACTGGGATGAGGACTAGGGTGTCCATGCCCCAGATCGCAGTCCCATGGGGCAGTGGAGTGGGTGTTGGGGCTGATGAGGGGGAGATTGAGTCATAAACCTTTTCCGTCAAGAATGAGGTGCTGCTTTGAGGGAGCCCTGTCCTGCTACCCTAGATTTGTGCAGCTAAGTTGGGAATGGGGGGAGGTACAACCAACCATCCATCCACCCTTTTATAAGGCATTATGAGGACCACCATAGCAAAGTAAAACAGACTAGCCTTTTCCTAGGAGGTAGTGGGATATCTTTATGGAGAACAGACAGATCATGGCAGCTGCCAGTGTAACTTGGAGTAAGTGATATAAACAGTCAGGGAATATCCTCCCTGTGCATGGCAGTTTGGGAAAGGCTTCACTCACAAACACTCTTACGGCAGGTGAGGGCAGGGTGGGAAGGAGGTTGTGGTTAAGGTAAGAGGAGCCCGGATTCCTCTCTCTCTTTCCTTACCCAGACGGGCCTTTCCTTCTGTGGCCTTAGCCTGGGTTCCTATCTGTAGCATGCAGAGGACTGGCCCACCCTGGGCTGAGACCCTCTCTCCAACCGGGTCAGGAAGCTGGGCCTGGTTCCTTTGCCCCACCCTGCTCTCCTCACACAAAACATTCCTCTCCCTGGAGCTGGTGTGGGCCCTGCATGCTGACTCAGTCATTTTAGACCTCCCAGCTCTCTGGCCCAGCTGCTGAAGGAATGGAACTGGTGGGAGAGGGGTGGGCTGAAGAGGGAGGGGGCCAGAGACCTCTGAAGAGGAGCAGTTTTAAGCCTTGGCACCAGAGTGGAAAAGGTCAAGTGGCTACTGGTATGAAGAGCTATTAATAACAGGTTGGGAGTGCTGAGCCCCCAGGGATCTCAGCCTTAGGACAGGGCTGGGGGTGGTGAGGGATCAGGTCAAAATAAGAGCACAGGACAAGGTTCTGTGACAAGCAGGCAGGGAAATTAAAACCCAGAGCTCTAATTGTATGACCTCCCTGCCCTCTGAGAATTCCTCTCATACCCACAGCCGGGATAACCCTACAAGTATTATGCCAAAGACCCAGTCCCCGCAAGGGACAGGAACTGCTTAGCCAAGAGATGGAGGCAATTGTCCCTTTTCTGAGCTTGGTTATGGCTCACTCTGGGGAAACTGAGGCTACTGTAGGACCCTGAAAACACCTGCAGGTTTTCTAGGTCATACATCACTCCATTTACAAGCTGAGCCTGGCAGGAAAAGCTGACTATTTCACCCTTCAGGATCCCTCCTCGCCTTTATTTCTGATTTGTTCCCATAAAGCACTGTGCCTTTGGGTGGGTTGCCAGGCCTTGTCCCTGGTGTCTGGGCAACAGCTGCCTAGTGGCATCAAACTGGTGTCCTTCCCTTGGCCTGTCACTTCTTTCATTCACTCTCCTCTCTCAATTTCTCACCCGTGAGAAATTGCACCCCTGGTTGCAATCCTCTTTTCCATATCTGCATCTTCATGGGGGTTGTTGAAGTTGCTTTGAAGTAGAAAAAAAATAGGTATCTTTTATGAGAGACATTTTCCCTATTATTGTGTTATACTTACCCAGTTCCTTTGATTAGAAGGTTCTTTACTCCAAGACAGAAGAGAAGCCAGATGAGGTGATTCATGTTTATAATCCCAGCCCTTTGGGAGGCTGAGGCGGGAGGGTAATTTGAGGCCAGGCATTTGAGTCCAGCCTGGGCAACATGGCAAGATCCTTGTCTCTACAAATAAATAAATAAATTATAAAAAAGATTCGAAGATAGAACAGAAGCAAACTTAAGCCCAGTGTGTGTAGTTAGGACCACGTCTATTGAGATTTTAAGTTTTTACATTAATTGCTCTTACATGTTTATTCCTGGTTCTTAAAGCATTGTAAAGTAAGGCAAACTGTGCCTTTTCCTCAGAGAGTGAATGCAGAGCATCCTTCACCCCATCTAGGGGGTTCCTTTAACTTTCTGACCACCCCCTACTTTTGGCAGTCTATTCCTAGCCACAACTAGTTTTCTTTCCAACCCAGTTAACTCCCCACTGCCCCAACCTATCCCCAGCTCATGGCTGCCATATCTGGGTCCTCATGAATGGAGGTCAGTTCTCGGAGATGAGACAGGATGGGCACAGCACAAGCAGCAGCAGAATTAGGACTAGGAATGACGGCACTTGAAGAAGAGGCTCCAGGATTGGAACCACCACCAGTGGAGAGGGGATGGGATGGGATGGGGTGGGGTGGGGTGCATAAGGACCACGAGGTAACATACAAGATCTTAAATCAAAATGATGACTTGGGCTGGGTGTGGTGGCTCACGCCTGTAATCTCAGCACTTTGGGAGGTCGAGGCAGGTGGATCACCTGAGGTCAGGAGTTCGAGGCCAGCCTAGCCAACATGGTGAAACCCTGTCTCTACTAAAAATACAAAAATTAGCTGGGCGTTATGGCGGGTGCCTGTAATCTCAGCTACTGAGGCAGAAGAATCGCTTGAACTTGGGAGGCGAAGGTCGCAGTGAGCCAAGATCACACCATTGCACTCCAGCCTGGGTGACAAGTGCGAAACTCCATCTCAAAAAATAAGAATAAAAAATAAAATAAAATGATGACTTATGCTTGGCCATTGTCATTCACTCTCCTCTTCTGTACTCAGCATTAAATTACTATGCATTATATGGGGGAAATCTAAAATGTATTACTTCATTCAACAAATGTTTTTCAGTGCCTACTATGTACTGAGCATTTCAGTGAACAATAACAAGAATCCTTGCCTGAGGGAGCAGTGGCTTCAAGGAGACAGAGTGCACGTAAAGGCATGACTGGAAACAATTAGGAAGCGTGGAGGGCCCATGCCAATTGCTCTTGCTGTCCCAGAGTGCCTAAGAGTGTGTCAGAAGACAAAATTAGAAGGCATTTTAGTTTAAAGATCTGAATTGGCTTTTATGTTTGAGTCTAGAATCTGGCAACAATGAGCCGAGCAGAGGAGGTGGTATTATAGACAAAGAAAGGCTGAGGTAAGCAGAAATGAGAGCAAAATGCAAATTGTTCATTGCAAAGTTACTTTTCTTGTAAAGGTTAAAGCAGATGGCACTTTCTTATCAAGCTGGCTGAAACTGTCATGTTTGGGGATTTGGCTATTATCTCTTATTTTCCTGATTTCTTGGAAAATCAGATGAACAACTTAGTTTCAGCTTGGTGACATGGAACTTCAGCATGAGTGAATCTATTTTGGTTTGGTCTGTTGGTCCTAGTGTAGGAGCTCAGTACAAACCAACGGCCTCTTATAAATTGTACTTAACGAGGGATATGTGCTGAAGGAGGGGTTGGAGTGGGATGCGGTGTGGGAAGCCTTCATTGAAGGGAGTGGATTTAAAATCAGAATCAAATAGAAAGAGCAGTCCGAGTGTGGGGAGTGGTGGTGCCCAAAGAGGGCAGAAGTGCAGCTTGTCAGAGGACTATGGACTAGGAAGAGATTGAAGGGGCAACAGTGAGGGCAGTTTGTGGGTGGCTAGGATGAAGAATTTACCTCAGACCCGGAGGCATTACAATAGGCAGTCCGTGTACGTTCTAGAATTATCCAGGGAATTTTTCTTTCCCTTTCGCTCTTACCTGGAGCCATCACTTAATAAGCGGTATTGAGAGAGCTTTGGAGTCTGCATTACAGTTGTCCCTCGTTATCTGTAGGGGATTAGTTCCAGGACCCCCACGGATACCAAAATCTGAGGATGCTCAAGTCTCCTATATAAAGTTTGCATATTTGCATATAATCTACACACAACCTCCTGTATAATTTAAATCATCTCTAGGTTACTTATAATACCTAGTACAATGTGAATACTATGTGATAGTTGTTATGTATTTTTTGTATTATATTTTATTTTCGTGTGGTTATTTATTGTTTTCTGAATATTTTCAATCCAGAGTTGGTTGAACCTGGGGAGGAGGGCCGACGGTATTTTATAGCCTGTCAGTTGTGGCTCATTCATCAGGAGACTTGTGTTTTACCCTTAGCACAAGTCACCTTCCCTGCTTATCAGTGGCCTGCTGGAGGTGGCCATACTGCATTGGAAGCCACTTCTGCTTCTACTTCCCTTTGGGGGGCCTTTACAACTGCTTTTAGCAATCCAAGCCCTCACTACTATTTCCCTCCCTACAGATAGACTTCACTGCCGACCAGATTGAAGGTGAGTATGGACAACCCCACCTCTCCGTCTCTATTGCACTTTCCTGGAGGAGGAGGAGGAGGAGGAAGAAGAGGAGGAGTAGTTGTCCTCATGGTAATAGTAATCACTGTCATCATCATAGCAAACCTATATTGAGCATCTACCATGTGTCAGGCATAGTCCTAGGCACTTTATATGGATTAACTCCTTTAATTCTCATAACAACACCATGAGGTAGAAATTGTTACCTCCCCCATTTTACAAGTGATAAACTGAGACACATAGAGATTGGGTGACTTGCCCAGTCTCACATGGCAGTCAGCAGTAGAGCTAAGATTCAAACTCAGGCAATCTGATTCCAGATCTGTTTCCTCAACTACTCTGCCAGACTGCTTGGAGCATAGTAGATGCTTAACAAAAGTTAGTGCCTTTTTTTCTTGGCCCCAAAGATCTATCTAAGATATTTGGAAGCCCTCATTTCTGTTCCCATTATTGGAAAGCCCTCCTTAGTTTACCAGCTTCCCCTCTTCCCACCATGAAGTCTGCCAATATGCTAACCCACTAATGGTGGCAGGGCCAATGAAATGTTTTATCATGTGATGCTCTGTGTCCCCAGCTGTAAAGCAGGACTCAATGTCATTGCAGCGTATCCCTCTGTTTCCTCCACCAAACGCCTCTAGGACATAAAATTATAGGAATTGGAAGGGACCTTGAAAAATCACCTAATCCAACCCCCTCATTTTAAGCACATACTCTCTTTTAAAACTTAAATGAATATTTGCACATGGTAAAACAAAAAAGCAAAAAAGCACACACATATTACTTAAAAGTAAATAATAAAAAATAAAAATCCTTTTTTTCCATGCTGATTCCTCTCCCAAAGACAACCACTGTGAACAGGTGTTTATGTATCCTTTCAGAAAAATATATAATGATACACAAGTTTGTGTGTATGTATGAGTGTATACAGTTTATACAAATCAAGCCGTGTGATACACACTGTCCACCTTTTATTAAATATATACTTGGATTTAATAATATACAGTATTTGGATATCTTTTCAAAATTAACACAAACAGTTCTACCTCATTCTTTTAAACAATTATATAGACTCTCACACACAGATGTACCCTTTTAATTTAATCAAGACTATATTGATAGGCTTTCAGATTGTTTCCGGTGGGAGGATATCAGCTTTCTTTCGCCTGTGGCCTTCCTAGCAGGGTTTAAAGGATGGTGCATTTTAAATTATAATGGTTATTACCAGGTTGCTCTCCAAAAAAGTGACACCAGTTTACCCACAAATGGAGCATGAGAGCTGGCATATGCATTTTGAAACTAGTGAATTGAGCCTGACTCTGTTTTCATAATACTCAGTGGATACTCACTTGCAGCATTAATTTCAATGCATTTTAGTTAAATATATACTTACGTGGATATAGAAACACAATGACACTAGTGAGGACTGGAAAATCAACTAATGATTTAAAATTTTAATTTCCCAAATGGCCAACTGGAACAGATGGTTATCTCTTCTCTCCTGAAGACTTTCAGGGCTGATGGGGAGGGGACAACTCATTCTGATCTTTTATCCCTCTGACTTTGAAGACATTTTTCCTTCTGTTGAATCAGAATTGTTTTTCCTTTAATTTTACCCCAGCGATCTTTTCATTTGTTTTTTGGTGAAGATTATAATGGTTTTCTCATTGTCATCTTGGTTATGGTGGAAAGAACATAATTTGGAATTAGGAGACTTTCGTATTAGCCCTAATTCTTCCATTATTGGCCATGAGACTTCGGACAAGTCACTTCTTTAAATCTTAATTTTCTTATCCACAAAGTGAGGGTATTTGGGTTTCAATTCAGAAATTCTAGTCCATTCAGCATCCTCTAGATATCCTCCATCTATTTGGAGATAGTTTTCAAATCCCTCCTAAGATTTATATTCTCTAGGTGATATGCCTCAATTTATTTTATTTTATTTTATCATTTTATTTTATCTTGAGACAAGGTCTTGCTCTCTCACCTAGGCTGGAGTGCAATGGTGCTATCATAGCTCACGATAACCTTGAATTCCTGGTTTTAAGCAATCCTTTCACCTCAGTCTCCTGAGTAGCTTGTACTACAGGCATGTACCATTGTTTTTATGTTTTGTAGAGATGGGGGTCTCGCTATTTTGCCCAGACTGGACTCCAACTCCTGGCCTCAAGCAATCCTCCCACCTTGGCCTCCCACAGTGCTGGGATTATAGGCATTAAGTCACTGTGCCTGGCCTCCCAATTTCTTTTGTGCTTTTTTTTTTTTTCCCCCTCATAGGAATTAGCTTCTAACCCTTGGCTTGCTTCTCATCCCTCTCCAGACTTCTGTATTCTTTTAGAGAGGGGTTACTACCACTGGACTCATTGCTCTAGTAAGCAGGTGACCACACTACTGCAGATTATTGAGGAAAGGTCTCTTCTGGACCCTTGAACATCACCTCTAATACCTGAAGTTCACACTGGCTTTTTTTTTTTTTTTTCTAGTTGTAGTCCTAAACTTCAGTGTTTGATTTTTTTATGTGCATACCAGGCTTCCCAGCAGGCCAGGTGATTGGTTGGAGCATTAGCAGTTATAACAAGCAGGTCTCCTTCTCTTCCTCCTTCCTCCCCATCATTTCCTTGGTTTGCTTAATAGTTGATCATAAGTCATATCTACATTGGCTTTTACATGAGGATAATAATACCTATAGCATATATTTTTTCATAAAGATTAATAAAGTGTTCTATGCAAAATTATTTGCTCAGATCCTGGTTCATGGTAAGTGCTCAAATTATAGGTCATTGTTCTTATTACCTTCCTCTTCAGGTTTCACCCTCTTATTAAGCATCATGACATCTTTTTTTTCTTTTTCTTTCTTTTTTTTTTTTGAGACAGAGTTTTGCGCTTGTTGCCCAGGCTGGAGTGCAATGGTGTGATCTCTGCTCACCGCAACCTCCGCCTCCCGGGTTCAAGCAATTCTCCTGCCTCAGCCTCCTGAGTAGCTGGGATTGCAGGCATGCATCACCACGCTCAGATAATTTTGTATTTTTTATATAGATGGGGTTTCTCCATGTTGGTCAGGCTGGTCTCAAACTCCCAACCTCAGGTGATCTGCCCGCCTTGGCCTCCCAAAGTACTGGGATTACAGGCGTGAGCCACTGTGCCTGGCACATCATTACATCTTCTTTTGAGGAGACTTCCTCTTTTGTTAAACTTGACCTCACTCTTCTGAATGAACTAGGAGATCAAAAAGTCTGACTTCAGATTCAACTAACAAATATGTATTTATCAAGCACTGAATTTGTGCCAGACACCATGCTAATTGTTTTAAAGGTAAAAAAGATAAATCCTGCCTGGGTGCGGTGGCTCATACCTGTAATCTCAGCACTTTGGGAGGCTGAGGCAGGTGGATCACTTGAGGTCATGAGTTGGAGACCAGCCTGGCCAACGTGGTGAAACCCCACCTCTACCAAGAGTATAAAAAATTAGCTGGGGGTGGTGGCACGCACCTGTAATCCCAGCTACTCGAGAGGCTGAGGCAGGAGAATTGCTTGAACCTGGGAGGTGGAGGTTGCAGTGAGCTGAGATTGTGCCACTGTACTCCAGCCCAGGTGACAGAGCAAGACTTTGTCTCCAAAAAAAAAAAAGATTACATCCTTATAACAAGGCTATGAGGTAGGTGTTATTTCCTTTTTACAAAGCAGGAAACCAAAGTTCAGCAAAGTTAAATGATTTGGCCAAGATCACATGGTTAAGTGATCCAAATTAGGATTAAACTCAATAAGATAATACTAGCAGCATTGTTTATGCATTTACTATGTGCTGGTCATTGTGTTAAAAATTTTTACATACATTATTGTATTTATATACCTAGTATATTTACATACATTATTATATTAATTTGAATGTAATTTAAGAAACCTATGATAGCTGGGTGGAGTGACTCACACCTGTAATCCCAGCACTTTGGGAGGCCGACGTGGGCTGATCACCTGAGGTTGGGAGTTCGAGACCAGCCTGACCAACATGGAGAAACCCCGTCTCTACTAAAAATACATAATTAGCCTGGCGTGGTGGCGCATGCCTGTAATGCCTGTAATCCTAGCTACTCAGGAGGCTGAGGCAGGAGAATCGCTTGAACCGGGAGGCGGAGGTTGCAGTGAGCCGAAATCGCGACATTGCACTCCAGCCTGGGCAACAAGAGTGAAACTCCATCTCAAAAAAAAAAAAAAAACAAAAAACTAACTAAAAAGAAACCTATGATGTAGGTACCATTTATAGAAGAGGTTTTTAGAGGTTAAATATTTATTTGTCCAAAGTCAAGCAATGGGAATGAAATTTGAACTCGATTATTCAGTAATGTGAAAGAAATGTGGTTTTATGTCTTTTAAATTCATATAAAGCCGAAGAAAGAGTTGGAAGTAAAGGTCTGGGGAATCTTCTGTGATATGTGGAATGATTTGTAAATAATCCATACGCAGCCTCGAAGGAAAGAAGTACTTGGAAAGGATGAAAACTGGCTTTTTTTCCTAAGTAGTTCATGAATTCTTTTTTGGCTTATACTGTTCATCTGCTTAGTAAAGCACTTCTTTGTGGGTAGCATAAGGTAACTTAAATGCCCCTCCCAGGCCAAATTACCTCCACTAATGAATTGGTTGAATCCCAATCAATGAAGAATTGGGCCCGGGTATGATGGCTCACACCTGTCATCCCAGCACTAGGGAGGCCAAGGCAGATGGATCACTTGAGGCCAGGAATTTGAGACCAGCCTGGCCAACATGGTGAAACCCTGTCTCTGCTAAAATACAAAAATTAGCCAGGTGTCGTGGTGGTGGGCGCCTGTAGTCCCAGCTACTCGGAGGCTGAGGCACAGGAATTGCTTGAATCTGGGAGGCGGAGGTTGCAGTGAACTGAGATCACACCACTGTACTCCAGCCTGGGTGACAGAGCGAGACTCTGTCTCAAACAAAAACAAAAACAAAACCAAAACAAATCAATGAAGAGTTAAGGTTCTTTGAAAAAGGGACCAGGAGTGCCTTCCTTTGGTCTTGCTGCAGGGATACTTGCCCTGCTGCCTTCAAGGAGTCCAGTCCCTGTGGTTCTGAGCTGGTAAGTAGGAAAGAGAACTAGGAAACAGCTGTAACCACAATTTGTCGATTCCCTTACCATATGCTGAACATTGCTTGGCGTGCTTTGTGATCCCACCTGCAACCCACTCAAGTGATCATTGTATCTCCACTTAGAGCTAGGAAAATGAGGGCCCACAGGGGTTAATAGTTTGCCCAAGGCTGTATGCGAGTCCATGGCAGAGCTGGGGTGGTCTGACCATTGCCTTATCTGGCCTGGGGGCCGCCTTTCAGCCTGGAACAGGCAGTACTGATAACAGCTGACTTTCCAGCGGTCTTATCACTTTGTAAAGTGCTTCCACACACTGCGACCTCCCTTTGCTCTCACAGTGACAGGCCCAGGGAGTGGGGTGTAGTTGTCACTCCCTTTGTGTGCACATGAAGCTGAGACCCAGCCCAGCTTATCCTGCACTCTGAGGCAGAGCCAAGATGAGAATTTAGGAATCCTCACTTCTGGGCCAGTGCTGTTTTCACTTGTCTGTCATTTCAGGAGTCAGGAACCTCACCTACACCAGAGCGGGATGTGTGGGTGGGAGGGGTGGAGGCCAGGGAGACATCTGAATTTTTTTTTTGTTTCAAGATGGAGTTTCACTCTGTCACCCAGGCTGGAGTGCAGTGGTGCGATCTTGGCTGACTGCAACCTCTGCCTCCCGAGCTCAAGCGATTCTCGGGCCGCAGCCTCCCAACACTGGAATTTTATAACAACGAAGCAATAGAAGAGATCCCAGTCCCAGCCCTGGAATGGGTCGTGGAGGCACCAGGCTGCTTCTTTGGTTGACAGAAGATGGGATGAGGACGGGTTCGAGGGACGGCCTGGGATAATGGACAAAGCGAAATATTGGGATATTTTAACAACCACACTCACCTGCTATTCAGCTTGGGTGGAGGCTGATTGGCCACCAGCCACCACCTTCACTGGGGATTGGAAGGTATAGCTGGGTCTTCTCTCCACAGAGTTCAAAGAGGCCTTTTCATTGTTTGACCGGACCCCGACTGGAGAGATGAAGATCACCTACGGCCAGTGCGGGGATGTACTGCGGGCCCTGGGCCAGAACCCTACCAATGCCGAGGTGCTGCGTGTGCTGGGCAAGCCCAAGCCTGAAGGTCAGTGCGGCTGCATGGCAGACCTCTCCCAGGGTCAGGCTTGCAGCCCCTTGGCTTCCTCCTTGTCCAGATCTTCTCTGCCATCTGCACTCTCTCTTCTCCTGCTTTAGCCCCTCAGGACCAGCCTCACCTACCCAGCTTACCCTAGTCCCATTTTGAGAATTTATCTAGACGTCCCCGTACTTAAGTGACCCTTGAGGAATGTAGCCTGGGCTTGTTTCCCTCACGAGGTTGGGAGCTCCTGTGGGGCATGAGCCACATTCTGTTGCCTCAGTGTCTGAGGAAGGCTGAGTGGGAATCTGGAAATCTGATAACTGATGGTTCCCACTCCCCAGCCCAGGAGCTCTCAGGAGGGGCATCTGTCACAGCACCGAGGTATCCTGTGGTGGCCATCGCGAGCTGTATTACAAACAATTTGTTTCTAATAATGGTTAGAGTACTGACGTTTGCAAATTGTTTGGTATAAATTAGAGCAGCTTCAAGATTCTTAGCTCTACGTGCTGCCTCTTTCATTCATTTGCATTTCAATAGGTTTTGGTGAGTGAGTGTTTAGAATGGTGAGTAAGTGTTTAGAAAGTGGTGCAAACGATTCTTTTGTGGCTCCTAAGTGTGATCATTGAGTGTTCATACTCATGTGAGCTGTGCCTCTGTCAATCATTACGGCAGATGAGAAGAGGTGTGAGGGAGTGTGTCCTGTTTGTGAATGTTGTCTGTCATGTGTGCCAGTCAAGTTAACAGCTGCTCTAAAACACACACACATGCTTCTCCTCAGTGGTGTTGGCACGGGGTTTGGGGTGGGGTGAGCCTCTCAGCAAGGGTGGTCTGTCTCTGGAGGCTTCCTGGGCCCCATAGTGGTTTCCTCCCCATCCCTTGGTTCTGGCCCGTCCCCCTTCTCCTCTGGCTGAAGGTAACCGCGGGGGTGAAGGATGTGGGCAGGAAAGGACCAGAGGGCTAGGGGCTTGCATCTCAGAAGTCAGAAGCAAGTCCTGTGTGCTTATAAAAGAAAGAAATGCCCACATTTGTGATATTTAAAAATAGTTTGCCTCTATTAAATTAAAGCCTTTTAAATACACTACCATGTGGGAGAAGTATGCTATTCACAAGAGAACTGTGAATTTATAAGAATTATTGATTCAGAGTAGCTTCAAGCTGTGTGGTCTAGTGATGGGACCCCATGCAGAGTGATGCAAACGTTGCTTTTTTCAATCCTGTTGGTTTGCCCCTGTGATTATAGGTCTGTCACGTCAAGGGTCTAAACTGAGTGTGAGGCCCGGGCCGCGTGGCACTTCAGACCCCTCACATCCTGCTGCTGCCACCCTCAGCTCCTCCGCTTGGCTGGCCACCTGGTGCTTAGAGGTCTGGGTGGAGGGCTCCTTTTTCCTTCCATCCTACTGCTTTCACTGAGAAAAGAGGGCCCCTGAGACCATCTCCCCAGCTCCCAGTCCCCTACCTTGCTTGGATGGGAAGCTCTGTGTCCTCTAGGAGCACTAATGGGTGTACCACCCAGAATTGGCTGCAGCCCAAGCCCTGGGTGCTGTCAGACTTGGGGTGAGGCCCCCTCTTGACCCTCTGCTCCCTTGAGCACCTGCTCACATTGATTTCTCTTTCTTTACCCTGCCTGCCTGAAGAGATGAATGTCAAGATGCTGGACTTTGAGACGTTCTTGCCCATCCTGCAGCACATTTCCCGCAACAAGGAGCAGGGCACCTATGAGGACTTCGTGGAGGGCCTGCGTGTCTTTGACAAGGAGAGCAATGGCACGGTCATGGGTGCTGAGCTTCGGCACGTCCTTGCCACCCTGGGTATGCCAGCTGGGCAGAGATGAAGACCAAGTGGGAGGAATGGAGGGGTGGGAGGTGCCAAGGTGACATATGCTGGTTGGGTGGGGGGTGGTATACAAGGGTCTTTGCATCCTGAGGATAATGACCTGATCCAGGCCCTGTCTCCCTGGGCTCTGCAAGAACAACCATTCCCAGTTGGGTTTGCTCAGCAGGTACCAGGGTTTGGGAGAGGAGGGGAGAGCAGGTTGGCAGAGCAGGGCTTACTACTGAGGCCTGAGAGGTGGGACTCAGGGCTTCTGTCCTTGTCTTTGCCTGAAACACTGAGGCTCTGGAAGCTGTAAGGCAGAGGGGGAGGCTTCGGAGACTAGGCAAGACCTTTAGACCCTTGGCCGCACCCTTCAGAACCTCTGGGAGAGGCTTGGTTTGAACCACCTCCCAGATCCAGGCAGTCTTGGACCTTCACACTTAAGGGGGTACTTGGGTATTGCCAGTTCCTCCTTTGCCATCTGTAATTAAGAGCGCACCACCTCCCAAACCCACCGCAGGAGAGAAGATGACTGAGGCTGAAGTGGAGCAGCTGTTAGCTGGGCAAGAGGATGCCAATGGCTGCATCAATTATGAAGGTATTAAGCCGCGCCTTGCATCCCAGGGCAGCCAGGGATGGTAGGATGGGAACAGCTTGGGTGGGGTGGGCCCAGGAGCTGGAGGGTATGTGTCTGAGGTGGGTTTTTGTAGACCCCCCATTGGATGTTGTTCTGTTCCATCTTGTGAGTGAACCTCCTAGTGTAATGGCGGGAGCATGGATTTTGGAGATAGCTCTGTGATATATTAGCTGGTGGGCTTGATTAAGTCACTGATTTTCTCTGAGCCTCAGTTTTCTCATCTGAGGGATGGGGGTGATGCTGGCACCTTTCTCAAGGCTGTGGGGATTCATAGAGATAATGTAGTTCATTCCATTTGTGTTGAGAATCAGCATAGAGAGTGGGCACAGAGCAGAGTCTAGGTATCTGCCCTCCACCCACCTTCTCCCCACCAACCCCCAAATAAGAGCAGGAACTACACAGTCTGGAGAAAGGGGAGCAGGAGGGTTAGAAGTCAGGCAGTGTAGAGAAGGGACAAGTGGTTTATGGGCCTAGAGGCGCTGAGCCACATGGTGGCTGATTTTCACTTTTTTCCTAGCCTTTGTCAAGCACATCATGTCAGGGTGAAGCAGAGTCTTCCAGGTGAGTGCAGCCTCTCCCTCCTGGTCCCTTCCGGGGTCACATAGGGCCTTAAGAATAACACCATGTGCCCTAGAAGGCATCTGTCCCAGCCCTGACCCCTTAAGAGGAAACCTCTTGGGATCAGGAAGTGAGGACAGCCCTGCTCACTCACCATCTCCTGTCTCCTGCCTGCCCTTGCCTGTTCACCCTGTCTTGACCCTATCAGTCACATCCTCTTGCCTCTCCCAGGATCTCTCAAGGCAATGCCCTTCCCTCAGGCCTGGGGCCTCCTGTACAGGCTCCTGGGAGTGAGAAAGCCGATCCCAAGTGGAAGAGAAGGTCCCTGGCCTGTGCTCTTGACCCCGTTCTTCCTCACTTCTTTCCCTAGGTTTTCCCTGGGATCCCCCTGGGTGTGGTAAGGGGCTGGGTCTAGGAGGGTGAAATGCCCTTTCCTCCTAGCACTTTCTTTCAGGTGCCTGGCCCTTGGCTTTAGCCATACCAGGGTGAGTTAAAGAGAGGCCCCGGCTGGGTGAGCTGAGATGGAGTCCTCGACTTATCACCACACCACTGCCCCAAGGACCTTACAGGCCCTCCCTGTTAATAAACAGCTCTAACACGGCCAGGCTGGGCTCTGGGATTCTGACCAGTCTCTGTTTTGTTTGTTTTTTTAAAACTAATTAACGAATTGCATTGGTTTGCGTTGTGTGTGTGTGTGTGAGAGAGAGAGAGATAAAGTCACCTGAGGCCTCATGTGTGCTCAGAGAAATGAGTAGTATCTGGGAGCTAGGAGACAAGGACAAAAGCCTGTGGATCTAGAGATATTGGGGTCAGACCCAGGAGAGCAAGCTCTGGAAGGCCAGCAGCTTGAGGAGTTGTCACCTGGAGGAGTTTTATTCCCTTTGGGCTCACCCTCTACCTAATCACACCTCCAGATGGCAGGCAGAGAGGGGCCAGGCTGAGGCAGGGACTCCTCCTTTGGTCCTTGCTCTTGCTGCTTTTAAACAAAAATTGTTGTAAAATACACATAACATGAAATTTACCATCTTAACCATTTTTAAGCATACAAGTCAGTAGAGTGAGGTATATTCACATTGTTGTGTAACTGTATTAGTCTCTTTTCATGCTACTGATAAAGACATACCTGAAACTGGGAAGAAAAAGAGGTTTAATGGATTTACAGTTCCACATGGCTGGGGAGGCCTCACAATCATGGCGGAAGGCAAGGAGGAGCAAAGGCACATCTTACATGGATGGCGGCAGGCAAAGAGAGCTTGTGCAGGGAAATTCCCCTTTTAAAAACCATCAGATCTTGTGAGACTTATTCACTATCATGAGAACAGCATGGGAAAGTTACCTCCTACTGGGTCCCTCCCACAACACATGGGAATTCAAGATGAGATTTGAGTGGGGACACAGCCAAACCATATCAGTAATGAATCTCCAGAACCTTTTCATTTCCACCAGCAGAAACACTGTACTCAATAAATAACTCCCCATTCCCTCCTTCCCCCAGCCCCTGGCAATCAGCATTCTACTTTCCATTTCTATGAATTTGACCACCCTGGATAAGTGAAATCAGACAGTGTTTGTCTTTTGTGACCGGCTTATTTCACTTAGCACAATGTCCTCGTGTTCCTTTTTTAAGGCGGAATCATGTCCCATTGTATAGGTCAACCACGGTTTGGTTTGGTCCTCGCTTTTTTAGGTGCCTCTTCCTCTGAGTGCAAAGCTCCTGGTACCTGGTTCAGTCCTGCCTGTTCTGGACATCTCATTGACTCCAGACCCAGGATTCCAGCTCAGTGCCCTGGAAAGAGTCAGGGTCAGAGGTCAGGAACCTCAGGCTGAGAGAGGAGGAGAGTGGGGAGAGGCACGTGGAAAAGAGACGCCTGAAAACCAGCAATTGGGAAGAAGGAGCAAGATGATGTGAGGAAGTTAAACACACATGTATATGAGTAGAAATATTTATATGGGAGCACAGGGGTCCAGTCATCCCAGAAAGGGAGTCCTTACATCCCTGAGGACTCCCCAAGGTGAAATAAATCCTTCCCATGGCCTTTCTGTTGCCTAACTATCAATCATCCAGCCACAGAACTCTGTGAAACATCTAAGAATTCAGCCAAGGCTGCCTGCCTGTCATGGGAAGCTGAGAACCATGAGCCCAAGTTTGCTTTTCTTAGAATTTACAGTCTGGCTGGGGAGACAAGGCCAAGGTCTATATACATGCCCTTTGTTTCCCAGATTTTCTTTGAGGAAGGGTTTCAGCTTTGTGAGTGACTGGTTGAAACACAAAACCAGGGATCTTTATACGGTTGAGCAGGGGTTCATTGAATCCAGTGGTTCTCAAACTTTGGTTTAGACCCATAGCCTTTTGTTCGAACTAAATTTTATGGGGAAGTCAGTGCATGAAACTGAAGAGAACAGAGTTTCTCTGGCTGAGGAGGAGAGGGCTGGGTTCAGGCTTCTTGGAGCCTCTAACTAGGCTCCTTGGAGCAGAGCCAGTTCACCGATTAGTCAGACTTCCTAAGAGTCAAAATCAGGAAAACAGATCCTTAAATGGGAAGTGACTTAATCAAGGTCACAGCTAATGTTGACAAGGTCCCCTGAATTCTACATTGTTTCAATTTTCAACACACCATTTTCAACCTGCCTTTGAAATGTTTTCCAAGCTTGGCTCTTAGGACTCTTTTCCTTGTCCCTACCTCGCAGACTGCTCTTTTTGGCCTCACTTTCTGCTCCTTTTCTTTAAATCACACCCCCAGTTTGAAATGCCAACATTCTCCTTAGCACTGGGGCCTCGTCAGGTTTTCCTCCTTCCCTTCTTTTTTTTTTTTTTTTTTTTGGTTTTTTAACATTTATTTTAGGTTCAGGGGCACATGTGCAGGTTTGTTACATAGGTAAATTGCATGTCTCAGGGGTTTGGTGTACAGATTATTTCACCACCCAGGTAATATACATAGTACCTGATAGGTAGTTTTTTGATCCTCACCCTCCTCCCTCTCTTCTTTCTTTCTTCAGCAAGTATTTATTGCTCACTGTATTCACTTGTGAGGAACTGGAGTTAAGGTTCCCAGTGATTTGAAAACTGAAAGTGTTTTCCTTGCCCAAAGTAGCTTACTGTCCACTTAAGCAAGCACATAAGTATCCAGGGATAAATAGAGAATGATCCCCAAATAGCATAGGGATAACTCCATCTATGTAACATACAGTGTAAGTTTTAAGGAACCAATACAAGGAGGAACCAGAAAGAAGTGAGGCATTACAAATATTTTCTCTGGGAGAAGGGCTTTCAGTGAGACCTTAAAGGAAAAGGTGCCCCAAGGTTGGTGCTTAGCCCCAGGGAGAAGAAGAGCATGAACAGAGGTCATAGCTCACTTACTAATTCAACAGATGCCCATTGGGTACCTGCTGTGCACATGGCACTGGCATGAGCCTTGGGGATATACTGAACCACACAGACATGGCCCCTGTCCTCAAGGAGCTTTCAGTCTAGTGGGAAGACAGACATTAGTTATAATCATGTGACAACATCAGCCAACATTTATTGAACACAGTATTAATTAAGATTATATTTGGCTGTGCGTATGGACACCAAAACACAGTGGCTTAAGAGACATGGAAGTGCGTTTCTTCCTCCCATTACAATCCAGAGATTGGCAGTCCCTGGCTGGCACAGCCGGCATGCTCCACAGTCCTCAGGGACCCAAGTTCTTTTATCGTATGGTGTCTCAGTGTGTGACCTCTACACATGGTCTAAGATGCTGCTCCGGCTCAGCCATCACTTCCACTGAGAGAATAGTTCAGGAAGCATTTTATTTTCTTTTCTCTCTCTTTTTTTTGAAATGGAGTCTCACTCTGTGATCCAGGCTGGAGTGCAGTGGCACGATCTCAGCTCACTGCAACCTCCACCTCCCAGGTTCAAGCGATTCTCCTGCCTCAGCCTCCCGAGTAGCTGAGATTACAGGTGCGCGCCACCACACCCAGCTAATTTTTTGTATTTTTAGTAGAGATGGGGTTTCACCATGTTGGCCAGGCTGGTCTCAAACTCCTGACCTCAGGTGATCCACCTGCCTTGGCCTCCCAAAGTGCTGGGATTACAGGTGTGAGCCACCGCGCCCAGCCGGGAAGCATTTTCTACTTCACAAACCTCCTTGGGAACCAGTGCAACTTATTTGCTGCCTCCATGGTGTTGGGCTTGTTTATCTGAAGACAGAAGAGACTCTTGTCCTCCTAGTCATCCCTTCCCCAACCCTGTACTTTGCCCGGCCCATAACTAAGGTTTGGCACTTGCCCCTCCTGGGAAGAGGTATGCATAAAAAGTGACTAAATAAAGTTCACGATTTTCTTCAACTAGACTGACTTCCACTATTTCGAACCCAGATCCAGACCATGTACAGTTGACCCTTGAACAACATAGGCTTGAACTGTGTGGATCCATTTATATACAGACACTTTTCAATAAAATTTACACTGAATGTGCCTGTCCCTCCTGCCTCTCCTTTCACCTCCACCTCCTCTTCCACCTCTGCCACCCTAGGACCGCAAGACCAACCCTTCCTCCTCCTCAGCCTACTCAACCTGAAGACAAGGAAGATGAAGGCCTTGAAGATTATCCACTTCCACTTACTAGTAAATATATTTTCTTTTCCTTATGATTTTCTTAATTTTTTTCTCCAACTTACTTTATTATAAGAATACAGTCTATAATATATAGATACAAAATATGTTAAATTTTTATGCTTTTCGTAAGGCTTCCAGTCAACAGTAGGCCATTAGTAGTTAAGTTTTTGGGGAATCAAAAGTTATATGCACATTTTGATTGCACGTGGGTTGGTGCCTCCAACCTCTACGTTGTTCATGGGTCAACCATAATTTATGGAAATAGGACTGAGCCCACTGGGGGCCCTTCCACCACCCTGAGGGGTTCCTGACTGAGGGCCTGAGAAGGTGGCATCTCAGGCAGGATGAGTGTGAGTAAGTGGGCCAGAAGGAGGAGGGGAAAGGTGTCCCAGCTCGGGGGAAGATTTAAGGGGGGCTCTGGCCTGGAGCCAGCAATGGCACCATCCTGAAGGGATGATGACACATGAGGGGACACAGGGAAGCTGCTTCTGTGGAAAGAGAGTATGACTGTGTGTTCCCCAAAGGCCAGGCTTTCTGCTCCCTGTGGACAGATGCTGGGGAGAAAGTTGCCCAGAAAGTTATCAGAGGATGGGTATCTTCATGGAAACTTCCCACTGTCAGAGGAACGAACAGCCAGTGACCTTCAGGAGGGAGGTGGGAAAGGAGCAGAGGGGGAGAGGGTATTCAGGGGCCTTCTGTAAGTCTCCTCCCTGTCCACTGCCACAGGCCCCTGACAGAGGCCAGAGCCTCTACTACCCCGCGGAGAGAAAATGAGCAAAGCGGTCACTAGAGCTAAGATGATGATCATATGAGGTCCCCTGATGTCAAAGGTGAATTTCAGAGAGATGATAATAAAGAGCATCATCAACTTACTGAGCACCTACTATGTGCTGGCACTGTGCTAAGCACTTCTATCATTCTGTCATAGCAGTTTAGGAGTTTATGTATTTATTAATTAAAAACATTTATTAATTTAATTATTAATTTAAAAATACATAGGAAGAATAATAACAACAAACTCGACTCATAATTTTTCTAGTTTCCCCTCTCCAGTTAAAGATGGTAGCATGGGCTGGGCACAGTGGCTCATGCCTGTAATCCCAGCACTTTGGGAGGCTGATGTGGACAGATCACCTGAGGTCAGGAGTTCAAGACCAGCTTGGCCAACATGGTGAAACGCTGTTTCTACTAAAAATACAAAAATTAGCTGGGCGTGGTGTTGGATGCCTGTAATCCCAGCTACTCGGGAGGCTGAGGCAGGAGAATCACTTGAACCCGGGAGGTGGAGGTTGCAGTGAGCCAAGATCGCACCACTGTACTCCAGCCTGGACAACAGAGTGAGACTCCATCTTAAAAAAAAAAAAAAAAAGAAGTCCGGGCGCGGTGGCTTACACTTGTAATTCCAGCATTTTGGGAGGCCGAGGCAGGCGGATCACAAGGTCAGGAGTTCGAGACCAGCCTGGCAAACATGGTGAGATTAGCCAGGCGCGGTGGCAGATGCCTGTAATCCCAGCTACCTGGGAGGCTGAGGCAGGAGAATTGCTTAAACCTGGGAGGCGGAGGTTGCAGTGAGCTGAGATCGCGCCACTGCACTCCAGCCTGTGTGACAGAGCAAGACTCCGTCTAGGGGGTGGGGCTGGTCGTGGGGGGTGGGGGGTGGTGAGAAAAAGACAAAAGAAAAAAGATGGTAGCATGGCATATTTATATTCCTGAAACACTGTTTTAATCAAATTTCTTCCCTAATTAGGACTTAAAAGAGCTCCTATCCCCTACTGGGTCATTTCCAAACCTTTCTATTTAACTTCTAAGGCCTTCCTTTATTTGCCCCAAATCTGCTAGAGGCATCACTGGCTGAAGCCAGCTGATCTTTCTTTCTGTTAGCTCCCCAGTGCTGCTTCCCTCTCCCCTTCTCTCCTCACCCCAGGACCTCTTGATTCATCTTGTTTCTCTCTCCTGATACGTGCCCCATTCTGTTCATCCACCTTATTCCCACCCTTCAATACGCAAGTCAGGCTCACCTCTTCCCTAGAGATTTTCCCATCTGTATTAATTAGTGATGGTCACAATTTAGTCTCCCTAACACAGTCGCCAGACTGGAACTGTAGAGCTACAGGAGACCCTGCAGACTTCTAGTAGACTGTAATCACCTGAGGGCCACGGTTAGCAGAGTGTCATCACGCGTTTGGCATCCTAAACAAACTCCGTTGACCAGGGCTTTTAGGGAAAACGGTGTTGGAGATGGCTGGTGGCGCAATACCTACCTTCCACCACTAGATGACAAACTTGCAACAGCGTGCTTCCAACAGGACGCCCACGTTTGACACGTTCCTGAGACGCTGGAGAAAACCGATTGCCAGCCCGGGCTGAAAGGAAACTTGAGAAATCACTTAGTCCGTCTCTTTGCCTTCAGACAAATGGAGTTTTTGTTTACTTTTAAAGACTCACAGCAATTCGTTCGCTTGCTTCAGTACCCCCACAAAGGTTTTGCAATGAGGGGTCATAGAGAGGACACTTGTGGACATGTGGGGACCTGGTCAAGTCACATCCCCACTCAACCTCAGTCCACAGGTTGCAAAATGAGGGAATCGATTAGATCATGGTTCATGTCCCTTCCAGCTCTCTGATACTAATCATTTAGCATTCAGCAACTCCCTCTCACTACAGTCAGCCTTAGTCCATTTGTTTCGTTTTGATCCTTATTGTATATGTGTGTTTAGAACCTCCAGCGGTGGGAAGCATTCATTCAAAATAAATTATTGAGTGCACAGCAGTAGGTACTTCAGGATATAAAAACAAAGTCATCTGTGGTCTCTCCCTCTATGAGTTTATACTCTACTTGAGGGAAAAAATATATAAGTGGAGCTGAACTATATTAAAAGACAAAATAATCGAAATGACACTAGGCAGTATATGTCTAAGGAGCAAGGGAGAGGTGTGGGACCAGGACACTAGGAGCTCAGAGGAGGAGGGGTGGTCAGGGAGGGCTTTAAGGAGGAGAGGTGGCAAGCTCTGATGGAATATCAATAGACAAGAACTCAGGGAGCGGGGCTCCAGTAAGGAGGCACAGGGTGCCTTCATCTTTGCCGACATAACCACAGTTCCTGCCTTTTAGAATTTGGGCAAAAAGAAGTAAAGAAGAATAAAAGAAGAGTGAGAAAAAGAACTGGAGAATGGGATGTGAGGCAAGGAAAAGGGAAAAAAGACAAGGTGGAGCGGGGAGCACCCATTCACTGTGGAGGGACATGTACCCGTTCAGAGGTAGAGAAGCAAAGTGAAACAATCTAAAGATAGGTCAGGGGCGGTGGCTCATGCCTAATCCCAGCACTTTTGGAGGCTGAACAGGGCTGATCCCTTGAGCCCAGGAGGTCAAGACCAGCCTGGGCAATGTGGCGAAACCCCGTCTCTACAAAAAATAGAAAAATTAGTCAGGCATGTCTGTAGTCCCAACTACACGGGAGACTGAGGCGGGAAGATCACCTGTTCCCCCCTGGGAAGGTTGAGGCTGCAGTGAGCCGTGATTGCGCCACACTGTGCTCCAGCCTGGGCAATGAAGTGAAACCCTGTCTACAAAAAAAAAAAAAAAATTCTGAAGGTGAGCTGAGAGCCGCTGATGGACATAAAGTAGTGGCATAGAGCTGTGAGAACAAAGCCAAGAAGGCATAAGTCTAAAATGAAATGAAAATGTTTATATGTTAAAACCAACAAATATATGCTTTTACTTACGTTCAGAGCAAGAAGAGCAGGAAGGGCACTGCCCTTTGTGCCAGCAGTGTGACATTAGTAGAACTCAACTTCTATTTTGACCTCAGTTCCATCTTTTCTGTCAAGGAGATTAATCTTCTGACTCTAAAACATGAAAATACGTAGCTTAGAGGGAACTGAGACCCAAGATAAAACAGGTTTCAGAGCAAATGGCCACATAATACGGATTCAAGAGTATTTGCCTAGAACAATCACCTGCTGGAAAGTACTTGGCTGAGAAATGGGGAAACAGCAACTTCTATAATGGGGAATTGTCCTACATTTTTTCTGGGTCACTTTGGGGGCAAATCCAGGATCAGTGGATGAAAACCTCAGAGATGTATATGTCAGATCCCTGCTAGGAAAAATTTAATGTCGATTAGAGGTTTTCTCAAATGGAATGGTCTACCTTGCGAAGTATTGAGTCCCATGTCGTGGTAGGTATTCAAGTGAACACTAGCAAATATTTCATGGGGCTTTTATGGAAGAGTTTGAACTAAAGATCTCTTCCAACCCTGAAACCTATGATTCTGTGGTTGTACAAGATTAGGGGAGAAAAGAATGAGTGCTTTCCCAGCTCACCTTCAGATTTTTTTTTTTTTTTTGAGACAGGGTTTCACTTCATTGCCCAGGCTGGAGCAGAGTGTGGCACAATCAAGGCTCACTGTAGCCTCAGCCTTGCTGGGGGGGAACAGGTGATCTTCCCACCTCAGTCTCCCACGTAGCTGGGACTACAGGCATACCTGGCTAATTTTTCTATTTTTTGTAGAGATGGGGTTTTGCCACATTGCCTAGGCTGGTCTCGACCTCCTCGGCTCAAGGGATTGGCCCTGCTCAGCCTCCAAAAGTGCTGAGATTACAGGCATGAGCCACCACACCTGACCTATATTCAGATTGTTTCACTTTGCTTCTCTACCTCTGAATGGGTACACATCACTCCAGAGTGAATGGGTGCTCCCCGCTCCATCGTGTCTTTCTTCCCTTTTCCTTGCCTCTATCCCATTCTCCAGTTCTCTTTCTCACTCTTCTTTTATTCTTCTTTACTTTTTACCCAAATCCTAAAAGGTAGAATCTGTGGTTATGTTGGCAAAGAGGGAGGCCCCTGTGCCTCCTGACTGGAACCCTGCTCCCAGGCTGGAGTACAGTGGCATGACCATAGTTCACTGCACCCTCGAACTCCTGGGCTCAAGCCATCTTCCTGCCTCAGCCTCCTGAGTAGCAAGGACTATAGGCATATGCCACCATGCTTTGCTAGTTAAACATTTTTTTTTTAGAGATAGGGTCTTGCTATGTTGCCCAGGCTGGGCTTGAACTCCTGGCCCCAGGTGATTCTCCTGCCTCAGCCTCCTAAAGTGCTGGGATTATAGGCATGAGCCACCATGCCCGGCCTAGAATTTCAATTTTGAGTACCATTCATTCTTTTTACAATAGAAACTGAGGTTCTTAACCATAGAAAACCATTGTAGGCATATTTCTGCTGTTTTTCCAAGGGGAGGATTTGTCCTTTTTGTTATATTTTCAAAGGGGTCAGAGGCCTAAAAAAAAAAAAAAAAAAAGGTTAAGAACTGCTGTTTCAGGGCCTTTGTGGGATACTGTTTATCTTTTTCCTGAATGTTTTGACATTGCATCTGGTGTAGCCAGTCTTCCTCTCAGGCTACCATGAACTCCAAGATAGCTCATCTCTTTCTCCCAGGACTCTCTTCACTTCCAGCTCTGCCCCCCGCCATTCTTTGGGTCACTCTTGGGTTTAAAGAGACAGTTCCACTTATAACTTTTACTCCTTTGTGGGGCCACTTAGATCTGCATAAACACCAAGCTCCTCTCAATCTTGTTCCAAACCCTGCTGGATCTGCAAGGGGCACATATCCCCTAGTAGGAACTGAGGGCGCACAGGCTTGCACACCACTGAGGCCACCTCTTTTCCTCTCTTCCTTTGTCAGGTTCTGATGGCCTCCACTGGGTGTCCTCCCTCAGATGGTCAGGTTCCCAGTAGATCTGAATCTTCCTGATGATCAGCACTTACTCACATGCCTCCATTCCTATCAGTTTAATTCCTTCCTTTCTTCCTTTCTTTATTTTATTTTATTTTTGAGATAGAGTCTTGCTCTGCTGCCCAGGCTGGAGTGCAGTGGTGTGATCTCAGCTCACTGCAAACTCTGCCTCTCGGGTTCAAGTGATTCTAGTGCCTCAGCCTCCTGAGTAGCTGGGATTACAGGTGCCTGCCACCACACCCAGCTAATTTTTGTGTTTTTAGTAGAGATGGGGTTTCACCATATTGGCCAGGCTGCTCTCAAACTCTTGACCTCAGATAATCCACCCGCCTCGGCCTCCCAAAGTGCTGGGATTACAGGTGTGAGCCACTGCACTCGGCCTAATTTTTCTGTAGAATTAAGTTCATTGTCAATGGAAGTGATTCTCCTCTCACAAATTTTTGGTCATACTCAAGAGAGTATGAGCAGTTCCTAAAAATCTCAATCATTTTGCATTTACATAAATCTTATATGATATTAGTTATTAGGGACAGAAGTGTCACTTTGTAACTGACAGATGTGATCGATGTAGGCACAGGGAATTGGGGGCATCCATGTCTCAGTTTTCTTTGTGATGTGTGAGACTTTGGTCTTGGTGGCCAAGAATTTGAAACTGCACATCTGCCTGAGCTGGTCTCAACTTCCTGGCCCTGGAGCTTCAAAGGAGATTCAATAATGGCCCCCTTGGCCCTACCTTCTCCCTTTCCATTTCCACCTACACTCTTCAGTAATCAGCTCAGTCTATCTGTGCTCTGTAGTCTAATGAAAAAAGCTAGAAGTTGGCTGGGTGTAGTGGCTCACGCCTGTAATCCTAGCACTTTTGGAAGCCCAGGTGGTGGATCACTTGAGGTCAGGAGTTCGAGACCAGCCTGGCTAACATGGTGAAACCCCATCTCTACTAAAAACACAAAAATTAACTGGGCATGGTGGCGCATGTCTGTAATCCCAGCTACCTGGGAGGCTGAGGCAGGAGAATCGCTTAGACCTGGGAGGTGGAGGTTGCAGTAAGCCGAGATCATGCCACTGCACTACAGCCTGGGCAATAGAGTGAGACTGTGTCTCAAAACAAACAAACAAACAAACAAACAAACAAAAGCTAGAAGTCAAAGATCCAGCATTAAAAGCTTGGTTACCAGTTGGAACGTGGAGAGAACTCTGTATAGTTAGTTTCATAATCATGTCCTTAATGCATTGTATTGCTGGTTTTGTTTTGAATTGGAACTTACTTTTTTTTTTTTTGAGACAGAGTCTTGCTGTGCATAGTTCATTTCAACCTCAAACTCCTGGGCTCAAGTCATCCTTCTGCTTCAGCTTCCCAAGGAGCTGGGACTACAGGTGGGTGCCACCATGCCTGGCTATTTTATTTTATTGTTTTACTTTTTGTAGAGATGGGGTCTTACTATGTTGCCCAGGCTGGTCTCAAACTCCTGGCCTCAAGCAATCCTCTTTCCTCAGCCTCCCAAGGTGCTTGGATTACAGGAGTGAGCCACCATGCCTGGCTAATTTCCTAATCTATAAACTGGGGATAATAGTCATACTGACCCAATTTGGTTATTAAGAAGATCAAATAATTTAAAATGTGTAAAGCACTTAAAACAGTGTCTGCAATATAGTAAGGACTCAATACACATTAGCTCTGTAGGGGAGGAGGGTATCTTAAGCAATGGGAATAACCTTAGCAAAAGAAGGAAAATGAAAGAACCATTATTCTTTTAGAAAACTCAAAAATAATAGAAATGGCTGGGTGTGGTGGCTCACATCTGATATCCCAGCACTTTGGGAGATCAGGGTGGGAGGATCACATGAGCCCAGGACTTCAAGACCAGCCTGGGCAACACAGTGAGACCCTATCTCTACAAAAAGTGAAGAAAAAAAAAAAGCCAATGTGGTGGTGTGTGTCTCTGGTCCCTGCTACTCCAATGGCTGAGGTGGGGGGATCACTTGAGCCTGGAAGGTCAGTGGTGCAGTGAGACTTGATTGTGCCTCTGCACTCCAGCCTGGGCAACAGAGTGAGATCCTGCACCCGACCAAAAAAAAAAAAGAAAGAAAGAAAGAAGAATAAAAAATGCCTAGAAGACAAATGGAGAGAGAAATACTGCTCATAATAGTAAGAGCACCTCCCTCTTCTGCATACTTCCCCTGTGCTTATGCTGTTTCAAGTGCTTTGTGTACATTATTCATTTACCCTTCCCAGAGATTCCTCATGAGGTAGGTGTGGTTATCCCCATTCTACAGATGAGAAAACTGAGGCTTCTGGAGGTTAAGTAACTCTCACCAGGGCACTCAGTGAGTGGGTGGAAGCTTCAGGAATCAGGCCCACATCAGCTCGCTGCCTGTGTTCTTAGCGCCATGCCTTATTGCCCTTTGCTTTCCTTGGCCCCACCCCAATTTTCTCTACCCAATGCCGTGAAGTAGGAAACAAAAACTACCTGGTTGTCCCTCACCACCAGTCAAACTTTTCACCTTGTCAAGTCACTTTCTCCTCCTGGGCTTCAGTTTCCTTTTGCAGTATAGGAGACAAAGGTGCTCTGGGATCCCTTCCAGCTCTTTTTCTCCCCTCTTCTCCAGCTTTGGTTACTCAGCCATCATGTACCATTTTGGCCACCAAATAACATGACACTAGGAATACTCAAAGAAGTGTAGAGCAAAGCATTCAGGCCTTGGTACAAACCTGCTAGCAGGTAAATAAATAAATAAATAAATAAATAAATCCGACCAACACTTAACAAAATTAGGGCAGAAATACTGAAATGATTTAGAGTACAGAAATGATCAGAGACTAGAGGTGAGTTAGGGACACTTCCCAGGGATTAAGAGCCAAAGAGACCTTAAATTAAAGGAAATGAGGAATGCTGCTTGCGGCTCCAGTTGGGAAGGTGGAATGAGGGGATGTGTCCTGGTGACCCTGTCCCCTGGTCCTTTCTTTGTGGCATCTGGTTGCAATGAGTCTTGTGGGTTGTGGGAGAAGAGATGGAGTGGGTAGGGAGTAGCAGGAGAGACAGTAAGTCACTTGTGTCATGTGATTTGTAACTCAGGTATACCTATTACTAAATTTCTTTTTTCCGTGAATGGGACTCAGATTATTTGGACTTGGTAGTGTTATTGGATCTTTGGAGTGTTGCTTTTCTGGTGGGAAACGTCTGTGGCCAACAGCGCCTTTGCCCAAGTTTTGCTCAGGCCTACTGGGCTTGTTCCACCCACTCGGCCTGGCAGGCCATGCTCCGCTCACATTATCGGCCTGAATCCCATGCCTTCAAGGGAGACTGCAAGTCAGACATGGAGTGGTAAGGGGTGCATGAGTGAGCATGGGGTCTAGCCACTGTGCGCAGTTGGACATGCCGGCTGCTGCCACAGGGTGGGCAGCTCCAGGTGGTAACATGGGTGCCAGCTCTCTGTGAGGCTGCTGCTGGACTGGGTGCACAAATAGCTTCCCTGGCTGGCAGTGGGGAATGCAGTGGCACCCAGAAGCTTGGAGATGCCAGGAACTGCAGGGCCCCAAAGAGGGAGTCACAGCCCTGGCTTGGGGAGCTCCCAGGTCTGAGATTCCTAAAGGGCCACAGATTTTCTCTCCTCTTTGCCCCCAATGGGGCAAGCAAGCGGCATGTTTCAGCACTGTTTGTGTTACAGCTCTTTTAGCCTTGCCATTTGGCAGGTCCTAAGTTATTGCCCTGCAACCAGGAAGAATGAGTACATAGACAAGTGGAGGGTGAGCAAGATGAAGAGGAGCTTTATGGAGCAACAGAACAGCTCAGAGGAGACCTGTAGTGAGCGGCTCCTCTCCATAGCCAGGGTGTCCCAATAAGTGTTCAGCTCTCAGCAGAGAGGGTAGCTCCTCTCTGCAGCTGGTCATCTCCTCAGCTCTCAGCAGACAGGAGACCCTGGGGTGGGCAGCTCCTCTGGGGAGGGCAGCTCCTCTCTGCAGCTGGTCATCACCTCCCTGGCTGTCATGCTTTCCCTCCTCTGCTCAGTCTGGCTGAGTCCAGGGTTTTTATGGGCTTCATAAGGGAGGAAGTGCATGCTGATTTGTCCATAGGTGGCTATGGGCAGGGTTCAGAGAAAAGCACTTCAGGTTCCCTCTCTGGTCTTGGACTGGCAGCTGCCCCCCACCCTGCCACTCCCTTGAAAGTGGAGCTTCACTGGGGACCCTCCCTCTTCCACCCAGGAGCCTGTCTGCCTCCTGTCCACTTCATGGTGCCCAGGCTGTTCAGTCAGCAGGCCAGCTCCGGGCTGTCCTCAGCACTCCCCTCAGCCTCCTTCCTGTGCTTGTTGGCACCCACAGTCCAGAGGGGACCAAGGCAGCAGGGGCCTGGTGTGTCAGCACTGCCTCAAGTGTGTGCATCCCAGGCAGGGCTGTGACAGTGCCCAGGCTAGGCCCTGGCCTTGCTCTGAGATCAGAGTGGGTGCCAACAGTGGGGAGAAGCCAGGCAGCGGGAGTAGGCACCCCCGAGCTTGCAGGGGGTAGAGGGACCTTCCTGGGCTCCCAAGAGTGCAGAAATGCCTGATTCCACAGGGCAGGGTGGCTGCAGCAGCACCTGGGGAGTTCCCACCCACCAACTTGGAAGGGGTGGGGCTTCTGCTAGTCCCTGGCTCCTGCTGGCTCTGTGGAGCGAGCGGCCCTGGCGGTGCCTCCTCACAGTCTGGAGTGAGGTCTTCAAGTTTTCACTGGGCCTGGGCCTGGGCCAGGCATCTGGTGTAAGGGTGTCATTGTCATGAGTTACCATGGCCCCAATGCTCAGGGATGGCCCAGGGCTCTCCCCCGCCCTGTCAGACCCTGCCCAGGGGTGCCTCCAGGAGTGACTTCGAGAGTGGATTGTAGGTCCTGAGCCCGGCCATCAGGAGTGTCAGGCTCGGTGGTCACCCTGATGTAGGGCAGATCCTGGGGATGCAGCCCCGGCAACCCTGCGCAGAGCCTCCTCTTGAGGCACAGGAACCCCTGCTCTCAGTGGGTTGGGCACGTGGCCGTACTGCTGGCTGGGTCTCTAAGCAGGGGCCGCTCCCGCTTTCCACCCCCGGTCCCCTAAGCACGGCCCCAGCTCTGCGCCCCAGGCCCCTCTCTGCACACCTCTCTGTGCCCAACTGCATTGTTCCCCTGCAGGCTGGTGACTGGGCCTGGCCCCATTGCGGTGGCCCCCAGGGCGGCGGGCTCTGGGGCAGCTCCCTGGGCTGGGCTCTGGGGACTGTCATCCTCCTCCCCACACCCTCCCCGCAGCCGCGGTGGGCAAGAGTGGCGACATGGGGGCAGGGTCAAAAGTGATGGAGGCTCCAGGCCTGGGGGTGGGTCCCACCCACGCCGTGTGATGGTGAGGGCGGTGCAGTCGGCTGCCTCGGGATGCAGGGCACATGGGACGTGGGGCGCAGGGGTCCCACCGCCGCCACTGCCACTCCCACAGCTGCTCCTGTCGCCACTGCTGGCTCCTCCCTGCTGCAGCTGGTGTGATGGTAAGCCCCTGCTTCGGATGGCCCGCTGCTGCCATCAGTAAGGATAGTCTTGCTACAAAATCACTCATATTTTTATGGTTTTTTTTTTAATTTTTAATTTTAGAGGCGAGGATTCGAACCTCTGAGTTCATGCCATCCTCCCATCTTAGCCTCCTGAGTAGCACATGCCACTGTGCCTGGCTAGCTCATATTTTTAAGGTACTTTTTTCCCCGTCTGTCTTGATGAAAAAATACAACTTAAAAAGTTGGCACAGATAAACAGAGCTGGGGCTTATATCTTATAACCTATGTAATTAATATCATAGCCAAACCTTCACATGCTTCCTTCCCATCCTCTGCCATATTACAATTAGATTTTGAGGGACTTTGGGAGTTCTATCCCCCTACCTTGAAGGGTATCCATGGTCACCTGCCACAGTGCCCCAAATATCCATTATTAATTACTTTTTGGGGGTGTAGGCATTGAAGGCTTCTGGGTATGGCTTGACTATTGAGTGTTTGGCCTCTGAAGCCAGAATGCCAGAGTTTAGAACTGGAGACTCCTCTTCCTTTCTGCACCTTGGCATCCTTCTCTCTAAAATGGGGATGAAAACAACACCCACCTCATTAAGGGATGTTGTGAGGATGTTACAAGGTAATATGTATGAGGCATTTATTAGAATAACACCTGGCCCAAAATGAGCCCTCAATAAATGTCAGATGTAAAGTTATCAACATTCTTGTCCTCTTAGCTTAAATCTTATTCAGTGCATTGCCTAGTAGAATTCTGAGGCACAACGAGTCCATTTTATGACCTGAGCAAAGGAAAGCGTTAGGAAACAGGGCATTCATTAACTAGAATGGTCTTAGGCTGAAAGTTTTACCATGTACAGAATCCTCTGAGCATTTAAGGGATCGGTGTGCAGGCAAAGAGTTCCTAGGGAAGGACCAAAGAATCAGGGTGAGGCAGACAGAGGATGGCGGTTGAGAGTAACTGCCCAGGGACGGGGAACACAGCCCTTGGGGTAGGCACAGGTATCTGAGTCCCTGAAGCGAGGAGAATGGAGCCAGAGGGGTGGAGAGGAGAGGGAGGAGGCAGGACCAGAGAGGCAGAGGAGCGCTCCTGCCAGGGGTCCTGTGCAGTGAAGGAGGTGAGGCCTCACGGCTGCTTCCTCAGGCCTCATGGCTTCCAGGCAGGTCTTACTGGGTTGGAAACACATAGGGCCATGGGGGAAGTGAGACATGCTTGCTAATCATACTTCCAGCTCACAGTCATCTCTCTGTTTGTCATCCTTTCAAGGAAAAGCTGTATCCCAAGGGCCCTCTGTTTAGCTCAGACCTTGGCCCAATGCCCAGGTTTTTCTGGTGCCACTATCATATCTCAGGATTCAGCCAGACATGGTTGGTAACTTCTTGTAATAGTCAAGACAGGAAGTGGTCAGGACCTGGAAATAGAGCAGCCCTTGGGGGTGGGTAGGACTGACCCAGCTCTGGGTGCCTCCTCAGGCTAGTGGCACAGAATTCCTGGACTTGGCCTGGGCTGCAGCGACGCTAGAGATAATGTCTTTATGGATTTCCCAATTTTATCTCAGACAATGGGAAATCTAGTAGTGTTTTATGACAAACAGGAATTTCTCCCATTATCATAGCAATGCTGACTTGAAACATTTGGGAGTGCCTGACATTCTATACCCACACTTACAGTAAGGGAGACAGTAGGTTGTAGGGTAAGCACTGAAGTCAGGCTGAACTTTTCTGAACCCCATCTTTGCCACTAACTCCCTGGTGCTCTTGAGCTAATTACCTCATCTCTCTGTGCCTCCATTTTTTCACTTGTAAAATCAGGATTTCCCCACGTATCTTACCGCAGACTAAAAAAAAGAAAAGTATGAAAGAATGCTTAGCATAGTATCTTGAACACACTAACCTCAAAATAAATGGCATCTAGTAAAATCATCATCATCATCATCATCACTGTCTCTTCGCCCACCAAGCTTCAGTTTGCACCTCTATAAAATGAGGATTGAGGGAAATAATCAATATTTGCAATATTTGTATAGAAGGTGGTATATGGTAGGTGTTCTCAAATTCTAGTTCCTTCCCATGGAGGAAAGCCAGACGCTGGGGAAGAGGACCTGGGTCAGCAGCTCATGTGCTGAGGGGAAGTGGGGTTGGGGGAAGGGAGGTCAGTCCCTGGCTGGAGTAGACCTGTGGAGTTAACCCCCTCTGCTGAGTAGAAATGTCGGGGACTGGACAATGGACTGGCACTGAATTCAGGCAGATTTGGGAGAACTGACTAGGTCCTGCTACTCCAGAGAAGCTGGTGAGTGGCAGGCTGGAGTAGTGAAAGCAGATAGCTGACAGTGTGGGTATTGGCTATAGCAAGGGCCTTCCTGAGTCCTCAGTGGCCCAAACTAGCCTCATGGTGTTCTAGATCCTAGGATTCCTCTGGAGCAATTGTTCTTTTTTTTTCTTATTATAGATATGTTTTTAAAAATTTCAATAGCTTTTGGAGTACAAGTGGTTTTTGATTATATGGATGAATTGTATAATGGTGAAGTCTGATATTTTACTGCACCCATCACCTGGGTAGTATATATTGTACCCAATATGTGTTTTTTTTATCCCTCAACCCCCTCAACCTTCCCCCTTCTGAGTCTCCAAAGTCCATTATACCACTCTGTTTGCCTTTGCATACCCATAGCTTAGCTCCCACTTATAAGTGAGAACATACAGTATTTGGTTTTCCACTCCTGAATTACTTCACTTAGAATGATGGCCTCCAGCTCCATCCAAGTTACTGCAAAATACATTATGTCCTTCCTTTTTATGGCTGAGTAGTATTCCATGATGTCTATATACCACATTTTCTTTTTTATTTTTGAGACCGACACTCGCTCTGTCGTCCAGGCTGGAGTGCAATGGTGCAATCTTGGCTCACTGCAACCTCTGCCTCCCAGGTTCAAGTGGTTCTCCTCCCTCAGCCTCCCGAGTAGTTGTGGTTACAGGTGTGCACCTCCATCCCCAGCTAACTTTTGTATTTTTAGTAGACACGGGGTTTCACCATGTTGGCCGGGCTGGTCTCGAACCCCTGATCTCAGGTGATCCACCCGCCTCGGCCTCCCAAAGTGCTGGGATTACAGGCATGAGCCACCATGCCCAACTACTACATTTTCTTTATCCACTCATCAGTTGATAGGTACTTAGGTTGATTCCGTATCTTTGCAGTTGTGAATTGTGCTGTGATAAACCTACGCATGCAGGTGTCTTTTTGATGCAATGACTTCTTTTCCTTTGGGTAGATACCCAGTAGTGAGATTGCTGGATGGAGTGGTAGATCTACTTTTAGTTCTTTAAGAAGGTGGAACAATTGTTGTTAACCCTAGAGGTCACAGACCCGTTTGAGAAGCTAGTGAAAACTAAGGAGCATTTCTATAGAAAAATGCATATCACACAAATGTTTGCATATTAGAGGGGCCTCACAGATCCCCAGGAACTCATCAAGGGACTTCAGGTGAAGAAACCTGGTGGACTTGTCCCAGCAGCACTAATTAAGCCCAAGGACTAGACACTAGATCCACCCGTGGGTTGGCACAGGGCACAGGACCTGATCCAGGAGCTGTCAGAGGATGCTCAGTTTGACTGGTAAAGACAGTACCCAGACAGTATGCAACCTCCTCCTGCCTCCATTCAGCCAACATTGTCCAGGGAGCTAGAGATGGGCAGCAACAATGAAAATCAGTAGGTATCCTGACTCGTAGGCAGAATGTGGGGGTAGATTAAACCAGCATAGATGAGTTGATCCTAAGAGGAAAAAATAGCTCTTATTTATTTGTTTATTTATTTACTTACTTACTTACTTTTAGAGATGGGGTTTCACCATGTTGTCCAGGCTGGTTTTAAACTCTTGGGCTCAAGGGATCCTCTCCTTGGCCTCCCACAATGCTCACACCTAAAATCTCCCACACAGGGATTATAGGTGTGAGTCACCATGCCCACCATTTATTGAATACTTATTACATGCTAATTACTGTGCTAAGTGGCTGAAGCAGTCCTCCCACCTCAGCCTCCCAAGTAGCTAGGACTACAGGTGTGTGCCAGTGCACCCAGCTAATTTTTAAACATTTCCGTAGAGATGAAGTCTTGCTTCGATTCTCAGGCTGGTCTTGAACTCCTGGGCTCAAGTGATCCTCCTGCCTCAGCCTCCCCAAGCACTGGGATTACAGGTATGAGCCATCATGTCCCTTCTAACTCTATTTCATAGATGAGGAAATGGAGGCTTAGGGCAGTCTAGTAACTTGCCAGGGTCCCTCAGCTAGGAAATGGAGGCTCTAGGATTCAAACCTGTCTTTTAAGAATACAAATAAGAAGGCTGGGCTCACAACTGTAATCCCAGCACTTTGGGAGGCAAAGGCGGGTGGATCACTTGAGGTCAGGAGTTCGAGACCAGCCTGGCCAACATGGTGAAACCCTGTCTCTACTAAAAATACAAACAAATTAGCCGGGTGTGGTGGTGGGTGCCTGTAATCCCAGCTACTCAGGAGGCTGAGGCAGGAGAATCGCTTGAACCCAGGAGGCAGAGGTTGCAGTGAGCCAAGATCGCACCATTGCACTCCAGCCTGGGTGACAAGAGCAAAACTCCAACTCAAAAAAAAAAAAAAAACCAAATAGGGAATGTCAGAGAGGGCTGAGAGAAATGTCTGGAGCCAGCTGCAAGTTTGAATTCACTGGAGCAGGGTCCCAAGGAGGGCGACGGGGGATTTAGAGGGATACTAGAACAGGAGCTTGGGGCCAGAAGCCAAGCAGTAGCTCCATTATTCCGGGGTTGGATGGGGAAGAGGCATGGATTGGTCTGAGATGGAGCATGGGCAGTGATGCCCTTTGTGGGCACAGAGCTTGAATCTAGGCTTGGCCAGGCAGTACCTTGTTTGCTGAGCTGGGATGGAAAGTCCTTGGCTTCACTTCACTTCTTTTCTTTTCTTTTCCTTTTCTTTTCTTTTTTTTTCTTTCTTTCTTCCTTCCTTCCTTTCTCTTTCTTCTCTCTCTTTTCTCTCTTTTTCTCTCTCTCTTTCTTTCTCTCTTTTTTCTCTTTCTTTCCTTCTTTCTCTCTCTCTCTTCTTTTCTCTCTCTTTCCCTTCCTTCCTTCCTTCTCTCCCTCCCTCCTTTCTTTTTTTTCTTTCTTTCTTCCTTCCTTTCTTTCTTTCCTTCTTTCTTTCTCTCTCTCTCTCCCCTTCCTTCCTTCTTTCCTTCTTTCCTTCCTTCCTTCCTTTCTTCTTTCTAGATTCACAACTGTTTAATATGTATAAAAGCCAAGGAAAGGACAGTCCTAGTTCAACAGAAATATTTTGTATAATTCATATGGTGTGGTTGAGAGGGAAGGGGAAGAGGTTACAGAACGCACACCCAACATGTACAAGATTAATTTACATAGCAACTGCCGCCTGCAGGGAGGATGTAGCTCTGCACAGCCCCCCAGGGCTGGGCACATTACAGCCACAGTACCGTGGGAGCCAGCCAGTGTAGGCCCCAGGTGTAGGTGAGAGTGAGGAGGGCACCAGGCCAGAGGAGAGGGAGGATGAGGAGGCAGTTGACCGCCCAGCACGAGATCAGCAACTCATCCATCACAGTGTGGGCATAGCCACGCTGGCTTCCCAGCTCCTTGTGGCTCAGGAGGTACATGCGGAAGTCCTGTTTCTCCATGTAGGTCACGGCTGCCATCAGTGGGCACAGGATGCGTTTGGTATGGCCCTGAGCTTCACACGTTTTCTTCTCAGCAGAGGAAGGGCTGCCTCACATGAGGATGAGGAAGGAGTTGCACTCCAAGACAGAGCACCAGGCCCAACCAGGCTCAAGTGCTAGGAGGGCCGGGCCTGTTGTTCTTTACTATTAAGGCCTCAGCATCCAGAGAAGCACCTGGCATGCTGCATATGCTTAGTACATGCTTATGAATGAATGTTGAATGCCAAGGCTGAGCTCATCCCTCCACAACTTCCTTGATAAAAAACTAGGGATAGTTTTCAAGTAGCTCCCCAGAGCCCATAAAGTCCAGGTACGCCATTTTTAGTCAGTGTGGACTCTGAAAAGCCCATTCTCCTGTAAGCCAAAAGAACAGCTGGGTCATCCCTTTCTCAATGGACAGAAGAGTCTCTGCCAAATGTGTAGGAGGAGAAGATTCTGAGCCACACTTGGTCTTCTCTGCAGTCTCTCTACAAATAACAATAATAATAACACATGCCTCTGTGCTTTCCAGATTCCAAAGGGCTTTCGTATATCCATGGTCTAATGGAACCTCATATCCATGTGTGTGTGTTGGGAGGGGGAAGGCTAAAATTGGGGGTGGGAAAAAGGCAGGAAACAGGCAGTGTATTTTTTACAGATAAAGAAGATGAATGTAGAGAGGATTTGGAGACTTTTTCAAGGTCATCTAACTAGTAAAAGATGAGGCAAGGATGTGAATCTAGACCTTTTGGCTCTTTGTACAAAGGGGAATTAAACATGACCATGAAGGTAAGAGGTTCGAGAAACGGCCACAAACCTGGCCACAAAACTTATAGTGGTGACAATAAGGAACTGAATAGGAGCAGGAGCTGCCCCGGGTTGGGGCAGACTATTAATGAGAACACAGGAAAAGCATACCTATTTTGGTATCAGCCTGGCACAGTGGGGCAAGGGACCAGATAATGTGACTCTTGCCTTGTAAACGGATCTTGGGAAAGATCTTCCACCTGCCATGCATTGGATACCCCTCCCTGGTCCTATCTGCTAGGGAGCATGGCACTTGGGCAAATCAAAGAGTGGACACTCAGGTCTCCCAACATATGTGCTGGATAGGTAGTCTGTTAAAATGAAAACGGTAAACAAATAGGAAGATACTCTTTTATTTGTTGAGAGCTTGCTAGGAAATATAAATAAGTCCTGGCACTCAAAACATCTTGCTGTCCAGTATTGGTAGAAGAGGTGGAGGTAAGTAAATAAGTAATCACAGAACCTTTGCTTTTGGCTATGGCAAAGTGACTAGTATGGGACTTGCTCTCCCACAGGAAACAACAAAACATTTTGAAAAAATATTTAAAGAACTCCTTTTAGAAATGGAGCAATAGGCAGAGCAGAATTATAATCCTTGAAGGAAGAGAGAACACATGAGCTCAACCCTATATCTGCCCAGCTTTCTGCATTGGGACATTTTCTGGGTTGCACTGCAATCCAGAAGCTCAAGAAGTACATGTTGGTCTCATTGGGCAGAAGAGGCATAGATTAGAATTCAGGGCTGCTGAGGAAGATGTAATTTGCAAGGAAGGCTTTTAGAGAGGAAGGAACTGAACACAGAGGTGCTCCCAGAAGTTTGCATGGGTGTTCTGCATGGTCTTTGGATGAGGGATGGGCTGATATACACAGGGTGAGACTCCCTAAGGTTTTTCAGAGAGCAGCTGAGAGCTGAACAGGTCACTAGAGGCTGTACATGGCTTGCAGATGTTGGAGTTTCGGCTTAGCCAGAATGAATAAATCTCATTGAGCAACTTGGGTCCTCAGATTACACTCCAGAAAATCCATGCCTTAGGAGGAAGGACCACGTTCAATAGTAAAAAAACACTCCTTGAAGGTATACAAGAAGCAAATAAACATATGAAAGATGCTCTACATCATATATCATCAGAGAAATATGAAGTAAAACAATAATAAAATGCTACTACACGCCTGTTAGAATGGCCAAAATCCGGAACACTGATGTCCACACAAAAATCTGCACATAGTGTTTATAAGCAGCTTTATTCAAAATTGCCAAAACTTGGAAGCAAGATATCCTTTAGTAGGTGAATGGGTAAATAAACTGTAGTACCTCCAGACAATGGGATATTATTCAGTGCTAAAAAGAAATGAGCTATTGAGCCATGAAAAGACAGGGAGGAACCTTAACTACATATTACTAAGTGAAAGAAGCCAGCCTGAAAGGACTATACACTATATGATTCCAACTATATGACAATCTGGAGAAAGAAAAACCCTGGAGACAGTAGAAAGGTCAGTCGTTTCCAGGGATTGGAGGGAAGGAGGGATAAATATTTAGAGCACAGAGAAGTTTTAGGGCAGTGAAACGATTCTAGGGGACTATAATACTATAATGGTAGATACACATATTTATAAATTTGTCCAGCCGGGTGCGGTGGCTCACGTCTGTAATCTCAGCATTTTGGGAGGCCAAGGCGGGCAGATCACCTGAGGTCAGGAGTTCGAAACCATCCTGGCCAACGTGGTGCAACCCCGTCTCCACTAATAATACAAAAATTAGCTGGGCATGGCAGTGGGTGCCTGTAATCCCAGCCACTTGGGAGGCTGAGGCAGGAGAATTGCTTGAACCCAGGAAGCAGAGGTTGCAGTGAGCCAAGATGGTGCCACTGCACTCCAGCCTGGGCGACACAGCGAGATTCTGTCTCAAAAAAAAAAAAAAAAAAATTGTCCAAACCCATAAAATGTATAACATCAAGGGTGAACTTCATGTAAACTGTGAATGTTGGGTGATAATGATGTGTCAATGTAGGTTCCTCAGTTGTAGCAAATGTACCACTCTGGTGGGGGATGGATAATGGGGGTTGCTCTCCATGTGTGGCGCAGGGGCGTGTGTGGGAACTCTGTGCTTTCCACTACATTTTGCTGTGAATGTAAAGCTGCTCTAAAAAAAATAAAGTATATTAAAAGTTAGAGTTAACTTGAAATGACATTTGATGAAAGAAATAGATTCTGGATCCACACGTTTTCTATGTAAGAATATTCTTTTGGCTAAAATTATAATTTAGAAACAATGAACAACAACAACAACAAGAAGAACAAGAAACCACACTTTAAGACCAAGGATAAAATTTAAAAAGGCCATTTCTGATGAAGAATAAAACTAAGCCTGACTAGATCAAGACAATCTGGTACTAATTTAACAGATTATTTATTTATTCATTTATTTTTAGAGACAGGGTCCCACTCTGTCACCCAGGCCAGAGTGCAGTGGCATGATATAGCTCACTGCAACCTCAACCTCCTGGGCTTAAATGATTCTTCTTCCTCGGCCTCCCAAACTGCTAGGATTGCAGGCATAAGCCACCATACTTGGCCTAACTGCTTAATAGGACAAAACTCAATACTCTTCAAGAAAAGACAACGTAAACTCAAAATCAGTAGTCCACAATGTTTCACTATAAAACCTAATATTACTAGACATGTCAAGAAGAAGGAAAATGGGATGCATAATTTTTTTTGTTACTTTTTTTTAAAGAGATGGCATCTTGCTATGTTGTTCAGGCTGTTTAAGAGATGGGGTGTTGCTATGTTGTTCAGGCTGGTCTCAAACTCCTGGCCTCAAGTGATCCTCCCACTTCAGCCTCCTGAGTAACTGGGATTATAGGTACATAGGGACCCATAATTTTTCCTGAAAAAGGAAATCAATAGAAACAAACCTTGAGATGAACTAGAATTAGCAAACTAGAATTTTAAAACAACTGCTGTAAACATGTTTAAGGACTTAAAGAAAAATATAGGCATAATGGTTGAAGAGATGGGGGAATATCAGCAGATAAATTGCCAGTATAGAAGAGAACTAATGGAAATTCTAGAACTTACAAGTATAATGTCTGAAAGGAAAATTCTCCTGGATAGGCATCACAGAATATTAGAGACTGCAAAAGAAAGGATTGAGAAACTTAAGAGATATCAATAGACTATTTAATCTGAAAGACAGAAAAAGTAATTTAAAAAAGACCTAAACTGCAGTGGTTTGTGGAATAAAATCAGATAGTCTAAAATATGTGTAATTGGAGTTTCAGCAGGTAAGCAGAGAGAAAATGTGTAGAAAATAGTATTTTGAGAAATAATGGCTAAAAATAACCTACATGTGAGGAAAAGTAAACCACTTATATATCCATAAATCACACCAGACTGTAAGCTAGATAAATAAAATAAAACAGCACCTAATCACCTTTTAGTTAAGCTGCTGAGAAACCAAAGATAAAGAAAGAGCTGGGCATGGTGGTGCATGCCTGCAATCCCAGCACTTTGGGAGGCCAAGGCGGGTGGGTGACCTGAGGTCAGGAGTTTGAGTCCAGCCTGGCCAACACGGCGAAACCCTGTCTCTACTAAAAATACAAAAATTAGCTGGGCGTGGCAGCGGGTGCCTGTAATCCCAGCTACTTGGGAGGCTGAGGCAGGAGAATTGCTTGAACCTGGGAGGCAGAGGTTGCAGTGAGCAGAGATTGCACCACTGTACTCCAGCCTGGGTGACAGAGCAAGACTCCATCTCAAAAAAAAAAAAAAGATAAAGAACTTAAAAGTAACTGGAGAAGGCTAGGCATAGTGTCTCATGCCTGTAATCCCAGGACTTTAAGAGGCCAAGGCAGGAAGATCACTTGAGGCCAGGAGTTTGAGACAAGCCTGGGCAACATAGGAAGACTCTGTCTCTACAAAGAATTTAAAAATTATCTGGATGTGGTGGTGTGTGCCTATAGTCCTAGATACTGAGGAGGCTGGAGTAGGAGGATTGCTTTAGCCCAGGAGTTCAAGGCTACAATCAGCTATGATCATGTCACTGCACTCTAGCCTGGGCAACAGAGCAAGATCCTGTGTCAAAAATGAAATGAAATGAAATAAAATAAAATAAAATAAAATAAAATAAATTGGGGTCATATCACCTAGAGAACATAAATCTTAGAAAGGATTTGAAAACTGTCTCCAAATAGATAGACGACATCTAGATGATGTTGAATAGAGTAGCTAGAGAAAAACCTGGGACAATTTGAGCAGCATAATAATGATAGTACTGGATTATCAGTCCTGCAATAAAATAAATATCTGTGAGTTTATACTGACATAAATAAACAAATTTTAAAGTGGAAGAGAAGGGACAGCTCTTCTTTACTGTTGAATGTTAATTAATAACTGTATAAGAAAAAGGAAAATAGAAAATCACTGTGAATCAAATGCCACAGTAATAATTGTTGCAGTTAAGAATCATCAATGGATGATAAAATTAGTGGGTGAAATTATGAAACCATTATGATATTTGCATAAAATTAAAGTATCCTCCCATTAAATATGTATTGATTACAAAGAGAAAAATGGTAGCTTTTTTTTTGTATTTTTTTACTTTTTATTATCCATCTGCTAAGGCCCTGTCATTCACAGAAATGGTAGCTTTATAGTGAATAAACCTGGCAGACACCACCTTAACAATGTGATCAAAGTAATAAGCCATATCAACATCATATACTCCTTGATATGATGTACTGAGAAGGCACAACATCATTTTTGTGGTATTATTGTCCAAAATGAGAAAACAACAGACAAGCCCCAAATAAACAAAATACTACAAAAAACTGGCCTAGACTTTTCTTTTCTTTTTTTTTCTTTTTGAGATGGAGTCTTCCTCTGTCACCCAGGCTGGAGTGCAGCGGTGCAATCTCGGCTCACAGCAACCTCTGCCTCCCAGGTTCAAGTGATTCTCCTGCCTCAGCCTCCCAAGTAGCTGGGACTACAGGCACGTACCACCATGCCCAGCTAATTTGTGTGTATGTGTGTGTATGACGGAGTCTTGCTCTGTCACCGAGGCTGATGTGCAGTGGTGTGATCTTGGCTCACTGCAACTCCGCCTCCCAGGTTCAAGCGATTCTCCTGTCTCAGCCTCCTAAGTAGCTGGGATTACAAGTGCCTGCCATGATGCCTGGCTAATTTTTTGTATTTTTGGTAGAGATAGGGTTTCACCATGTTGGCCAGGCTGACCTCAAACTCCTGACCTCAGGTGATCTGCCCATCTTGGCCTCCCAAAGTGCTGGGATTACAGGTATGAGCCACCACGCCTGGCCCTTTTTTGTATTTTTAGTAGGGATAGCGTTTCGCCATCTTGGCCAGGCTGGTCTTGAACTCCTGACCTCAAGTGATCCACCTGCCTTGGCCTCCCAAAGTGCTGGGATTATAGGCATTAGCTACCACACCCGGCTGGCCTAGACTTTTCAAAAGTGTCAAAGTGATGAATGAGAAAGACTGAGAAAATGTCACAGATTGAGGCCAACTAAGGAGACATGATGACTAAATACAATGGATTAGATCCTGGACCAGAAAAAGAACATTAATGGGAAAAAAAATGGTAAAATTCAAATTCTGTAGCTAGATGAATTGATAGTATTATATCGATGTTAATTTCCTGTGTTTGATAATTATGATGTAGAAATGTAAGATGTGAACGTTAGGGGAAGCTGGGTGAAGGACATAAGAAAACTCTCTTTAGTATTTTGTAACTCTTCTGTAAGTATTAATGATTTCAAAATAAAAAGTTAGGGAAAAAAATCCAGGAGGAGAAGAAAGAGAAACAAGAATATAAAGGATGGCAGACTTCTCACCAGAGATGATGGAGACAGCAAACAGCAGACCATCTTTAATGTACTTGAAGAGACAAGTCTCAATCAATTTAGAAGTTTATTTGGCCAAGGTTAAGCACATGCCCATGACATAGCCTCAGGAAGTCCTGAAGACACGTGCCCAAGGTGGTCAGGCTACAGCTCAGTTTTATACATTTTAGGGAGACAAAAGACATCAATCAATACATGTACATTGAACATTGGTTCAGTCCAGAAAGGCAGGACATCTGACACAGGGACTTCCAGGTTAGAGACGGATTCAAAGATTTTTTCATTGGCAATTGGTTGTAAGTGTTATTATCTAAAGACCTAGAACCAACAGAAAGGAATGTCTGAGTTAGGATAAAGGGTTGTGGAGACCAAACTTTTATCATGCAGATGAAGCCAGAGGCTTCAGACAGAATAGACTGTTAATGTTTCTTATCAGACTTAGAGAGTCTATTCTATCAGCCTTAAGGTCTTTGTGTTGATGCTAATGCTGGTCAGCTGTGAGGCATATTCAACCACCACCCCCCCTCCACCTTCCCCAAACCTGCTTCACATCATGGTCTGAACTAGTTTTTCAGATTAACTTTGGAATGCCCTTGGCTGAGAGGAAGGGTTAGTTCAGACAGTTGTGGGGGGGCTTATAATGTTATTTTTAGTTTACAGGTTCTTACAATTTACATAGAATTGTTCAATATTAATTCAACATAGGCTACTGTATGATAAGTTAAGGAGGAATATTGTAATACCTAGAGCAAACACACACACACACACACACACACACACACACACATGCAAACGAGGTGTAGCTAGGAAGCCAGTAGAGAAAAAAAAATTATCCCAAAAGAAAGCAGAAAAAGAGAAACAGAGAAACCAGCCAAAAAGATAGAACGAATAACAAGATAGTAAATGTAAACACAACCATCAATTACTATACTAAATGTGAATGGACTAGCTCCTTTGCCTTCCCTGGGGCTGGGAGTGCAGGATGGACTCACTTGCACAATTATGTCATGTTTGCTAGGGCTTGGGCTAGGGTTGTGGACTTAGCATACTTGCTGAGGCCAGTGCCCACCCCAAGTGGTTGCTGACAGCAGGGATAGGCTAAGGAGACACCTAAGTGGCTGGAGATTGGTTTTATATATATGGGAATGGAGCAGATAACTAAATACTTAGGCAGAGATGTAACCAGGCCATGTGACCTGAACTTTGCTCCAGGGCATTGACACTGCTGTTAAAATGCTTCTGGCCTAGAGGCCCTCTGCAGCCAGGGGAGGTAGATGGAGCTTCAGCCTGAAAACCCAGGTCAGAGGGCCCAAGTACCCTTTGCAGAGCTGGCTTTTCCCCTTGCAAATTGCTAGTGACGCTTCAGCTGATGTGTGTTACTATTAAGGTCCTAGTGTTTGGGAGGGTGGGGCAGGAGGTGGAGGATTGTCAGAAAAAAATTACATGGAAAAAGATGGCATCTGAGATGTTTTGAAAGATAAGTGGAATTTTCCAAGTGGAAAAAGGAAGGAAAATCAGTCAGATAGGAAGGCATGGAGCATTGGGGAATGACAAGTATCTTCTTGGACTAGGGTGGGAGATGGGCTGGAGAGATGGGTCAGGGCCAGTTGTCTGGCATCTTGTGTGTCTCAGAAGAGGGTGGGCACGCTGCGTAGGGAAGCCCAGGGCCACTCTGAAAGCCCTAAAGGGGAACTGATGCCTCTGGCCTTGTTTTTATCACCATCAGGACTACCCATTGAGGCAGGCTGCACTACCAGCTACTTCCTGGTGCCCTCTTGCTCATAGCCATAGTATTTTGCCTCTCTGAGCTTCCAGAGGTTTTAAGTCTGGGGAAGACCCAGGGACTCAAAGAAAGATTGGGGTGGGAGATAAGGGGCCACAGTTTGGGGGAGTCAGGCAGGAGGCCTTTGAGGAAAATAGATAAAGTCCCAAAGCCTGTGAGTGTGAATTTGGAGGCAATATGCTGTGTTCTGAAACGTTTTCAGACACTGGCTAGGTGCAAGCAAGTGTTTGTAGGGCGAGGCTCTTCATGGACCTATCACTGCTTACGCAAGCTTGGGATGTGGTCTTGCCCTCAACAGGTAGGTAGTCTACCGGAAAACCAAACTAAGGCAAGAAAAAAATTAGTGAATAATAAAGGACTGAACCGGTTCAGAGAAGGCATTCAGCAGATGTTTGCCAGTCAAATGAATTAAAGTGTGAATGAATGAAACTCGAGGTAGTGGGTGAATGTGTCCCAAGAATCCAGCGAAACAGGGTCTCCCAGGAGGCGGGACTGGAAGGGTCCGGAGAGGGGCCACAGGCTCCTGGCCTTTCTAAGCACACCAAGTGCCCAGTCGCGGACCCCCGGGACCAGGATGCGCTGACGACCCGGCTGGCAGGCGGGTCCTCGTGGGCGAGGCGAGGGAGGCGGCGAGAGAGGAGCAATAGTTTCCCACCGCTCCCTCTCAGGCGCAGGGTCTAGAGAAGCGCGAGGGGATCTAGAGAAGCCGGAGGGGAGGAAGCGCGAGTCCGCGGCCCGCCCCGTTGCGTCCCACCCACCGCGTCCCCTCCCCTCCCCTCCCGCTGCGGGAAAAGCGGCCGCGGGCGGCGGCGCCCACTGTGGGGCGGGCGGAGCGCCGCGGGAGGCGGACGAGATGCGAGCGCGGCCGCGGCCCCGGCCGCTCTGGGCGACTGTGCTGGCGCTGGGGGCGCTGGCGGGCGTTGGCGTAGGAGGTGAGTGAGGCTCCGGCTCGGCAGCGTCGCAGCTGCCCCAGGATCTGCGCCCCGGTCAAGTTGCGGACTTGGAGCCGGCAAACGCGGAGGGCTGGTCCCGCGCGTCTGCGCTGGGAATGCGCGTGTCCTGGCTGGCGCGGTCGGAGCCGGGAGCTGGGGACCTTCCTGGCCCGGCGGTGGCGGGGCTGAGAGGTGCCTGGTGCCTGGGAGCGGGTCCTCCGAGACGCCGAAGCCATCAGCCAGGCTGAGCGCCTTCCCGGCCGCCGCGGCGCGCACGGTGCGGTGGGCGCATCTCTGAGCCCCGCGCTCACCCGGGGCTGCGCGCGTCGCGGGTGGTCCTGGTCGGGCCAAGGACGACTGGCCCAGGAGCCAAGGCGAGGTGGGGCTTCCGGGGGTTGTTCCCGCGCCTTGGCAGAGGGATGCCGCTGTAGCTTCCTGGGTGAGAGCGTGCGCGCGCGCGGGTTTGCCAGTTTCCCCACATTTCCAATTTCTCCTGTTACGCTTTCTCCAGAAGGTTTTTTCTTTTCCTTTTTTCTTTCTTTCTTTCTTTTTTTTACCTTCAACTTGGCTTCCTGCGGGGTTGTTTTGGAGCAGGATGAGGGCTTTGCCTCCTCCAGTGTCCCCAGGTGGCAGCGGTGCCTCTGCTCCCAGGGCAGACCCTGCACCCGAAAAATCTCTAGTGTATTCGGGGAGCCATGAAAAGGCTCCCTTGGGCCGGTGGGATCCTTGGCTTTGTCTCTGGCTGCTGCGCACACCGTCAGCCGTCAGGGCAATTGGCATTCGGCCTCTTTGGTACTGGGGACACAGGTGGAGGGATGGAGCGGGCACAGCCCGGGGTTGCTGCCCGTGGTCCTCTCTGAGTCCTTGGTGATTTTGCCTGGGCTGGAGAGAAACCCTGGCTCCTGGTCTGCTGGGGCCGCCTCTGCCTCAGAGGATGACACAAGAGTGCATGTAAGTATTTTTAATAAAAACTGTAGTACTCGTAAAACAATCTACACCCTGCAGAAGGGATTTGTTATTTTATTTTATTATTTATTTATTTATTTATTTATTTTTGAGACGGAGTCTTGCTCTGTCGCCCAGGCTGGAGTGCAGTGGTGGGTTCTCGGCTCACTGCAACTTCTGCCTCCTGGGTTTAAGCGATTCTTCTGGCTCAGCCTCCCGAGTAGCTGGGATTACAGGCGCCTGCCACCACGGCCGGCTAATTTTTGTATTTTTAGTAGAGACGCGGTTTCACCATGTTGGCCAGGCTGGTCTGGAGCTCCTGGCCTCAAGTGATCCGCCCACCTCAGCCTCCCAAAGTGCTGGGAATACAGGCGTGAGCCACCGCACCTGGCCAGGATTTATTTTAAAAAGGGAAGATTTGTTGATAAATTCACTTCAAAGATAAACTATTCGAAAATACTTTAGTGATTCCCGTCAAGACTCTTCTGTGTATGTATAGACGTATAACTCATTCTGGACAGGGCAAGGATATCTTTTTTTGTTTGTTTGTTTGTTTTGAGATGGACTCTCGCTGTCGCCAGGCTAGAGTGCAGTGGCGCGATTTCAGCTCACTGCAACCTCCGCTTCCCGGGTTCAAGGGATTCTCCTGCCTCAGCCTCCCGAGTAGCTGGGATTACAGGCACGCACCACCACGCCCTACTAATTTTTGTATTTTTAGTAGAGACGGGATTTCCCCATGTTGGCCAGGATGATCTCGATCTCTTGACCCCGTGATCAGCCTGCCTTGGCCTCCCAAAGTGCTGGGATTACAGGCGTGAGCCACCGCACCCGGCCAAGGGTATCTTGAAGGAGGGATTACAGTTGATATGTAGAGGAATATTGCAGTGGTTATTGCTGCATTTCCTATGTGACTGGGACTAAAACAGATCAGCTGATAGTGTTAGCGTGCAGTGAGCAGTCTGATGACTATGACACAGAAATAAGAATCTCCAGCATTCTGCCCTGGGACATGTGGAGCCTTGGGTCAGATGCTGCTGGCTATTGATGCCGGGAATGGAGAAATCCACCAGGGCAACTCAGTAAAAATAAATAAATAAATAAATAAATAAATACATAATTAAAAAAAGGGTATCCTTGTCCTGTCCAGGATGAGATGCTTGCTTCCATGCACTTACGACAATTTTTGCTGTCATTAAAAAATTTTCACATTCACAGTCTTCTAAATTCACTTTGGAGTGTATTGGATTCCACTGCATTGACATACGTAAGTTTGCATTAAAAGATCCTTTAAGATATCTGGTCAGGCACGGTGGCTCACGCCTGTAATCCCAGCACTTTGGGAAGTGGAGGTAGAAGGATTGCTTGAGCCCAGGAGTTCGAGACCAGCTTGGGCAACATAGTGAGACCTAATCTCTACTAAAAATTAAAAAAAAATCCTTAGGCGATCTGTTCACAGATTAATCTTGTGATTGGGGCGATTCCAGAAGTGGTAATGGGTTGTGCTGAGCTAGCCCCACACTCTCTCTGAGAAGCAGTGTACAGTAGTGTTTAAGGGCAGGGGCTCTAAAGTCAGACTTCCAGAGTAATACCCCCCCCCCCAACCTCACAAATCAGTTTCTACTATATTTATATCTGCCATCCCAGTGTTGGTGGTAGGGTCTTCAGATCCCTGGGGAAGCAGATGGTGGGATGAGAGTAGGAGAGTTGTGTTGGGACTCCAAGTGTTGAAGGGGCACAGAAAGAGCTGAGTGGCACAGAGAGGTTGTCCCAGAGTAGCGGAGTCTGCTTTGGGGAGAAGAGAGATTGACTGAGGATAGCATCAAGTTTTTCATTTTATGTACAAAGATGATCTTTTTAGCTTCACCCAGGAAGTATGGGTTTTGTGTCTTCCTCGTGTTTAGGTTTTTATTCTGACCTAATTAGGTCTAAGCTGAGGTGCTTATTTCTCTTCTGGAGTTTATATCCTAGAAGCTCTCCAATCGAAGCCCTCTGCAGGTATCCTCAGGTCCTGGAGAAACACAGCAGGAAGGCTTGTTGGCTTCGGAAAGGGAGGGCTATGGTTTAAAGCCAGTAAGATGTGGGTTTGATTCTTGACTTTGTCTCCTGTAGGCTGTGTGGCCTTAAATAAGTTACCTAATCTCTTGAGTCCTCAGTTTCCTCATTTGTAAGGCAGAGGAAACAATGCCTATGATTATGCTGATTAAATGAAACAGAGGCACAAAATAAGTGTTTAATGAATGACAACTACTATTGTCATTATTCTTCCTATCCATGCTATCTGCCATGTATTGGAGGCAAAAGCTGTTACTACTTCATGCATATGCGCTATGCAGGCTTCCAGAATGAAACTGATGGGGTCCCTTTCCCCCACATATGTGAGAGGGGGTCCCTCTTATTTCAACTCGTTCCTCATTGCTGGTTTGGCATATCTCAGCTACTCTAACCCGGCAAGAATCCACAGAAGAAGCCAAGAAGGAAAAAGGCTTATACATTTGCTTTACCCATAAGAAAACCTCAAGCCCTGTATCTGAAAAAAGAGGAAGATAAAAGGATCTATAAGACTTCAAGTTCCATGAGAAGAGGGACATGTCTATTTTGTTCAATACTCTATGCCCACTGCCTGGCACATAGGCAGCAAAACAAATATCTGTGGAATGCTATGTAAAGGCATCTATAGATGATGTGCCTCCCTTTAAGAAACCCAATATTTGAATATTTGCACTCATTCATACAAGATCCTCAAGTGCTCCGTTTGGATAATCTGGAGGGTATGAAAACATAGCCAAGATCATGAATTCTTTGGGCATTTGGGCCGCTGCACTGTTGCACCATTTAGACCTGTGATCTGAGAGTGTGAAAAACTCAAGGGATCCTCTGTAAAGTGTCTGCCTTTTTTTCCCTCCTGGGAGGAGCCGTTAGAAGGGCAACATTCTCCTTTCTCCCCCTTGGACGTGTGGGTGTTGGGGCAAGGGTGAGGAGTGACAGAGGTCTCCTGGGAAGACCATAAGATGGGGCAAGCACACCACAGTGAGGAGGGGGAGTCTGGCTATGACTTTAGAATTTCCTGATCGAAATTTCTCCTCTAAAGCTCCCCACCCTACTTGGGATCTGAGGTTATCATCCCCTCCCAGTCCCAAGAACCCTTCTTCCCTTGTTGGCAGAAATCTCCAGGAAGCATGCCCACAGGAACCACAACTCATGAATCAGAAGACAGATAATTAACCGAGGGAGTGACTGAGCAGCTTCAGGGATGAACCGCTTCGTTTTACCCAGCCCTCTCTGCTGCCCACAGAGTGGGCTGCTCCACCCCATCGCCTCTGCTCCCTCTTCCTGAACCTTGGCCCTTCCTGAGTGGGACCTTCATTGTGCCTGATGGAGCTCAGGCCACTAGTGGAAATGAAGGTGGGAGCAGGGAAATGACTCTGTTTAGGGGAACTGCCTATTCCCCGTGTGGGAACTGCTGGCATTTATTGAAACGTGAGACTCTCCAGCAAAAAAGTGATAGCATCTGCCTTTCTGTCCACACACACAGTCTCACCAAAAACACTCTTTTTTTTTTTTTGTTAGATAATTCAGGTATAATTTATGTACAGTAAAATTCACCCTTTTTAGTGCATACAGTTCTATGAATTTTGACAAATGCATATAGTCAAGTAACCATTGCCATCATCAAGATACAGAATTTTTCCATCATCCCCTAAAATTCCCCCAAGCTCTTTTTTTCCCTTCTTTTTCTTTCTAGAGGCAGGGTCTCACCATATTGCCCAGGCTGGTCTCGAACTTCTGAGCTCAGGCAATCTGCCCACCTCGGCCTCCCAAAGTGTTGGGATTACAGGCGTGAGCTACTGTGCCAGGTGCCCCCCCAGCTCTTTTGTAATCGATACCCTACCCTCAACCCTCGTCGGTTGCAACTGCTGATCTATTTCCTGTCCCTGCAGTTCTATGTTTTACAAAATGTCATATAAATGAAAGCATGCAGTGTATAGACTTTCAGTCTGGCTTCTTTCACTTAGCACAATACATTTGGGGTTAATCTATGATGCTGCATCTATCAGTAACTCTAAGACATTGTCTGAGGCCACTCCGTCATCCTCCGTGTTGGAACAGTTACCCTGAAAGCAGTGGGACTGGATCCGTTAAACTTTGGAGGTGCTCCCCAGCTTTCAGCTTCTAAATTTTATAATTGGATAGATGTATTTAGCTATATATAAGTCATTAGATTTTCCATGTGCTAAGTAGTTAAAGACTTCAGGATACTAGAGAGGATTCTGTAGCAACCAACACTTATTATTCTTGCTCATAGGAGTAACAGATATTTTGTGGCCAAATATTGTATGTCATGATGCTTGGAGTCAGAAGTTGTTAAGTAAACCTGGGGGCTATTCTACCTTTTTACATTTTTGGTAGCATCTCTGAAAAAACAACCCACTTGACTTTTTTTTTTTCCTTTTTTTTGGGAGGGTGGGTGGGTGGGTGGCTTTTTGGCCAAAACCAGAAAGCTTGCTAGACAAATTCTAACACTAGATCTAACACTAGATGTCTTATTTCTGTTTTTCTGTCATGTTCCCATGAAAAGACTATTTACTTACCCCCCTCTCTCGGTTTTATAGTTGAGTTAGTTCAATTTCTTAGTTCAGTTAGTGAAGATGTTTAAATATTCAAGGAGAGAAAGAAAAAGAACAAGGTGATACACATTTTAAAAAAGTCAAAATAACAAATATTGTTATTTCTTGGCTGGGCGCGGTGGCTCATGCCTGTAATCCCAGCACTTTGGGAGGCCGAGGCGGGCGGATCACCTGAGGTCAGGAGTTCAAGACCAGCCTGACCAACATGGAGAAACCCTGTCTCTACTAAAAATACAAAATCAGCTGGGCATGGTGGCATGCGTCTGTAATCCCAGCTACTCGGGAGGCTGAGGCAGGAGAATCGCTTGAACCCAGGAGGCAGAGGTTGCAGTGAGCCGAGATTGTGCCATTGCACTCCAGCCTGAGCAACAAGAGCAAAACTCTGTCTCAAAAAACAGAACAAAACAAAACAAATATTGTTATTTCTCAAATAGGTTCATCCACATAGGATCATTGTCAGTCGTTAAAATTGCTGGTTCCCTTCTAATTCTATTCCCCTATAATGTTCATATTAATCAGGTGGTGTGTTCTGTTTAGACATTTCCCCTCGCATTTATGTTTATTTGTGTGTGTGTGTGTATTCCTTTACTTAAACCCATGATATATAGTACTTCCTTTTATATAGAAAAAAGCTCAGTGTGGAAAGAACAACGTATCTGGAATTAAGAAACCTACATTCGATTCACAGTTCTGCAGGCTTTTTCATCAGCTTGCTGGGTGACTTTGAACAAGTGACTTTACCTTTAGGCATCAGTCTCTTGGTGTCCCAGGGGCTGCAAAGTGGGACAGAGAAGATGAAGGGAAATACTTCAATTTGCTCCTGCCCCTTCCCCACCACCTTCAACTGGAACTCCTTTAACTAATTAACAATTTGGAGTTCATGTAAGGATTTCTTTGGGAAAAAAAGAAGATCCTGCTGTTAAAATCAAGCTTGAAAAACTTTGCACTAGAAGAGAGCTCCAGAAGTTTGGCAAAAGACATATTCAGTAGCCACTTAAAAAGTCCCTGTAGTCAACCCTACATCTCTTTGCTAATGGAAATTTTGGATAGAGAAACCTGGGTCTGTGAGATCCACTGATGGCTCCAGACCCCAACTTTAGCCATCGCACGTGTTGAACTCCAGGTTGAGCCTTTGCTGGAGCCGCCTGCAAGGAGCATGTTTGACCAATCCCCAGTGGAGGGGAGGGTGGTGTTTCCTTTCTGGGACTTCCACAAGTTGAGAACAGACCATGCTGCCCTGGGCAGTTCTTGAAGGCTGTGAGAGTGGGCCTGACAAAGTTTATTCCTTTTTTTTTTTCCATTCTCTTTTATTATTATTATTGTTTGAAATTGACAAATAAAAATTATGTATATTTATGATGTACAACATGATGTCTTGAAATATGTGCGCATTGTGGAATGGTTAAATGAAGTTAAATAACATATGCATTACCTCACATACATACTTCTGATTTATTTGTGGTGAGAACACTTAAAAATCTCCTCCCAGCAATTTTCAGGTAGATGACATACGGTTATTAACTATAGTCACCATGTTGTACAGTGGATCTCTTGAACTTATTCCTCTTGTCTAACTGAAAATTTATATCCCTTGACCAGCATCTCCTCATGCAAACCATACCCCAAAGCTCATTTCTGTGTTCCTGCTGAGTTTGCCATTCCAAGAGGTTTTGATGCTGAAGGTGCAGTTTGTGGAAAGCCCAGCAGACTCTGGGGAGCCTACATTTAAATAAATGCAAATGTCGACAGGGAGGCAGAACAGAGGACATTTCAAATTAGCTTTAATTTTCTTTTAGCTTATAAAAGTAATTAAGCTTATTATTTAAAAAAAGGCAGCTCAGAAATATAATGCAGAAAGTACCAGTACCAGTTCCTTGTAGTCTTGTCCTTAAAGATAACCACTGTTGATAGTTACTGCAGAGTTTTTTTCTATGTATTTGTCAACATATATAATTATTTATCATTATTGTTATTTCTCAAATAGGATAATCAATAATAGGATCATTGTCTTTTTTTTTTTTTTTTTTGAGATGGAGTCTCACTCTGTCGCCCAGGCTGGAGTGCAGTTGTGTGATCCCAGCTCACTGCAACCTCCGCCTCCTGGGTTCAAGCAATTCTCCTGCCTCAGATTCCCGAGTAGCTGGGATCACAGGCATTTGCCACCACGCCCAGCTAATTTTTGTGTTTTTGATAGAGACAGGGTTTGGCCATGTTGGCCAGGCTGGTTTTGAACTCCTAACCACAGGTGATCCACCCGCCTCGGCCTCCCAAAGTGCTGGGATTACACGCATAAGCCACCGCACCTGGCCCATTGTCTCTTAATAATATACTCTAGGCATCTTTTTATGTCAGTTTATGGCTTTCCATTATTTATCCCAAGAGCTATAATTCTAGCCATAAGGCATACTCTTTGTTATATGGATATATCAGAATTTACTTAACCAATTCCCTGTTGGCAGACATTGGGATCATTCCCAATTATTTGCTACTACAAATAAAGCTGCAGGGGATATCCTTATTCATTTATTATGCACCTTTGTTCAAGTGTTTCTACAGACTTAATTTCTTGAATGAAAGTTGGTGGGTCGAAGGGCATGCGTATTTTAAATTTAAATTTTAGTAGGTGTTGTCAATTTGTCCTCCCAAACGGTTGAACCAGTTTGCTTTCCTACCAAGACAGGCTGGCAGTAAGGACTGGTGTTAGCACCGCGGCCTGCTGTCCACACCCATAACACATGAGCTGGGGGAGGAAGGCTGCAGAACTGGACAGCAGGATGCCAAGGAGGTCACCAATAGGGCACCCCTGGGCTGAGCCTCGGACAGCTTGGTACAGACCTGCTTCTTCTGTATACTGAATGAGGTGGGGTCGATGCTAATAAAAATTTCCAGAACTCTTGAGATGCAGCGTTTGAGTCAAATATCAGGCCATCAGGAAGAAATGGCCACTTGTGCCTTGTTTGAGGGTTCTCATGCCTTGGGTTGCTAGGCTTCCTAGGGTATGAGTCCCCCTGTTGATGTTTTCTGGCTGGAAGAGTGGATACTTCCAGGACTGGCAGCACCTTGAAGATCATCAAATTTGACACCTGTTTGTTTTACAAAAAAGCAAAAAGGGAGTTCCTGAGAAGTGAAGTGACTTGTCCAAGATCATACAACTGGCTCAGTGGCATTGGTTGGGTCTCTCCCTGGGGACTCTTGTCTCCTGCCCAGAGTGATTTCTTCACTATATCCTGTTAGAGACAAAGGGCCCTTTCACGTCTGACCCTGAGGTGGAGGCGAGGGGATGGGGATTCCTGGTGTAGGAAGTGACTAGAGTGAAAGTAAGGGGGAAGGAAATGAACATTTATTGAGCATCCACTATAGAGGGTTCTTTCATACGTGTTATGTCATTTAATCCTAACAACTCGGGAGCACTGGGGAAAGGAAGCAGCTGTTTGGAGTCTCCGGTGCTTGGCCGATGTGGCTGGTTAGACCCGTTAAATACTACAGAGCAGTTATCACTTCTCGACTATGAATGTGACATAGACTCAAAGAGGCACTGGGCCTTGGAGAGAGCACCAGAGAGATGAAGGGATGTACTTGAGGTCATACGGCCAGAGGAAGGGCAAAGATGGCTTTAGACGTGAGGTTTCCTGCTGCTTTGCATGCTTTTTCTGCCATATCCATCTGTTGTTTTACTGCTCCTGCCTTACCACATTTCTCAGGAGCTGGGTGTTAATTTTAGACCACAACCTTAGAGAAGACAGGACTCTGTCCCTGGAATGGGCTTTATGCAGTCTTCAGCACATGGCGACCTAATTAACCTCATTGGAGATGATAACCAGACATAATGTGGCTTCATTTACAAGGACAGGACCTGCCCTAGATCTTCCCATTAACATCATCTTGAAGTGTCAGCTCCACAGAGAGACCTTTCCTGACCACATGCTTTAAAGGAGACTCCTTCCCTCATTGCTTGCTATTCCCCGCCCCCCCCACCCCCACCCTTTCTTTTCCCTTTGAGGCAGAGTCTCACTCCATCACACAGGCTGGAGTGCAGTGGCACGATCTTGGCTCACTGCAAACTCCGCCTCCCATGTTCAAGCAATTCTCCTGCCTCAGCCTCCCAAGTAGCTGGGATTACAGGTGCGTGCCACCATGCCCAGCTAATTTTTCTAGTTTTAGTAAAGACTGGATTTCGCCATGTTGGCCAGGCTGGTCTTGAACTCCTGACCTCAGGTGATCTACCCGCCTTGGCCTCCCACAGTGCTCAGATTACAGTGTTAGCCACCATGCCCGGCCTATCCTGCTTTATTTTCTTACAGCATGAAGGGTCAATGAAAGGATATGGCCAGTGGTCAAGACATTTGAACTTTGTGTACAGGGAATCCCCTTGCTCAGACAAAAATCCTTCCTGTTTTTCCCTTGTGAACAAAAGTTCTCTGAAAAGGAATTGGGAGGAAAGACTTTATTCCAATGAACAGTTTGGAAACTGGGGAAACTCAGCTGTTGGTGTCAGAATTGGGGGTTTATAATGAAAGTTCCTGCCTAGGATCCTGATGAGGTCCACTTATGCAAATGAACAATTCCAACTTGCTTAGTTCTGTTTGGTTGAAACAACTGAGGCCTGATTGGTCAAGGCAGCAGAGCCCTGACTGGTTATTTTAGGTTAGCTCTGGAGGTCCCAAAGTTGAAGAGAGGTGTTGATTTTCAGGGAACTCAAAGTGGGTTGTGACCTCTAGTCAGCAAATGGCAGCTTTGCTCTGTTTAAAATTTAGGCCCACTTAGCCACTCCAGATCTATCTTGAAGGACTGGCTCTTTCAGGTTCACATTTGTTCACACCCTCATGCCCCATGAGCCATCCATCAGCAAGTCTTTAGATGGAACGTATCTAGAGTCTGACCACATCAGTGGCTCCGCTACTGTCCAAATCCACTGCCATCTGTTGCCTGGATTATTTTAGTACATTTCTAATTGAATAATAAGTCTCTTTCCTTTTTGCTTCCCTTCTTTCTGTCTTGCACTCAGCAGCCAGGATGATCTTTTTTTGCTCACCTCTGCTCAGATTCCTCCAGTGGCTTCCCACTATGTGGAGAAAAAAGCCACACTCTCTACCATGGCCTATAGCTTCCTAGTGTTCTGGTCCCTAACTGCTCCTCTAACCTCCTCTGTGCTTTTCTCTTCCTCCTTTCTCTCCACCTGCTATTTCTTTAACAGGCTGATGTCCATCCAGATCTTGCCTTGGGTTCTTTCTGGAATGTCTGTGCCTTGGATCGTCCCAGGATTCACTCTTTAACATCATTTTGAAATGTCAGCTCCACAGAGAGACCTTTTCTGATCACATGCTCTAAAGAGAGTCCTTCCCCTTATTGCTTGTTATTCCTTTATCCTGCTTTATTTTCTTACAGCATTTGCCACTGTTTGAAATTGTGCATTTTTGTTGTGTATTTTTTGTTACCATCTTCCTCACTAAAATGTAAGCTTCACAAGAGCAGGGGCTTTGTTTAGTTTATCAGTGTGTCTCCAGTGCCTAGGAGAGTGCCTGGCACAGGTAGATGCTCAATGAATATTTGTCGAGTAAATGAATGAATGAATCAATGAATGCTGACACCATTGATATATATAGGTAGAAAAATGTACAGCTAAAGTAACCATTTTTCAAACCTTATCCATACGTGGATTAAATGCAACAAAAATTTCATTTCATGCTGGCTTTTTTTCAATCATGCAAAGTATTTCACGGCAGTGTTCTTCAAAATCATGCCATATACATGATGGAGATGCAAATCCATTTTGTATTAGTTTCTTAGGGCTGTTGTAACAAAGCACCACAAACTGGGTGGCATAAAACAACAGAAATTTATTCTTGTTGGAAGCTAGAAATCTGAAATTAAGGTGTCAGCAGGCCCATGGTCCCTCTGAGACTCTGGGTAGAATCCTTCCTCCTTCCTATCTTCTGGTGTTGGCTGGCAATCCTTGGTGTTCCTTAGTTTCTGGCTGTATCACTCCAATCTCTGCCTCATGTGGCATTCTCTCTATATGTCTCTCTCTTCGTGTGGTGTTTTCCTCTTCTCATAAGGACATCAGTCATGTTGGATTAGGGCCTACCCTAACGACATCAATTGATCACATCTGCAAAGACCTGATTTCTCTGTAAGGTCATGGTCATGGGCACTGGGGTAAGGACTTCAACATATCTTTTTTGGGGACATAAGTCAACTTATAACACATTTTAATATTGGTGGAGGCAAGTTATACACAAATGTTTTCCAATGTTAAATACCGTACTTAACTGGCTCTGATATACTTAAAAACAGTTTTAAATCTCTAAAATCAGGACATATACTATATTCATAGTGTTAGATTTGATGAAATATGGTGCCTGGGTTCTCTACTGCTTTGGGTGATGCTTACTGGAGCTTTTTGCTCAGAGCACAGAGGTATGTGTTACCCTAAACTCCACCTCCCTGTCTCCTTCTCCTTCCTTGGGTTACTTAGCTGATGCTACATTTAAGGAAGGACCAAAATTAAAATAAACTTTCTTAGCAACTTGCTCTAGATAAACCACTTGTGCCTATGTAGGACAGTAAGCATGAGATTTTTTTTTTTCATGAGTCACATGGCCAGGTGACTACAATGAGGCATCATGTGAGTCACCCACTGTCCCCATGGACCTAATTGGGAAGTGAGCAGTCAAAGGTCAGTGGCAGGGCTGGGGACCCAGATTAGAACTCCTTTCTGGCAGAGTGATAGATGTCCATAGTGTTAGTGGAACATCCTCCCTTCTCGATAAACACCTCTTACTGTGACTTAGCCCTCTCCTGTAGTCCCCTGTCCTCATTAGGGTGGCCTGTTCCTACAGTCCAGCATCCTGTCTCACTGGACAACATGTCCTCAAAATAGCCCCCATTGACGCATTATGACTTCCACTGGATCCAATTCCCTCCCTTGTTTCCTTTGTTCTTCCATTTTTCCCACCCTTTGTCTCTCTTCTGCTTCTGTGATTCAAGCTGATGTGCCAAACCACAGCCTTCTACTTCTACTTTCCAGGCAAACTTCTTGGCTGGTCTTGATTGGATTAAAATTGTTATTTTCAAAAAACTTTTTTGAGGCAGGGTCTCACTTTGTTGCCCAGGCTGGAGTGCAGTGGCACAATCACAGCTCACTGCAGCCTCAACCTCCCAGGTCCAGCTGATTTTCCTGCCTCAGCCTCCTGAGTAGCTGGGACTGCTGGTGCATGCTACCATGCCCAGCTAATTTTTAAAAAAATTTTCATAGAGATGGGGGTCTCACTATGTTGCCCAGACTAGTCGCCAACTACTGGGCTCAAGCAATCCTCCTGCCTTGGCCTCCGAGAATGCTGGGATTACAGGCATGAGCCTGGATTTTCGAAGACTAATATTCCTAACCCCATTTAGAAGCCAGATCTGACAAGTAAACATTTCACCCTGGTGTGATACTTTCTGGCTCCACGCTCCCACGACTCCTTCTGCTCAGGGCATACTTAACGTCATGTCTAGTGTCCCCTAGAATGATGTCATCAAGGAAAAAAAAGTATTCACCTGCCCTAAACAATTTGAGACTCAGGATAAAAACAACAATAAAACCAATATAAATTACAGCAGCAGCAGCAGCAGCATTTATTGAGTACTTTCTGTGTTCCAGCTGTTGTGCTCAGAGTTTTACAGGGTTTGGTTTATTTCATCCTTACAACCACCCTGTGAAGACTGGGGTCAATCCACCTTGTCCCTGGTTCTGGCTAACCTGTCAGAGGAAAGGGGTGGTAGGAGGTAGGAGTTGTTTGTTCTGTAAGTGACATTATGGTGAAGATTCCCACTTTAGCAGGAATGAGTCTGGGCCCCAGAGAATGAGCAGGAACATAGGCTTTATGAATGACTGGAAACAGAGGCCCAAACTCCTTCCACACGTTCAGGAGGGAGGGGTGGGCTCAGAACAACAACTCATTGAATCAGCATGGGCTCAGTGCAGAGACTTCTGATGAGTCAGTCACTTTTAACCACTGCATTCCAGGGAATCTGCCTGGGTAGCAGGACTTGGTTGGGGGTATCATGGGGGGTTCATTGGTTCTCATAAAATCAACCTGTGATTCATTAAAAAGAGTGGATAAAGGGACTTGGTAACCATGACTCTGCAGGCATGATTTCCTAAAGAACAAATCCCAGCACCTCATTTTATCCTCTGGGGTCAGGGACCATTAGTTCACTGGGAGGGACCTGCTGTTATTTATTTTGTATCTTGCAAAACTTTCTATTGTGGCTACAAGTCAAGGACTCATAGGGAAATGCTAATTTGAGAATGAATGGGTGGTTAAATGAATAGACTGGGAAAAGTCCTAAAAAGTAATCTGACAGTGTCTGTATTAGTTCATTTTCATGCTGCTTATAAAAACATATCCAAGATTTGGTAGTTTATAAAGGAAAGAGGTTTAATTGACTCACAGTTCAACATGGCTTGGGAGGCCTCAGGAAACTTACAATCATGGTGGAAGGGGAAGCAAACACGTCCTTCTTCACATGGTGGCAGGAAAGATAAGTGCCAAGCAAAAGGGAGAAAAGCCCCTTATAAAACCATCAGATCTCATGAGAGCTCACTTACTATCATGAGAACAGCAGCATGGAGGTAACTGCCCCCATGATTCAATTACCTCCCATCAGGTCCCTCCCACAACACATGGGGATTGTGGGAACTACAATTCAAGAGGAGATTTGGGGGGTGGGGCACACTGCCAAACCATATCATTTCACCCCAACCCCTCCCAAATCTCATGTCCTCACATTTCAAAACACAATCATGACTTCCCAACAGTTCCTTCAAATCTTAACTCATTCAAGGATTAACCTGAAAGTCCAAGTCCAAAGTCTTATCTGAGACAAGGCAAGTCCCTTCTGCCTATGAGACTGTAAAATTGAAAGCAAATTAGTTACTTCCTAGATACAACGGGAGTGGAGGCATTGGGTAAATACAGCCATTCCAAATGGGAGAAATTGGCCAAAACAAACAGGCTACTGGCCCCACGCAAGTCTGAAATCCAGCAGGACAGTCAAATCTTAAAGCTCCAAAATGATCTCCTTTGACTCCATGTCTCACACCTAGGTCATATTGATGCAAGAGGTGGTCTCCCATGGCTTTGGGCAGCTCCACCCTTGTGGCTTTGCAGGGTACAGCCTCTCTCCCAGCCACTTTCATGGGCTGGCATTGAATGTCTGTGGCTTTTCCAGGCACATGGTGCAGGCTGTCAATGGATCTACCATTCTGGGGTCTGGAGGATGGTGGCCCTCTGCTCACAGCTCCACTAGGCAGTGCCCGAGTGGGGGGCTCTATGTGGGGGCCTCAACCCATATTTCCCTTGTGCACTCCCCTAGCAGAGGCTCTCCATGAGGGCCCTGCCTTGTAGCAAACTTCTGCCTGGACATCCAGGTGTTTCCATACATCCTCTGAAATCTAGGCAGAGGTTCCCAAACGTCAGTTCTTGACTTCTGTGCACCTGTAGGCTCAACACCACATGGAAGCTGCCAAGGCTTGGGGCTTGTATCCTCTGAAACCATGGCCTGAGCTCTATGTTGGTCACTTTTAGCCATGGCTAGAGTGGCTGGGATGCAGGTCACCAAGTTCCTAGGCTGCACATAGCAGGGAGGCCCTGGGCCCAGCCCAGGAAACCATTTTTTCCTCTTAGGCCTCTGTGCCTGTGATGAGAGGGGCTACCATGAAGGTCTCTGACATGCCCTGGAGACATTTTCCCCATTTTCTTGGTAATTAACATTCAGCTCCTCGTTACTTATTTCTGCAGCTGGCTTGAATTTCTCCACAGAAAATGGGTTTTTCTTTTCTATCACATCGTCAGGCTGCAAATTTTCCACACGTTTATGCTCTGCTTCCTGCTGCTGTATGCTTTGCTGCCTAGAAATTTCATCTGACAGATCCCCTAAATCATCTCTCTCACATTCAATATTCCACAGAGCTCTAGGGCAGGGGCAAAATGCTGCCAGTCTCTTTGCTAAAGCATAGGAAGCATGACCTTTACTCCAGTTCCCAATAAGTTCCTCATCTCCTTCTGAGACCACCTCAGCCTGGACTTCATTGTCCATATCACTGTCAGCATTTTGGTCAAAGTCATTCAACAAGTCTCTAGGAAGTTCCAAACTTTACCACATCTTCCTGTATTCTGAGCCCTCCAAGTTTCTAGGAAGCTCCAAACTTTCCCACATTTTCCTGTCTTCTTCTGAGCCCTCCAAACTGTTGCAATTTCTGCCTGTTACTCAGTTCCAAAGTCACTTCCACATTTTTGGTATCCTTATAGCAGCACTCCACTCTACCATTGCCAATTTACTGTAATAGTCTGTTCTCACACTGCTAATAAAGACATACCCAATACCAGGTAATTTATAAAAGAAAGAGGTTTAGTTGACTCACAGTTTAGCATGGCTGAGAAGGCCTCAGGAAACTTACAATCATGGTGGAAGGGGAAGCAAACACATCCTTCTTCACATGGTGGCAGGATGGAGAAGTGCTGAGCAAAGGGGGAAAAGCCTTTTATTAAACCATCAGATCTTGTGAGAACTTACTATTAGGAGAACAGCAACATGAGGATAATCATCCCTGTGATTCTATTACCTCCCACTGAGTCCCTCTCATGACCTGTGGGGATTATGGGTACTACAGTTCAAGATGAGTTTTGGGTGGAGACACAGCCAAACCATAGCAGTGCTCATATCTCCCATGGTCCTCTTCCCTCTTCTAACCCTTCTTGATGTCTTCTTGTGCTTCTGTCTCTTGTGAATATCAATGGCATTTATGTCCAGAATTACCCCTTGGCATGCCAATTCCCATGGAAACTCCAGAAAGGGAGGGAGATACTTAAAATAGTTCAGGCTGTGCTCCTCTCAGAAGTCTTCTGATAGGGGAAAAAAGAGAGGCTCTGTCCACATCTGCCTGGGAAGAGAGCAATTATAAGGCTAAGAGATGGCCAGGCAGCTCATGCAGGGAGAAGTCTTGGGTTGCATTGTTCGTTGTGAACATTCAGGAATTCTGAAACTAGCAGCCACTTTTCTTTCATTATAGACATTGCATGGCTCAGGGCTGCCCCATCTCAGAGGTGACCTTGATGCTTTAAGGCCAGGCTTGGAACCAATGTCATCATTCCCACTCATGGGCCTCACGCTTACATTCTGAAGTTGTAGTCAAGTCGGAGAGTGGAGCCCCAGAGGTTATTCATGGGCTCATAAAGGCATCCCACTTGTAGAATTTTAAAGTTGGGCAAGGCCTTTGAAGTTAGATGGACTCAAGGCTCTGAGGAAACCTGGGGCTTCCAGGAGGTGCTTCAAGGATTCCGCATATAATCTAGGGTTTTTGGGAGAACAATGAAAGTTTAAATTGCCTGAGGAATTGTTGTAGCCCATTTACATGTTTTATATTGGAATTCTATGCATAATTTTGAGAAATGAGCTCAGTTGCTTAAAAAAGCAAAGCAAAACTTCATCTATTCCCCTACCTTTCATTTTGCCCCAGTGCATATTTACTGAGCATCTCCACTGAGTAAGAACTGGAGCTGAGCTGGGCAGGGCAGAGCAGGTCTCAAGGGACTTAAAATCTGTTGGGTGGCAGTGTTGTTAAGGCAGACACATAAATTATTATGATGTGGTAGGAATATTAGAATTGAAGAAATGGAGGCTGAGAGGAGTTAAATGATTCACCCATGGCCACACTATTAGTGGGTGACTCGATTAGGATGACAGTCTACTCATTGTGTGTACCCATTCTGTTAGACCTCCTGTCCCCCAAGTAAGGTCCTGAAATGGGTACTGTTAAAGTATATATAATTTTAACAGAGTTAAAAGTATGATTTCTACACAAATATAAAGGGAATATGTGTAAAAGATTTTATTCAACTTTAGTAATTAAAGAACCAGTAAGACGTTAGGAGTAGTTCAAAAGGAATTTCAAAGAAGGGAGATTTATGGTTGATCAGTCAAAGGAATGCTGAAATGAATTAGTGAATAGATTGAAAATTGGTTAATATTCTGCAAGGCAATGAACCTTAACCTGTGGGGGATAACCTTTTCTACCAGACAGAAATCATTGGTATTGTTGTTGGATAAGAATAATATACATTGTTCTCTTATCTAAATAATTTACCTTGCACACCACAATATGATCATGATTAGATTAAAATGTTGTCTTAGCCAGTTCTAGCAGCTATAACAAAATGCCATAAACTGGGTGGCTTAAACAGCAAACACTTATTTATTTATTTATTTTGAGACAGAGTCTTGCTCTTGTTGCCCAGGTGGAGTGCAGTGGCATGATATCGGCTCACTGTAACCTCTGCCTCCTGGGTTTAAGTGATTCTCCTGCCCCTCCTGAGTAGCCTCCCAAGTAGCTGGGATCACAGGCGCCCACCCCAATGCCCAGCTAATTTTTTGTATTTTTAATAGAGACGGGGTTTCACCATGTTGGTCAGGCTGGTCTTGAACTCCTGACCTCAGGTGATCTACCTGCCTCGGCCTCCCAAAGTGCTGGGATTACAGGCATGAGCCGCCTCACCGGGGCTATTTTTTTTTTTTTTTTTTTGAGATGGAGTCTTGCTCTGGCTCAGGCTGGAGTGCAGTGACACTATCTTGGCTCACCACAAGCTCCGCCTCCTGAGTTCATGCCATTCTCCTGCCTCAGCCTCCCAAGTAGCTGGGACCACAGGGGCCTGCCACCACACCCGGCTAATTTTTTGTATTTTAGTAGAGACAGGGTTTCACTGTGTTAGCCAGGATAGTCTTGATCTCCTGACCTCGTGATCCGCCGGTCTCGGCCTCCCAAAGTGCTGGGATTACAGGTGTGAGCCACTGCGCTTGGCCATTTTTTTTTTAAAAGAATAATATACATTGTTCTCATCAAGAATTATTTCCCTTTTTTTTGAGACAGAGTCTCGCACTATTGCCCAGGGTTGGAGTGTAATGGTGATCATTTCCGTTTTTATGGTTTTCAATAGGTCAACATCTACTCTTACAGTATTGTAAAATATCCTGATTAATAGAAGCCAAATAATAGGTACATACTCTTAGAAAATCAGATAATCCCTAAGCATGGTGGGTCAGCTAGTCAACATTCTGCATTACATTGAAAGGACATTTGTATTTTCTTTGCCTGTTTCCAAATTTTATGTAATCTTTCTTTCTTTCTTTTTTTTTCTTTCTTTCTTTCCTTCTTTCTTTCTTTCTTTCTTTCTTTCGTTCTTTCTTTTCTTTCTTTCTCTCTCCTTCCTTCCTTTCTTTCTTTCCTTTTTTTTCTTTTCTGAGATGGAGTCTCACTGTGTCACCCAGGCTGGAGTGCAGTGGCATGATCTCAGCTAACTGCAACCTCTGCCTCCTTGGTTCAAGTGATTCTCCTGCCTCAGCCTCCTGAGTAGCTGGGATTACAGGAGTGCACCACCACGCCCGGCTAATTTTTGTATTTTTTAGCAGAGATGGAGTTTCACCATGTTGGCCAGGCTGGTCTCAAACTCCTGAACTCAAGTGATCCGCCTGCCTCGTCCTCCCAAAGTGGGGAGATTACAGGCATGAGCCACCACGCCTGGCCATAATTTTTCTTTACAATATTGTGTGTGTGTATACACCCTCATTTTCTGAGTGTGTTTTTGTCCAGGTGTTGGGAAGGAGGGAATTCAGTCACACTGTAATAAAATGAATGGAGACAGCTAAATGAGAAGTTTTGGGGACACTGGGAAAACATCGCAATGGTCAGGCTGATTTCTCCAAAATAGGTTCGCTGGTCTTACCAGCTGGGGTCAAAGAGGTCCCTTTGGAAAACTGCATGAAGGAGCTGTCAGGGTAACTGGGTCATGGAGAGGAACAGATCCCTCACATTCTGCTCCTTATATTGGAAAAAACCTCCTTAAGGCACTGCAGGAAGAAGGGTTCACCTGGCTGGAGCAGGAATGCTGAGCTAGGCAATTAGAGAGGACAGTGGCTTCTGTCTAAGCAGATGCCTGGGTTTGGCTTCCTGGCTGAGCTTCTCAAGGTGATTTTGGTTCTCCTGGTTGTTTCTGCTCCTCCTCGTAGCCTTTGCTCTGTCCTTTGACAGTATGAGGACTGTTCACATTTGAATAGCACCTTATAGTGTACCAAGTGCTTCCCCTTACCTCACTGAATTCTTGTACAAATCCTGAGAGACAGATATTGTCATCCCATAGAGGCTAGTTGAGTTGCCCAAGGTCATGAAGTAGTTAGCAGGAAGAACATTCAGAATTCAAGCACAAACCTTCCAACTCTAAAATTCCATGTTCTTTTAGTGTATATCAGTCAGCCTTTTCTAACATTTCTGCACTTCCTCCTAGAGCATTTTGTGGTTGGATTCCAAGATATATGCATTGAGAAGCTTGAGAAGATTTCAGATTTGCTTTTCTTTTGCCAGTCAGTGGGACACTGCCACCAAAGTCACCTCACCCTCCACGCCCCCACTGTATTTAGGCTATGTGTTAATGTTAGTGCATCTGGGCCTTGGATCCCCTGTGTAGTGGCTGTGAATATCACTAGAATGACTGAAGAGGGGATACATTGCCATTTTTCTGGGCCCCGGAGATATTTTCATTTGCACAATGTAGGTGTCAAACCAGTTGTTAATTAAAGCCTTTCCATCAGTTACGATCTGAGACTTGCGTCCATGGCTCAGCCTTGCCCTGTCACTTGTTACCACTGTGGCCTCATCAGTTGAGAGCGGTGATGAGTTTCTCCTGATTTTCCTCCTCCTCCTTCTTCCTAACCAATAACCTGTATTTGGTAGACGTCTGTGGTATGGTTAGGGTGTGTTTGTGTGCACCTGAGAGCTGTAAACCTGGACATTGGGAAAGTTGGGAAGGATGAGGCAGGCAAGTACCTTCACTGAGCCAAATCTGGTGCTAATGCCTTTGTCTGTCTGTTGCAGGGCCCAACATCTGTACCACGCGAGGTGTGAGCTCCTGCCAGCAGTGCCTGGCTGTGAGCCCCATGTGTGCCTGGTGCTCTGATGAGGTAAGGAGCAGATACCAGACCTTGTTTCTTCTCCAGACTAAGCTGCTTTTGTGCAGAAACAGACCCATGAAGTTATCACCTCCCTCTTGAATACACATGCCCCTTATCCCTTCTAAGCAAAACTTTGATGAATTTTTCCCATTGATGCATGGTGAGGAGCTGTCATGGGGATGTTGCTGGGAATACTAACCCAAGTCTACCATATAGCCCCTGGCCCTTGCCAGTTTGGCTCGACCTCCTGTCCTCTCTGTAACCACTGCTGCCCTTTCTCACACTTTGCTTGCTTTTTTTCCTAAGAAAAACAGTTTATTTTAAATTTTTTGGTAGAGACAGGGTCTCACTATGTTGCCCAGGCTGGTCTTGAACTAGACATAAGAGATCCTCCTACCTTGGCCTCCCAATGTGCTGGGATTTCATGTGTGACCCACCATGCCCAGCCCTTTGCTTGCATTTCTTGGGGTGGAATATCCCAGGGAAGCAGGGCGTCAGGTCTCAAAAGGAGAGGCAGCAAGGGGTATAGGTACGGATGGGGTTGGGAGGGGTTGCTGGCTTACTTCTTTTTCCTAGAGGTTAAAAAAGGCAAATAGAAGAGAAATCTTGTGCTTGTGTGTGGTGATGTTTAGTCAGAAAATCTTTTCTCTTCCCTTCTCTTTGATGATTGGGCCCCGCGGCTTTACATTTTTCTTTCTCTTCTTCTTTCCTTCCTTCCTTCTCACAGGTGTTGAAGAAAGGAGCTGGGCCCACTTGGTGAGGATGGAAGGGGGACAGGAAAGGGTTAGTTGTGTCTAGGCAGAGGGTTTGTTGTGTCTGGGGCCCTAGGGAATGAGTGTGTCTGAGGGAATGGCTATGTTTGTGGCTGGGATGGAAATTTGGAGCTGGCAAGAGCTGATGGGGTGGGGGTGGAAGATGAATGTGGTTGAAGAGATTCGGTGATTATAGAGTCTCAGGCTGAGTCACTGGCCTGGCCAGCAGGTGGTTACCTGAGTTCCTGGCCTGGCTGCGGCTCAGCTACCTGAGGCTTCCTCTGTCCCACAACAAGTCCCAGCCCTCTCCAGTTTTATGACCGCTCCAATCCAGCCCTCAGTCTCTCTGTCTGCTTCTTTTTCAGATCTGCTGAGTTTCCTAAAAAGGCAACCTCCCTGGCCGCCTGGGGGGAGGGGCGGGAGCTGGGAGGCTGTGTTTATCACCGGCCAGGAGGGCTGCCAGAGCAGCAGAGGCCAGCTCCGCACGTTGCTTTGGCCTCTTTGCCGTTCAGCACGGGAACTGCTTCCAGAGGCAGCTGCCCAACATCTGGGCCACATTAACTTCATTTAGCAAATGAAACATTCCCTGGGGCTAGGGAAGGGGTGTAAGGGGGGCATGGATGAGACCTTCTCCCCCACCCCCGCAGGTTCTCCTCCCCTCTGGGCTGAGCGGGCTGCTCAGTGTGATGTAGCCTCCTCCCTCCTTATTCACTATGTCCTCCTTCCTCCCATCGTGATATTACTAAAGCTTCTTTTACCAGGAAGTTGCAATTCTGCAACTGAATGCTGGAAGAAGAGAGAGCTGAATGGGGAGGGGGGCCTTGGGTAGCCGAAAGCCTTCAGGAGCAGAGGAAGGTCAGGACAGAAGCCCTAGTGTCACTCAAAGGGTGCTTCCCCCTTTTCCTCCTTCCCTCCTTTCCAACCCAAAGCAAGAGAAAATGCAGGTATCTCTGGCCCAGAGAATCTGGGGAAAAAGAAAACCTTCTTGGAGGGTCTGTCCTGCTCCCTATCCCCCATTTTTCATCCCTCTTGATCTGTATAGGGACTAGCCATGCAGCTGAGGTGGGCTGGGGCCTGACCAGACAAAGCCCTTAGGTCACATAACCAGATTTCAAAGATGCAAATGTAGAATATTTATGGGTGACTGTTGTGCTCCTTGTCCCCTGGGGCAGGCCTGGGGAGGGCAGAGGGAAAGGTGCAGGGTAGATCAGAGCATGACATAGGACCAGCCTAGGAATTAGGGGTGCAGTCAGTGAGGAAATGGGCGCAGCTAGGACCAAAGAAAACAAATGGAAGGAGGTAGAAAGTCCAGTAAGATATTCCCTGGGAGAATGGCATATAAACATGAAAGGAGGCGGGGCCAAGGTTAGTGAAGGACTACAACTATCCCTCAGCAAGAGGGAGGAGGGAGAGAAGGAAGGGTGGAGGACCCCAGTATGGGACAGAATGTGGTGACCGGGGAGGGATGGGAGGTGGGAATCCTGGACTGTAACCTGAACATAAATGCTATTTTGTTCTTGAGAGGAGCAGGGCTTCCCCTGGATAGGCCAAGTTTAACTGCTGAAAATGCCTTGGACATTGACTTCAAAAAACCAAAGGTGAACTGGCTGGTCCATTTTTTAGGTAATTTTTTGAATAATCAAACCTTGGAGAGCCCTCTGTTCTTCTTCCTCCCCTGAGTTGGCTGTTCCAGGCAAGCTGGCAGTGCCTGGAAAAACAACTGGTTGGGCTCGGCTTTCCCCTTGGTCCTAGAGGACCGGAGCTCTTGGGTGTGTATAGTGAGAGCTTGGCTGGGTAAGAGGAAAACAGCCAACGTGGATGAGCACGGAGTTTTGGGCCCATCTGCATAGGGTGTGTTCTTGGAGGGTTGGATACCGACGCGGGTTGGGTTGCTGTGCTCTCTCTGGTCCATAAATCTAGCAAAGAGGCGGGCTTTATACAGAGACTCAACGCGTAGTCTTAGTCTCAACAGTGACATGCTGGAGTCTAGAACCTCCCAAACTCATTTGGTGTTGAGAATTGCCTGAGGTGCTTGTTAAAAATAAAGCTTCCCGGGATGGATCCTGGGTCTGTTACATCAGAATGGATATTTATGATAGCAAGTTTGGCAAACATTGCTAATTGAAGGGCCACTGGGGTTGGGTCAAGGTGGATGGAGGTGGAGTTAAGGTTGCCAGATAAATACAGAACATCCAGCCTGGTGCCTGTAGTCCCAGCTACTCAGGAGGCTGGAGTGGGAGAATCCTCTGAGCCCAGGAGTTTGAGGCAATAGTGCACCATGATCATGTCTGCTAATAGCCACTGCACTCCAGCCTGGGTAACACAGGGAGATCCTGTCTCTAAAAAATAAATCTAGATTACAGAACATCCACTTAAATTTGAATTAAAAAATAATTTTTAGTATAAGTTTGTCCCAAATATTTGCTAAATTTGGCAACCCTACAGTGGAGGGAAATACTAGGAATTCTTATATAAGCCTGAGTACACCCTGGAAGGTGGGCCAGCTTCCCACTTAGCCTGACAACCAAGGGTGACAGAGGAAGAAGGAGTTTGAGTCTAGCAAAGTAGAGGAAGACTCTAATAGGATTTCCTTCTCATTTTCTTCTCTGCAACTGCAGGAGCAAGATATAGGCCATGATTTACATTTCTTTATAATCACAAACATAATTTTATTCTGACTTGTCTTCTTTCTATTTATTTTTAATCTGGAGGACAAATGTTCATCTTGAGAGTTTTGCTCCAATTTATTATTGTAAAAGGAAGTATAATATTAAGAGTGCTCCTCTTCTTGTAAACAATGAAATGTGAATACCAACAACTATAAACAAAAATGCTTCATGTTCCTCCCCTCCTCCTTTCTGCCCTCTTCATTCTTTTCTCTTTGCATGTTCAAGTGATTTCTTGTCCTCACCAGATGAGTTAATCAAGACAGCAATGGATGGGAGATGTTTTGGTGGTGCTCTGGGGTAAAAAAAGTACTGGGGCATATTGACTCTCGCTCTCCAAGAAGAGTATGAAATAATAGTAGTTATTGTGGTAACTGTAAAAAAGAGTCACCTGCCAGGTGTGGTGGCTCACTCCTGTAATCCCAGCAGGGCCAAAGTGGGCAGATCACTTGAGGTCAGGAGTTTGAAACCAGCCTGACCAACATGGCAAAACCCCGTCTCTACTAAAAATACAAAATTAGCTGGGCGTGGTGGCGCAGGCCTGTAACCCCAGCTACTAGGGAGGCTGAGGCAGGAGAATTGCTTGAATCCGGGAGGTGGAGGTTGCAGTGAGCCAAGATCGTGCCATTGCACTACTCTAGCCTGGGCAACAAGAGCGAAACTCCATCTAAAAAAAAAAAAAGAGTCACTTATATTTGCATTTATTTGCTTATACTGTGTCCTAAAGCAGGGGCTCCAATTCCTAGTCCATGGCCTGTTAGGAACTGGGCCGCACAGCAGGAGGTCAGCAGCAGGTGAGTGAGCATTACCGCCTGAGCTCCACCTTCTGTCAGATCCGTGGTGGCATTAGATTCTCACAGGAGCTCAAACCCTACTGTGAACTGGGCATGGGAGGGATCCAGGTTGTTCACTCCTTATGAGGATCAAACTAATGCCTGATGATCTGGGGTGGAACAGTTTCATTCTGAAACCATCCCCACCTCCCTGTCCATGGAAAAATTGTCTTCCCTGAAACCAGTCCCTGGTGCCTAAAAGGTTGGGAACCTCTGTCCTAATGGATTTCAGTATAGTTAACTTATGTTGAGATTTTTATATTTTGAAAGCATTTCACATTCACAGTCTTCTTTTACTTCCTGACCAACCCTGTGAAATAGGCAGGATAATGACAACTATTCATGTTGTACTTTCCCAATTTCCAAAATGGGATTAATGGAGAATGGTACCAAGAGCGTGTGTCACCCTCCCAGGAGAGGGAGGTAATTCAGCCAGCTCGCAGGGCGCTGGCTGGAACCTCCCACCTCTGTGCTCAGGCCCTTCCCCTGGGTCTTGGCTATTTTTGCCCTTTTTGTGTAACATCCGGTTTCCCTGGGAACTGAAACTTTAATATCCACCCCTCCCCCTTCTAGCTTTCTTCCTGCATAACCTGGAGACATTCTTTCTACCTTCTCAGCCTGGGTTACCAAGAAAGGGAATGTTGCCCAAGTATGTTGAGGTCACTGCCTTGGTGCTCTTCTGGAACAGAGGGCTCTCGTGGAGAGCTTGGCTGACGAGCAGGCCTGTTATATTCCTGACCTCTGATGTCAGCAACCACAAAGGGAGGGAGGGAGGCAGTTTTGTTTTTCAGTGTTTAATTTTTCTAAGGAAACTCATAACAAACCATTAGGACTGTCAGCACATCTTAGCGCTTCAAACCCTCTTCTCATTAGGACTGCCACATTAGAAAATAGGAGTCAGGAAACTCCCGTCTAATGCATTCTCTCCCTCTGCTGATGGAGCCTGAAGATGCATGAAGGCCTTGCTGCTCTCATCCAGTTTGCTGGGCTCCGGTCCCTGCTGTCTTCTTCAGCATCTGTCTTGGTCCTGGAAAGGATCCGCTCCTCACTGCATTCTGATTTATCCACTGCCTTTTTGGGAAGGTTTTCTCCCTGGGGCTTTGTGGGCAGCTAGAATCAGAGATAGGATTGGGGCTTTTTTGAGCAAGAGAAAGACTGCTTCCAGAGGAGGAAGGGGTAGGAGAGGTGGGCAGGGACAACAGGAGGAGTCTGGGCACAAAACCTGAAGTGCCCAAGTTCTCCCCAGGTCATTCCGTCCTCAGCCAGAGCTGGGTGCACGGGAGACTTTCATCTTCCTCAGAGTTGTGGAAGGTCTGTGATGTCCCTGTTGGAGTATTTGCCACCAGGAAGGTTAAGTCTTATTCATTGATTTCCATCGCCGAGGCTGGTTCCCTGCCTGCATACCTGTGAAGATGAGAGAGAAAGAGAGAAGCTGCTGGCTTCCAGAAACTCTACTTACTTCTTGCCTGGGCCAGGGTAGTCCTCATGCTGTTGATGTTGCTCGTGTCCCCATCCACGTGGGGAAGGCTTCAGCCCATGAAAGGGGGATCGGACTGGAGAGGGAGAGAGACTTTAAGCATTGGGAAGGGTTTTGGGTTACAGGGTTTTTTTGTTTTTGTTTTTGTTTTGAGGTGGGGTCTCACTCTGTCACCCAGACTGGGGTGCAGTGGTGTGATCTTGGCTCACTGCAACCTCCGCCTCCCTGGCTCAAGTGATCCTCCCACTTCAGCCTCCTGAGTAGCTGAGATTCCAGGTGTGCACTACCATGCCCAGATAATTTTTGTATTTTTAGTGGAGACGGGGTTTTGCCCTGTGGCCCAGGGTGGTCCGGAACTCCTGAGCTCAAGTTATCCACCCGTGTCGGCCTCCCACAGTGCTGGGATTACAGGCATGAGTCATCGCACCCGGCCGGTTACAGGGCTTTTGAGTATGAATGGCTCCTTGTGGCCCAGTCCCTCTTCTGGCATTATGGCTGCCAGGTTGCTTGAGGGGGCTGAGGAGGCAGATGTCATCCATCCTTCTCCATCCCTCGCACATGCCCACCTTGCATCCTGTTCCCTACCTGGGGCATTCTCTGTTGTGGCTCCTCCCTAGGACCATTCCTTCCACACTTTTCCTTTTCCGTGCCTTGACTCTCACTCTATACGGAATGTAGTAAAGCTTATTTTATGATGATAATTACAGTCAGACAATCTAGCTGGCCTCTCAGTTCTGCCACTTCCTAGCTCTGCAACTTTGAGCAAATTCCTTAATTTATCCAAGCCTCAGATTCCTTACCTGTAAGATTGGGTTCCTTATTTGTGAAGCCTCCAAACCTTAGGTTTCTCCCTTGTAAAATTATAATAGTTCCAGCATTATGGAACTGTCAGGCATATTGCAATAATCCATGTAAAGTGCTCACCACAGTGCCTGACATACAGTAAGTGTTCAATAAATGTCAACACTAGTTGTTCTGGGATATTGGTGTGGGTTATCCAGCAGACATTTGGAAGTGCTGGTTGGGGATGTGGGTAGGGGTGGGGTTGAGGAGAGCCCGAAGGCCTAGACATTGTGAAATAGGTCCCGGGAGGGGTTTTCCAGCTTCCTGGCTGGTCCCCTCAACTTGGTAAGGAGCCCTCATAGACATGCACCCACACAGTGTTGGCTAAATTGGCTGAATGTCAGAGCCGGAAGGGACTGAAAACACTGTGTCATCTAAAGGCCTTGTTGAACAGGTGAGGACACAAAATGACGTATCTGAGGTCACATGACTAGTCAGTGGCAGGCCTAGGATTGATCTTCTTTCCTGATTTTCAGTGTTCTTTCCAGGGTGGCGTGGTCCCCTTCAATACTCAGGTTTAAGCACCCAGAGCCCCAGGGGGCCGTGGGTTTTTGGAAGGGTACTCAATTTGTTCTTTGTTCAGGGTGAAGGAGGACACTGAAGTGATAGGATGGGCTCTGGTTAGGTGCCTGGCCCATGTTCCCAAGTTTGTGGAGTTTATTCATAATTAGCTTATCCAGGAAGTACTTGTCAAGCATCTCATAGTAATAGCTTACATTTGCTGAGGACTTCCTCTGTGCCAGGTGCTGTCCAATGCATTTTATGTGGATTGTCTTATTTAGCCTGTGTGACATCCCTGTGAGGGAGGTACCATAATTACTATTATTTTAAGTAACTTTTATTGTGGGAAAATATACATAACATAGAATTTACCATCTTAACCATTTTGTTTTGTTTTGTGAGATCAAGTCTTGCTCTGTCACCCAGGCTGGAGTGGAGTGGCACGATCTTGGCTTGCTGCAACCTCCACCTCCCAGGTTTAAGCGATTCTCCTGCCTCCGTCTCCCAAGTAGCTGGGACTACAGGTGCACGCCACCACACCTGGCTAATTTTTGTATTTTCAGTAGAGACGGGGTTTCACTAGGTTGGCCAGGCTGGTATCGAACTCCTGACCTCAGGTGATCTGCCCACCTCAGCCTCCCAAAGTGCTAGGATTACAGGCATAAGCAACTGTGCCTGGCCCATCTTAACCATTTTTAAGCATACAGTTCAGTGGCATGAAGTACATTCATAATGTCATGAAACCCCTCACCACCATCTATCTCCTTAACTCTTTTCATCTTGTAAAACTAAAACTCTGTACCCATCAAAACAGTAATTCTCTATTCCTCCCAGTCCCTGGAAACTACTATTCTACTTTTTGACTCTATGATTTTGATTGCTGTTAAGTACTGAAGGAGGGACTGTTATTATGTTCGTGTTACAGCTGAGGAAACTAGGCTTGGAGGAATTAGGTGACTTGCCTTAGTAAGCAGTTGTAAGTGCAATGCTGAGATTTACTCCTGTGCTCTTAGCCCTGACTCTCTCCTGCCTCCTTACACTGCCTTTCCCTATCACATTTGTGGTAAGTCCTAGGTCGGATGCTGGGAAATGAGAGGGGCCAAGACACACACAGTCCCTGACTACATGGATCTCACAGTCTAGCCCGTGTCAAATACAGTAGCTTCCAAACTGTTTTGACTCTGACCTACAGAAAGAAACACACTGTACTGGGTATAGTTATTTATTATATGTGTTATTCTCCACTCTCCTCCAACAATATAAGAATTTCACAAAACAACCCTTTGACTATTTGTACACTTTCATATTTTCTATTCTATTCTATTGTATTTTATTTAACAAAATGATGGTTGACACCTGCTAAATTGATTTTGGGACCCACAAATGTGTGGTATTCCACAGTTAAAAAATGCTGGTCTACCAGGCATCTTACTGTACAGGCTCTCCTTCTAGCTACAACTCCATGAATAGGCCTTCTTGATATCTCAATTTCTCTTTTCTTTTTCCTTTTTTTTTTTTTGGTAGAGACGGGGTCTAGCTATGTTGCCTAGGCTGGTCTTGAACTCTTGGCCTCAAGCAGTCCTCATGCCTTGGCCTCCCAAAGTATCAATTTCCCCTTTCTGTACAACGGTCCTAAGGGATTATCCCAGGAAAGACCACAACAATTTGTTTATGCTCCAATGTACGGGGTAAACTCTTAGCTATTGGGAAGTGGTAGGGCCTGCAGGAGGTAGAGAGTCGCCATAGCTCTGATTGCTGGACTTCTCTTTGGGCTCCTGTCTTACAGGCCCTGCCTCTGGGCTCACCTCGCTGTGACCTGAAGGAGAATCTGCTGAAGGATAACTGTGCCCCAGAATCCATCGAGTTCCCAGTGAGTGAGGCCCGAGTACTAGAGGACAGGCCCCTCAGCGACAAGGGCTCTGGAGACAGCTCCCAGGTCACTCAAGTCAGTCCCCAGAGGATTGCACTCCGGCTCCGGCCAGGTAGGGCTGGGACTCTTTGCGGGGAGAGACCTGAAGCAGGTGGGCATAGAGCACAAGGTGGAGGTCTGAGGAGGAAGTCTTGGGGAAGTAGCTCAGAATGGAAATGGGGTGGGAAGACAAGGATGAGGGGGGAGGTGTGGGCAAGAGAATGGAAGAAAATAAGAGACGTTAGGACTTGAGTCAGAAGATCTGAGGTGAATCTTTACTGTATCATATATTAGCTATTTGACCTTGGACAAGTTACTTAACCCTTCAGACATAGTAGGTGCTCAAAAAATATTTGTTTCTTCTTTACCCAAGTGCCTGTTTTACCTAGCTTAGAGCTTTGTGTTGAGGTGCAAATGAGATATAGAACAAGAAAGCGACTTGTAAGCCCCCCTTTCATGGGGAATTGGGACAGGGGAATGGGGGCAGACACAATAGGTACACAAGACCTTTAGAGGGAGGAAGGGTTAGACTAAAGACAGAAATTTTGAAGCATTGATTTTGACTTTCCAACTAAGTCAAGAAGGATTTACCTACTATCAAGGCATGTGTTGGATGCAATGGGATTCAGAGAAGGGTAGGGTGCAGTTTCTGTCTTTTACAGAGTCTGAAGTGTAGTAACTATCAAAATCTCTGTGACTCACAGTGATAGACCCGTGGAACTCACAGGATTAGAAATCCCCTGGGATTTAGAGAAAGTGGAAAATTTTAGAATGGAAAAGAAGAGGTTAAAAATAGGAGGGTCAAGAGATTAGAAGAGTAATAGAATTGCAAAGGAAGAGGAAAAGGGACCAGGGCTTTCTGGTTTGCTTTGATCATGCAATTTCTTAGTCCCAACTGTATCCAAATCTGCTTATTCAATCTTGGTGGGAGAAGAAGATAAAAACTAACATCTTTCTGCCTTCCAGATGATTCGAAGAATTTCTCCATCCAAGTGCGGCAGGTGGAGGATTACCCTGTGGACATCTACTACTTGATGGACCTGTCTTACTCCATGAAGGATGATCTGTGGAGCATCCAGAACCTGGGTACCAAGCTGGCCACCCAGATGCGAAAGCTCACCAGTAACCTGCGGATTGGCTTCGGGGCATTTGTGGACAAGCCTGTGTCACCATACATGTATATCTCCCCACCAGAGGCCCTCGAAAACCCCTGCTATGAGTAAGTCCCTCCTCCAGACGCCAGGACAGCATCCTTTGCCCCAGGAAGGTCCAAGTCCTGGTTCCTATTTCTAGCTCTAGGATCACTTTGTTGGCTGTCTTCTTGCCAAACTATAGCTCCTTTCTACCTTGGTCTCCCTGTTTGGCAAATGGGCTAGCTTGTGGATCTGGAGTGTTGTGTCAATGGAGCCTAAGGCTGTTTGGAGAACCTAGAAAGAAAATTCATCAGCTTCTCAGTCTTGGTAACAAATAAATAGAAGGCAAGAGAGAATGGGAGGGAAATGACGTCAAAAGTAGAAAGAAATTTATGGATAAGGAAACCGAGAAATTACGATTACAGAAGGATCGATTCCATTGTTGGCATTATTGTCTTCATCAAGGCCGTGCATCCTGCAGGGTGAAAACAGAAGAAATGAAGTGCTAAGGAATATAAAAGAGTGGAAATGACATTTGTTGGACACTTTTATAGTCTGTAAATGGATAACTTGTGCCTCTGTTTGACACTTTGGCTTAAAACTGAATGGCTTATTTATTTAATCGGTGGAGACTGTGCAAATCCATGTATTAGAATAACTTACAATGCTGGTTGCTGAGCCTGAAAAGGTGTGAATTTACTTTTTAGTTTTCAAAGTTACGGCCAGGTGGGGTGACTCACTTCTGTAATCCCAGCACTTTGGGAGGCCAAGATGGGAGGATCACTTGAGCCTAGGAGTTTGAGTTCAGCCTAGGCAACATAGTGAGACCCCCATCTCTACAAAAATTACAAAAAAATTAGCTATGTGTGATGGCGCATGCCTGCAGTCCCCAGGACTACAGGGAGGCTGAGGTGGGAGGATTGATTGAGCCTGGGAGGTTGAGGCTGCAGTGAGCCATGATTGTGCCACTGCACTCCAACCTGGACAATGGAGCACAACTGTCTCTAAAAAAAAAAGAAAAAGTTTTGAAGTTATATGATGTGGCATTCAACCTTCTATCTGGGTTGTAAGGTTCCCAGGCAAGACATCAGCTATTAATTAAACACACTATTTTGACTGGGGGCAGAAATGCTCCTGTCTTGCATGATCTATCAATTTATTGATGGTTCAGGGACCTTAACTTACTGATGGACTTTTGCTTTATTGTTACTTTAGGAAAGTGTTAAGTATAAGGTGATAGTAATAGCAACTCGAGCCTCGCTCTGGTCTAAGTGCTTTGTGTGTATGAACTTACTTAAGTCTCACAACTCTTATGGGATATGTGCTATCCTGGCCCCTCTTTCATAGGTTGGATTGAGAGGCTTGCCAAAGGTCCCATGACTAGTACAGAGGGCACCTGGGATCTAAGCTCAGGGAGTCTTGTTTCCAGCTCAATCTCTTATCTTCTAGGTTAGCTGGATGGGGGTAATGTTGATGGGGAGCTTCAGATAATTTGAGGATTTTGGAGTCTGAACTGTCTGGGTAACTGTGGTTGTATGGAACTGGCCTTGGCATACCACTATCTATATTTGTCCCCTCTCTTTCCTCCCAATTCCCATGCTGCCTTTTCCATGAAGGTGTCTGCTTAAATTATCTCCCATCCCTCCCCAGTATGAAGACCACCTGCTTGCCCATGTTTGGCTACAAACACGTGCTGACGCTAACTGACCAGGTGACCCGCTTCAATGAGGAAGTGAAGAAGCAGAGTGTGTCACGGAACCGAGATGCCCCAGAGGGTGGCTTTGATGCCATCATGCAGGCTACAGTCTGTGATGTGAGTTTGGAGGACTTGGAGTGCCAGGTGTGGCTGGCATAGATCAAAATGGGAAAGGAAGTGACTGAACTCTGGGGATTTCTGGTGTAAAATGAGATGAGAACTAAGCAGGGCTTCCTGCAGTTATGAGTAGTAAGTTGCTCCTGATATTCAGCCTTGGCTTAGATCCACTCCCTGGCCTGAGCTGACATTTCTTTGAACCTCAGTGGTCTCAGATGTTCCCAGGGGAGAGCATCTTCCCATCTTCAGAGTTACTTCAGAGTTAAGGCTGAGTTAACTTAACCTCAGCAAAGTAGGCAGATGTTCAGATGAGATTTCTTCTAGCCCAGATCAGCTCTGTGGATGCACGTCAGTTTCTAGATGAGCAATGTGACTGTCATTAGAAGAGTTAAGTTTGGAGTTTAAGAAGATCTCATTCAGCTGCTTGAACTAATCAGCTATGAGACTGTTTTCTGAAGAGAATGAAACTCCTGAACTGGAAAGCTTCAGCTTCGGTTCCAAGGACTGGGACTGAGACCCTTGTTTTGAAGAAAAATAAGCTGTCCAGCCCTTTAGCCAGGGAGCACCTTGGGTCTCTGTTCTCTACCAGTGACATGGCTGAATTTGTTTTGTCTCCTCTGCCTTTGTTTTTTGTTTTCTTTTAACAGGAAAAGATTGGCTGGAGGAATGATGCATCCCACTTGCTGGTGTTTACCACTGATGCCAAGACTCATATAGCATTGGACGGAAGGCTGGCAGGCATTGTCCAGCCTAATGACGGGCAGTGTCATGTTGGTAGTGACAATCATTACTCTGCCTCCACTACCATGGTGAGATCTCTGGCACCACCTATGGTTTCTATTCATGATTGTGAGGGTTGCCCTAATCTAGGCAGAGTCTGTGTGAATATGAAAATGGCAGCCCCTCCTTCTGGGCAGGGTGCAGGGCTCGGTTCCAGCTTGCCCCTATCCCTTACCAACTGGACACCGTCATCCAGCATACAACCTATATAACCATTAGAGATGTCCCTGATTGTGGTGTTATCACTGCCTTCACTGTCACCAGCATAGCAGCAGCATCATGGGATCCAGAATGGACCCAAAGGATTTTTACAACCCAGCTGGAAAGCAGGTCTTCCTCTCCACTCTGATTAGCCCTTTCTTGGAATACCATACTAACTTGTGGTTATTGGAAGAAGACAGAGGAAAAAAAAGAGAAAGATTGGCCAGGCATATGATGGCTCATGCCTGTAATCTCAGCACTTTGGGAGGCTGAGGTGGGAGGATCACGTGAGTCCAGGAGTTTGAAACCAGCTTGGGAAATATAGTGAGACCCTGCCTCTACAAGAAAATGCAAAAATTCGTTGAGTGTTGTGGTTTGTGCCTATGGTCCCAGCTACTTGTGGGGCTGAGGCAGAAAGATCTCTTGAGCCCAGTAGTCTGAGGCTGCAGTGAGCTGTGATCTTGCCACTACACTCCAGCCTGAGTGACAGAGCAAGAACCACCCCTGCTTTTTTTTTTTTTTTTTTTTTTTTTTTTTTTTGATACAGAGTCTTGCTTTGTTGCCCAGCTGGAGTGCAGTAGTGCAATCTTGGCTCACAAGCTTCACCACCTCAGTCTCCTGAATAGCTGGGACCACAGGCATGCACTACCATGCCCAGCTAATTTTTGAAAACAGGGTCTTTCTATGTTGCCCAGGCTGGTCTCAAACTCCTTGGCTTAAGCAATCTGCCCTCTTAAGCCTCCCAAAGTGCTGGGATTACAGGTGTGAGCCATTGCTCCTAGTGGAGACCCCTTCTCTTAGAAAGAGAGAGAGAGAGAGAGAGAGAGAGAGAGAGAGAAAGAGGGGAAAGAACATAAAAGGCATGGTGAACAGGTCCTACGAGGAAAGATTAAAGGGCCAGAGTCATTTAGCTTGAAAGAAAGAAGGCTAAAGGATGATTTAGCTTATACATGAGAAAACTTCTTATAAGTTGTTTTATATGGCCATAGAAGGTTAAACAAGAGGAAAATATTTAAATTGAATCAGGAGAAATTACTATAAGCCATAAGAGAAATGTGCTGTAATGCTCTAGGTATCTGGGGCAGGTGTGAACTCTTCGTCTCCTAAGGACAATATAGCAACTTCCTCATCTAGGTGACTTAAAGGTGTACCTGTGTAAAGGCAGGAGACTGAGCTGAGGATCTAATGAGCTCCCTGCAAGGTCTAGGATCCCATGGACATGTTCACGATTCACCACCGCCCCCGCACAGTGTCCTTGAGTTCCTTGGTGTCAGCCATATCCAAGTCAAGCACTACCAGACAATGAGTCAGCAACATTTGACCCCTAATCTATGCAAGGCACTGGGCCAGGGGCTGAGGGAGGTAACAAGACTATGTATGGTTCTATCCTTGGGGAGTTTTTGGTCTACTTGAGGAGAAAGGATATATATATTTACAATAACACAAGATGCATGATTAGTGCCAAATGGGTGTGGCACAGCCAATGTGGCTATACGTATCCAAGGGAGGAAAGGTCATCATGAGCTGGGATGGCCAAGGAAGTCTCCTGAAGAAGGTGGGGGCTAAGCTAGGCCCTAAGAAAGGAGGAGGATTACCAACAAGAAGGCCACTCCAGGTGGGAGACAGTGGGCCAGATCACTGCTGAGTGGAAGAGGGAGAGAGGTGAGCAATATTTGGAAAGAAAGACTGAGACCACACGGTGGAGGATCACGAGGGCCAGGCCAAGGCATTTGTCAGTAGTTCCAAAACAGAGGCCTAACCCAGTCCCTTGTGCACGGAAGCAGCTCCATAGTATTAGTGCATTAAATTCAAGCAGGAAGAAAGAGGTGCTTAGTTTTGACACCACTGGCCTGTACCTCTTCGTCTATCCCTGGAGTTCACAAGTAGACTTCTGTGCTACTTACCCTTCTTATCTCACTGTCACCCCCCTTTTTTTTTTAGAGACAGAGTCTTGCTCTGCTGCCCAGGCTGGAGTGCAGTGGTGCAATCATAGCTCACTGTAACCTCCAACTCCTGGGCTGAAGTGATCCTGCCTCAGCCTCCCCAGTAGCTAGGACTATAGGCACTTACCACCACATCTGGCAAATAAAAAAAATTTTTTTGTAGAGATGGGGTCTTGCTATGTTGCCCAGGCTCTTGTCTCACTTTCAGCATGAAGTGAAATGGTTTAAGCACCACCACACTCTGAGCCACAGCCCAAGCAAGATAAGTTCTAAGCTTTAGACCCTAGAGATGTACATGAGACGTCATTAACCTCTACATCCTTCATTTTCCTAGGATTATCCCTCTTTGGGGCTGATGACTGAGAAGCTATCCCAGAAAAACATCAATTTGATCTTTGCAGTGACTGAAAATGTAGTCAATCTCTATCAGGTGACTGTGCCTTCGGGCTTCCTGGAGTGGGCCCTGTGATGGTGGGTGCCCCAGGTAGCCAGCCTGTGCTAGCATTGGATACAGTCCCCAATCAGGAAAGAGTCTCCCCTAATCCACTCCCCAGGAGCTAAAGATTGCACTCTGGGCCTTTTTCCTGCAATCTTGAACTTACTAGGTATGTGTTGGTGTTTGTGGTGGTGGAGGGGAGGTGGTGAGGGGTGTGAGAGGTTTCCTCTACTTTTGCTCAGGGCTGAAAAACTGCTAGATATATTCCTGGCAGTGACAATTGAAATATCCCGTACCTTCCTCCAATCTTCATCTCAGGACTCTCAGTGGGATTTGGGGAGGGCTTTTGGAGACCACCAGCTTCCTTTGGTAAGCTCTGGACATCTTTGTTTTCCTTTCTAGAACTATAGTGAGCTCATCCCAGGGACCACAGTTGGGGTTCTGTCCATGGATTCCAGCAATGTCCTCCAGCTCATTGTTGATGCTTATGGGGTAAGTGTCTTGTGCTGGGAATAGTCCCGCGGAGAGTCCACCTCATTTGGCTTACACAGCAGGGCTCAGATTTGTGAGTCCCAGTTGCCAGTCTACCACACGGTCTTACTGCCTTCTCCGTGTGCTCCCAGAGCCCAGGCAATGGCCCGCTCTAGAAGGGATGCAGCCTTCTGAGAAGGAAGGAAGGAAGGAAGGAAGAGAGAAAGAAGGAAAGAAGATGGGGATGGGGATGGTGATTAGATGGAGAAGGAGCAGAGCCCTGGAATTGTGGGGGCAGAGTGAGGGAAAACTGGGCTCCAATAACAGGGAAAAGAGAGAGCTGAGACATGGGGAAGGTGAGGTTGATGAAACATTAGGTAGAAAATGCCACTTTCCAAGGTGACCAGTATTGGCACTCCCCTTTTGCAACATCTGTGAGGCCTGCAGGAGGGTGTAGCTGGTACATTTTACCCAGACTCACCTAGACGCAAGTGGAGATGGAAAGAGGGAGCAGGTTCCTGCGCAGGAAACAGAGTCCTAGGGGTGCTCCGGCAGCTTCCAGGTCAAACCTTGGCCTCTGGCACTGCTGGGGTGAGTCCAGAGCTACTTGCCAGATTTGGCTTGGGATGGAACTGGCTCTTGCCATTTCCCGTTTCCTTTCAGTTCAATTTCTTGTCTTCTTGTGCCCCTTTCTGCTCAGAAAATCCGTTCTAAAGTAGAGCTGGAAGTGCGTGACCTCCCTGAAGAGTTGTCTCTATCCTTCAATGCCACCTGCCTCAACAATGAGGTCATCCCTGGCCTCAAGTCTTGTATGGGACTCAAGATTGGAGACACGGTGAGGTGGGCTGGGCAGGGCCTTTGTCCTGGAGCATCTGTGGGCACCCAACCCCCTTTCTTCCTTTTGTAGTGACTAAAAATGGCCCCCTTCCACCAGAAAAAAAATATGGGCAAGAAAAATACGTTTCCTGAAAGTCATTCTAAGTTAGATGTAATGGATCCACCAATCTTTTCCTCTGAGGCTTCTGTTGCGTAAGCCATTTCTGTTACGTGAACTTCACTCTCAGGAATTTGAAAAACTTACAATTTGGTTACCTTTGTTTGTGTATGCACAGTTGATTGCAAAGGAAAATATTTCTTTACCTTCAGTCCCTCACCAGTCGCCAGCCTTTCCAAGGTAATTAATACCTTTCTTTTGTAAAACGACACAAGAAAGTAAAATCTAAAATGTAAAACACTCCAGTCTCTCCACGACTTTCCTTATTGGTCGTTTCTCCTCCGCTTCTGCCTAAGGGGAGAGGGGTTGGTGGGAGGGGAGGAAGGAGGGGAAGAAAATAGATCTTTGGATACGCTGATCCTTTCTATTGACCTATCTGTCTCTCAGGCACTTGTGCAAACATCCCATGTTAGAAATATTGTCCTGAAACATGCTTTATTGCATAAGCTATGAAATGTGTGGGAACTGAAGTAGATCCTGAGCTTATGATTGACCACCATGTGGGATTGTGTGGTGCAAAATAGTGCTTTGTGCATCTTGCTGATAATTATAATCAGGCCAAAGCAGGGTGTTTATATGATCACAGGTTCTGTTCAGTTTGAGCTGGTCTATTTCATATGTGGAGTGAAAAAACAGCCTTTTATTATTTATTGACTGTAAACCATGTCTCTGCATCCAGCTAGATATGTCACAACGATACTATTCCCGTGCTTGTGTTTTTGCTTTGCAGACCTTCATATAGGGAAGGCTGAGGAACTCCAGATTGCAAAAGCATAAGACACCCAATTTGGGTATTCCTTGGCAGGGCAGGGAACAACTTTTTTTTTCCTCCAGAGCTGGAGTGTTAACTGGGCCCAACTGTGTCTAAATACAATCTTTCTTTCCATCCAGGTGAGCTTCAGCATTGAGGCCAAGGTGCGAGGCTGTCCCCAGGAGAAGGAGAAGTCCTTTACCATAAAGCCCGTGGGCTTCAAGGACAGCCTGATCGTCCAGGTCACCTTTGATTGTGACTGTGCCTGCCAGGCCCAAGCTGAACCTAATAGCCATCGCTGCAACAATGGCAATGGGACCTTTGAGTGTGGGGTATGCCGTTGTGGGCCTGGCTGGCTGGGATCCCAGTGTGAGTGCTCAGAGGAGGACTATCGCCCTTCCCAGCAGGACGAATGCAGCCCCCGGGAGGGTCAGCCCGTCTGCAGCCAGCGGGGCGAGTGCCTCTGTGGTCAATGTGTCTGCCACAGCAGTGACTTTGGCAAGATCACGGGCAAGTACTGCGAGTGTGACGACTTCTCCTGTGTCCGCTACAAGGGGGAGATGTGCTCAGGTGAGGAGAACTGCAGGGCCCCCTGTCCTGGAACCCACACCCCCTCATATACCTGCAACCACTGGAAACATAGGTGAAGGCCTGAGATGGGTCTTTGCAGGCAGAGGTGTAAGTCAGTGGTTCCTAATCTTTTTGAGTATAAGGACCAATCCCCTTTTCACGTTAAAAAAAAAAGTTACTGATAGATGGCAATTAAATTTTTAGCATTTATAGACTTAGAAAACACATGTCAGAATATGTAGTAAGGTTAGTAATAATTTTACATGAGTTTATCTTTGTATCACAAGAGACCGGGAAAAGAGTAGTATATATGCAAGACATTGGAGTGTGCTTGAACAATGTCTGGAAAATGGTGTAATGCTCTTGTTAATGTTAGCACTATTTTGTTAATCACTGTTACTACTATTGGTGCTACTGTTATTTTTTGGATTCTAGATCTTTGCTATCCAATATGGTAGGCTTTAGCCACATGTGGCTATTTAAATTAACCAAAATTGAAAAATTAAAAATTCAGTTCTTCAGCTCATCAGTGGCCACATGTAGCTAGTGGCTGCTATATTGGACAGATCTAGAACATTTCAACGTGATAGAAAGTTCTCTTGGATAGCACTGCCACAGAGAGTCCCTGCTGACAGATTGGGGATTATAATTTTAAGTCCTTCTACTCAGCAGGGTACTGAGTTGTCCTTCTCATTGCAAAATTCAGTAAAATCTTGAGGCCCACTGATAATCTCAAACTAGTTTCTCCTTGCCCCAAGAACCACTCCTGGGGTACTTTCCCAGCTAGAAGTTGAACTAATGTTAATGTAGTCTTTATCCGCAGACATGTTGGCAACACTCTCAGAGGGCAAATAGTCTTGAGTTGTTCCTGGGGCACTGAGGATGGGTTTTTACTGGGCCATAATCACTGTGGCTTAATCCCTCTTGCGACAGACACAAGTTGGTTGGGACTGGGTTACGGGTGTATTGTGTGGCCAAACAGAGAGATTATAATTGTTTTCTGGGGATGACCCTTGACTCAGATTGGCTTCATTGGCATTGGGGTTCTTTTTTTTTTTTGAGACGGAGTCTTGCTCTATCGCCAGGCTGGAGTGCAGTGGTGCGATATTGGCTCACTGCAACCTCTGCCTCCCAGTTCAAGCAATTCTCCTGCCTCAGCCTCCCGAGTAGTTGGGACTATAGGCATGCGCCACGATGCCCAGCTAATTTTGGTATTTTTAGTAGAGATGGAGTTTCACCACATTGGCCAGGATGGTCTCGATCTCTTGACCTCGTGATCCTCCCACCTCGGCCTCCCAAAGTGCTGGGATTACAGGCATGAGCCACTGCGCCCAGCCAGCATTGGGGCTCTAATCAGTTGAGCTAATCCATGCAGATACTCACTTCGATACTGATATTAACCTTTAAAAAAGCTCACTTAGAAAGGTCGATCTGTGTCTTTCTAAAGCATGTCAGTAACATAAAAATGACTGCTTTTTTTATTATCTACGACATTGTTTCCTTTACTCATGCTGTCAAAATTTTAGAGAGAGTTTGGAAGGAAGTGTTATCAGAATGATTAGGGGAGAGCAAGAGATCAGATACACACAGATGAAAGCACAAACAGCAACCATTTGAATTAGGGGGTGAGGCAGGAGTTTCACTTCATTTTACTATTTAAAGTATTTATATCTAATTCAAAGTACCAAAGGAAATGGGTAAATTTGAAGTGGGAGACCCCTGGGAAGAAGGTTGGGGACTGAGGGAGAGAGGGTGGTCCCAGGAGAGGAGTACGGCTGGACCACGGGGGCACCCCCAGTCCTCCTCCATGGCCTGATGGTTCCTGGTCTGGTGTGAGGCACTGCGGCAGGATCCCAGCCAGAGCATGTTTCTTTTGGCTGCTGCCCCACTAAAGCCACAAAACAAAGCTGACTGGGTCAGAAGCCCCAGTTCCTGCCTCTCACCAGTGCAAGAACAGCTCCTCCTCAGTGCATTCCAGTCTAATCCATGAGGGAACCAGGGCAGCCATTGCCGCCTCCCTCTACCATGTCTTGCTAGGGTGTCAGGTGCCCACCCAGCCTCAGGTCTAGACCCTGTGGTGCCATCATCACATCCTCCAGTGACAGATACTCAGGGGCGCACATCATTGAGCACTTGCTCTGTGCCATCATTTGGTCCATATGAGTGAACAAGGGGTCATGCATGATCCCTGACCTCTCCAAGCTTAAAGCCCCACTCACCATTGCCCCTTGCCAGAGCTGCTGGCTCTATGCTTCATTCTTTGCTATAAGCAGGGGCTCAGGAGGCAGGTGTTCTGTGACTCGGCCATTTCCCTAGCCCATGGCCTGTAAGCATGGCGGCTGGTTCCCTGGCCATCCCCGTTGTCCCCTCCCTACTTTGGGCCTGGTCTTCATGGTTGCTCATGATCAACATTCCTGCCTCAAACATCAAGAAGTGCATCATCCTCAAGGGAGTTTTCCACTTGCCACAGCCACAGATCAGTCAGGCAGCTTCTGTGAGCCAGATTCTGTGCTGTTGTGGAGTAGGATAGAGAGGCGTGAATAAGACAGTTAACCAAGGATAATTCCCAACATGAGGTTGAATCTGACAGATCCAGGAAGTGTGGAGTGCTCAGGGAATGTTATAGGAGTCCACTGGAGCGAGACTTGACTGGGGACAGGGTAGGCCTGGGTGGCTTCATGGAGGAGGTGGGATGTCTGACAGATCTCAGAGGAGGGGCAGGCTCAGGACAGACAGGAGTGGAGCGAGCATCAGCCCAGAAGGTCTAGCTGTGGGGCTCGTGTTCCCAATGACCTTAAGCACCCGTTCCTCCCTCCCTTTTCTGGCTCCCCTCCCTTTCTCCTCTTCCACTCTTCATTTCTTACTTTACTCCTCTGACTTTCCGATGAACCCGGACTCAGCCTCCCTTTTGCTGGAAGGGTGCCAGTCCTGTGACATTACCACACTGTGGCTACCTTTTAAGGGCTAACCCTACCAAGGCTTGGGGTCAGCCTGCTGGCTCTGACCTGTCACTTCCACTCCCAACCTCACTCCCTGGCTGGCCCATCTTGTCAAAGATCACTTTGTTTAGCCTCACAAAGGAAACACTATGGGACAAGAGTTTCTGAGGAGGCGGAGGCCTCTGAGTGCTGCCAGGCCCCTGTGGTGTCGGTCTTTCCCATCCAGGAGCCGTGGCCAAATGCAGGGTGTAGTGAAAGGCCGGGGGGCGGGTGGGGGGGCAGCTCTGCTGGCTGGCGCACTCCTCCCCCAGCTGCTGTGAGGTTGGCCGATAGCAGCTCACAGCTGCCCCTTCTGTGAAGAACTGCCCTCGGCTGACAGGAGCTGTCTTGCCCCTAGATGTTGGCCAATGACTGATGGAGAAGGGGTTACTCAAGGCTAGACTCTTCGCCTCAGGGTGGGCCTGGCTTTGTGGTGCCATTCACGTAGGATCAGGCTGGAGGGCATCTGGCTGAGACCACATTCCTGCCAGCTCTGCCTCTTGCCATGTCCTGTTTCCCTCCCTCCTCTCTACATCCTCAGCGAGTCCCTTAAATAAGATCCTCATCCAAGCTGTACTTCTAGGGAACCTAGCCTCGGGACACAGCCTTTCTGCTTTCCCCACCCTTCTGGCAGCCCAACATCTCTACTTTCCAGATATACTTGGCAGCTGGGGCAGCTTGGGTTATGTCCGCCATCCTTCCTGGGAAGCAGACATTTCTTTCCATGCCCAGCCCATAGTGCAGTGGCATGATCATGGCTCACTGCAGCCTTGAACTCCTGGGCTCAAGTGATCCTTCTGCCTTAGTCTCCGAAGTAGCTAGGACTACAGGCTCTTGCCATCATGCCCGGATAATTTTTTAAAAATTTGTAGAGACGGGATCTCGCTATGTTGCCCAGGCTAGTCTTGAACTCCTGGGCTCAAGTGATCAATCTGCCTCGGCCTCCCAGAGTGTTGAGGTTACAGGCATGAGCCACCATGCTTGGCCTTTGAAGGTTTTTAAGCAGGTGAGTTACATGATCAAGTTGACTCATACTTTAAAACGGTGGTTCTCAACTGGGAGGAAGGAGCTATTTTGTCTCCCAGGGCACATTTGGCAATGTCTGGTGATATTTTTGATTGTTATAACTGGAAAGGTGCTACTGATGTCTAGAGGGTGGAGCTCAAGGATGCTGCTAAACATCCTAATGTACAGGACAGTCCTCCCCAACAAAAAATTATCTGGCCCCAAATATTGAAAAGTACCAAGGTTGAGAAATCACATTTTACAAAGAGAATCCTGGCCACAGAGGAATTGACAATCACCTGGAGAAGGGGAGATGACTTACTTATCTAGAGACAGGACCAGGCTGAGGACAGGGCATGGAAATATCTACAGTGAGGCCCATCCACCCTTCGCTTAAATAGTTCAGAACATTTGACTCCTAAAATGTTCCTTCCTTGAAATTTCTCATTGAGATCAAGCCTAGTTACTGGACTTTCCATAACTTCTTTCTTACTACTTTGGTCTCTTTTCTTCCTCCACTGGTCAATTTGAAGAATATTCCATTAAAACTGGCTCCATCTTCTGTTGGTTAAGGCCATTTTCTCTGTAAGTTAGAGACATCTTCTGGAAAGACCATATTAGTATAAATAGGGAAAAGCATTGCTTATGACACTGCATAGAGGCTAAGCACTTGGGATCTGAAGTCACAGTGACTTCAGTTTGAGTCCTGACCCTGCCATTTACAAGGCATATGGCCTTGGGAAAGTTACTTAACCTCTCTGACCTCAAAGGGTTGTTATAACAAATGAAAAGGATAACATACTAAAGAACTTGCGGCTGGGCATGGTGGACCAGCTGGCCGGGCCTGTAGTCACAGCTCTTTCGGAGGGCAAGGCACATGGATCACCTGAGGTCAGGAGTTCAAGGTCAGGCTGGCCAACATGGTGAGACCCCATCTCTACTAAAAATACAAACATTAGCCGGGCATGGTGGTGCATGCCTGTAGTCCTGGCTACTTGGGAGGCTGAGGCAGGAGAATCGCTTGAACACGGGAGGTGGGGGTTTACAGTGAGTCAAGATGGCACCACTGCACTCCAGCCTGGGTGACAGTGAGACTCTCAAAAAAAAAAGAAAGAACTTGGCACAAGCCCACAAGCCTAGGCAATATAACAAGACTCCCATCTGTACAAAAACAAAAATAATTAGCCAGCTGCAGTGGCACATGCCTGTAGTCCCAGCTACTCAGGAGGCTAAGGTGGGAAGATCACTTGAGCCCAGGAGTTTGAAGTTACAGTGAGCAATGATTGCACCACTGCACTGTAGCCTGGGTGATAGGGTGAGACTCTGTCTCAAAAAAAAAAAAAAAAGCAAATAAATAAAAAGAAAAAGAACTTGGCACAGTACTTGACACATATTAAATGCCTCCTTGGTTGGTTTGGAAAGTAGATACACATTCTCTTCTCTAAATGCTTTCCAAGTCTGTTCCACTGCACTCCCAGATATGATATGATGAGGTCAGATTGAGAAGGGAACCAGGTCAAGAAAGACAGGTTGTGTTGGTGAACTTGAACTGCGCCTGTAACTTTAAATAATTAATTAATTAAAAAAATGTTGAATTGTGGCAAACATTTCTCCACCTGTTGAGTGCAGAGGCAGGAACCAGGATGAGTCAACAGGGGCATGGGGGAGGCCATCGGGCTACGTGAGGTCATTACTAGTGATTGTCTCTACTGCTGTTCACCTTAGGAAAATCTCTCTTTTTTTCATTTAATTTCTCTTATTTTCTGACTTCTTTTCTCTATGGCATTCATGGGATTTGTTTAACTGCACTGGCCCTCGGCAGTCTGGGAGGTAGGGGATATTTGTTCTCTCTGCTTACTTGGCTCCGTTGGCCAACTCCATGGGTTCTCAGTGCCGTCCCTCTGCCCCTTGGATGCCCCACCCCATCTACCCATACATTCAGGGTGCTCTGTGTGCACTTTCCCTCTCTGCATTTGGAATAACCCCATGCCCTGGATCTCTCCTTTCCTTCTTTCCCTATGCTACAATTTTCCTGTCTTGTGCATGTGCCCTCAGAGCCCTGCTTCTCATCCTGCAAGGTAACACCTAGCTGATTTGAGAAATGGAAGTGGTGGCTGCTTTGTTAGTGGGACGGGACCAGCTCTTCCAAACTGGACCCTATGTTGTTGTCTAACCCAACTGGGTGGCCACGATGACGACAATGGTAGTAGGCCTCTCAGGTCAGGTAGGAGAGGCGAGCAGCGCTGTGTCAGGTCAAAGGGAGAGAGTTTTGGGGCCTGTGAGGCCTTTTGCCATCATCAAGTCACACCGTCAAGGCTACTGAGTGCCCTGTGTAGGTTCAGGGCTGTGGCTTTGTGCTGTGTCAGCCAAACTAGAAGGGCTAAAGAGCTTGCTTCTAGTTCTTAGACTAGAAGGAACTAAGTCTTCTAAGCCTCCTACCCTTTCTCTTGCCTTTCTCAGAAGGCAGAGGTATTCAGAAAAGGGCAAGAGAGAGGGCAAGAGGCCCAGGAGACTTAGTTCCTGAGAATCTTTTGCTCTACAGTGGCTCCGAGCAAGTCCTGCCATACCTTGGGACCCCTAGAAAACTGAGTTTGTCCCTGCTGGGTAGGACTCCCCTGGGTGGTGAGCCAATTCCCTGCCAACCTGGAGGATCATTATCTGTGTGGTTGGGAGAGCAGGATGGTCGTGTGTAGCCTGCTGCCATGGGAGTGGAGCTCTCGCCAGCGGGTCCACCTTCCTGGGCTGTGTGTTTTCAGGCCATGGCCAGTGCAGCTGTGGGGACTGCCTGTGTGACTCCGACTGGACCGGCTACTACTGCAACTGTACCACGCGTACTGACACCTGCATGTCCAGCAATGGGCTGCTGTGCAGCGGCCGCGGCAAGTGTGAATGTGGCAGCTGTGTCTGTATCCAGCCGGGCTCCTATGGGGACACCTGTGAGAAGTGCCCCACCTGCCCAGATGCCTGCACCTTTAAGAAGTGAGTGTGGAGTCTGGAGAGAGCCGGGAGGCTGGGAGGTAGGAGAGGATCCCCTGACTAGAATCCCCAGCTCTCCAGGTGTGTTTCTTGCTCACCAGAGCCTTAGGGAGAGGAGTCCACTCCAGCCAGATGGCTGTCTCTCCTTTTGCCAAAGGCTTTGGGCAAGTTGGAATAGAGCCAACTGTGAAGGAGCCAAAGTTGAACGAGCTGGACTTCGATTGAGAATGTCCTCTCCTAGGGTGACATCCTGACTCCCTCTGAGCTGGGAGGAAGGCTAAACCAGTCTGAGGAACAATCCAGTGCTAATGTTCTGATTCAGTGGGAGATGTGAGGGCTGGAATTATGGAGGACACTCTGTGAAACTACTACAAACCTCCCACTTTAGGGGCCAGAGGAAGCCCCATCAGCCTGAGTCCATGGCACTGCCATTCTGCTTACCACTTTAAGCAGGGCCAGATTTACGAGTGTGCAACCTATGCAGCTGTATAGGGCCCTGTGCCTACAAGGGCCTCATGCTTGTTTTAATGCTCTGCCATCACTGTCTTGACATTCTTAGTAATCTTTGAACAAGGGAGCTGACATTTTCATTTTGCACTGGGCCCCCAAATGACATGACTGGTTCTGACTTTATAGTTCTCAGAAATGGCATAGGGTTCACCATCCTGGCACAGCCCTGGATGGGACGGGAAGTTTAATGAAGGACCTGGGAGGCTTCTGGCTGCCAGGTGCTGCCTACAGGTGAGGGGGACACTCCCACCCCTGAACTCCACACTTGCCATTCAGGTCCCCAGGATTGTCTTACAGGCGCGCGCGCGCGTGTGTGTGTGTGTGTGTGTGTTTTAATGGAGGTGGAGCAGCTTTCTGAATGCATGGAGATCAGAGCTGGACTGGGATACGCTTAGGCTTGCTCCTTCTTTGCCTTAATCACTGTGTCCTCTCTCCTTCAGAGAATGTGTGGAGTGTAAGAAGTTTGACCGGGGAGCCCTACATGACGAAAATACCTGCAACCGTTACTGCCGTGACGAGATTGAGTCAGTGAAAGAGCTTAGTAAGTTCAGCACATCTTAGAGTTGCACACACCCAGGTTCTAAATGTTTCTAATTCAATCCCAGAACCTATCCAACTCCCACCTGTAAAATGGAAGCGTGACTTCTACCTCAGGGAATGTTGTGCAGGCTTGAGGAACAATGGACACTTGATGTGAGCTGGTGTCTCTGAGAGTTGTCCTCCTCTCTTACTAGTGTGTGCAGCCATCCACCACTTCTGCTTCCCAGAGCCCACAGACTCAGCAAGAGCCTGCAAAGCAAAGGGAGCAAGTGCCTCCCTAAGGAAGGGAAGAGAATGTATCCCATTTTACAGATGAAAAAACTGAGGCACAGAGCTGGGAAGTGGTTGCCTGTGATAGTCATCATCTTAGCTCAGTAGGCTAGTAAGCGTTTACCAAGTTTACTTAACTAAAAGTGTTATGCAGTGCCCAAGATTTTGCTTAAAGCTTTGCAGTTTGGAGGGAAACCTTCAACCTTATGGATAGGCAACCAAAAGCTTTATCTGAAGTCCTTCTGCCTCTCTGGGGCCCCTTTTGAAATAAGACAGACAGAAATACAAACAATAGGGAGAAAAAAAATCTTGCCTGCAATTATTCTTGAAGTATTCTCTGTCCTTCATCTTAACTTAAAAGGAGATGATCTTTGCTGCTGTCATCACATCTGATATAGTTATGTGGGCCAGCGAGGCATTGAGATGGTACTCTAGTACTAGAGAGATGGCAATCTCTCCATAGATAGCAATCTCCCATGAAGGCAGAAACACATTTCAGAGAGAGCCACAGTAAGACACAGCCAGCCAGTCAGCTTCCTGGTGGGCGTGTTATAGAAAAGAGTCAGCTCTCTGGGCCTTTTGGCTAATATCAGAAGTAGGGCTGGGGTGAGGTTAGCGATTTGGGGATTGAGTTTGAAGAAACAGTTTTTCCTCTGGAGGAGATTAGGCTTGCTATGATTAGTTCAGAGAGGAGAGGCTGCTGAGATATTATTTTTACCATCTACACTAGGTGGGTATTACAGGCTAATTGATAAGCAGTTCTGTACCTCCACCTCCCCTCTACCTGTGGTATTATAGTACAGGGAAAAGAGTGTGGAAATAAGCATATTAAAATAAATGCTTATTTATAGGGAATTTTATAGCTTGTAAAAGTTATAAAGTATCTTTCATATACATTATCTTATTTTTCTGTCAATAGCCTAGTGAAGTAGAACTACAGTACTATTCTCATCTTCATTTTGAGTCTCAGGAAAGTTAAGTAACTGGCCCAAGCAAGGGAATGGCAAATTAAGATAAGAACTAGGTCCTGAAATCCGTACTCTTTTCCCTGTATTATAATACCACTGGTTTTCTGAAGGGTTGTTGAGTTCAAGTCTGCAAGATGTGCTTTGAGACTCCTGTTCTTGTTCTGCTTCATCACTCATTTGCTGTGTGACCTGGGTACATTTGCTTAATTTCATCATGTGTCAGTTTTACTCATCTGGTTTCATCAGTATGGGGCACAGTGCAGCTAGTGGAGGGTAACCCCTAGTATCTTTGCAGAATAACAAACTTTAGAATTAGAAGAGATGAAGTCTACAAAACACGGTGGGAGTCAGAGAAGAGAGGATAGCTCTGGGGAGGTATACTGGATCAGAAACAGAAATGGAAGAAATAGAACAGCTGCATAAGCAAACTATTAAGAATCACTAAGCAAGCAGAGAAAGGAAAGAGAGGGAAGAGTACACCTACTATATGTTAGGCACTGTTCACTTTATGCTGTTTAGTTCACCGACCTTGTGAGGTGGGGGTATCATTTTCTTTTTATAGATGAAGAAAGACTTGATGAGGTCAGGTAACTTACCCAAGATCACACAACGGGTAGGTAGTGAAGCCAGGATTTGAATTAAATTGTGTAATACTGTTATATCATGTCCCTTTCAGAGGAAGGATTAGGAACCAAAAAGGGCCTATGCAGTACAAAATACATCAGTGAGTGTCAGTGAGTGGCAACTGCCAGACACAACAGCCACCTTGAATCTAGGCATCGTGCACATGAGGCACAGGGTTTCCTGTCACATACTTCCCTGGAAGTCCTGTGATAGGGGTTTGGAGTGGTCCCATCTTCCAGTAGTTGTCTCACTTTTTATTCCTCCATTTTCCCTACTCCCAGAGGACACTGGCAAGGATGCAGTGAATTGTACCTATAAGAATGAGGATGACTGTGTCGTCAGATTCCAGTACTATGAAGATTCTAGTGGAAAGTCCATCCTGTATGTGGTAGAAGAGCCAGGTGAGTGAACCCTGACGGCTCCCGGCCCTGCCCCAGGAGGGAGAGGGAGAACCATGTTAGGCAGGAATCTCTACTCATCGAAGCTGTTAAGCAAAACAGGTTAAGCCTGCAAGTGATAAGTTAGGGGCCAGGTGTGGTGGTTAACACCTGTAATCCCAGCAGTTTGGAAGGCCATGGTGGGTGGATCGTCTGGGGTCAGGAGTTCAATACCAGCCTGGCCAACATGGTGAAACCCTGTCTCTACTAAAAATACAAAAACATTAGCCGGGCATGGTGGTGCATGCCTGTAATTCCAGCTCCTTGGGAGGCTGAGGCAGGAGACTCACTTGAACCCGGGAGGCACAGGTTGCAGTGAGCTGAGATCGCGCCACTGCACTCCAGCTTGGGCAACAGAGTGAGACTCTGTCTCAAAAAAACAAACAAACAACAACAACAACAAAAAAAAACGATAAGTTAGGGACCGTCATCTGGGTGAAGGGCATTTATAAATACAAATATTATCAAGAAAGTGACTTGTTAATTGAGGAGACAGGAAAATCAGAAAGCAGGTAAGGAGAAGAAGATAGATATGGATCTCATTAATGGACAAAATATATCACGCATTTTTTTGAGGCAATGATGTCAAGAAATAAAGAATTTAAATTTTAGGACTTTACAGCACATGGCATCTGCACTATTAAAATTGAGATGGTTGCCAAGAGCAACTTGACTGTGCTTCAGAGGAAGGCCTGATGGTTAGAGGTGTTACCTTTCCAAGTTTACTGCAGGATGTAGGGATAGGTTTGAGGCACTAAGGCAAGGCTGCCCTGAACACTGAAAGTACAGTGCCTTCTGGGAGCAGGAGGAATCCATCCCATCATACACAGACCAGCCACAGGTTTGTCACCAACCAATGCTGTCGATCGCTTGCTTCCCTTTAACACCTTCATGGCCTTTGTTCTCCTTAAACAACAGGTTAAGATGAATTATTAGAAAACATTTTTGAGTATTCACTGCCAGTAGACCCCTTCCCCCACATTAGGAGAACAGACCCCAGATCCATAGACCCACGTTTCCTATCTTTTTTTTTGAGATAGGGTCTCATTTTGTTGCCCAGGTTGGGGTGCAGTGGTGCGACCTTGGCTCACTGCAGTCTCAACCTCTTCGGCTCACACAATCCTCCCATCCCAGCCTCCCTGGGACTACAGGCGTACACTACCACACCTGGCTACTTTTTAATTTTTATTTTTTTGTAGAGATGAAGTCTCACTATGTTGCCCTGGCTAGTCTCAAAACTCTGGGACTCAAGTGATCCCCCCGCCTCAGCCCCCCGCAAAGTGTTGGGATTACAGGTGTGAGCCAACACACAGGGCCAACATTTCCTATGTTGTTGCTCTGGAATTCTAGGCTCCGCCTCCCTGCTCATCTCCCAGCTCCAATCATTTCCTGGCTTTGAGTAGAATGTTGCAGCTGGGGCCTCAGACAGTGGGGGAGATGATTCTCTTTCTCTTCCCCAACTCATGCTCTTGCAGATGCTCTCTTTGAAGGGCTAAGCCACTATAGGGCAGTAAAGACAACACTGCCAAAAGTTTTGGCATTGGCCAAATGGAATTTAACCACATGGAATGGGCTCTTGAGCTGGGCTCTTATCACTCCCAGATGGGGTTACCAAATAAAATACACTAGGTCCCATGCAGTATTTGGTACACAATGATAGTAAAAAATAATCATTTATCTGAAATTCAGATTTGTCTTGGCTTCCTGCTTTTTTTGTTTTGTTTTTGTTTTTGTTTTTGTTTTTGTTTTGAGACAGAGTCTTGCTCTGTTGCCCAGGGTGGAGTACAGCGGCGTGATCTTGGCTCACTGCAATCTCTGCCTCCCAGGTTCAAGCAATTCTCCTGCCTCAGCCTCCTGAGTAGCTGGGATTACAGGCGCCCACCACCACACCTGACTAACTTTTGTATTTTTAGTAGAGACAGGGTTTCACCATGTTGGCCAGGCTGGTCTTGAACTCCTGACTTCAAGTGATCTGGCTGCCTTGGCCTCCTGAAGTGCTGGGATTCCAGGTGTGAGCCACTGCACCTGGCCAAGCATCCTGTGTTTTTGTTTGCTGAATCTGCCAACCCTACCCAGACTTCTCTGACCTTGGGTCATTTGCCATTGGTCCACCGCTGTGGCTGGAAGGGCCCTCCAGAGGTCACCTGATCTTGCCTTCTGCTTCCAGGAAACCCACCCCAAACTCCTTTCAGGACACATGGTTAACAGATTGTTTTCCCCTAAAGACCTCCTGGCACCCTACCTGCCCTGCCCATACTAATGTGCAGAATTAAAGAGATTTTACTTTGATAATTGAGGGTCAGCCCTACCCAAATCTTCCAGAGAATCCATAATTGTTTTTCCCAGAACTGGGGCCCTTCACTCTTGGGAACTTGAACACTGGAACCTCACAGCCTCTCTCCAGGCACTCATTTAATTATAGACAGGTTGTAATTTGGCGGGTTGGGAGATAGCCAGCTTGAGTTATGGTGGTGGTTGTTTTTGTGGTGTGTGTGGTGAGCATTGGGTATATGTTTGGCGAAGAAGGTGGGAGACAGTGTGGAAAGTGGGTGTGACTTCCTCTCCAGGCTCATTAGCACCCTCATATATAAACACCTGGTTTCATAACACTTGAGGTTACTGGAATAAGATCACCTATTAGATACCTGACATTTGTGGGAAGCAGAGCTCTGCAGAGTATACTCAGCCTGACCCCCAGAGGGGTGACATGCCTCTGTTTTAGTTGTTGACTGGGGTTGAACAGGAAGGCAGCTTTCAATAGGGTTATGATTTTAGATGACTAAGTATTTTGGGAAAGAACCCAAAATATTGTCTTGGCTGGCAGGTCCTGGTCTCTAAGAATGCAAAAAATGTCATTAGGTTCACAGCCCTCAGGAATGTAAATATCTGAACCAGGATAACAGACACAAATACTTACAGTGGCTAAGGAAGCAAATAAGTTAGTGAAAACAGCTGGGTGTAAGAAGATCCGTTACAACGGTAGCTGATATTTACTGAGCACTTACTCTGTGCCAGGCATTGTTCTGAGTTTTTAAGATATATTTAATTTAATCATTCCTCATAACAAGTTTCTTTTAAAGTCAGTGCTATTACTATCTTCATTTTAAAGATGGAGAAACAGGAAACAGACATTCAGAAAGGTTAAGTAATTTTCCAAAGATCATGTATAAAAGTTAAGTGATAAGTCAGGATTCAAACCCAGGGAGTCTGGCTGTAACATCCACAGGAGCGCAGACACACCAACAAGTCACACTGCCTTCCTCTAGGAGAGAGAAGGGAGAGTGGTGGGGATTCTGGTAAACTAGAAAACATGAGTTCCAACTAAAAGGAGCAGCTCCTCCTCAGCTCTAGCTAACTGCTGCTCTGCAGGAATATAAGAATCTCTCTCTTTCTGTATTTCTCTCTTTCTTTCTTTTGAGATAGTCTCTCCCTCTGTCATCCAGGCTGGAGAGCAGTGGCACGATCATGGCTCACTATGACCTTGACCTCCCAGGCTCAAACGATCCTCCCACCTCAGCATCCTGAGTAGCTGGGACTACAGGCATATGCCACAATGCCTGGCTAATTAAAAAAGACAATTTTGTAGAGGCAGAGCCTCACTATGTTGCCCAGGCTGGTCTTGAACTTCTGGACTCAAGCTGTCCTCCTGCCTCGGCCTCCCAAGTGCTGGCATTATAGGCATGAGCCACTGGGCCTGGCCTGGATTTTCTTTTTAAAGAGACTAATATGAAATTTTAGGGGGAGAATCTCCTGATTATTCAATATTGCCAATAAAGTCAATTTTTTATTTCTTATTCATTTATTTATTTATTTATTTATTTTGAGATGGAGTTTTGCTCTGTTACCCAGGCTGGAGTGTAATGGTGTGATCTCGGTTCACTGCAACCTCTACCTCCCAGGTTCAAGTGATTCTGTGCTTCAGCCTCCCAAGTAGCTGGGATTACAGGTGCTCGCCACCATGCTAGGCTAATTTTTGTAGTTTTAGTAGAGATGGGGTTTCACCATGTTGGCCAGGCTGGTCTCAAACTCCTGACCTCAGGTGCTCTGCCCACCTTGGCCTCCCAAAGTGCTGGGATTACAGGTGTGAGCCACCACACTCGGCTTTTTATTTTTAATTTTTTAAAAAACTTTTATTTTTGCTTTAGGGGTACATGTGTGGGTTTGTTCCGTAGATAAACTGTGAGTCATGGGGGTCTGGTGTACCTATTATTTCATCACCCAGGTAATAAGCATAGTGACTCATAGGTAGTTTTTCGATCCCCACCTCCTCCCCGTCTCCACCCTCAAGTAGGTCCCAGTGTCTGGTGTTCTCTTCTTTGTGTTTAATTTTTAAAATAAACACTTGGGTGAACCCCCACACAAAGGTGTGGCTGGGTTCTGTCTAGGGGTTACCAGGTCTAGACTTCTGATTTGAGCCACTCAGTGCAGATTATTGCTGTCCTAATGATTGTCTCCTTAAAAAAATTAATTTTTGAAAACTGTCCTATTTCCTTCAAGGACCTTAGTTACTTTGTCAAGAACACCTTTTTCATAGCCAGTTCAAGTGACTCCTGCTTCATTCACAACCGCCCTGCTCTGTGCTTCTTCCTCACAGAGTGTCCCAAGGGCCCTGACATCCTGGTGGTCCTGCTCTCAGTGATGGGGGCCATTCTGCTCATTGGCCTTGCCGCCCTGCTCATCTGGAAACTCCTCATCACCATCCACGACCGAAAAGAATTCGCTAAATTTGAGGAAGAACGCGCCAGAGCAAAATGGGACACAGTAAGAGACGGGGCTGGGCGTTTTCTAAAGTCATTGGTCTGAGACTCTTAAGTGGAAGCAGCAGATGCTTTGGGTGGTCATGTTCAGCCAGTACCATCGTCTTTCCATTATCCTCTGTTCTGGAAACTGGGAGAGATGGTCTCACTATCCCCTTGTCCTTCAGCTTCCTTCAGCCTCTTAGAAATAGTGGCAGGATGTCATTCCATCTCATTCTCTTCTTTCTCCTCAAATAAATGGTTACTTCCAGGCTGGGCCTGGTGGCGCGTGCCTGTAATCCCAGCACTTTGAGAGGCCAAGGTGGGCAGATCACTTGAGCTCAAGAGTTCGAGACCAGCCTGGGCAACATGGTGAAACCCCGTCTCTATTAATAATATAAAAATTAGCCGGGTGTGGTGGTGCATGCCTGTAATCCCAGCTATTCGGGAGGCTGAAGCAGGAGGATTGCTTGAACCCAGTAGGTAGAGGTTGTAGTGAGCTGAGATTGCACCCTGCTCTGGGTGACAGAGCAGGACTCGGTCTCAAAAATAATAATAATAATAATAATAATAATAAAATAAAATAAAAGGTTACTTCCAAATCAGACTCTACTCTTTTATCCTGATTTATTCCAATTAAATAAGCATTTACTGAGAACTTTCTATATACTTAATCTTACTCTATTCTCTTTTGGCTCTTCTTTCACATTTCAACTTTTTTCCTCGACCCTCCAAATGGCTATTTGACTCCCCAAATGTCCAGAGTTAGGCTGCAAGTTTGTTCCCATTTGATGTTGACCCCAGAGCTTTATACTCAAGGGTCCCAAGAAACTGAGATGTTTCTGTTAGAACAGTGTGGAACATCCTGTACCTATGAGGCCCACAGGAATGTGTTTCTTTCTCTTTTTTTTTGGAGACAGAGTCTTGCTCTGTCACCCAGGCTTGAGTGTAGCGATCTTGGCTCACTGCAACCTTGGCCTCTCAGGTTCAAGTGATTCTCCTGCCTCAGCCTCCCAAGTAACTGGATTACAGGCGCCAGCCACTGTGCCCAGCTATTTTTTGTATTTTTAGTAGCGACGGGGTTTCACCATGTTGGCCAGGCTGGTCTCGAACTCCTGACCTCGTGATCACCCGCCTCGGCCTCCCAAAGTGCTAGGATTCCAGGCGTGAGCCACTGCGCCTGGCTAAGAATGTGTTTCTTGAAGCTACCATTATAGGATTTGTTACTTTCTGTTGGAAAATAGTTTGGGAAACCTAGTGAGGGTCTTACTTTTTCCTGATAACATGACAGTTTGTGGATAGTGCTTTCTCTTTCTCTCCCCTCCTCTCCCATTCCCTCCCCTCCCCTCCCCTCTCCTCCCCTCCCCTTCCTTTTACGCTTCCTCCCCTCCCCTTCCCTTCCTCCCCTCCTCTCCTTTTCTTTCCCTTCCCTTCCCTCCTTCCTTCTTTTTTTGAGACAGGGTCTCGCTCTGTCACCCATGCTGGAGTGCAGTGGTGCCATCATGGCTCAATGCAGCCTCCATCTCCTGGGCTCAAGTGATCCTCCCACCTCACCCTCCCAAGTAGCCAGGACTACAGGCACACATCACCGAGCCAGCTAATTTTTGTATTTTTTTCCCTTGTAGAGACAGGGTCTCACTCTGTTACCCAGGCTGGTCTAGAACTCCTGGGCTCAAGTGATCTTCCTACCTTGGCCCCTAAAAGTGCTGGGATTATAGGCATAAACCACCATGCCTGGCCATGGTTAGTGCTTGGCCAGATTAGATGAAAACAAATTAATAATTATTTGAGCAAAAGCTTTCCTCTGTGTTCTGAATTGCACCTGATACATTTCTGTCCCTTGTCCACATCTCCTATCACTGTCACAGGGAATGGAAAATAGGAGAAGGGCAAAAGAGACGGGGACACAGGGGTGAAATAGGAGAGGTTCTATCCCCGAATGCTGTGGAATCACTGAAGAGTGATAGGCTGAATATAGCTCCTTAGAAATAGTGGCAGGGAACAGGTGTGGTGGCTCATGCCTGTAATTCCAGCACTTTGGGAGGCTGAGGCAGGTGGATCGCTTGAGCTCAGGAGTTTGAGACCAGCCTGGGCAACATGAAGAAACCCCATCTCTACAAAAAAATGCAAAAATTAGCCAGACATGGTGGTGTGTGCCTGTAGTCCCAGCTACTTGGGAGGCTGAGGTGGGAGGATGTCTTGAGTCAGGGGAGGTGGAGGTTTCAGTAAGCCGAGATTGTGCCACTGCACTCCAGCCTGGGCAACAAAATGAGACCCTGTCTGAAAAAAAAAAAAAAAAAAAGAAACGGTGGCAGGATGGCATTCTACCTCATCTCCTCCTGTTATTTCCTATCAATTCCCATGCCAAGAACTAAAGTGTGAGCAAAATGAACATTATTCTGTTTCATTGATGATGTATTCCAGAGAACGGTGCCTTGGGAAAACTTCTGAGATGAATTTTAAACATTCAGGGTAGGGAAGGACTTAAGGAAGTCACTGTAAGATGCTATTCTGTTTCCTCCACAGGCCAACAACCCACTGTATAAAGAGGCCACGTCTACCTTCACCAATATCACGTACCGGGGCACTTAATGATAAGCAGTCATCCTCAGATCATTATCAGCCTGTGCCACGATTGCAGGAGTCCCTGCCATCATGTTTACAGAGGACAGTATTTGTGGGGAGGGATTTGGGGCTCAGAGTGGGGTAGGTTGGGAGAATGTCAGTATGTGGAAGTGTGGGTCTGTGTGTGTGTATGTGGGGGTCTGTGTGTTTATGTGTGTGTGTTGTGTGTGGGAGTGTGTAATTTAAAATTGTGATGTGTCCTGATAAGCTGAGCTCCTTAGCCTTTGTCCCAGAATGCCTCCTGCAGGGATTCTTCCTGCTTAGCTTGAGGGTGACTATGGAGCTGAGCAGGTGTTCTTCATTACCTCAGTGAGAAGCCAGCTTTCCTCATCAGGCCATTGTCCCTGAAGAGAAGGGCAGGGCTGAGGCCTCTCATTCCAGAGGAAGGGACACCAAGCCTTGGCTCTACCCTGAGTTCATAAATTTATGGTTCTCAGGCCTGACTCTCAGCAGCTATGGTAGGAACTGCTGGGCTTGGCAGCCCGGGTCATCTGTACCTCTGCCTCCTTTCCCCTCCCTCAGGCCGAAGGAGGAGTCAGGGAGAGCTGAACTATTAGAGCTGCCTGTGCCTTTTGCCATCCCCTCAACCCAGCTATGGTTCTCTCGCAAGGGAAGTCCTTGCAAGCTAATTCTTTGACCTGTTGGGAGTGAGGATGTCTGGGCCACTCAGGGGTCATTCATGGCCTGGGGGATGTACCAGCATCTCCCAGTTCATAATCACAACCCTTCAGATTTGCCTTATTGGCAGCTCTACTCTGGAGGTTTGTTTAGAAGAAGTGTGTCACCCTTAGGCCAGCACCATCTCTTTACCTCCTAATTCCACACCCTCACTGCTGTAGACATTTGCTATGAGCTGGGGATGTCTCTCATGACCAAATGCTTTTCCTCAAAGGGAGAGAGTGCTATTGTAGAGCCAGAGGTCTGGCCCTATGCTTCCGGCCTCCTGTCCCTCATCCATAGCACCTCCACATACCTGGCCCTGTGCCTTGGTGTGCTGTATCCATCCATGGGGCTGATTGTATTTACCTTCTACCTCTTGGCTGCCTTGTGAAGGAATTATTCCCATGAGTTGGCTGGGAATAAGTGCCAGGATGGAATGATGGGTCAGTTGTATCAGCACGTGTGGCCTGTTCTTCTATGGGTTGGACAACCTCATTTTAACTCAGTCTTTAATCTGAGAGGCCACAGTGCAATTTTATTTTATTTTTCTCATGATGAGGTTTTCTTAACTTAAAAGAACATGTATATAAACATGCTTGCATTATATTTGTAAATTTATGTGATGGCAAAGAAGGAGAGCATAGGAAACCACACAGACTTGGGCAGGGTACAGACACTCCCACTTGGCATCATTCACAGCAAGTCACTGGCCAGTGGCTGGATCTGTGAGGGGCTCTCTCATGATAGAAGGCTATGGGGATAGATGTGTGGACACATTGGACCTTTCCTGAGGAAGAGGGACTGTTCTTTTGTCCCAGAAAAGCAGTGGCTCCATTGGTGTTGACATACATCCAACATTAAAAGCCACCCCCAAATGCCCAAGAAAAAAAGAAAGACTTATCAACATTTGTTCCATGAGCAGAAAACTGGAGCTCTGGCCTCAGTGTTACAGCTAAATAATCTTTAATTAAGGCAAGTCACTTTCTTCTTCTTAAAGCTGTTTTCTAGTTTGAGAAATGATGGGATTTTAGCAGCCAGTCTTGAAGGTCTCTTTCAGTATCAACATTCTAAGATGCTGGGACTTACTGTGTCATCAAATGTGCGGTTAAGATTCTCTGGGATATTGATACTGTTTGTGTTTTTAGTTGGGAGATCTGAGAGACCTGGCTTTGGCAAGAGCAGATGTCATTCCATATCACCTTTCTCAATGAAAGTCTCATTCTATCCTCTCTCCAAACCCGTTTTCCAACATTTGTTAATAGTTACGTCTCTCCTGATGTAGCACTTAAGCTTCATTTAGTTATTATTTCTTTCTTCACTTTGCACACATTTGCATCCACATATTAGGGAAGAGGAATCCATAAGTAGCTGAAATATCTATTCTGTATTATTGTGTTAACATTGAGAATAAGCCTTGGAATTAGATATGGGGCAATGACTGAGCCCTGTCTCACCCATGGATTACTCCTTACTGTAGGGAATGGCAGTATGGTAGAGGGATAAATAGGGGGCGGGGAGGGATAGTCATGGATCCAAGAAGTCCTTAGAAATAGTGGCAGGGAACAGGTGTGGAAGCTCATGCCTGTAATTATAACCTTCAGCTACTAAGACAGGTGTGGTGGCTCACGCCTGTGATTATAATCTTCAGTTACTAAGACAGAGTCCATGAGAGTGTTAATGGGACATTTTCTTTAGATAAGATGTTTTATATGAAGAAACTGTATCAAAGGGGGAAGAAAATGTATTTAACAGGTGAATCAAATCAGGAATCTTGTCTGAGCTACTGGAATGAAGTTCACAGGTCTTGAAGACCAATATTATTTGTCAATATGTGGGGATAACCTGTAGCTGCATTCATGAGGTAGCAAATAGCAGTTTTGGCCTGTGGGGTGAACAGCTAAACAGTGTTCTGGCATCAGATAACACGGCACAAAGGGATTGTGTCTAGCTCTTTTGGAGAAAATTTATGTCCAGTCTCAGGATCTGTGGACAATAACGGAAAACTTTGAATATTCCTGACAAGTTGCCATATTAGGAGTCAGTTCTTTACTTCTCTGAGATTCCCAGGTCATCCATGATTTTTTTTTTAATTTGAGACAAAGCCTCACTCTTGTTGCCCAAGCTGGAATGCAATGGCAAGATCTCAGTTCACTGCAATCTCTGCCTCTCAGGTTCAAGCCATTCTCCTGCCTCAGCCTCCCCAGTAGCCGGGATTACAGGCACCCGCCACCACACCCGGCTAATTTTTGTATTTTTAGTAGAGACGGGGTTTCACCATGTTGGCCAGGCTGGTCTCGAACTCCTGACCTTAGGCGATCCACCTTCCTCGGCCTCCCACAGTGCTGGGATTACAAGTGTGAAGCACTGTGCCCGGCCAGTCATCCATGATTTTAATGGGGTCCAAAGGCCTCTTTTTCTTTGTTAAGTATTCCTGGTTGAAATTTCTTTTCTTTTTTTTTTTTTTTTTGAGACAGAGTCTTGCTCTATCACCCAGGCTGGAGTGCAGTGGCACGATCTCTGCTCACTGCAAGCTTCGCCTCCCGGGTTCACGCCATTCTCCTGCCTCAGCCTCCCGAGTAGCTGGGATTACAGGCACCTGCCACCACGCCCGGCTAATTTCTTTTTGTATTTTTAGTAGAGACGGGGTTTCACGGTGTTAGCCAGGAAGGTCTCGATCTCCTGACCTCGTGATCCTCCCGCCTCGGCCTCCCAAAGTGCTGGGATTACAGGCGTGAGCCACTGCCCCCGGCTGTGGTTGAAATTTCTTAAGTGCCTTCCTCACTTCCTAACCACCTTCTCTGTTTGGGTTTGTGCAACAGTAAATTAAATGTACTTTCCAAAAAGAATTGGCCTAAGGCTGCTCAGTGCTTCCTGTGTTGTTATTTCTGTTTCCTTTGGATGAAAAGAATAGGTGTCATTGACTCAGAAATGATTATTTTAGAACAAGCATGTTTCCAAATGTAACAGAATGATGACTACTATGGGTACTGAAGCTAGCTTCAGAATCCAGAGCTTCTCTTTAGATTTTTTTGTTGTTGTTGTTGAGATGGAGTCTCGCTCTGTTGCCCAGGCTGGAGTGAAGTGAGCGCGATCTCGGCTCATTGCAACCTCTGCTTCCTGGGCTCAGGAGATTCTCCTGCCTCAGCCTCCCGAGTGGCTGGGATTACAGGCGCCCACCACCATACCTGGCAAATTTTTGTATTTTTATTTATTTTTGAGATGGAGTCTCTCTCTGTTGCCCAGGCTGGAGTGCAGTGGTGTGATCCCTGCTCACTACAACATCTGCCTCCGGGGCTCAAGCAATTCTCCTGCCTCAGCCTCCTGAGTAGCTGGGATTACAGGTGTGCATCATCACATCCGGCTAATTTTTGTATTTTTAGTAGAGACAGGGTTTCACCATGTTGGCCAGGCTGGTCACAAACTCCTGACCTCAACTGATCCGCCGGCCTCGGCTTCCCAAAATGCTGGAATTACAGGTGTGAGCCACCAGGCCCGGCCCTCTTTAGACTTAATATTTTTTAAATGAGTAGGTTATTACTGTTCTAAGAGTTTGCGGTTTTTTTTTTTTAATTGGGTATTATTTAGGAACTTGTGCAACCTCAAAAGAACAGACTGCCAGTGTAGCCTAGATTTTGTTTGTAGGAAGCATAAATGGATAAAATAATAGCTTAATGGCAAATTATTTACAGGACCATTTAAATGCCTAAATTTTATTTAAGGCAGTGGGTGTCAAAGTGTGGTCCCAAGACCAGCAACATCAATATCAGCTGGAAACTTGTTAGAAATGAAAATTGACAGGCCCCACCCCACAGCTGCTGAATCAGAAAATCTGGGAGTGGGGACCCATGATCTGTTTTAAGAAGCCTCCCTGGTGATTCTAATTCATGCTCAAGTTTAAGAACAACTGATTTAAGGAATCACATATTTAGCCTTCTTGCCTAGAAAGAACTTTATAGTAAGGCAGCTTAGTTACTATATACAGTTAATAGCAAACCTTGCCTGACATACTCAGAAGATGAAATATCCACCCACACAAAATGAAAATCTACTTTGACCTATTTTCCAGGTTAAATGATCTTGGGTATCTTGCTTTCACTCATGACCACAAATTCCCATGAAAAACTGGAAGAATAGAATCCTGGGGAAAAACTAACAGGATACTTTTTATGTGTACTAAGACACAAGCAAGGAAATATTCTTACAGAATTTATTCACAGGAGATAGGATCAAAATCTTAATTATTAACATTATCATCCTATAGGATGCTAGAATAATACTTAGAATTTTTTACTTTACAGCCAAAAGGCTGTTTAAAATTTATTGAACACCAACAGTGTGGGACTGAAGTACCTTACAGAACACTGATAACATAATCTTTGTCTTTAAGTCCTTTTTTTTTTTTTCAGACGGGATCTCATTTTGTTGCCAGAATGCAGTGGCATCATCATGGCCACTGCAGCCTTGACCTCCCAAGCTCAAGGGATTCTCCTGCCTTGGCCTTCCAAAGCGTTGGGACTACAGACACATGCCACCATACTCGGCTAATTAAATACATATTTTTTTGTAGAGATGAGGTCTCACTATATTGCCCCGGCTGGTCTCAAACTCCTGGGCTCAAGCAATCCTTCCACCTTTACCTCCTAAAGTACTGGAATTACAAGTGTGAGCTACGGTGCCTGGCCTGAGTCTTAAATTCCTAACATAATGTACATTTTTTGAGCATAATACAATACATGACATCATTAAGAGATTACGTGAACATAGACTGAGACCTTTTATGGTGAAATCTTGTGAGATTCACTATGTTTTATTTACGTCTTGGTAACTGCTGACTAAATGTCTGGATGAAAATAGAGGATCTTATGTAAAATGAGATGAAAAGCTATATGTCAAGCCACATTTGTAATCCTTTAACGCTTGGCTTCGGTAGTCCAAACTCTACAGTAACAGAGCCATCTAATGGCCACTGGGACCAATTACAAGCAGATTGCCTGGGAATTACTCAGTTTTCACAGTATAATGGAACCATAACGTATGCTCTGCAAATAAGCCATTTAAAAATCATTTCTAATTGGTTTTATAATACAATATATTTATGGAAGTATATATTCCTAATTTGTTTTAGTTTGGTTAAAACATGCAAGGAGGCAGTCTTAGAAGCTTGTGATTAGGGTTAAGTATATCATTACATAAAAATTTAAAAATCCACTTAATGTGGCTACCTAAGAATGGTTTGTATGTGAAAAGAAAATGAAGAGGTCAGGAACATGACTGCCTTCCTTGAGGCTGCTAATGTTATAATGAAGCCCCTCCAACTCCTTGCATAAAGGAAACACTTTCATCAGCTGTATATTTTCTGACACATCAAAGATTGCTCACAGAAAGCACCATTTAGAAAATTTAGGAGCCTTTAAACAAAATGTCCATTTTAAATTATTCTTTAGCAGTGTCCCCAATAAGAACTTGTAAGGAAAACGTTTCACAATTGATTTCATTTTAGTATAGTAATTGGATTTTCCAGTGACTCATACAGAATTGGCTTGATTCTTTGGAGAGATCACAGTGATGATGTGTAAATATCGCTTTGGTGGCCAATGGAAATACTTCGTTAAGAAATTGGAAAAAAATGTTGATGGGTGTGTGCTGGACTTTGCCTTTCCTGACCCTTACACTCACCATTGTGACAGAGATTGCTGATTGTGCCCAGTATGTTTTCTCCTTCTCACATAATATTAGAACTTCTGCTGTTTAGTTGGGCACATGGTTGCCCAGAATAAATATTCTTTTATTACTAATAAGCAAATTTAGTAAAGTTGCTAGATACAAAGAGCATGCAAAAATCTTGTAGCTACATGTGCCATGTCCATCTCATAGACAATGAGATGTAAATGAAAGAGGTGTATGCAACTTCCAGTAAATGCTGTTTAAGGGAAGGAACATACTTTTCTCCATTTCCTTCATCTTGCAGGCGGGAATGCAGAGTTAATACCTAGAAGTTAAGTAGCCCTCATAGCTCAATATGTGACCTTGGGGATTGTATTATTTTATTTATTTTTAAAATTTTTTTAAGGAGGTAAGGTCTTGCTTTGTTGCCCAGGTTGGACTCGAACTCCTGGGTTCAAGCAATCCTCCCACCTCAACCTCCCCACGTAGCTGGGACTACAGGTGCATGCCACCACACCCAGTGGGGATTGTATTAGTTATCTGTTGCTGCATAAGAAATTACTCCACAATTTAGTAGCTTAAAACAACAAACATTATCTTGCTGTTTCTGTGGTCAGGAATTTAGGAATGGCTTAGCTGGGTGGTTCTGGCTCAGAGACTCTCATGAGGTTGGAGTCAAACTGTTGGCCAGGGCTGTAGTCGGTTGAAGGCTAAAAAGGGCTGGAGAATCCTTTTCTAAGATGGCTTACTCACATGGCTGTTGGCAGGAGGCATCAATTCCATGCTGGCTATTGGCAATAGACCTTAGTTCCTCACCACTTGGATATCTCTATAGGACTGCTTGAGTGTCTGCATGACATGTCAGCTAGTTTCTCCCAGCGGGAGTAATCCAAGAGAGAACAGGGAGGAAGCTACAATTTTTTTATGACTTAGTTTTGTAAGTGTTACACCATAATTTCTGCCATACACTATTCATTAGAAGTAGCCCACTAAATCCAGCTAACATTCAAGAGGAGGGAAATAGATGCCACCTCTTGAAGGGAGGAGCATTGTGTACAGAATCATTGCCCCCCAAAGACAGCCACATCCCCATCTCCAGAACCTGTGAATATGTTACCTTACGTGGAACAAACAACTTTGTTGACATAATTAATGATCTTTAGATGAGGCAATCATCCTGGATTATCTGGGGAGGCTCAATGTAATCACAAGTGTCCTTATAAGAGGGGGTCAGGGCTGGGCTTAGTGGCTCATGCCTGTAATCCCAGGACTTTGGGAGGCTGAGGTGGTTGGATCACTTGAGGCCATGAGTTTGAGACCAGCCTGGCCAACATGGCGAAACCCTGTCTCTACTAAAAATACAAAAAAATTAGTTGGGCATGGTGGCACGCACCTGTAATCCCAACTACTTGTGAGGCCAAGGCATAAGAATCGCTTGAACCCAGGAGGCAAAGGTTACAGTGAGCCGAGATTGTGCCACAGCACTCCAGCCTGGATGACAGAGTAATACTCTGTCTCAAAAAAAAAAAAAAAAAAAAAAAAGAGAGGGAGTTAGGGGGGCCAGAGTGAGAGTGAATGGAAGTGGGTCAGACTGATATGGCCATAAGTCAAGCAATGTATACAGCCCGTAGAAGTTGGAAAAGGCAAAGAATGGATTCTCTTCCACGGCCTCAATAAGAAATGCAGCCTTTGATTTTAACACTGTAAGGCTCATTTTGTACTTCTGGCCTCCAGAAACTTGGGATGATAAATTTGTGCTATTTAAGCCACTAAGTTTGTGGTAATTTGTTACCACAGCATAGGAAATGAATACAAATATCAAAGTGTTTGTGGACATATTTTAAGACTACCTCAGGCAACCCTCTGGTCACAAATTATTTATAGTTCTCCCACATGCAAAATAAACTTACCCCTTCTAAGGCCCCAAAGTCTTATCCCATTATAGCATCAATTCAAAGTTCAGAATCTTATCCTCTACGTAAGTCCAGGGAAGATGAGACTTCTTGGGTGTAATTCCTTAAATACAGCTACTCAAGTACATGCTTTTCAATCTGAAGTTCTGCGAACAAAAAGAAAAAGGTCATATGCTCCTTTCCCCACAGCAACCAATGTAAAACAGCAGGGGCAGGGAGATAACTGCTATAGACACTCCTGTTCCAACAGGTGGAAACCAAGGTGCACAGAAGTCACTGGTTCATAGCAATTCTGAAATCCATTTGAGTACAGGTTTGCAGTTCTACACTCAAAGCCTGGGAATAACTCCCTATGGCTTTTGGTTCCACCTTCTGGGCTCTTGGTTTTATCCTCTAAGTCATCCTTTTTTGTGTGAAAGGGAGATGTGTTTGGACCTAAATAGTTTTCTTAGCCTGCTTCCTGTTTGTAGAAATGCGTTTGTAGAAAGGGTCCAAAGGCCCCTTTCCTTTTTGTACTCTTTTTCAGCTCAAGCTGACAGTATTTCTGACAATACAATTCTCTTAAAACAATTTTTGAATCTACTGTGAATCTTACTGGGTTTTAGTCCAGGAGACAAAAGCCATGGCAGCAAATACCTTTGAGATATGTCTTTTTCTACCTTGGGCTTCTGCTGAAGGACAAAGACCTTAAGTTTCTTAGAAGCCCTATTGTTTGAATGAGAGGACCTGTGAGCCATACTCTTAAAATCTTTTTTCTGAGACGGAGTCTTACTCTGTCACCGAGGCTGGAGTGCAGTGGCGAGATCTTGGGTCACTGCAATCTCCGCCTCCCGGGTTCAAGCAATTCTCCAGCCTCAGCCTCCTGAGTAGCTGGGATTACAGGCACCCGCCACCACGCTCGGCTAATTTTTTTGTATTTTTGTAGAGATGAGGTTTCACCATGTTGGCCAGGCTGGTCTCCAACTCCTGACCTCAGGTGATCCACCCACCTCGGCCTCTCAAAGTGTTGGGATTACAGGCGTGAACCACTGCACCCAGCCACTCTTAAAATCTTTAGAGAGTCTTTGCCTGATTGAACAGTACTCCGAGGTACCATCCTTAAACACAACAGGCGTGGGGAGTGGGAAAGCGGGTGATGGAGGGTGGATTGAGGGGTATTTACAAAAATAAAAGACATGGTCTCAGCACTCAGATATTTCAGAATCTTTGGGGAGATAAACTATATACATTTAAAAAGCACTAAAGAATTACAGGTCATATCCCTAATGAGTATAGATACAAAAATCCTCAACAAAATACTAGCATACTGACTTCAACAATACATTCAAAGAATAATTCACCATGATCTAGTGGGATTTATCCCTGGGATGCAAGTATGGTTCAACATATGGGAATCTATAAATGTGATACACCACATAAACAAAAATCATATGATCATTTCAATAGATACATAAAAAGCATTTGATGAAATTAAACATCCTTTCATGATGAAAATTCTCAACAAATTAGGTATAGAAGGAACGTACCTCAACACAATAAAGGTCATATATGATAAGCCTACAGCTAACATTCTCAACAGTGAAAAGTTGAAGGCATTTCCTTTAAGATCAGGAACAAGAAAAGGATGCCCACTCTTACTGCTTTTTTTTTTTTCAACATAGCACTGGAAGTTCTAGTCAGAATAATTAAGCAAGAGAAATAAAAGGCATCTTAATAGGAAAGGAAGCATTGGAATTTTCTCTTTGTTGACAATATGATCTTATATATAGAAAACCCAAAAGACTCCACCAAAAAACTGTTAGAACTAATAAAGTCAGTAAAATTGCTGTACACAGTCAACACACAAAAATCAGCAGCATTTCTAGAGGCCAACAACAAATCCAAAAAAGAAATTAAGAAAATAATTCTACTTATATTAGCAAAAACCAAAACTGAAACAAAAAAGGTGTAAATTTAACCAAGAAAGTGAAAGATCTTTATACTAAAAACTAAAAAACACTGATGAAAGAAATTGGAAAAAACACAAATAAACGAAAAGACATCCCATGTTCTTGGAGTGGAATAATTAATATAATTAAAATGCCCATGCTACTCAAAGTGATCTATAGATTCAATGCAATTCCTATCAAAATTCCAGAGTTATTTTTCATGGAAATAAAAAAATCCTAAAATTCATATGGAACCGTAAAAGATCCCAAATAACCAAAGCAATCTTGAGCAAAAAGAACAAAGTTGGGCCAGGTGTGGTGGCTCACGCCTGTAATCCCAGTACTTTGGGAGGCCGAGGCGGGCAGATCATGAGATCAGGAGTTCAAGACCAGCCTGGCCAACATGGTAAAAAAAAAACCCCGTCTCTACTAATAATACAAAAAAATTAGCCAGGCGTGGTGGTGCGCGCCTCTAGTCCCAGCTACTTGGGAGGCTAAGGCAGGAAAATCACTTGAACCCAGGAGGTGGAGGTTGCAGTGAGCCGAGATTGTGCCACTGCACTCCAGCCTGAGAGACAGAGCCAGAATCCATCTCAAAAAAAAAAAAGCAAAAAAAAAACAAAGTTGAAGGCATCACAGTCCCTGACTTTAAAATAAACGACAAAGTTACAGTAATCAAAACAGCATGGTATTCCATAAAAACAGATGCATTGGCCAATAGAACATACTAGAGAGTCCAGAATTTACAGACAATTGAATTTTGATAAGGAGCCAAGAACACTCAATGGGGAAAGGAATCTCTTTGATAAAAACTGTTGGGAAACCATATATCCATGTGTAGAAAAATGAAATTGGACCCTTATCTCACACCGTATACAAAAGTCAAAATGGATTAAAGACTTACCTGTAAGACTGGAACTACTAGAAGAAAACATAGAGGGAAAGCTACTAGAAGAAAAAATAGAAGAAAGCCACTAGAAGAAAACAGGCGGAAAGCTCCACTACATTGGTCTGGGCATTTTTTTGGACATGACCTCAAGAACACAGGCGAGAAAACAAAAAATAAACACATGGAATTACATGAAACTAAAAACTTCTGCACATCAAAGGAAACAGTTAACAGAGTGAAGAGACAACCTGCTGAATGGGAGAAAATATTTACTAATTATACATCTGACAAGAGGTTAATATCCAAGATATACAAGAAACTCAGTAGCAAGAAAGCAAATAACCTGATTTTAAAAATAGACAAATAATCTGAATAGACTTTTAAAAAAAATTTTTTTTTGTAGAGATGAGGCTTCACTATGTTGCCCAGGCTGGTCTCAGATTCTTGGGCTCAAGCGGTCCTCCCACCTTGGCCTCCCAAAGTGCTGAGATTATGGGTGTGAGCCACCATGCCCAGCCTGACACAGCCATTCTTAAAAGAAGACATACAAATGGCCAACAGGTTTGCGAAAAAAAAAATCACTATTATTAGGGAAATGCAAAATAAGATTACAATATCACCTCACACCTGTTAGCATGGCTATTAAGCTGGGTGTGGTGGCTCACACCTGTAATCTCAGTACTTTGGGAGGCTGAGGTGGGCAGATTACTTGAGGGTCAGGCGTTTGAGACCACCCTGGCCAACATGGTGAAACGCCATCTCTACTAAAAATACAGAAATTAGCCAAGTGTGGTGGCACATGCTTGTAATCCCAGCTACTTGGGAGGCTGAGGCAGGAAGATTGCTTGAACCCAGGAATGGAGGTTGCAGTGATTTGAGATTGTGCCACTGCACTCCAGCCTGGGCAACAGAGTGACTCAATCTCAAAAAAAAAAAAAAAAAAAAAAAAAAAGAATTGCTATTATCAAAATGATGAAAAAAATGTGTTGCTGAGGATGTGGAGAAACCTTTTACACTGTTAGTGTTATTACAGCCATTATGGAAAACTATATGGAGGTTTCCCAAAAAATTAAAAATAGAACTACCATATGATCCAGCGATGCTATTTCTGGGCATATATTGAGTAACTGAAATCAGTATATCAAAGACTTATTTGCACTTCCATGTTCATTTCAGCATTATGCACAATCGCTGAGATAATGGAATCAACCTGTGTCCATCGATGGATGAATGGATAAAGAAAATGTAGTAAACATATGCAATGGATACTATTCAGCCTTAAAAAAGAATTTCTGTCATTTGTGACAACATGAATCAACATATGCAATGGATACTATTCAGCCTTAAAAAAGAATTTCTGTCATTTGTGACAACATGAATCAACTTGGAGGACATACTAAGTGAAAAAAGCCAGGCACAGAAAGACACATACCACATGATCTCACTTATATGTGGAATCTTAAAAAGTCAAACTCATAGAAGTAGACAGTAGAATAGTTGTTAGAGGCTGGAAAGGGACGGGGCGGGTAGGAGATGCAGGATGGGGAGATGCTGTTCAAAGGGTACAAGGTTCAGTCAGACAAAAGCAGCAAGTTTCTGAGATCTATTGCATAGTGTGGTGACTATAGCTAATAATAATATATCGTATATCTCAAAACTGCTAAGAGTAAATTTCAAATGTCTCACCATAAAAAACGTTAAACAAGGTGATGGATATGTTAAGCTTGACTTAGTCGTTCCATATTGTATACATATATTAAAATATAACATTGTACCCCATTAAATATTTACAATTATGATTTGTACATATATTTAATAATAATAAAAATCTAAATAAAATATTAAAGAATGCCTACAAAGCAAGGTTTAAGATGTAAATGAACACAGTAGTATCACGGAAGGGATTAAATATTGTAACATTTATTGAGCACTACGTATATATTTTTGAATTCCCACAACCCTGGAAGAATGAGAAAATCGAGACTCAGGGAGCGTTAAGTATTTTGCCCAACTGCATACGATAAATACATAGGAAAAACAAACACACAGAAGAAAACCAAACCAACCAAAGTATCTCTTTCAAAAGGAAACGACAGTCTCCTTAAAGGCAACCCGAGACAAATTTCAGCAAAGCCGTGGGACACATGGCCTTCGAGCTGCTGTCCATTATTGAGTAGCAGAAGCCAAGAAGGATGGAATGTTTTGGAAGAAAGGGGTCGGGGGTCGGGGTGTTCAAAGGACGGACCGAAGGTAAGATTGAAGTGGGGTCAGACCATGGCGGGACAGCGCACCGGAGAATGAACAGCGATTAGGGAAGAGTGGCGAGCGGGTGGCAAGGACGGAGGGCGGAATCCCGGCCGGGGCTGCGGGAGGAAAGCGCACGGACAGGAGCCCCACCGCTCGAATGCAGCGCCCGGCGGCTGGCCTCGTGAGGTCACAGGCCCTTACGAGGTGGGGCAGGCAGGCGCGGCCGCAGTGCCTTCCAGTCAGCGCGGAGGCGGTATTGAGTTCAGCCGCTCCCCACAGCCCCGGAGCCCCTGGGCGGTGGCGGTGGCCGCGGCAGCACCGGCTCGACAGCCGATAGGGTCCTGGGCCCGCTCCGCTCGGGGTGGTCGGTGGGCGGAGCGTCGGGCTCGGTCAGGTGACCGCGGGGGCGGGGCCGCGCGGCGCGGGATCCTGGGAAGGCTGCAGAGCTAGAGCAGCGCCGCCCGAGGGGCGGCAGGGGCTGACCACAGAGAGCGCGGGGGCCTCCAGCCGAGAGGAAGGGAGGGCAGCTCGGGCCGGTAGTGGGACCCTTGGGGGACAGAGGTGGGGAGGGGAGGCGAGACCCGCTGAGGAGTTGGGAGGGGAGCCTTCGAGGTGGAGGGTGGAGAATGCAGTAGGGTGCGAGGGAGGAAGGAGAACAGTGGTGGGGCTGGGTGAAGGAAGGTTCCAGAAAGGAACAGTGAGGGGACTGAGTGGGACAAAGGGGCAGATTGAAGGGTGACTGAGACTGATCAGGTGGTTCCTCAGAAATGGTGGTTGTTGTAGAAGGCTGGCGGTCCCGGGGGTGGTGTCACTTCCCTGCTCCTTCAGCGGGAGGCGGAGACCTCTATTAGCACACTCATTTCCATCTTGCGGGTCGTTCACTCGCTAGCTTACAGGTCCTCTTTCTTCCTGTAGAAGTCGTTGGCTTCGTAAGAGCAGGGTCTATGGGAAGCCTCCTCAGCGTGGGTTCTTGGAAGAGGTGGAGGTTCGTTCACTCGACGTTTGTTACACAAATATGAAAACAGGGTGACGAAAGTTTGAACGTTCATGAATGGCAGTAGCTGCAATGGAGTTGTGTATGCAGTTGGTATTAATGACGTTTTCAGTCCCTCTGGCGAGAGAAAAGCGAGCGAGTCGGGCGGCTTGTGAGGGAAATGTGGCATGAGAGGAAAGAGGAAGGTATTTTGTGAAAGGATGTCATACAGAGTCATGCTTCAGTGAAGACGCCTTTGTTTTTCTCATCTTAAAGCCTCACAGCCCCATTTTCCTCTCAGCTACTGCCTTATTTCTCTTAACAACGTAACTCCTTGAAAGAGCCTACCCTACTGGCTGGGTTCAATTTCTTTACCCCGTTCTCTCTTGTACTCACTCTGACGACATTGTCTCCTTACCACCCCACCCAGATGGCTCCTTTCAAGTTTGTCAGTGTCCTCCGTGTTGTGAAACCTAGCGAACCATTCAGTACTGATCTTAACCGCCCACCCCACCCCCCTTTTTTTTTTTTGAGACAAGGTCTCTGTCGTCCAGGCTGGAGTGCAGTGGTGCAATCATAGCCCACTGCAGCTTCAAACTCCTGGGCTCAAAAGATCCTCCTGGCTCAGTCTTTGGAGTAGCTGGGACTAAGGTCGCCATGTCCAGCTGATTAAAAAAAAAATTCTGTAGAGGTGGGAGTTTCACTGTTGCCCAGGCTGGTCTTGAACTCCTGGCCTTAAGCAGCCCTCCTGCTTAGACCCCCACCCCCGCATCAAAGTGTTGGGATTACCTGCATAAGCCACCATGCACAGCCTGATTGCTCACTCTTGAAGTACTTTCTTCACTTGGCATTCAGGAACCCAGACCTACCTGATTTCCCTCCTCACAGTAACCAGAGTGATCCTTTCAGAAAGAACTTCAGATTATGTAATCCTTCTCCTCAGAACTCTTTCAATGCTTGTCACTCCTTCAGAGTACAAGCCACAGTTCTTACTGTCATCTAGGGGTCCTCCATGATATGCCACTTTCACTTAGCCTCTCTGATCTCTCCTGCTTCAGCCTCCTGGGGCCTTCCCACTATTCCTTGAACATTCTTCTTGCCTCGGGGCTTTTGTACTTACTTTTCTTTCTGGCTGAAATGCTCTTCCCTAAGATATTAATCAGCTCCCTACTTCAGTTCTTGCAGGTCTGTACTCAAAAGTCTCCCTCTCAGTAAGGTCTTCCTTGGCCACCCATTCTGTTCCCTGCATCTCTTCCCCTATACTACATTTCATATTCCCCTCCCTGCTTTACTTTTTTTTTTGTACTTATTGCAGATAACATACAATATGTTTTATTTTTCTATTTTATTATTTCACTCCCTGACTAGAACATAAGCTTCATGAGGGCAGATTTTATATATATATAAACAAAATATATATATATATATATATATATATATATATATATATAGCATATATATATTTTGTTCATTGGTATATCCCTAGAGCCTAGGAGAGAACCTAGTGCACACTAAGCATGCAGACATATACGTTGAATTCATGGATAGAAAGGTGAATGGATAGATGACTGGAGAAAAGGGATACGACTCCCTCCATTTCTCTTGATTTGTTCCTGCAAGTTCACCGATAGAAGACAGGATTGAAATAGTTGAGAAAAATTATATTGTCAGAGTTACAGGGAATAGACTTTCTAAGTTAATTTTTTCTTTTAAGTTTGGAGAGGCTTATGCGGTACCTGATTCATCCAGCAAATTAAGACCTGCCAACTTTTTGATAATCTCGTCAATAAATTACAGAACAATTGTTCCTTTCAAGATTTATTCAAAACGTGTCAACTCTGCTTAATTAAGCACTTTGATGATTTAAGAAATCTTGGTGAGTAGCTTAGTAGGAAGGGAATTTGTTCATTCATCCCTCTCTCCCTCTCTTTTCCCCTCCCTCCATACCATTCCTCCTTTCCTCTACTCTTTCCTTCATTATATATATACCATTGTATTTGATACTGTGAGAAATAATTTTAAGAATGATAAGTTACCAGTCCCAGTTCTTTATAAATTTAGGCTATAGTTGGTATAGGAGCTATACATATGAAAAATACAAATACAAGGCAAATGATTAATGTCAGTTAAATAGTGAAGACAAGAATAGTGAAGGCAGTAAGTGCTATGCACAGTAGTTTAGAGGTAAATATTGAACTGGTTGGAGAAGATCTAGAAGAGATTACGTAGGATGGGTTACTGGGGAGACCTGCATAGATTTCCAGTATTTTCTGAGATGAGTATTTTCAATGTGGTTCTATTTTATTTTAACATATTTTGAATTCCAGGAATGTTGGACATATCACATTGAAAAATAATGACTATAAACATATGTCAGAAATAAATAAAAATGATTTTAAGTACTCTGTCTTCATTAGAATATTAATACTTGCAGTTAAACTTTACAAGAAAAAGACTGATGATTATAACTAGCAATGTAATATAATGTAATATAGCTAGCACTGTGATAAATAGCTCATAAAATGTAACTCAGATGTGAGTTGAAAATATGAAAATTTGAGGAATTTCTAAGTGTTGGTTATCACATTTGCATAATGTGAAAGTCTTGAGTTTGAAGTGAGGCTACACCATCTTTTCTTTCTTTATTTTGTTTTGTTTTCTTTTGTTTTGTTTTTTTTGATACAGAGTCTTGCACCCAGGTTGGAGTGCAGTGGCGTGGTCTTGGCCCACTGCAACCTCTGCCTCCTGGGTTCAAGCAGTTCTTTGCCTCAGCCTCCTGAGTAGCTGGGATTATAGGTGCGTGCCACCACACTCGGCTAATTTTTGTATTTTCAGTAGAGACGGGGTTTCATCATCTTGGCCAGGCTGGTCTTGAACTCCTGACCTCGTGATCCACCTGCCTTGGCCTCTCAAAGTGCTGGGATTACAGATGTGAGTCACCATACCTGGCCTTTTTTTTTATTTTTGAGACAGTCTCACTGTATATCCCAGGCTGGAGTGCAGTGGTGCGATCTTGGCTCACTGCAATCTCCGCCTCCCAGATTCAAGCGATTCTGCCTCAGCCTCCTGAGTATCTGGGATTATAGGCGCATGCCACCACGTCCAACTAATTGATTTGTATTTTTAGTAGATACGGGGTTTCACCATATTGACCAGGATGGTCTCAATCTCTTGACCTCATGATCCGCCCACCTCGGCCTCCCATAGTGCTGGGATTACAGACGTGAACCACTGCGCCCGGCCTACACCATCTTTTGTTTGCAGTAGCATTGTTTTGAAAGGCAATGTTCTATGGGACTGAAGACCACAGGCTTGGAGTTAAATTGTCTGAATTCAAATTCTGTCTCTACTATTTGCTGGCTGTGTGATCTTGGGAAACTTGACCTCTTCAAGTCTTTATCATGATATTTAGCACACAGTAAGCATTCAGTAACATGAGTGATTACTACTGTCTTAGCAGTTCTGCTTCTCAGGGTTTATTTAAATAAACAGATGTAATTGGATTTCTCAGCTTTGTATGCCATTTGAAACTGGATTTCTCAAACCACAAAAGGTAAAGTTAAGGAATTGGATGATCTGTGATTTATAGTCTACTAACTGCTTTTTCTAGTGTTTGCCCACATATCTGTGTTGGTGAAATGTTGTGTATCATACCCCAAGTCAGTGTTACATTGAAGAGATAACTTCAGGTAGGTAAATATAATTGCTTAAGTGTTCTAAACAAGCGTATGATTTCTTCTTTCTCTTTTTTTGGCAGGAAATCCTTTTGTACTATTGCTCATTCATACTTGTTCATCAAAGCCTGGAGTCCTTAAGGACAGAATTTACCTCTAAACAGAAAGATGGAAACTAAAGTACATTTATTCTGCCAGGTATTTATTTAAAACAGTTTCTAAAGATTTCTTCTTTCTTCTTTTTAAAATTAGTTTACATTACCTCATATTCATAATCAGTAAGCAAATTCATAGAGTAATAGTTATAAGGAACCTGGCCAAGTAACTGAGATGATGTTTGAGTCATTTTAGTGAACATGTATTGAACTCCCATCCCTACAACCCATATAATACTGAGAGATCTTCTGTGGTGTATGATGAGAGTATTTTGGTGGGGTACGGACCTGGATAATTTTTGTGGAGATCAAAAGGGTTAAACTTACATGAGAGGTTGTAGATAATGTAATTAATGATGTGAGAGTATAACCAAAAAATAATGTAGAGGACATCAAATTTCTTTAGCCCTCTTATCTGTACTTCAGAGTTTTATGCCCTTCTGTCTTTTTAGATGCCTCCACCTTTTTTTGCTAGTATTGTGTCAAATAAGACAAGTTTTTTCAAATAAAAACAAATCTGGACTTAGTAAGCAGAGACTTTATTCAAAATAATTATTGCAAGAGAAAAAAGGGACTATTGAAATTGGAAGAGGAGGAGGACTATTGCAATGGAAAGAATGCTGTGACCGTAAGATCTGTAGGTGTCTCAAGGGTTGGGCAGAAGTTTTCTTTTATAGAGAGACGCTGGAAAGAACCAGGTATGGGGAAATTGGATGAAATAGTAGAATGATTAGATAAGTAGATTGGAGAGTATTTTATCATGAAGTCAGTCTATTATATTCTGATTATCAGTGGGGATAAAACAGCTAATAATTTATGACGCAAAGAAAGGGAATTTTGAGGGGGTGTGTCTGGCATTGTCATAAGTAAACAAGGGGGGCATTCCAGAGTCTTACCTAAGTCATATGGGGAGGAGTGGTTTGCAGTAAGCCATTTTCCAGAACACAAAAGGGTGGGGGGATTCCTTTAACCCTCACTGTTTTCTGGGAGTTTAGGGCTCAAGTGAAATTCAGCATTGTCAATTGAGAGTCCTAATCTTTTAAATTTATCCTTGTTAAAGATCTGACGCTACTGTGTAAAACATGTACCTATACTATAGTCTGAAAAATAATCTCAGAGACTCTTGAAAAGTGCTGAGATATGTACTTTATATCATATATATACACATATATACATTTAAAATTTACCTTTTTATACCTACTACTTTGTTGATTTTGCCCTTATAAACTGATTTTGAAGATGAATTCTTAAAAATTAATATTAAAGTATCATACCGGTTTGTTTTCCTTAGACTGTATAATTTATACTTCACAGATGGCTCACCTTTTACTACAATGTTTCTGAGATTGTTTTCTTCTTCTGTGTCAAAAGCTTCTACTCTTTGTTTTCATTCACTTGGCCTTTGGTAACAGGTTTTTCTGTCTTTTTAGATTTCCTACCCCTTTTCCCCCTCAGCTTTCTATTTTGGGTCATTTTTTTCAATCTCTTTAGGAATCCTTTCATCATTTGTAATACACATCTCATCAAGGCAGCAAATCAAATTGCCTTTTTGAAACAACTTAAAGGTATGCCTTTGTTATAAGACAAATGATGCAGATTCTAAAAGTCACTGAAATAGTTCTGTTAATTTCCATCCTGTGGAAACAGAGATTCTCTCTAAACTTCCTTGGTAATCTTTATAAATTGTCTGTGTAATCTTCATGGTCACCTTTGGGTTCAAAGACTCAGGACTAATGCACCTTTGATCGACTGGATGCCGCCAGTTGTCTTAAGCAAACAGCCAGATTTCAGGAGAGAATATTTCCAACTGCATTCTTCTATTTCTAAACGTTTATTGTCACTAAACTCTATTTCTTTTTGGGGGGGTGGGGAGTGGTGTCTATTTAGAAGCAATATAGCTTCTTTTTTTTTAAATATAGGCTTTGTTTTTTGTTATTTTATTTTTTGTAGAGAAAGATATTTATTTATTTAATATTTTTTATTTCAGTAGCTTCAGGGGTACAAGTGGTTTTTGGTTACATGGCTGAATTATACAGTGGTGAAGTCTGGGCTTTTAGTGTACCTGTTACCTGAATAGTATACATTGTACCCAACAGGTAGTTTTTCATCCTTCACTTCCCTGTCCCCTCTCCACTTCTGAATCTCTACCACTCCATATGCCTTTTTGGATCCATAGCTTAGCTCCCATTTATAAATGAGAATATGTGGTATTTGGTTTTTTTGTTCCTGAGTTACTTCACTTAGGATAATGGCCTCCAGTTTCATCCAAGTTGCTGCAAAAGACATTATTTTGTTCTTTTTTATGGGTGAGTAGTATTCCGTAGTATATATACCACATTTTCTTTAACCTCTCATCAGTTGATGGGTACTTAGGTTGGTTCCATACCTTTGGTATTGTGAATTGTGCTGAGATAAACATATATGTGTAGGTTTTTTTTTTGATACAACAACTTTTTTTTCCCTTTGGGTAGATACCCAGTAGTGGGTTTGCTGGATTGAACGATAGATCTACCTTTATTTCTTTGAGAAATCTCCATACTGTTTTCTGTGGAAATTATACTAATTTACATCATCCCATCTGCACCAACATTTATTGTTTTTTGACTTTTTAATAATGGCCATTCTGGCTGGGGTAAGGTGATATCTTATTGTGGTTTTAATTTGTATTTCCCTGGTGATTGGTGATGTTGAGCATTTTTCATGTATTTGTTGACCATTTGTATATCTTCTTTTGAGAAATATCTGTTCATGTTATTTTCCCACTTTTTAATGGGAGTACTTGTTTTTTTGCTGCTGATTTGTTTGAATTCCTTGTAAATTCTGGATATTAGTCCTTTGTTGGATGTATAGTTTGCAAATATTTTCTCTCATTCTGTTGGTTGTCTGTTTACTGTGTTGATTATTATTTTTGCTGTGTAAGAGCTTCTGAATTTAATTAGGTCTCATTTATTTATTTTTGTTTTTGTTACATTTGCTCTTGGGGTCATAGTCATAAATTCTTTGCCTAAGCCAGTGTCCAGAAGAGTTTTTCCTAGGTAGTCTTCTAGAATTTTTATGGTTTCAGGTCTTAAATATGTAGACTTTTTTTTAGAGCAGTTTTAGGTTCATAAAAAAAATGAGCAGAAAATAGAGAGTTACCATATACCTACTGCCCCTATACATGCACAGCTTACCCTGCTATCAACATCCTGTACCAGAGTGGTACATTTGTTGTAATTGGTGAACCAACATTGGCACATCATTATCACTCAAAGTCCATAGTTTACATTAGAGTTCACTTTTGTTGTACATTCTATGGGTTTGAACAAATGTATTATGACATATAGTCAACATTATAGTATCATACAGAATAATCACATTGCCCTAAAATCTTCTGTGCTCTAGCTATTTACTTCTCCTTCCCCCATCCCCTGGCAAACACTGATTTTTTACTGTCTCCATAGTTTTGCCTTTTCCAGAATGTCATATAGTTGGAATTATACAATATGGAACCATTCAGGTCGGGCTTTTTTCACTTAATGTGCATTTAAAGTTTTTAAATGTATTTTCAAGGCTTGATAGCTCACTTCTTTTTAGCACTAAATAATATCCCATTCTCTACATTTAGCACAGTTTATTTATTAATTACTGAAGGACATCTTGATTGCTTTCAAGTTTTGGCAATTATGAGTACAGCTGCTATAAACATCCAATTGTAGGTTTTTATGTGGAAATAAAGTTTCAACTTGTTAGAGTAAATACTAACAAGTGCAATAGTTGGATTGTATGGTAAAAGTATGTTTAGTTTTGTAAGAAACTGCCAAACTGTATTCCAAAGTGGTTGTACCATTTTGCATTCCCATCAGCAATGATGAGAGTTCTTGCTTCACATCCTTGCCAGCATTTGTTGTTGTCAGTGTTTTGGGTTATTGCCATTCTTTTTTCTTAATTGAGTTTTTTATTATTATTTTAGATTGACAAATAATAATTGTGTGTATTTTGGGGGCATAATGTAGTATTTTGATCTATGTATACATTATAGAAATATTTAATCTAGCTATTAGCATAATCATTACCAACTTTTTTTGTGGTAAGAACATAAAAAAATTTTAGTGATTTTGAAGTATATATTATTTACTAACCATGTTCACCAATGCATTAGATCACTAAAACTTGTTCCTCCAGTCTAACTGAAACTCTGTGCCCTTTGATCAATGTCTTCCCATTCCCCATCCCTCTTCCTCCCCCAAACCTCTCCACCCCCCAGCCTCTGATAACCATCTTTCTACTCCCTGTTTCTATGAGAACAACATTTTTAGATTTCACATGTAAGTGAGATCATACAGTGTTTGTCTTTCTGTGCCTGGCTTATTTTACTTAGCATAGTGTCTTCCAGTTCTATCCATGTTATCGTGAATGACAGTTTCCTTCTTTTTAAAGGCTGTATGGTATTCATTTGTATATATTCACCACATTTTCTTTATGTATTCATCTGTTGATGGACACTTAGGTTACTTTTATATCTTGGCTATTGTGAATAATGCTGAAATGAATATGGGAGTGCAGATATCTCTTCAACATATTAATTTCAATTCCTTTGGATATATACCCAGAAGTGGGATTGCTGGATCACACGGTAATTCTGTTTTTAGTTTTTGAGGAACCTCCATACTGTTTTCTGGAATGGCTGTACTAACATTCATACCAACAGTGTGCAGATGTTCCCTTTTCTCCACATCCTTGCCAACACTTGTTATCCTTTGTCTTTTTGATAATAGCTGTTCTAACAGAATAGCTAACAGAATATCTAACAGAATAGTGTGAGATGATATCTCATTGCAATTTTATTTTGCATTTCCCTAATAATTAGTGATATTGAGCATTTTTTCACAAACCTATAGGCCATTCGTATGTCTTCTTTTGAGAATGTCTGTTCAGATCCTTCACACATTTTTTGATTGGATAGTTTGTTTTCTTGCTTGAGTTGAGTTCCTTATGTAATTTGGGTATAAATCCTTTATCGCCTTAACAGATGTAAGGTTTGCAAATATTTTCTCCCTTTCTGTGGGTTGTTTCTCACCTGTTGATTGTTTCCCTTGCTGTACAGAAGCTTTTTAGTTTCATATAATCCCATTTTCCATTTTTGCTTTTGTTGCCTGTGCTTATAGAGTCTTATCCAACAAATCATTCCCCAGACCAATGTGGTAGAGCTTTTCCCCTATCTTCTTGTAACTTTACAGTTTTAGGTCTTGTGTTTAAATCTTTAATGCATTTTAAATTGATTTTTGTATATGGTGTGAGATAATGTCCCAATTTCATTTTTCTGCAGAAGGATATCCAGTTTTCCCAATGCCATTTATTGAAGAGACTGTTCTTTCCCCATTGTGTGTACTTGGCACCTTTGTTGAAAATCAGCTGACTGTAAATATTTGGAAAATTTCTAGGCTTCCTATCCTGTCCTATTGATTGGTGTGTCCTATTGATTGGTTATGCCAGTAACATTCTGTTTTGATTACTATAGCTTTATCATCTGTTTTGAAATTAGGAAGTGTGATGCCTCCAACTTTGTTCTTTTTGCTTAAGATTGCTTTGGCTATATGGGGTGTTTACTGTTTCCATATGAATGTTAGGATTTTTTTATTTCTGTGAAAAATGACATCGGAATTTTGAGAGGAATTGCATTGAATCTGTAGATATCATTGGAAAGTATGGACATTTAAACAATATTAATTTTTTGAATCCATGAACTTGGGCTATTTTCTCATTTATTTGTGTCTTCTTCAGTTTCCTTTATCAAAGTTTTATAGTTTTTTTTTTGTTAAAATTTCATCATTCTAACAGGTATGTAATGATGGTATTTCCTTTTAATTTGCAGTTCCCTAATCCCATTATAATGTTGAGCCTCTTTTCATATCATTATTTACCATGTTTCTGTGTATCTTCTTTGGTGAGGTGTCTGTTCAAGTCTTTAGCTCATTTTAAAATTGAGTTCTTTTTTATTATGTTTTAAGAGTTCTTTGTATATTTTGGATGACAGTTCTTTATAAAATATGTCTTTTGAAAACATTTTCTCCCAGTCTGTGACTTGTCCTTTCATTGTCTTGATATGGTGTCTTTCACAGAGCAGAAGCTTTAAATGAAGTTTAACTTATCGATTATTTCTTTCATGGATCATGGCTTTAGTTTGTATCTAAAATCGAGTTAATGTTTATAATAAAAATACTGCTTTGCAAAGAGTATGATAAACTTTTGTATCTTTCTTGGCAAAGAGTATGATAAACTTTTGTACCTTGATGCCTTAAGAGCTAGATCCAGGCTGGGAGAGGTAGCTCATGCCTGTAATTCTAGCACTTTGGGAGGCTGAGGTGGGAGGACTGCTTGAGCTCAGAAGTTCGAGACCAGCCTTGGCAATGTAGGGAGACCTCGTCTCTACGAATAATAAAAAATTAGCCACGCATGATGGTGCATGTCTGTGGTCTCAGCTTCTCAGGAGGCTGAGGTGGGAGAATTGCTTGAGCCTGGGAGGTCAAGGCTGCAGTGAGCCATGATTGCACCACGGACTCCACCCTAGGCAACAAAAAGAGACCCTGTCTCAAAAAAAGAAAAAGTGCTAGATGCAATAACTGTTAGACATATTCATAAATGATGTTCTTTTATAGCTGTATAATGCACTAAGGATAATTGGAGTTATTTAGAGTATGTACTGAATCTGGAAAAATAATACATTAGTGAGTAAAACCTTTTTCAACAAAATTCTCTTCGGTAGCACTATTTGAGAAAGAATATCAATCTAAAATGAATGATTGACCCAGAATGTCATATTTAATATGTATGTGCAAAGAGGACATGCTTGATTGTGGCTCTTATATTCCCCAGGCAGAGGAAAATATTGACTTATTAGATGATGGCTCTAATTCTTTTGCAACTGACTTGTCATCAGGAACTATTAACCACAAGAAATACATCAAGTTTTCTAAAACAATAGAGAAGGAAATTTCACCGGAAATTAGGAGTTTGAGCCCAGAATATAAAAAAATGTAAGTTAAAAACTCTGAACTTACTTTATTGAATTATACTTTTGCAAGTTAAGAATGCCAAAATGTAGCTGTGGCTTATGCGTTCTCATAATGTACCATGTGTATAGGATCATGCATATTTGTGGTCATTCTTTCAGTAGCATAATTTTAACTCCTAAATAGCTGTTCTTACATTTTTTCTGACTTCTCTCACAGCCATCTATAGGCTTCCATGTTGTCTAAGTTGGTTCTCACATTGTTATAAAGAACTACTTGAGACTACGTAATTTATAAATAAAAGAGGTTTAATTGCTCATGGTTCTGCAGACTTTACAGGAAGCGAGGCTGGGGAAGCCTCAGGAAACTTAGAATCATGGTGGAAGGGGAAGGGGGAGCAAGCATATCTTCACAAGGCCAGCAGGAGGGAGAGTGAAGAGGGAAGTGCCACATACTTTTAAACAAACAGATCTCATGAGAACTCACTCAGTATCATGAGAACAACAAGTGGGAAATCTGCCCCCATGATCCAATCACTTCCTACCAGGTCTCTCCCCCAATATTGGGGATTACAATTCAACATGAGATTTAGGTAGGGACACAGAGTCAAACTATATCACATGTGGAAGCCTATAAGTAAGCTATAAGCTAACTGGAATCATAGGATTCTAGTTAGAGGAGAACAGTTATCCATATGTCTGTTAAGTTTGTCTTAAAGAGAATTTAAGAAGGAAACAGAAGGTTCTTTCCTCTAGGCTTGGCTTTGTGTCTTCCATGAAATTAAGATATTTGAATAGTTTTTTTTTTTTTTTGAGATGGAGCCTCACTCTGTCACCCAGGCTGGAGTGCAGTGGCGCAGCCATGGCTCACTGCAACCTCCACCTCCTGGGTTCAAGTGATTCTTCTGCCTCAGCCTCCTGAGTAGCTGGGACTACAGGCGTGCGCCGTCACACTCGGCTATTTTTTTTTTTTTTTTTGAAATGGAGTCTCGCTGTGTTGCCCAGGCTGGAGTGTAGTGGCACGATCTTGGCTCACTGCAAGCTGCGCCTCCTGGGTTCAAGCCATTCTCCTGCCTCAGCCTCCCAAGTAGCTGGGATTATAGGCGACCACCACCATGCATGGCTAATTTTTTGTATTTTTAGTAGAGATGGGGTTTCACCATGTTAGCCATGATGGTCTCGATCTCCTGACCTCATGATCCGCCTGCTTCTGCCTCCCAAAGTGCTGGGATTATAGGCGTGAGCCACCGCACCTGGCCAATTTTTTTTTTTTTTTTTTTTGTATTTTTAGTAGAGACGGGATTTCACCATATTGGCTAGGCTGGTCTTGAACTCCTGACCTCATGATCTGCCCGCCTGAGCCTCCCAAAGTGCTGGGATTACAAGCGTGAGCCACTGCACCCGACCAAGCTATTTGAATCTTTTAGCAGTTCTTTCTTGTATACTGCATTGCCTGGTTGCCTTTTGTTAGTCGTAGAAGTTCTAGCATTTTAAATGCATGTAGGAGAAATACTCAATCTGTATTTATTATTTATAAAATGACTAAAAAATAAAAAAAAATCTAAAAGCCTCTGGGAAAACATTCAGAGCTTATGTCACTTTATCTTTAACTAAATGCTCATCTTACCTGTTGGTGAAACTGGAAATTACCTACACATTGTGATTGGAGAGGCACCTAAATAAAAATCTCCTCTACCTTCCAGAAATCTGTATTTCACTTTTATTTAATCTAACATTTTCACCACTACTCCTGTTTGTTAGATGGCAAAAGATGAAGCAATTATTTCTAGAAGACTACAATAAAACTTGTTACCTAGGAAGAAAAGGAAGGTCGTGGGAGGTTAGGAAGAAAAGGAAGGTCGTGGGAGCATCCCTTTACCTTCTTCCATTAGCTTTCTTCAAGATAGGTTAGCACTGTGGGAAGCACATGCCTCAAAAGAATGGGGTACAGTGCATGTTTTCCCTTGTAAGTGGGAGCTAAACAATTCATACACATGGACATACAGAGTAGAATAATAGACATTGGGACTACAAATGTAGGAGGAGGGGTGAGGGTTGAATTTGGTGATGGGTACACTGAAAGCCTAAACTCACCACAATGCCTATGTGCATGTAAGAAATCTGCACTTGTACCCTCTAAATATATAAAAATAAAAAAAATTTAAAAATGGGGTACAGGACAAATGTTTTTACTTATTCATTATTTATACCAAATCATCCTTATTCTATGAAATGTGTGAAGTAGCTCATAATTAAAAAATACACTTTTGTTTACCTAAATAAGGAAACTGAGGCAAAATTAATATAAGTAGAGAGTTTGTTTAGGCCCAGGTTGAGGACTGCAGCCTGGGAAACACTGGGAGGTACTCTGAAGAACAAAGGAGAGGTTCAATATTTTAAAGAAAAAAGGAACCAATCAGGAGATGGGTTGATTACAAAAGTTGTTTTTCAGGAATTCTTACTGGCTTACAGAAATAACATTGATTAGTGATTGGCTATATATTGCTGAACTGTAGCGTATGAGTTATAGTATCCAGTGTATGGCATTGTTAGGTTAATTTGTGGCTACTTGGTGACAGTCTAGAGTCCACATAGCAGGCAACTTTGAAATAATTGCTTAGCTCAAGGGGATGTGAGACAGTGACTCCTATCTCATTTTAATGCCTCTTTGGGCCTGATAATTTAAAGAGGTCTTGCATTCATCAGATTAAAAATTTATTTTCTTTATCATTTTTTGAAAAAAGATGAAAGATCAAAAGTCATGTAATGGAGTGGAAGTCATGATTATATTAGAAATAAGAAGGCTCAACTTCAATAAGGATATATGGGGGATATAAAGCACCAGTAAACTGCAGGTTGTGACTCATTAATGGGTAATGGGTCATGAAATCAGGTTAGGAGGTCACTACTAGTTTTTTTTTTTTTTTTTCTTTCTTGAGTCAGGAGTTTACTCTACCACCCTGGCTGGAGTGCAGTGGCATGATCGTAGCTCATCGCAGCCTGGAACTCCTGGGCTTAAGGGATTCTCCTACCTCAGACTCCTGAGTAGCTAGGATTGCAGGTGTGCACCACCACGCCTGGCTAATTTTTAAATTTTTTGGAGAGGTGAGGTCTCACTATATTGCCCAGGCTGGTCTTGAACTCCTGGCCTGAAGCAGTCCTGCCACTTTGGCCTCCCAAAGTGCTGGGATTACAGGTGAGAGCCACTGCAGCTGGTTTACTACTAGTTTTTTTTTTTAAATAAATAAGTTAGAATAGAATTGAAAACATTAGAGTGCTTTTTCCTCCTCCTCTCTCTCCCTTGCTTTCTATTGCACCTCTTATCTCTGTATATGTATATTGTACCTCAATAGAAAATTTACTTTTGACTGTGGGTCATAGGCAAAATAGTTGAAAGTCCTTGCTTTGAGACTAGAGGACTGCAGAGGGATCTAATCATATGGCAGCTTCAGGGAAGTGAAGAGCAAAGTATGGGGGTTCACAGGGTATGAATTTGGGAGATTGGATTTAAAGGGATAGTGTGTCAAAAAAGCAAGATACTTTTTCTTGGAGAAATAAGTCAGTAAAAAAGAGCAGGGTACACCATAAATACATACAATTTTATTTGTCAATTAAAAATAAATTTAAGAAACAATAAATATATATAATTTTGTCTATCAATTTAAAATAAAATAAATAAATAAAATTGGAAAAAAAGGCCAAGGTACTTGCTAAAGAAAGGGAGTGGCATGAATTATAATATATTTTTTTATGTCACAGTTTTGCTTAGGGCTGAGTTCACCTGAAGCTGTTGTAGATATAATCTAGTTAGTCACTGTCCTGATGGGTTGTTCTTGAAATTTAAGTCTACCCTAGATTACTTGAAGCACTTTCTAAGAGTATGTGTCTTCTCTTCTAAAATTTAATTCAAATGTAATTCATAATTACATTTTATCTTATTGTTGTGTAGTTTATGGCAGTGGTCTCCAGACTTTTTGGCACTAGGGACCAGTTTAATGGGAGATAATTTTTCCATGGACGAGGGGATGGGGAGGAGGCAGGGGTGGTTTCTGGATGAAACTGTTCCACCTCAGAAGATCATCAGGCATTAGTTTCTCATAAGGAGGCAAAACCTAGATCCCTTGCATGCACAGTTCACAATAGGATTTGTGTCCCTATGAGAATCTAATGCCGCTGCTGATCTGACAGGAGGTGGAGCTCAGGTGGTAATGCTTACTCGCCAGCCACTTACCTCCTACTGTGCAGACGAGTTTTGGTTCATGGGCCAGAGTTTGGGGACCCCTGGTTTGTGGAATGTTTATGTTATGAAAGGTCTTGAGATCGTACCACTGTGCTTTTAGCCTGGGCAACAGAGTGAGACTCCATCTCAAAAAAAAAAAAAAAAGGTTTTTGACAGTCCAATAAGAAGAGGAAAAAGGAGAAATAAGAGAAAACCAAACAATAAGAAAGAAGAATGTTGATTAAAAAGAAGTTCAGCTTCTAGTGCCCAAACTTTAATCTTGAAATACCATTTCTTATTAAAAGGCTGTTTAGAGAAATGCTGATTGCATGTCTGTGAAAGGAAATGTAAAGTAAGCCTGGAACATCTTGTCTTCCGGAGATAAGGAAACTATTAATAAAAAAGACTACTATCAGGGATTCATCAGAAGGACTCAAGAGCCTACTGGAAGAGTCTCCCACCTTTTCCTATAAAAGATGAGAAAATTAGAGCATCAATAAGTATAATAATTTCAGGGAATTAAACTGCATCAAATATATTTAAGTCTATGCGTTCAAAATGGTATAAAATTATTTTGTCATTTTTAGAGGTTATAAGTGAGCCAAGTCTTTGTTATGAAAAGTGGTAAATAAAGGAAAACAATAGAGCAATTATCTTACCTTTCTTTCTTTCTTGTTCTTTTTTTTTTTTAAAGTCAGTTGAATCTGTCTATATCTTGCCTTTCTATATGAACTGGTACCACTAGGCAACCCAATAGTACATGAGAGAAAGTGTCTATTTGTAGAAATATTCTAGCAGCCAGGCATTGTGGTGTGTGCCTATAATTCAGTACTCAGGAGGCTGAGGTGGGGCAATCACTTGAGCCTGGGAGTTTGAAACTGTAGTGTCTATTATAATCACACCTGTGAATAGTCACTGTACTCCAGTCTGGGCAACTTAGCAAGATTCCATCTCTACACATACAAAAAAAGAAATATTCTAGCTAATGATTGAAGGAATGATAGATTTATAATATAACCACTTTGCAGTCTCTCATGATTTTTTATTTTTATTTTTATTTATTTATTTTTGAGACAGAGTCTTGCCCTGTCACCCAGGCTGGAGTGCAGTGATGCGATCTTGGCTCGCAACCTCTGCCTCCCAGGTTCAAGCAATTCTCCTGCCTCAGCCTCCTGAGTAGCTGGAACTACAGGCGTGCACCACCACACCTGGCTAATTTTTTTTTTTTTTTTTTTTTTTTTTTTTAGTAGAGACGGGGTTTCATCATATTGTCCAGGCTAGTCCCGAACTCCCAACCTCAGGTGATTTGCCCACCTTGGCTTCCCAAAGTGCTGTGATTACAGGCATGAGCTACCATACCCAGCCAGTCTCTCATGATTTACTGGATCTATTATGTATAAGTAGCTGCTAATACCACAAATAGCCAATTGGACATTATGTGCTTCCTGATGGAATAACGTCACCACCTAGAGAGTGGTTTTGCATCTCCCTCAACTATTGAATGTTAATATGTTCAAGCCTCTAGAATCCTACAACCGTGGTGATACAATCAGGAAAATCCTGACTGTGGAAAATCTACAGGATGAATGACCTAGTAATAATAATTATAATGATAATAAAAGGTATAGAAGGAGAACTTATAGATGAAAAGAAGTTAAAAAGACATTTCAGTCAATTATGATGCTGGGATTTTATTGAGTCCTGATGCAAAATGTTAAAAAATTTTATGACATTTACGAGACAACTGGAAATGTGAATGGTGCCTGTATATTTGATGATATTAAGAAATTGTTAATTTTTAGCTGTCATATGGTGTTTTTTGTTTTGTTTTGTTTTTGAGATGGAGTCTTGCTGTGTCACCCAGGCTGGAGTGCAGTGGCTCAATCTCAGCTCACTTCCCAGGTTCAAGCGATTTTATGCCTCAGCCTCCTGAGTAGCTGGGACTACAGGCATGTGTCACAACGTCTGTCTATTTTTTTGGTATTTTTAGTAGAGATGGGGTTTTTCACCATGTTTGCCAGGCTCGTCTTGAACTTCTGACCTCAAGCAATCTGCCCACCTTGGCCTCCCAAAGTTCTGGGATTACAGGTGTGCACCTCCGTACCCAGCCCAATCTCTACAAAAAAAGACACCTTGTAGAGATTTCTATTAAAATCTTTACAGATGGAAATAATATACTGTGATTTATTTCAAAAATAATAAGGGATGGGAACAGGGATGGGATATAGATGGAATAGGATTGACCACTGTTGAAACTGGGTGATGGGATTCTGTATACTTTTGTATATGTTAGAAAATTTCCATAATTAAAAGTTGAAAAGAATAAGTAAAAAGAAATTCAAGAATGATTCCAATTTCTGTGTCATTTAGATTTGAAACATCAATAATCTTTTGTGGAGAAGAAAAGTCCTCTGATTTTTCAGGAGAAAAAAAAGTTGGGAGAAAGAGTTTACAAGTACAACAGCACAGTAAAAGAACTGAGGTAAATAAAGATTTGGAAATTTTTCTTTTACCTTCAAATATTTTCCTTAGCCCTCAAACATTCCCTTAAATTTTTTAGTCCAAGTGTTGAAATGTCACAGTCTTAAATATCACTACCTGGTCTTGCTTCTCCTCTTCTGTTCTTAATTCTCCTTTTTCTTCTCCTTAAAAAAAAAATAGAACAAGGAATCTTTTCAGGAATTTATGAAAAATTTGTGTTTTTTCCCTATTAAACTTATTTTTTGTCTTTTTTACTGTGCTCTCTGCTAACATTTTTGCTTTTTTAACAGGAACCCTAGGTGTTCTTTGGTTTGTGGCAGCATAACTCCAATCTCTGCCTCCATCTTCCCATGAGTCTTCACATGGCCTCTTTTCCTGTGTCTGTATCTCATCTCCTTCCTTTCTCTTACAAGCACGTCTGTCATTGTATATTTCATTTCAAGATCTTAACTTGATTACATCTGCAAATACATTTTCTCCAAATAAGGTGACATTCACAGGTTTCAGATATTAGAACATGGAATATCTTTTTGTGTAGTCACTCACTATGATATACTTAGAGGTATATATCCTTTTTTCCCCTCTGTCTTAGTATTTGCTGTGCTTCTTAAATCTGAGAATGCATGCCTTTCTTCAATTCTGGAAAATTCTAATATGTTATCTTTTAGATATTTCCCCTCTTTCAATCTCTTTACTGTCCCTTTGTATCTTCTGTTAGATGTGTATTAGATTTTGTCATCCTGTTTTCTATATTCTTTAATATTGCTTCATATTTTTTGTCTATTCTGTCTCTCTATTTTGTTCTTTGTAATTTCTCCCCATCTACTTTCTAGTTCACTTATTCTTTATCTAGCTGAATCTAATCTACAGTTTAACCTTTCCTCTGAGATTTTAATTTCAGTGATTCTATTTTTTACCTCCAGAAATTTTATTTGATGGTTCTTAAAATATGCCCTGTGTCATGTTTTTTGCTCATATTCTATAGTTATTTCAAGATTGGTATCTGATCAATTCACTGTATGAAATTCTTGGGGGATCTAAATGTTGTGTTTGTTGTTTTGTCTGATTCTCACTCATGTTAACTTGTTCTTTGGGTGTTATATATATTTTGTACATTCTTTCATATATAGTTGATCTAAATCTGTGGGAATCTTCAGTTTGCCCTTCTTCAAGAGAATTTTTAAAAAGAAAATTTGCTTTTGTCTTTGCCATGCACTTCAGAAGTGTTACAAATCTGAGGTCATTTTAAATGAATTTTTTGGTTTCTGTTTCCCTGGCCCATATATTTAGTGTAGATTTGAGTTCCAAACTCATGTATGTAGAGTTATGATTATGACTAATCAGGAGGAATAGTCTTTCTTTTTTTCTAACCTGGAGCTGGGATAGAGACATGTTTTAATCATACTTTTTCACTGGGGAATAAGTTTTTTCCTTCCCCACTCTTGCTGAAAACATTGTCTTTTGAAGATTTTGGTTCCGTATGGCATCTCAGTACCAATTCCTGTCAATCTTGTGTAACGTGAGAGTCTTTTTTCCACATCTTGCATGGTCATTAAAACTCAATGCTCAGGGTTCCATGTAAAAGTGAAGACACCTGTAATTAGAATTCTTATTTTTCTAAAGTGCTACTTTCCTATCCACCTAGTGCTTGCCTTTTTGGAATCATGTTTATACATGCAATCTTAAGTGGATAATTTACTCAATGATAGGGATAATCGAAAACAAAATTACCTGTATCATTTGAATAACTGTGTTGATTCTCCACATTGCACTTAAGTCAAAGCCTTTATATGTAGCCTAGAGTCTGGTGGCTGAGTCTTCTTGTTCTCTCTATACCATAGGTTTTCCCTGCTTTGTAAAACCCATTACTATATAGTTACCAAGTATTAATGACATGATTAACTGCATACTTAAGAAAACCATGGCTTTGCAAGAGAACATTGCATAGTTTATTAAAATTTTAGTTTATATTAAATGTAATTTAATTACAAAAGGCAATTTTACACCAGAAGCATAATTAATGAGGAGCCAAGGTATGATTAATTATCTTTTAAGAGTTGTATCATCCAAGAATGCTGAATTACCAGTGTCACTCACCTCAGGCACCAACATACTTGCATTTGGCTCTAGATTATCCCTCCTTTTCTGAAGCTGTCAAAGGAGAAGGTGACAAGGAAAGAAAACTCTTTATGCAAGTTGCCGAATCAGTACAGCGTTCACAAGACTTCATCACCTCTTTGTACATCTTCTGCAATTACTCGGTATTTAAATCCTTGTACTCTATTTTTTAAATGTTGGGTTCAGACTTGGGTGTTTCTCTCCAGAATCATTTATCCCTTCCACATAAAGAATATGAAGTAGTTTATGCTAATTATGCTGTTAGGATTGTGTAGAGATAAGAGCACTGTATATGGAATTGGAAGACTTAGATTTGAGTCCGATTGACCTAACATGCTTAGACTTTTGTAAAATTTACATCTCTGGGCATCACTTTCCACATCTGTATAAGGATCTTGTACTAAATGAACTCTTAAGATGTCTTCCAACACTAACATTATATGATTTCAGCAATTTACATGTTATAGTATTAGATAAATCATCTTTTCCAGACATTTTTCCTGATAGGTGATGGAATCTGAGATTCTTTGGCTGTTTAAAGATGTTCTTGTTTGCTTTATTATAATAACTTTCTTAAAAATTTGCTGTGACTTGGATTAAGAATAGGAAAAATTGGACCACAGTCGAAGGATAGTAGGTCATGGGCACTATTTGCAGACTAGGGTGAATTCTGCTTTATAGAAAAATATCTCGAAAAGAAATAAGGTGAGACTTCTGAAGTGAAGAATATGGAATTTTCCATAACTTGGACAGTTCTTCAAGAAAGGTTCTTATGAATCTCAGACTATTGGTAAGTTTGCTAATATTTTAAAATGGAATTTGCATATTTTCATTGCCACTTTCTAATATGGCTGTTTCTTTGACAGGGAAAAGGAAATGCTGTCTAACCTCTACATGACATTATATGATGAAGTAACCCATGGATATTTACACTCAAAAGAATTAAGTGGTAATAAGAGGTTCTAAAATTTCTTGAATACATTTCCTGGTTATGTGCTTTTTAGGAATTGTTTCAGCAGTTAGTGCCTCTTCATCTACTCCTAATGGCTTATGGTATCAACTGATAATACATGGTATGGCAAATGCTGCGGGCTGTGAGGAAGCAAAAGTAGATAGTTTAATCCATAAATATCTTTGGTTGTATTGGTAAGATAGGGAAAATATAATATGTAGCTTATACTAGTTCAAATGTATTTTTTGGAAAAATGTCTGCATATTACATCCCATGGATAAATTAGTAAGTGCTGGAGTCACTGATATCACTGGAATTTAGTCTTTGGTATCTTAGTATTAAGGCTTATACTACCCTTCACTCCTTCATGACACTGACCTCTCCCGTATCTTGGGTTTCTCCTTTATACTTATGGAATAATTTCACATAGTTTTCCTTTTACCTTAACTCTGGTTGTCATATTGTGTATCTTAGTGTCCAAATGGGTGACTCATACTTCTGGAGCTTCACACGTTCAAAACCAATAATTTTACCTTGATTCTCCTGACCAACACTGATGGCCACAAATTACACATTGTCATTATGTGAAAATCTCAGACGTCAACGTCTTATTCTTCACTCACAATCTCTTATACTTCCAGCTCTTTTTATTTAGAATTTTATTTCCTTGACCTCTCCATTTGGTGCCACTATGATTGTATGATTTCCAACCTCAGCTGCCCTTAGCACCAGTTGGTATTCCCTTTAAGTTTTGGTGTGATCTCTCCTGTTTCCTTTGGTATCTATTCCAAACCTTCACTACTCTCCTCAAATACTCAATTATGTCACCTATCCAACTTTAAACATTTAAAAATGTTTTACTTAATTAAAATAAAATTAAAACTTGCTAGTCTGAAATCTATGAAACTGAATCTTTTCTCCCCTATTTCTTTTGAAAAAAATTTTATTGTGGTAAAAATATTTAACATGAGATCTACCCTCTTAACAGATTTTAAAAATGTAAGTTATTCTTATCTATAGGCACAATATTGTACAGTATTTCTATAGAACTTATTCATCTTGTGTAACTGAAATTTTATACTCACTGATTAGCAACTCACTATTTCCTCATACCCCCTGCTCCAGGCAACTACAATTCTATTCTTTGTTCCATAAGTTTGACTATTTTAGATGCTTTATATAATTGGAATTCTGTAGTATTTGTCCTTCTGTAACTGGCTTATTTCACTTAGCATAATGTCCTTCATATTCATTCATGTTATTACATATTACAGGATTTTCTTCTTTTTAAAGGCTGATTGATATTCTGTCATATGTATATAACGTACTTTACCCCCCCCCCCATTTATCTGACATTTAGGTTGTTTCCACAGATATTTAGATTGTTTTCCATAGGTTGGCTATTGTGAATAGTACTGCAGTGAACAGGGGAGTACTACTGTCTCTTCAAAATCCTGGTTTTAATTCTTTTGGATAAATACCCAGAAGTGGGATTACTGGATCATGTGGCTTTGCTTTTTCATAGAGAGTTAGTAAGGGCTGTTGGGAAGCTTCCTAAACTCCTTGATATTCTTACCTACAAACAACATTCATATCCTTTCATCTTGTCTCATTGGAAAAGGTGCCCTTTCACCAGACTAATCCTTTCATTTCTTGATTTTCTTCTGCTTTCTCAAGGCCTATGCTTTGCTAATTTTATACTCAATATTTTTTCAGAGAAGCCTTTTGAAGGAGTTGTTTTCATTAGTTGCTGAATTTTCTCACTTCCCATTTCATGGAAATCTGGCTTCCACCTCCAAAATTCTACTAAAACTTATTTTATTAAAGCCATTATTATCAACTCTTTAGTCATTATTTTGTATTTATCACTGTTAGGGCTAGGTGAGGTGGCTCATGCCTGTATTCCCAGCACTGCGGAAGGCCAATGTGGGAGGATCATTTGAGACTAGGAGTTCAAGACCAGCCTGGGCAATATAGTGAGATCCCATCTCTACAAAAAATAACAAAAACAAAAAATTAGTTGGGCATGTTGGCACACAGCTGTAGTCCTAGCTACTGGAGAGGCTGAGGTAGGAGGATTGTTTAAGCCCAGGATTTCGCGACAGGAGTTTGAGACTGCAGTGAGCCATGATTGCACTACTGCATTCCAGCCTGAGCAACAGAGAAACTCTGGCTCTAAAAAGACAAACAAAAATAGCACTATCATCAATTGCCTCTTTTCTGAAAATAAAGTGTAGTATCCACTGAACCAAAAAATTCAGTTCAATAGACATTTTTTTGAGAATTTCTTAATTAGGCACTAGAAACAGAAGAATGAAAAAATCTTGCTCCATAGAAGCTGACAGTTTAGTGAGGGATATTGACATGCAAGCAATCATAATACCAAGGGCTTTCACTGAGATACATAGTAAGTGCTATGGGAACACAGAGGAAAAATTTACCATTCCTAGGGCAAGTTGTGGAAGCCTTTGCCTATGTGCCCTTGTGTGACTTGTCTGACAGTTTCTGAAAGTTCTTTAGGAAACAGGTTGAAAGATTTGAATATTAAAAGATTGAAGAGGGTGGGGTAAAAAAGAAACAAGTTTGAAAGGCTGAAAACACAGATTGGCTCCCTTTTTAGTGATTATTATTTTTTTGAGAGTGGGGGGAATAAGGATAATTATTCTTTTTGATTAACTAACTAAATGTTTTGTTATGTGTGTGCAGCACTTCATAAAGCCTGTAAAATTTTTAGTAAAATTCGAAGTGGTAAGATTTATGTGAATGATCTTCCAGTGATCCTTTGCATCTTGAGAATTTCTATAAGTGATTTAGAAATGCGACAGGCACTAAAGACTGTTGATATTGATGGTAAGTTTTATCTTTTCAGTATTAGTTTAAGGGTCTGCAATCATAAATATGTTTGTCAGATTAATTACAAATGATAGGAAAGCTAAACCTTAAAATATATTGTAAAAACATCATTTTTGGTCATATTGTATGTTACAAAACATTTTTACATGTTACAAGAACATTACTTACAATAATGATATTGAAAATTGGCCTCAGGTTTATGTAATTGGATTGATTAATTACTAGACTGGATTATGGCATATTCTCATTATTGTTCCACGCATGGTCTAATCTTATTTAGTTACGTAATTTAAATAATGTAATAAATACTTGACCCAACCACCCAAAATAAAAAGTAGGACCTTGTCAATAATTTACATCCAACTGTAAACTTTCCTAAGCAACCTATTATTCTGTTTTCCCCAACCTGAGGTAAGAATTACCTTGAATCCTATATTCATTATTCTCTTATTTTTCTGTTTAAATAGTATTATTGTTATGGATAGGTATTTTTGTAAAATAGTTCAAAAATTTTAGTTGTTTAAAAAACTTTAGTAAACAGTTTTTCATTATGTATATAATCTTTTGTTTTTTTCCCTTAATATTATATGACTAAGATTTATTCATATTGTTGTATACTGCTTTTTTTGTATGCTCTTGCTCTTGCCACCCTTGAATTGATCGCCTTTAAAAATTATGGTTGTTCTAATAGATATACGGTTATTATCTGATTGTGGTTTTAATTTGCATTTCCTGAATGATTAAATAATGTTGAATATCTTTTCATGTGCTTGTTTGCCATTTGTATATTTTTTGCCCATTGAAAAATTGTGTTCTTATTGTATTTTGAGATTCTTTATATATTCTGAATATAAGTCCTTTATTGGATATGTGATTCGTAGATATTTTATTCCATTCTGTTGCTTGTCTTTTTATTCTCTTAAGAATGTTTTTAGAAAAGGAAAAATTCATACTTTTGATGAAGTCCAGTCTGCAATTTTTTCTTTCATGAATTGCTTTTGATATCTTATCTAAAAGATCTTTGCCAACCCAAAGTCACAACAATATCAGAAAACAAGTCAAAGTAGTTCATTAAAATTTGGACAGATGTTTCACTGTTTTTGAAAGAAAGGAGAACCCACTCTCAAGTTGTTACACTGAAGAAGTGGAGACAGACAACTTGATAGACTTTTCAGTATTGGAGAAAGTGCTTCTGTGGTATGGAAGTGAGAACAACCAAGCCTTGTCATTTCCTCTGCAGACAATTGGAAGCACTGAAGTATTCCTCTATAGGCTATTTCTGCTCAGATGACATTAAATTGAAATATAGATTTATACTTGTTTTCTTCGTGACATAGATAACATCACTGATGTAAATAAACCCTGTCAAAGTTGGGCTCGTTTATTTAATGACAGGAGAAGATGAATTCATAGTTATTTAACTTGAAGAATCTTGAAGAACTACAAATATAAAAATTAGTCTTGAGCAAAGAGCACTGCAGTATCTACAGTACTAGTCCCATAGCATTCTTATTACTGCTGGAACACTATTTACTACCTAATTACAATATGTAAATTTTTTTCTGGTAAATATTCTTTTTACATTCTATATATAATGTCGACTGCTCTGTGTATAGATAATAGTATTCTAATGTCATTAGTTAATTCTATTTACATTTTTAGTTGCCACTTTTATCTTATGTTCTTAGTGAGTTTGCTAATAATGTTTGCTGATGGAGTTTTTTTCACTTCTGTTTTGGAACCATTTTTATAGTTAATGGAATGCTGGATTTTTCAAATTTCCTTAAAGCTGTGGCTGATGTTTCTTTTTTTTTTTTTTTTTTTTTTTTTTGAGACGGAGTCTCGCTCTGTCGCCCAGGCTGGACTGCGGACTGCAGTGGCGCAATCTCGGCTCACTGCAAGCTCCGCTTCCCGGGTTCACGCCATTCTCCTGCCTCAGCCTCCCGAGTAGCTGGGACTACAGGTGCCCGCCACCGCGCCTGGCTAATTTTTTGTATTTTTAGTAGAGACGGGGTTTCACCTTGTTAGCCAGGATGGTCTCGATCTCTTGACCTCATGATCCACCCGCCTCGGCCTCCCAAAGTGCTGGGATTACAGGTGTGAGCCACCGTGCCCGGCCTGATGTTTCTTATTTGGTCTCTCAGAATCCAGGTAAAAAAGACTTCTTCAAAAGTATAGAAGATAATACTTTTGTAACTGATTTTGGGGTTGGGAGGGGTGGTATTTTATATATGAATTAATTTATATTTTACAAATCTCCCACTAGTGTGGGCTGAGAAAAATGAGGAGTGAATTTTGTCATAAAAGGCATTACAAAACCTGGATTATACTGCCCCAATATTCAAACATTCTATCTCTGATCTCTAGTTTTCCTGCACATTAACTGCTAGACTAATTCTCTTAAAATACTATTTTCACCATGTCATTTTCCTGCTCAAGAATTTAGATGCTCTTCCTATTATCAAATGAATCTATAGAGGCCAAACTCTCATGCTTAGCCTCCTCACCCCTTCATAATTTTGTTCACCACTCTTACCTTTATCACAGAACCTTTCCCAGGCAAGAACCACATACTCGTTAGTCATAAATCTCCATACATGCCAATATAATTATTACTCCCACGCCTTTGTTTGTGTGTGTGTGTGTGTTTTTTTTTCTGTTGAAATCTCTCATCTGTTTTCTTCTTCATCCTTAACAGTACTTTCTTCCTTTTGCCAGGAGTCTTGTTTGTATCTCTTCCTAAAAATTTCAGATACTTATGGGTCTCCTAGTAACCTTTAGTTTACATTACCTATACATTATAAATAAAGTGGTTGGAAAGGGTATTCGTATTAATGGTAGAAACAGTACCTCCAAAAACATGAAATCTGTGGTGTTCATGACCTGATGTTAGCAATTCTTCTCTTCCTCCATTAGGCGATATCAAGTTCTTATGCTCGGTCCTTGGAATTATATAATTTTATTTTTTATTTGTATAAATTTAAGGGGTGCAAATGCAGTTTTGTTACAAGATATATTGCATCCTGGTAAAGTCTGGCTTTTAGTGTAACCATTATTCGAATAGTTATATATTTTACTTATTAAGTAATTTTTCATCCTTCACCCCCTTCCCACACTTCCAAGTCTCCAGTAACTATTATTTCATGCTCTATGTCCATGTGTACACATTTGGCTCCCACCTATAAATTTGGCTCCTACCTATAAATGGCTTTCATTATCTTAAGTGAAACAAGTCAGAAACAGAAAGTCAGATAGTTAATAGTTTCATCCATGTTGCTGTAAAATATGTTATTTCATTCTTTTCTGTGGCTGACTAGTATTCCACTGTGTGTGTGTGTGTGTGTGTGTGTGCGCGCGCGCGCGCGCGCGCGCGCCACGTTTTCTTTATCCAGTCATCCATTGATGGACACTTAGGTTGATTTTATGTCTTTGCTATTGTGGATTGTGCTGTGATAAACATATGAGTGTAGGTATCTTTTTGAGATAATGGTTTCTTTTCCTTTGGGCATATATACCTAGTAGTGGAATTGTTGGATCATACAGTAGTTCTATTTTTAGTTCTTTGAGAAATCTCCACACTGCTTTCCATTTTTTCATAATGCTCGTTTGGCCATTTATATATCTTCTTTTGAAAAATGTCTATTCATGTCATTTGCCCACTTTTTAACAGGATTATTTGTTGCTTTTGTTGTCTTTGATCTGTTTGAGTTCTTGGTACATTCTGGATATCAGTCCTTGTTGGATGCATAGTTTGCAAATATTTTCTCCTATTCTTCAAGTTGTCTGTTCATTCTGTTGATTATTTCTTTTGCTGTGCAGAAGCTTTTTAGTTTAGTTGTCTCATTTGTCTTTTTTTGTTGTTGTTGCTTGTGCTTTCGAGTTCTTAGTCATGAATTCTTTGCCTAGACCAATGTCAGTAAGAGTTTTCCTTGGGTTTTCATGTAGTTTTTTTTTTTTTTTTTTTTTAGATGGAGTCTCGCTCTGTTGTCCAGGCTGGAGTGCAGTGGTGCGATCTTGGCTCACTGCAAGCTCTGCCTCCTGGGTTCACACCATTCTCCTGCCTCAGCCTCCCATGTAGCTGGGACTACAGGTGCCCGCCACCACGCCTGGCTAATTTTTTTGTATTTTTAGTAGAGACGGGGTTTCACCGTGTTAGCCAGGATGGTCTCGATCTCCTGACCTCATGATCCTCCCACCTCGGCCTCCCAAAGTGCTGGGATTACAGGCGCGAGCCACCACGCCCGGCCTCATCTAGTATTCTTAAAGCTTCAAGTATTACATTTAAGTTTATATCCATCTTGAGTTGATTTTGTATATGGTGGGAGATAGGGGTCCAGTTTCATTCTTCTGTGAATGGCAATCCAATTTTCCCTTTACCATTTATTGAAAAGAGTGTCCTTTCACCAGTGTATGTTTTTGTCAACTTTGTCAAAGATCAGGTGGCTATAGATATGAAGCTTCATTTCTGGGTTCTGTTTTCTGTTCCACTGATTTATGTTTCTACTTTTATAGCAGTACCATGCTGTTTTGGTTACTATTATAGTATAATTTGATGTCAGGTAATGTGATGTCTCCAGCTTTGTTCTTTTGTTTAGGATTACATTGGCTATTTGGGCTCCTTTAGTTCCATGTAAATTTTAAGATTATTTTTTCTATTTCTGTGAAAAATGACATTGGTATTTTGATGGAGATTGCACTGAATCTGTAGATTGCTTTGGGCAGTATGGTCATTTTAATGATATTAAGTTTTTGATCCATGAGCATGGGATGTTTTTCCATTTGTTTGTGTTCTCTATAGTTTATTTCATCACTGTTTTGTAGTTTTCCTTGTAGAGATCTTTCACCTCTTTGGTTAAATGTATTCCTAGGTACTTTGTTTTTTGTAGCTAAGCTAAATGGCATTGCCTTCTTGATTGGTTCTCAGCTTGATACTAGTGTATAGAAATGCCACCGATTTTTGTATGTTGATTTTATCTACTTAAACATTACCAAATTTGTTTATCAAATCTCAGGGTTTTTTGGGAGGAGTCTTTAGGGTTTTCTCAGTATAAGATTATATCATCAACAAACAGACATAATTTGACTTCCTCTTTTCCAACTTGGATGCCTGTTACTTTTTTTTCTCTTGCCTGATTGCTCTGGCTAGGGCTTCCAGTAATATATTCAATAGGAGTGGTGAAAGTAGGCATCCTTGTTTTGTTTTGGTTCTTAGGAGGAATGCTTTAAACATTTCCCCATTCAGTAGGATGTTGGCTGTGGGTTTGTCATGTATGGCCTTTATTATTTTGAGGTATGTTCCTTTTATAGTGAATCAGATTGTATATTTATTTATTTATTTATTATTTTTTTTTATTTTTTGAGATGGAGTCTTGCTGTGTCATGCAGGCTGGAGTGCAGTGACACAATCTTGGCTCACTGCAACCTCTGCCTCCCGGGTTCAAGGGATTCTCCTGCCTCAGCCTCCCAAGTAACTGGTACTACAGGCATGCACCACCATGCCTGGCTAAATTTTTGTATTTTTAGTAGAGATGGGGTTTTACCATGTTGGCCAGGCTGATGTCGAACTCCTGACCTCAAGTGATCCGCCTGCCTTGGTCTCCCAAAGTGTTGGAATTACAGGTGTGAGCCACTGCACCCAGCCCAGATTTTATTTTGTTAGAATCAAGGATATGTGAATGTGATAGTCTTTATAGAACTGGATTAGCAAGTAAAGGGCAATAAAAACTCTTCAATACTTATTTACTCATTTATGTAATAAACATTAATATGCCTATATATGCAGCAGTGAACAATATAGATATGATGCTTGGCTTGCTTTTTCTTTTTGGCATTTTGATAGACTCCATGGCATTAGGATTTTCCTGGTTCTCTTTTATCTACTTGGTTTTTGACTTACATTTTTTTTCTTGTTTCAGTTTCATGTAGTTCTTCTCTGATCTTGGTTATTTCTTTTCTTCTGCTGGGTTTGGGTTTGGTTTGTTCTTGTTTCTCTAGTACCTTGAGGTGTGACCTTAGATTGCCAATTTGTGCTCTTTCAGACTTTTTGATGTAGTCATTTTATGCTATTAACTTTCCTCTTAATACTGCTTTTGCTGTATCCCAGAGGTTTTGATAGGTTGTGTCACTATTATTGTTCAGTTCAAAGATTTTTTAAATTTCCATCTTGATTTCATTGTTGACCCAGTGATTATTCAGGAGCAGATTATTTAATTTCCCTGTATTTGCATAGTTTTGAGGGTTCCTTTTGGAGTTGATTTCCAGTTTATTTCACTGTAGCAAGAGTACTTGCTGTAATTTTAATTTTCTTAAATTTGTTGAGGCTTGTTTTGTGGCCTACCATATGGTCTATCTTGGAGGATGTTCCATGTGCTGATGAATAGAATTCATAGTCTGCATTTATTGGGTAGAATGTTCTGTAAATTTCTGTTAGATCAATTTTTTTTAGAGTATAGTTTAAGTCCATTGTTTCTTTGTTGACTTTCTGTCTTGATGACCTGTCTAATGCTGTCAGTTGAGTATTGAAGCCCCCTACTACTGTTGCTGTCTGTCTCATTTCTTAGGTCTAGTAGTAACTGTTTTATAAATTTGGGAGCTCCAGTGTTAGGTGCATATATGTTTAGGATTACGATATTTTCCTGTTGGACTAGTCCTATTATTATATAATGTCCCTCTTTGCCTTTTTAAACTGCTATTGCTTTAAGTTTGTTTTGTCTGATACAAGAATAGCTACTCCTGCTTGCTTTTGGTGTCCATTTGCATGGTGTATCTTTTTCCACCCCTTTACCTTAGGTTTATGTGAGTGAGTCCTTAAGTGTCAAGTGAGTCTCTTGAAGACAGCAGATACTTGGTTGGTGAATTCTTATCCATTCTGCCATTCTCTGTCTTTTAAGTGGAGCATTTAAATCATTTACATTCAATGTTAGTGTTGAGATGTGAGGTACTATTCTATTCATTGTGCTATTTGTTGACAGAATATCTTGTGTTTTTTTCTTGTGTTATTGTTTTATAGGTCCTGTGAAATTTATGCTTTAAGGAGATTCTATTTTGGTGTATTTTGAGGATTTGTTTCAAGATTTAGAGCTCCTTTTAGCAGTTCTTTTAGCAGTCAGTAGTGCTGGTTTGGTAATGGCAAATTCTCTCAGCATTTGTTTGAAAAAGACTGTATTTTTCCTTCATTTATGAAGCTCAGTTTCACTGGATACAAAATTCTTGGCTGATAATTGTTTTGTTTAAGGAGGCTAAAGATAGGACCCAATCCTTTCTAGCTTGTAGGGTTTCTGCTGAGAAATCTGCTGTTAATCTGATAGGTTTTCCTTTATAGGTTACCTGATGCTTTTGCCACACAGCTCTTAAGATTCTGTCCTTCATCTTGACTTTAGATAACCTGATGACTATGTGCCAAGGCAATGATCTTTTTGCGATGAATTTCTCAGGTGTTCTTTGAGCTTTTTGTATTTGGATGTCTAGATCTCTGACAAGGCTGGGGAAGTTTCTCTCGATTATTCCCTCAAATATGTTTTAACAAACTTTCAGATTTCTCTTCTGCTTTGGAAACACCGATTATTCTTAGGCTTGGTCATTTAACGTAATCCCAAACTTCCTGGAGGCTTTGTTCATTTTTTTTTTTTTTTTTTTTTGAGACAGAGTCTCGCTCTGTCACCAGGCTGGAGTGCAGTGATGCGATCTCGGCTTACTGCAACCTCTGCCTCCCAGGTTCAAGTGATTCTTCTACCTCAGCCTCCCGAATAGCTGGGACTACAGTCGCGCGCCACCAAACCCAGCTAATTTTTGTATTTTTAGTAGAGACGGGGTTTCACCAGGTTGGCCAGGATGGCCTCGATTGCTTGACCTCATGATCCGCCTGCCTTGGCCTCCCAAAGTGCTGGGATTACTGGCATGAGCCACTGCACCCAGCAGTGCTGGGTGCATTCATTTTAAAAAATGCTTTCTTCTTTGTTTTTGTTGCCTCGGGTTAATTAGAAAGCCTTTTCTTCATGCTCTGAAGTTTTTTCTTCTACTTATTTGATTCTATTACTGAGACTTTCCAGCACATTTTGCGTTTCTTTAAGTGTGTCCTTCATTTCCAGAAGTTATGATTGTTTTTTATTTATGTTATTTCACTGGAGATTTTCCCATACATATCCTGTATCTTTTTTTTTTTAAGTTAGACTTCACCTTTCTCTGGTGCCTCCTTGATTAGCCTAATAATTGACCTTCTGAATTATTTTTCTGGCAATTCAGAGATTTCATCTTGATTTGGATCCATTGCTGCTAAGCTTTTGAGTGTGATCTTCTGGAGATGTAAAAGAACGTTGTTTTGTCATATTACCAGAATTGTTTTTCTGATTCCTTCTCATTTGGGTAGACTATATCAGAGGGAAGCTCTGGGACTCAAGGGCTGCTGTTCAGATTCTTTTGTTCCTCAGGGTGCTCCCTTGATTTGGTGCTTTTCTCCTTCCCCTAGGGGCTTCCTGAGACATAGGGCTTCCTGGACAAGGGGCTTCCTGAGAGCCAAACTGCAGTAATTGTTATTTCTCTTTTGGATCTAGCCACCCAGTGGAGCTACCAGGCTCCAGGCTGGTACTGGAGAGTGTCTGCAAAGAGTCCTGTGATGTATTCCATCTTCAGGTCTCTCAGCCGTGAATACCAGCACCTGCACCAATGGAGGTAGCAGGGGAGTGAAGTGGACTCTATTAGGGTCCTTGGTTGTATTTTTGTTTAGTGTGCTGGTTGGCCTCCAGCCAGGAGGTGGCACTTTCAAGAGCACATCAGCTGCAGTAGTATAGGGAGATTACAAGCTTGCCCTAGGGTCAGGTGGTGGGCAGGGCCATAGAGCTCTCAAGAGATTATGTTCTTTGTCTTCTGCTACCAGGATTGGTAGAGAAAGACCATCAGGTGGGGCAGGTTAGGCATGTCTGAGCTCAAACTCTGTTTGGGTGGGCCTTGCTGCAGCTGCTGTCGGGGTGAAGGTGTGGTTCCCAGGCCAATGGAGTTATGTTCCTGGGAGGATTATGGCTGCCTCTGCTGCCTGACAGGTCGCCAGGGAAGTGGGGGAAAGCCAGCAGCGATAGGCCTCACCCAGCTTCCACGCAGCCCACAGTCTGAAAGACTGGTTTCACTCCCACTGCGCTTCACCTGTAGCACCGAGTTTATTTCCAGGCAGGCGGTGAGCAGGGATGAGAGCTTGTCCCAGGCTACAAGCCTCCCCACTGAGAAAGCAAGCCGACTCACAGTTACTTGCCTGTCCCACAGAGCCTGCAAGGGCATCCATCTCCTTGAAGGGGTCTTTGGATTCTCTTGGCTTTCCTGATATGTTCCTGCAGTAGTTCTTGGAGCAAAAGTTCACGATGTGAGTGTCTACTAACTGACTACTTTTTAAATCACAACTTAGAATAGCTTATTTACTTTCCTGTATTTCTTGATTTTTCAAGTCCTGGTTTCCTATTTTGACGTTTTGATAATTCATTTTGCCTTGACAAAGCATAAATTACTATTTTATACTCCAGGCTGGAGTGCAATGGCGCGATCTCGCTCACTGCAACCTCTGCCTCCCTGGTTCAAGCAATTCTCCTGCCTCAGCCTCCTGAGTAGCTGGGATTACAAGCGCACACCACCACGCCCAGCTAATTTTTGTATTTTTCATAGAAGTGGGATTTCACCATGTTGGCCAGGCTGGTCTCGAACTCCTAACCTCAGGTGATCCACCTGCCTCGGCCTCCCAAAGTTCTGGGATTACAGGCGTGAGCCACTGTGCCCTGCTACAAAACATAAATTATATGTATGTATCTGTGGTCAGTACTTAGGAGTCCAAACACACATATAAATCTATAGTCAGAAAAAAATGTAAGTTGAGTTCCAGACAGTAGGGAAAAATGATGGATAGGAGGCAGGACTAACTTGCAACTTTCACTCGGACAGACAGAGCAGCGTGTAGAGACCACTTTTTGAATCACAACTTAGAATAGCTTATTTACTTCCCTATATTCCTTGATTTTTCAAGTCCTGGTTTCCTATTTTGACCTTATTTTCTGTTTGTGGACAGTGTTCTGAGACTAATCAAGAACTCTCAGGTTTCTTTTGTTCCTTTTAAAAGAACACACATAATTCTTGAATATATTGTTGTAATAAAATATCCAAGCAATATATGTGTATAAAGATGTGAAAGACCTTCTTTAACCCAAGATTGCTGCAGTTTAATACTGACCTGAGAATTCTTTTTATATGCACATACATACATATAATTTATGTTTTGTCAAGGCAAAATGAGTTATCAATTACTAGGCAGAGTGGAAGCAAAGGACCTAGGTCTCATAGAAACTAGTAAAAAGATCAAGCATACAGTTAGAAATCAAGAGACTCCCTAGAGAAAAATAAAAGGGAAAAATGCAAATATCTTTTTCTTAAGAGAAAAAGAAATTTTGCCACCTTGTTTTGCAGGAACTATCTTGTTTAATTATATTTCTCAATTATGAAATTAGTAATCTTTTAATATAATTACTGGTCATTTATATATTTTTTCTATGAATTGCCTTTTCACATATACTTTTCATTTAAAAAACTGGGTTGTTCATCTCATTGATTTGTAGGAGTTTTCATATTCTGGCTATTAATCCTTTGTTATGTATGTTACAAATGTTTTCTTCTAGTCTGTTGTTTCTCTTTTAATTTTGAACTGGTGTCTTTGGTTTTTGGAATGGGACTGTTACATTTTATCACAAAATTTATTATTTTTTCTTTATGTCTTCTGAGTTTTGAGTTGTGCTTAAAGAGGCCTTTCTCACCTCAATAGTACACACATACATTTTCATCATGATTGTGGAGTACTGGTTTTCAATGCTCCAGGGAACCTGGAGATGGGTAGATGGGAATAGGGCAAGTTTAAATGCCACAAACCTCACTGTTCTTATTGAGACTCAGTCATTTTTCTTGAAGAAATTCCTCGGATAGCTGCAAGCCTTTGGCTTATTTTCAGAGTTTTGAAACAAGTTGGTTCTGATAATTTTTGCCAGAGTTCTCATTGCTTTTATGGAGCAGAGGGTTTCTGGAGGTCCCTTCCTCTGCTATTTTTGTTCACTTGATCAATAATGACTAGTTGAGACCAGGCATGGTGGCTCATGCCTGTAGTCCCAGCACTTTGGGAGGCCAAGGCGGGTGGATCACTTAAGCCCAGGAGTTCGAGACCAGCCTGGGCAACATGGCAAAAATCCATCTCTACAAAAATACAAAGAAATTAGCGGGGCATAGTGGTACGTGTCTGTAGTCCCAGCTACTCAACAGGCTGAGGTGGGAGAATCGCTTGAGCTGGGGAGGCAGAGGTTGCAGTAAGCCGAGATCGTGTGATTGCATTCCAGCCTGGGCTACAGAGAGATACCCTGTCTTTAAAAAAGAAAATTAATTAATTAAAAAAAAGACTAATCGAATGAACAAATAATGCCCAGTTTTTCCTCCTTGACTGTGCTTATCAAAGAACTTAGTAATCATTAGTTTATTATATGATGAATTTCAAGAAAATCTAGTCTGACTATAAATGATTTTCCGTCTGAAATTGATAATGGGAATTGTGTTTTTTTTTTTTTTTGTCAAGGCTAATTAAGGGGTGTAGTGGTCAGGGAGGATATAAATTTAGCAGTTGGACACGGCTTTCAATCTGTTTAATTTTTTTTTCAATTTTTTTTTTATTATTATTATACTTTAAGTTTTAGGGTACATGTGTACAATGTGCAGGTTAGTTACATATGTATACATGTGCCATGCTGGTGTGCTGCACCCATTAACTCGTCATTTAGCATTAGGTATATCTCCTAATGCTGTCCCTCCCCCCTCCCCCCACCCCACAACAGTCCCCAGAGTGTGATGTTCCCCTTCCTGTGTCCATGTGTTCTCATTGTTCAATTCCCATCTATGAGTGAGAACATGCGGTGTTTGGTTTTTTGTCCTTGCGATAGTTTACTGAGAATGATGATTTCCAATTTCATCCATGTCCCTACAAAGGACATGAACTCATCATTTTTTATGGCTGCATAGTATTCCAGGGTGTATATGTGCCACATTTTCTTAATCCAGTCTATCATTGTTGGACATTTGGGTTGGTTCCAGGTCTTTGCTATTGTGAATAGTGCCGCAATAAACAAACATGTGCATGTGTCTTTATAGCAGCATGATTTATAGTCCTTTGGGTATATACCCAGAAATGGGATGGCTGGGTCAAATGGTATTTCTAGTTCTAGATCCCTGAGGAATTGCCACACTGACTTCCACAATGATTGAACTAGTTTACAGTCCCACCAACAGTGTAAAAGTGTTCCTATTTCTCCACATCCTCTCCAGCACCTGTTGTTTCCTGACTTTTTAATGATCGCCATTCTAACTGGTGTGAGATGGTATCTCATTGTGGTTTTGATTTGCATTTCTCTGATGGCCAGTGATTATGAGCATTTTTTCATGTGTCTTTTGGCTGCATAAATGTCTTCTTTTGAGAAGTGTCTGTTCATATCCTTTGCCCACTTTTTGATGGGGTTGTTTATTTTTTTCTTGTAAATTTGTTTGAGTTCATTGTAGATTCTGGATATTAGCCCTTTGTCAGATGAATAGGTTGCGAAAATTTTCTCCCATTTTGTAGTTGCCTGTTCACTCTGATGGTAGTTTCTTTTGCTGTGCAGAAGCTCTTTAGTTTAATTAGATCCTATTTGTCAATTTTGGCTTTTGTTGCCATTGCTTTTGGTGTTTTAGACATGAAGTCCTCGCCCATGCCTATGTCCTGAATGGTAATGCCTAGGTTTTCTTCTAGGGTTTTTATGGTTTTAGGTCTAACGTTTAAGTCTTTAATCCATCTTGAATTAATTTTTATATAAGGTGTAAGGAAGGGATCCAGTTTCAGCTTTCTACAAATGGCTAGCCAGTTTTCCCAGCAATCTGTTTAATTTTTAAGGAAGTTTTTTTTGTGGAAAATTATAATTTATCTGAATATTTTCTTTTTAAAATTAAAAATATACTGAGCTCTCTGATGTGACTCTAAATATTTTAGAAAATGATAAAGTGATTTAGTGTTTAATTTATTTTAGTTAAATTGTTTTAAAATTATAGACTCTGACATTCAAAAGTAGATGTCTTGGGGACCCCCAGATTTGGTTCGCTAGTCAGGGCCATGCTGAATATTTCCTTCTGACTAGGTTCTTTTCAATTCATTTTATGTGCTAAGGATTGTTAACATAAGAATATGAAATTCCTATGGAGAAATAAAAGACCAATGTTTTAACCACTATTATAAAGTTATTTTATATCAGTGGTTTGCTTGTAGATAAATATTTATAAAACCCTGTGCTTATACAAAGTTATTTTCCCTTAGTAGGCTATTGACACAAAATCAACTGCTTTTCCAAGAAAAGCTGTTGATTCTCATGGTATAATAATTTCTTTTTTGCAGCATTCCAGGATGCCTTGAAGATTTTCTGTAGGATAAAAGGTGGTCGAGTTTCAACTGATGACGTGTTTGCTGTTTTGGATAGCATGGGTATCCCTATAAACCGTGAAATTTTAGAAGAAGTGACAAAACATACCTATATTGACAGTGAGTTATTTGCATTGAGATATATATGTCCATATATATGTGCATATATTTATACATTTTTTTCCGGATATCAATTTTGTGATCTGTCCTTTGCTTCTCCTTTTTTCTCTTGATTCTTACCTTTTGCCATTGACACTGTTTACTGGTGTCTATAGTAAGAAATAGTCTAGAAAAATTAAATGAGAGGTTTCTAAAATTGTTATAGTTTGGTATGTTTGGTTAAAGAATAAAATGAATTTTAAAAAATTCAGCCTTACATCTCTTTTCCAAGTCATTTCTGGTCTTTGTGGAGAAGTAGTTTCTTGTAGTATCAAGAGCATTGACTCCACAAGTTAGAAGACCTAAATTTCTTGAATTCTCAATTTTATTATGTAGCTTTGATTAAACAATTTTGCTATGCCCTTCAGTTGCTCTCTGCACAATGTGGATTGCTTTAAACATGATAAAAATATTTAGCAGGTGTTTTGTATTACATGTTTACTTGTAACCAGAGGATGTCCTATCATAATTAGTGATTAATTGATTGATTCATTTGTTTTATTATTGTGGGCGGCAAGCCAACCAGGTGCCGAGGCAAGAGACTGAGGGCACGAGCTGTTCCAGTATAATAAAATATGTAAAATAAGTATAGTTATACTAGATATAGATCTTTGATATGATTATATATGAATATAATTAATCATTAGTTTGTAGCAATTACTCTTTATTTCAATATTATAATAATCCTCGCTCTACAATCATAACCTAGGAAAAATCAGGCCATACAGAGATAGGAGCTGAGGGGACATAGTGAGAAATGACCAGAAGACAGGAGTGTGAGCCTTCTGTTATGCCTGGACAGGGCCACCAGAGGGCTCCTTGGTCTACCGGTAATGCCAGCGTCTGGGAAGATGTCTGTTGCCAAGCAGACCGTGGTCTAGCGGTAGCGTCAGTGTCAAGGAAAAACACCCGCTACTTAGCAGACTGGGAAAGGCAGTCTCCCTTTCCCCGGGGGAGTTTAGAGAAGACTCTACTCCTCCACCTCTTGTGGAGGGCCTGACGGAGGGCCTGACTGATGTCAGGCCTGCCCGCAGTTATCCGGAGGCCTAACCGTCTCCCTGTGGTGTTGTGCTTCAGTGGTCACACTCCTAGTCTGCCTTCATGTTCCATCCTGTACACCTGGCTCTGCCTTTTAGATAGCAGTAGCAAATTAGTGAAAGTACTAAAAGCAGAAATAATGGCGTAAGCTGTCTGTCTGTCTGTCTGTCTCTCTCTGCCTTGGCTGCCAGGCAGGGAAGGGCCCCCTGTCCAGTGGACACGTAACCCATGTGACCTTACCTATCAATGGAGATGGCTCACACTCCTTACCCTGCCCCTTTGTTTTGTATCCAATAAATATCAGCGCAACCTGGCATTCGGGGCCACTACCAGTCTCCGCATCTTGGTGGTAGTGGTACCCCGGGCCCAGCTGTCTTTTCTTTTATCTCTTTGTCTTGTGTCTTTATTTCTACACTCTCTCGTCTCCGCACACGGGGAGAAAACCCACTGACCCTGTGGGGCTGGACCCTACAATTATTTTATTATTTTTAGAGACAGTGTCTCACTCTGTTGCCCAGGCTGTAGTGCGGTGTTGTGATCATAGCTTGCTGTAATATTGACCTCCTAGGCTCAATAATCCTCCCACCTCATCTTCCTGAATAGCTAGGACTATAGGTGTGCACCATCATGCCAGGCTAATTTTTATTTTGTAGAGATGAGGTCTTGCTATGTTTCCTAGGCTGGTCTCAAACTTCTGGAAGCAAGTGATCCTCCTGCCTCAGCCTGCTGAGTAGCTGGAATTACAGGCATGAGCCACTGGGCCCAGCCTGATTCATTCACTTAATGAATCAGATAGTCAGTCATTTAATATCTACTATGCCTGGAACTGTGCTAGGTGATGCAAAGATGAATAAAACACACTTCTTTTTTTTTTTTTTTTGAGGGAGCTCACGTTCAAGTGTGGAAAGAGTCAAGTAAACCGAAAATTAAAATGCTCCATGGCAAATACTATAATAGAGTGTACATAGGCTGCTAATACATACTGGAAGCCTTAGGGAAAGATTATCAGAGGGGCTGATGTCTGAGCTAAATCTTGAAGGATCAGTATGAATTAAGTAGTTGAAGGTGGTAGCAAAGAGTGAGAAAAACATCTTAAGCCAAAGGAACAGTTTGTGTAAATATGGCAGAAAAATAATCAGACATGACATCTTTTTGAGTGGGCTTCCACTAGTTTTTGTCATTTATTAATGGTGGTTTTGTAGTGGGCTTTTGGTTGCTGATATGTGGTCTGGAGATAGAATCAGGCCACATGGAGTTCTCTTAGGAAGTCAGGTATGGTGTGCTCTGGGGTGAGGCATGAGTGGAAGGATATGATGGGGTATGAAAATGTAAAATGGGGATTTTAAAGACTATTCTTAAGCCTTTAGGGCATGCCCTACCAGGAACAACAGAAATCATATATGAAACAGCTGCAGTACCTTGCTTTTTGGCTTATGGAGTTCTGGCCTGGGTCTCCAGGTCTCCTGCTTTATTTGGGGAGGTATATTGGACAAATGATACTAATTTTATAGAATTGTTATAGGAATTAAATATAAACATTTATCACAGTGCTTGGCACCTAGAACAGACAGAAGGGTGAGGCAGAAACCTGAGAGTCATCCTTGGCAACTCTACTTCTCTATTCCTCATGCAATAGTTCCCTTATTTAAAGTCTTAGATACATCTTTTTAAAAACTTTTCTCCTTTTTTCTATATATAAGATAGATATCTCTTAAGTCTTTCTATTTCTCTCTCTTTTTTTAACTCCACTCTGTCGCCAGACTGTAGTGCAGTGGTGTGATCTCGGCTCACTGCAACCTCCGACTCCCTGGTTCAAGTGGTTCTCCTGCCTCAGCCTCCGAGTAGCTGGGATTACAGGCACGTGCCACCAAGCCCAGCTAATTTTTGTATTTTTAGTAGAGACAGGGTTTCACCATGTTGGCCAGGATGGTCTCGATCTCCTGACCTTCTGATCCACCTGCCTTGGCCTCCCAAAGTGCTGGGATTACAGACGTGATCTATTTCTCTTTATCTCCCTATCTTAGTCCAAGTTCACATAACCTTTCCTCAGGACCATTGCAGTTCATCCTAACAAGTATACCCCTGTCCACTCTTATGTTCCTTTATACTGCAGCCATAATGATCTTCATTCAAATACGGGTCTGATCATGTTATTCTCCTCATATAAAATCTAATAATACCTCTTGGGATAAATAACTCTTTTAGTGTGGTTTACAGGGCCTTGTGGGTTCTGGCTTTTGCCCAGATCTTCAGCTTTATCTGAGACCATATTCTTCCTTGCTCTCTGTGCCTTCTTAGAGTTTCAACTATATACCATGCCCCTTCTTGCCAAATAGCTGTTGCATGTGTTCATTTCTCTTCCTTGAACCTTTTTCTCCCCTTAGGTAATTCCTACTTACACTTTAGATCCAAACTCAACTGTCTTTTCCTCAGGGATGTTTTCCCAGACCTCTCTGAGTAGGTCAGATTCTCATGTTATACACTCTTATAGCACTATTCGCAATTGAAATTTGTATTTTTGTTTGATTGACATTGATATTTCAAATAAGACTGAGCATCAGGTGAGCAGATATCATGTCTGCTTTAGCTTAATATTGTATCTTCAGTACCTAGCGTGGTGCTTATAGCACATATTAACCGCTCAACAAATATTTGTTGAATGAATGAATAATTCTGATTCCTCATGCCACATCTTCCAATCAGAAAGAACAAAATGTTCTTCATTTTATCATATGAATAAGCTGGCTGTAGTTTGAGGCAAAATTCCTCATAAGGAAGGTCCTTATCTTTTGACCAGGAAAATAATCTTAATAGATATGTTAGATTATGAGAGTTAAAACATACTGAGAAACACCTAGATTGAGCAAAAAGATAAGATAAAGTACTGTACATAAGAAAGCAACAGGAATTTGAAATATAGTAGTGGCTCAGTAGTGGAGGAAGAAGATGGATAGAACCTAAGAGTGAGTGAGGATAGAGTAACCATAGAACTTTAGGACTATAGTATGTAGTTGCTTGCTGTGCTTCTTAAGAACTCCCTTACTCCCATCAATTGCAAATTACCAGTAAAAGTTGGTTATATACAATAGACTTGTATTAGTATTGTTGGTGGGGAGAGTTCAAGGATAAAGACCTATAGGTTCTATGTTCGATCTGCTTGGGGCAGAAAGAGGATTGTACCTGTAGAAGGTAATAATGTGAGTGAGATCAAGAGTCCATGGGAATAGAGAAACAAAGCAAAAATAAAAAGAGCACAAGTGACTCAGGAATCCTCAAATTTTGGTCAAGGTATTGATTTATGTTAGTATATGCTCTGGGGTCTGAGCTATTTTAATATTAAAGGAAACATTAACCCCAGGATGCCAAAAATTTTGGGTCACCCAGGTAGGAGATGTTAATTTTTCTGTAGCAGAATTTTGCAGTAAGGAATAATATAACACAGTCCTGCTAAAAGAAGACATAGCACTGCAGGTACTGTTCCAGCATCTTATTTTTGCATTTGGTATATTGTTGGAGATGATAGGTAGATAATATGTTCATCTTTATAGATGTTTGCAATGAGGGAGAAGGAATTAGCCCCCTGAAATTTTCAGGAAAGTCCAAGGAGGATTTGCTTTATTAAGATATGGCAAGAAGTGCCATATGGAAAATCAGCTGATGGCAGTTCTTAGAGGGTCAGGTATTTTGGTTTCTGAAATACTGTATTGGTATAGCAGTTTTTTTTTTTTTTCTCTCATGGAGGTTAGAGATCTGGAAATTGAACTGGGTGGGAAGTTGTGACTAGTGCAGTTTTTGCTAGAGGAGGCTTTCAATATTGTGGAGCTACCTGAAGATTACAGAAATGTAGTGTTAATGGTCACTTAGCACCTTCAGAGTAACGTTGCCTTGCATATATGACCTTAATAATTAGGATCATTTTTTTCCTCTCACAGTAGGTAGCTGCATTTTCCAGGATGAATTTCCTCCAGAATTATATACCTTAGAGTAGGAGGCTGTTTTGAGCTCCCTTTAGGAAATAAGTGATACCTATGACCATATTGATTGCCTTAGTTTCAACCAGGAATCATTCTTTAAGGTTTTGCTAAGTTAGATAGGGACCAAGATAGTCATTTCAGATTCTCGAACGCGTCTTTGGCCACTAGGGACTATTTAAGTAGGTAATATTTGTTTGGGAGTTTCATAATAGGTGTTTATTATTGCATAGATGCAAGGAATAAATTTGAGCAAGAGCTAATGAATCTGTGAACATGGTTGACTACCATACTCTTATTAGTTGACATTGGACTTCTGTTCAGAGAAAGGAGTTTTCTAAATGAAGAGCAGGTAAAAGCAAGATGGCCTTTTCCACTGGATTAATACATGTATGGTCTAACAGAATACTTTTCAGTGATCAGATTCAAGAGCTTGAGGGTTGAAGCTTTGAGTTGTCTTAGGACTTAAGCCATGATCTAAGAACATGGGACATGGAATCAATCTACCACAAGTGCCAGTTACTGGGGAGGTTATGGGAAGTGTTAGAACTATAATCAAAACCAGAATGAGGATAAATACCAAGGAAATAAGAAACCAAAATGTAGGAAGCAATCTCTAATCAGAAGGCAATTTAGCACCAATTTTGTCTAGCATTTCTTTGATTGGTTCAAACACATAGTACTTGCTTTGCAGTGATTTAAAGGCCTGCACCTGAAATACATAGTTTACCAATTTTCAGAGAATCAGAGTGAATCAGGTGGACCCAACACCAAAATGATACTATTCTTTAATTTACATATTTGCTTCTCGTGGCGGCAAGAGGGGCAGGATGGCTGGGCCACTCCCCTTGGCCCTGGTCCTGGCTTGCCCCACCCCGCCGCCATGGCCCAGGATGAGGGTATATATTTGGAGGGGACGTAGGACGCCGGCAGAGAAGGAGCCGGGTGGAGCTGTGGTCCCGCTGAGGAAGCTTTGTAGATACATGCATTGCACCCCTATTTTCACAAAGCTTGGCTATCAGAGCATTATGAACACTAATGACCTTAAACTCAGGTTGTCCAAAGCTGAGCAAGAACACCCACTACGTTTCTGGAATGAGCTTGAAGAAGCCTGACAGGTAGAACTTTATGCAGAGCTCCAGGCCATCGACTTTCAGGAACTGAACTTCTTTTTCCAAAAGGCCATTGAAGGATTTAACCAGTCCTCTCATCAAGAAAAGGTGGATGCGTGAATGGAACCTGTCCCTCGAGAAGTACTGGGCAGTGCTGCAGGGAAGCTAGATCAGCTCCAGGCCTGGGAAAGCAAAGTTTTCCAGATTTCTGAGAACAAAGTCACAGTTGTTCTAGCTGGTGGGCAGGGGACTAGACTCGTTGCATATCCAAAGGGGATGTATGATGTTGGTTTGCCATCCCATAAGACACTTTTTCAGATTCAAGCAGAGCATATCCTGAAGCTACAACAGTTAGCTGAAAAATATTATGGCAACAAATGCATTATTCCATATAATGATCAGTGGCAGAACAGCAGAATCTACAAAGGAGTTCTTCACCAAGCACAAGTACTTTGGTTTAAAAAAAATAGAAAATATAATCTTTTTTTCAGTAAGGAATGCTCCCTGCCATGAGTTTTGATGGGCAAATTATTTTGGAAGAGAAGAACAAAGTTTCTATGGCTCCAGATGAGAATGGTGGTCTTTGTCAGGCTCTTGCAGCCTGGCATATTGTGGAGGATATGGAGCAAAGAGGCATTTGGAACATTCGTGTCTATTGTGTTGACAGTGTATTAGTAAAAGTGGCAGACCCACGGTTCATTGGATTTTGCATTCAGAAAGGAGCAGACTGTGGAGCAAAGGTGGTAGAGAAAACAAACCCTACAGAACTGGTTGGAGTGGTTTGCCGAGTGGATGGATTTTACCAGGTGGTAGAATATAGTGATATTTCCCTGGCAACAGCTCAGAAATGAAGCTCAGATGGATGACTGCTGTTCAATGTGGGGAATATTGCCAACCATTTATTCACTGTACCATTTCTGAGAGATGTTGTCAATGTTTATGAACCTCAGTTGTAGCACCATGTGGCTCAAAAGAAGATTCCTTATGTGGATACCCAACAGCACTTAATTAAGCCAGATAAACCCAGTGGAATAAGTATGGAAAAATTTGTCTTTTCCATAATAAGTATAGAAAAATCTTCTAGTTCACAAAGAAGTCTGTGGTTTATGAAATATTATGGGAAGATGACTTTTCCACACTAAAGAATGCTGACAGTCAGAATGGGAAAGACAACTCTACTACCGCAAGGCACACTTTCATTATTGCTGGGTTCTCAATGCAGGGGTCACTTTATAGATGAAAATGGCTATCATCTTCCAGCAATTTCCCACTTAAAGGATGCCAATGATGTACCAATCCAGTGTGAAATCTCTCCTCTTATCTCTAATGCTGAGGAAGGAATAGAAAGTTATGTGGCAGATATAGAATTCCATGCACCTTTAATCATCGATGAGAATGGAGTTCATGAGCTGGTGAAAAATGGTATATGAACCTGATACCAAGTTCTACCACAACAGGAATAGCTTTTGTTTTTGATAGACCGACTGTGAACCTACAGGACCTCCTGGATGACTGAAGTTTAAATATTCACAGGGTTTTATTTTGCTTGTTGAACCCTTAGAGCTACTGCAAACTTCCCAAGATCTAGATGACTGAACTTCAGATATCATTTTTATTATTCCCAACTCATTGAAGGTCTTATTTATATTTTTCAATTGTGTATTTTTTTCCAAGGCGAGGAAACCATTGGCAATACAAGAAATTTCCTACAGCCGAACTATAGTCAGGATGTTCAACATCACTTTACTTGGAGCTGGAGGCATTTGTTTTTGAAGTTGTGCATAGTAATAATATGTCATTGTAGATGTTGAAAGGTTTCTATGGTACCAAAAGTTTATTTTATCAAACATTCAACTTTTTAAAGGAAATAATTGGACAGTAAAATAAACATATCTTCCTGTTTCTGGAAAACAATAAAAATTTGCTTCTTCCTCTCAGTTTTCACTTATGCATATTATTGAACAGTTGATTTCTTATGAATAGACTGAAGAAAAAACCATCACTATTATAGATAAGTAAATTTTCAGTCTTTTTCATCTTGGATGGCAAGCAAAATCAAATATATGGAGGCAAGAACTATTGGGCAAAGCATTTTCTACCTCTGTGCACAATTGAAATGACATTATTCAAGGTGACTGCATCTGAACACATCCTCAATCATGCATTATCCAAGAAGTAAAATGGTCTTAGGCGGGCAGGGGCAGGAATAATGGGAAGTTATAAGAGTGCTGGACACAGAGAAGGTACAAAGTAAATCGTTGTTTGCTATTCACTATGTAGACATTACATTGTTTTTTAAATCACCTTCTGTATATTTTGTTCAGCCAAAAATAATTTTCAGTGATAAGAAGTAGGTACTTTGCGAGGCATTGGGGAAACAAAGGAAAAACACATCCTCTGTTCTTGAGGAGTTCACAATCTAGAAATGAAGTCAAAAGAGTAAATAAATACCTGTAATAAACTCTAAAAAACATGTAAAATGAAAAAATATCCTGATTAGCATAAGAGCTTAAAACATGACTATTTCTTTTGATGAAAAACTCTTTTATTAAGGAGAAAAGACCATGGTCTTACTCTTATGTTGGGCGTGTACTGAGTTATTAATTCATGATTTCAGATTTTATTCAAGACTTTGTAATAGTTGGCTCTTTGTTCCTACTTGCCACACATTCTGTGTTGTTTTCATATTAGAATAGGATGGCAGATATATCTATGTTCAAAAGTAAATACAGTATTTGAACTTATTCTATTACAGGTAACCACATGGTGGATATTGGGGATATTATATTTACTTTGAATGAGCTACAGGAACAGTATGAGGATGTTTGTAAGTGAGCTCTTGTTGCTATGACAAGTTTTGTTTATAATTAAAGTCTTTACATTAAATCTTAATTTATAAGTTTTATTTTATAAAGGGTTTTGAAAACCTTCTCTGAATAATTTACCCTCTTAAATCAAGGAGATAAAATATAATACTCAAAATGCTATTTACATGTCCTCTTTTTAGAAATGTTTATGCATATTCTTTGCCCAGTTTTTTGTTGTTGTTGTTGTTTGTTTTTTTTTTTTTTTTTTTTGAGGCGGAGTTTTGCTCTTGTTGCCCAGGCTGGAGTGCAGTGGTGCGATCTTGGCTCACTGCAACCTCTGCCTCCTGGGCTCAAGTGATTCTCCTGCCTCAGCCTCCCAAGTAGCTGGGATTACAGGCATATGCCACCATGCCCAGCTAGTTTTGTATTTTTAGTAGAGAGAGGGTTCACCATGTTGGTCAGGCTGGTCTTGAACTCCTGACCTCAGGTGATCCACCTGCCTCAGCCTCCCAGAGTGCTGAGATTACAAGCGTGAGCCACCGCGTCTGGCTCTTTGCCCAGTTTTTAATGGTTGTTTTTTTTTTTTTTTTTTTTTACTGTTGTTTGAATTCCTTGAATTCCTTATAAATTCTGGATATTAATCCCTTCTCAGATGAATAGTTTGCAAATATTTTCTCCCATTCAAGATGTTGTCTCTTCAATCTGTTATTTCTTTGGCTGTGCAGAAGCTTTTTAGTTTAATATAGTCTCATTTGTCTATGTTTGTTTTTGTTGCTGGTGCTTTTGAGATCTTAGTCATAAAATCTTTGCCTAGACCAATGTCCTGTAGACTTCTCCCTATGTTATCATCAAACAGTTTTTTAGTTTCAGGTCTTATGTTTAAGTCTTTAATCCAGCTTGAGTTGTTTTTTGTATATGATGAGAGATAGGGGTTTAGTTTCATTCTTCTGCATATGGTTATCCACTTTTCCCAGCACCATTTATTGAAGAGGGTATCCTTTCCTCAGTGTATATTCTTGACTGCTTTGTTGGCTTTGTTGCTTTGTTGGGTGTAAACCAACAGTTGATCAGTTGGGTGTAAATATGTGACTTTATTTCTGGGTTCTTTATTCTGTTCCATTGCTCTCTGTGTCCATTTTTTTTGAGACAGAGTCACGCTCTGTCACCCAGGCTGGAGTGCAGTGGCGTGATCTCAGCTCACTGCAACCTCTGCGTCCTGGGTTCAAGCGATTCTCCTGCCTCAGCCTCTTGAGTAGCTGGGATTACAGGCATGCATGACCATGCCCGGCTAATATTTGTATTTTTAGTAGGGATGGGGTTTCAACATATTGGTCAGGCTGGTCTTGAACTTCTCACCTCAGGTGATCCACCTGCCTCAGCCTCCCAAAGTGCTGGGATTACAGGTGTGAGCCCCTGTGCCCGGCCTCTGTGTCTATTTTTATACATACTGTTTTGGTTGCTGTATTAGTCTTTTCTCATGCTGCTAATAAAGACATACCCGAGACTGGGTAATTTATAAAGGAAAGACATTTAATTGATTCACAGTTCCACATGGCACTTTATGTCTTTTCTTTGGAGATTTTAATTCATTTACATTCAAGGTAGTTATTGATATGGAAGGATTTTACTACTGCCATTTTGTTAATTGTTTTCTGCTTGTTTCATAGATCCTTTGTTTCCTTATTTTTCTCTTCTTTTGTGACTGATTTTTCTCTGTTGATTTTTTTTTACTTTTTTATCTTTTGTGTATTTACTGTAGGTTTTTGATTTGTGGCTACTCTGAAGCTTACAAAATATCTTGTAGTTATGACAGGCAATTTTAAGCTGATAGCAAGTTAGCTTTGCTTGCATAAACAAACTATGCTTTTACCTCATCTCTCCTTCTGCATTTATAATTTTTGATGTCACAATTTACAGATTTTTATATTGTTTCCCTTAACAAATCATTGTAGCTTTTATTATTTTTAACCTTCATACTATGTAAGTGAAGTGCACACCACCATTATAGTATTAGTGTATTCTGACTTTGACTGTGTACTTACTTTTACCAGTGAGTTTTACACATTTATTTTTTGTGTTACTAAACAGCATCCTTTTCTTTTGGCTTGAAGAACACTTTTTGAAATTTCATGTAAGACAAATATAGGGGATGAACTCTTTCAACTTTTGTCTGGGAAAGTCTTTATCTTCATTTCTGAAGGACAGTTTTTCTAGGTACAGTATTATTGGTTGGCAGTTTATTTCCTTCAGTACTCTGAATATATAGTCCATTCTCTATGGACCCATAAGGTGTCTGCTGAGAAATTTGCTGTCCTTATTGGAACGTATATGTTATTTACTTTTGCTATTTTCAGAATCTCCCTCTTGTTCTTGATATTTAACAGTTTGATTATAATATGTCTTGGTGTAGTCTTGTTTGAATTCATCTGATTAGAGGCATTTGGCCTTCCTGTACCTGGATATTTATATATTTGCCCAAATTTGGATTGTTTTCTGTTCTTCTTTATGTAAGTTTTCTACTCTTTTGTCTTTCTCTTCTCCTTCATAAACTCTTATAACTTGACTATTTTCTCTTTGGATGCTGTCCCATAAATCCTGTAAGCTTTCCCCATTATTTTTCATTCTTTTTATTTTATTCACCGCAGACTATATATTTTCAAATAACTTGTTGTCAGGTTCACAGATTCATTCTTGTGCTTGATCAGTTATGTTGTTGATGTTCTCTATTGTATTTTGCATTTCTTTCATTACACTTTTCAGCTCTTGATTTTTGTTTATTTATTTTCTTTTGTGTAATTTCAGTGTCTCTGTAAAATTCTGTTTTTGGTCATTTATTGTTTTCCTGATTTCACTGAATTTTTTTCTCTGTATGTCATTAATTTTATTCCCTGAACTTTCTCTAGACAATTAGTTTGAATTCTGTCAGGAAGTTTCTGTATCTTCATTTCTTTGGGGTCAGCTATCAGGAGATTATTGTGCTCTTTTGGTAGTATTATGTCTCCTTGATTTTTCATGTTTCTTGTTGCCTTATGTTGATGTCTCTGCATTTGAAGGACTGGGAAAGCCCTTAATCAGTGAGAATCAGAGATTCTGGGCAGGCTGTTTGGTGTGGTCCAAAAGCCTAAATCAGAAGTGTCAAAGATTATATTTTTACCTGCTCACTAACCTATTTATCTGATACATAGTGCACTTAGAGATACATATATAGCACCATCTTTAAGTATTTTCAGACTTTAATATTAAAATATTTTCATTTAATTATTTTCAATTGTTAATTCTCATAGAGTCTAAGATAAGAAACTTTTTTATTTCCTCTAGGCAAAATTTATTCATAGTTGAGATTATATTGCTGCTGCGTGACAGTCTCATAGAGTTGTTTTGAGGATCAAATATTATAACATTTGAAATACTTTAAAATGTGTTATTAAAATGTAAGATAAGATTCTGAAACATCAGATAAATTTTGTAAATGAAGTCTCAGTTTGGGGCATTGTGTTAATAATTTTCTAAAGATGTTGTTTTATATATGAAGTTATTTTTTCCTCCACAAATACCAAGAATATTTAGGAGAGTAATTACTTAAGTTCTAATTTTATAAATAAAATCTCCCCTTTCCTCATAGTTCTGCCTTTTATAAGTAAGGAATTTCTATCTGTATTAGCTTATTAATCTATTATCTTTGTCAATTGGGAAGGAGTGGGGAATGAGAACCATATACTTCATTAGGCTATCATTTTAGTTTTACTGTAACTTTAAATAGCTTTGGATGGGAATATGTAAATATATTAAAGCAGCACATTACATTTGACCTAGTTAATAGTCCAATCTTTTGACTGTCAGTTCTTTAATTTTTTTGGTTTGTTTTATATGTTTAAGAAACTGATAATTTCTTGAATAGTTTTCATGAGGACTTAGTTGTTATTTTTGAAATGTATTGCAAATTATACAGGTAAATGAAATAATTGTATATTTCTCTTATTTAGCAATTACAGAAGGATCACCTTTGAATGAAATTACTTCAGACAGAAAGTTATCAAGTGTAGCAGGATGCTATCTAAAATATAAGAAGAAAAATAGTTTGTCTTCCAAACTCCCTGAACCTTCAATATCCAAAAAGTTAAATAAAAAAAGCAACCAATATTATAGCAAAATTATGGAGAATGATGACCTTGAATCTAAAAGACCAAAAAATACTTGGCAAATAAGAAAATTTCTGGGTGGGGTTGGCAGCAGTAATGTAGGAGTCCAAGAACCATATTCAAAGAATGGCATAAACTTTAAAAAACATTCAGAGAAGGGTGAAATTCATGACTCAAAGTCTAAACCACAAAGCTTGAAGAGTAGTACAAGCCTCAGTAAGTCTCTGGATAAAAGTGATATTTCTAGTATCCCAAAACTTCAGAAGCCAGCTGTAAGAAAGCATTCCAGTCTCCAAAAACAGGTTTCGTCTACGGAAAAAACTGCAATTAGTACTCTGGGTAAGTAAAAATCTAGGTTCTTGAGTTCTTCAGTCATCACAGAAATGAACAGAATGAATCAATTATTAGATAGTTGTAAGCATTTCAATTGTTAACACCCTGGGTAACCACCACTTCTTTTTTTTTTAATTTTTAAATTATTTATAGAGACAGGGTTACCCAGGCTGGTCTCAAACCCCTGGCCTCAAGCAATCCTCCTGCATTGGCCTCCCAAAGTGCTGGGATTATAGGCGTGAACCACCATGCCTATGCAAAAATTCTGGAAATGTACAGTAGTGATGGTGGTACAACTTTGTAAATGTGATTAATGCCACTGAATAGTATGTCTATTTTTTATTTTTTGAGTCAGAATCTCACTCTGTCAACCAGGCTGGAGTGTAGTGGCGTGATCCTAGCTCACTGCAGCCTCGACCTTTTGTGTTCAAGTGATCCTCCCACCTCCTCAGCCTCTCATGTAGCTGGGAGCATAGGAACATGCCACCACACCCAGCTAACTTTTTTTTTTTTTCATAGAGACGGGGGTCCCATAATGTTCCCAAGGCTGGTCTTGAACTCCTGGCCCCAAGTAGTGCTCCCGTCTTGGCCTCCCAAGGATCTGCGATTACAGGCATGAGCCACCACGTCCGGCCTGCCACTTCTGACACATAGACTAATGGATATAATATTGTGATTTTGATGATAATTCCTTTCCAGATGCCCTCTTTAGGGAGGAGCTTAACTTTTCCTGAGAAACTTATTCAGTGATTAATTGCAATCATTAATATTTCCTAGAAAGTAGAAGGCCTGGTTTCTTTTGGAAACGTTTATTTTGTAATTTATTAAACATTTAAACAAGTAGGAAATCTGTGTGAAATTTTTGCTTAGAGTGCTGTAATTTAAATATATAATATTCATAGTACTTCAGGTATTATCTCTTATGGAAGGAGAATATCAGGAAAAAATAATACTATATATCTAGGGCTCCAAGTCTTTATGATTTTTCTCAAAGATGAGCAATGGTTTCCCAACCAATATATTTTCTCTCCTTGTATTACTTTCATCATAGAAGCAGTGTGTGTGGAACCCAGTTAAAGATTTCTTCCTGTAGTCCTCTGCTGAAGTTACTTAAGTCATATTTATTCTCTTTTAAAAACTTACTGTCATATCACATTTAGTATTTAATGTAATAGATAAAATGATTGTTTAGTGAAAATTTTGTGATTCATACATTAGTGCATAATTCAAATAACTCAATGGAAAAAAGGAATGTGATCTATTAAGGAGGCACAGTGATTATCATCCTGATTCTGATTCCTTTACCAATGCACTGCTGCTACTTTGTGCCTCATTTGAATTTCTGAGAGTTATTTTTATTTCAAAAGAATTAAAACCTTGGTTAAAGGAATAATGAAACAGCAGACAGACATGGGTAGAAGAGGCTGTCAGAAGAAAGTGATATCTACCTTTCTCGTGTCACTAAAATAAAATGATGTCATCTACCACAGCCATACTTAATGTTCTGAATATAGAGAAGTATGAAATAGTTTATCTGGCATAACTTCCCAAAACAAATTAATGGTAATTGGACTTTTATGGAATATGACTGCCTGTATGATTTACATTAAAAAATTCTAACTTTTCATTTTTAAATAATTTCACATTCTTAAGAGTCACAAAAATAGTACAAACATTTCCATTAGGACATGATCTAAACCAGGAGATTAACACTGATGCAATACTGTTACTGATCTACAGACCTTATTCAAATTTGTCAGTTGTTCCATGAATGTTCTTTTTCAATTCCAGGATCTAATCCAGAATCACCCATTACATTTAGTTGTCACTTTTCTTTAGTCCCCTTCAGTCTGGGATGCTTCCTCAATTTTTCATGACCTTGACACTTTGAAGACTATTGACTAGTTGTCTTGTATAATACTCTTCATTTTGGATTTTTCTTTTATTCCTTCACAAATAAATTCAGGTTATGCATTTTTGGTCAGATTACCTCAGAAGTGATATTGTACCCATCTCAGTGCATCAGTAAGAAGCACATGACGTCTATGTGTATTTGCTTCTAAGATTTTATTTTTTGAAGGTTATGAACTGAAAACATGGTAGAGTAAATTAATGGGAGGGTGAAGAACTCTACATTTTTGCTTGGAATTCTTCAATTTAAACAAAACACTTCGGTATTTTTATTTCTTGGACTCATTAATTTTACACACACACATACACATACAAACACACACACACACACTCAGGCTGGAATGCAGTGGTGCGATCTCAGTGCACTGCGACCTCTGCCTCCCGGGTTCAAGTGATCCTTCTGCCTCAGCCTCTTGAGTAGCTGGGACTACACACATGCACCATCACACCCAGCTAATTTTTGTATTTTTAGTAGAGACAGGGTTTCACCATGTTGGCCAGGCCGGTCTCAAACTCTTGACCTCCAATGACCCACCTGCCTTGGCTTCCCGAAGTGCCGTGATTATAGGCAGGAGCCACCATACCTGGCCCCATTAATTTTATTTTAATCAGAAGCAAGCAGCATTGGCTGGGCCACTGGAACAGGCTGTTCCCCCAAACAAGTAGATTATAAATGTTTATAGAATGTTAGGACGGTTCTGTGTTTGAGCTGTAAGAGAAAGATTAAATATAATGTAATATAAACAGATATGGAGAGAAAAGCAGTCTTATAAAATCTATAAGGTAATATAAAATAGATAAAACTTGTTCTCTAATTTCTAAAGATTTTGAGTATTATTGCTTTTGACACATAAATTCTGTTGCCTAATAGTTCTCTACATTTTGTGTATTTAGAAAACTTCTGTGAAGCTATCAGTAAACTTCAAGAAAATTACATTGCAGCAGAAGAACTTCAGTCTATTTTGCCTTCAACAGGAATTAATTTATTAGATGAAGAATTCCAGAAGATTGTGACAGACACTAGTAGAAATGGTGAGAGACTGATAACACTGAAGTTTCTGAGAAAGTTAGATATTTTTATCGGATAGTATTAAATATTGGAGGAATTCCTCTCAATTAGAAATTAGGAATGGGACAGAATGGGTCATTCTAAAGAAAATTCAGATATAAAAATGGAAAATAGTAAAAAAAAATTCCTTTAAGTTCTGACCAAATGGATTGGTTTGGAGCCTTTCGTATTTCCAGATCATTTCAGTAAAGCTCTTCATCACTATCCCTATCTGTGCCTATTAATAGTAGGGTAGTGCTGGGGAGACTGATCCAGTTGTAGCGAGGTTCAGATGGCAAGACCACAATATCTAAGGGGTATGGATATATCTGCACAAATAGCCCAAGGATCCAAAGATTAATAATTGGAGATTACAAAATACGGGGGAATTTAGAGCCAGGTATGCTTAGCAGTTAACATTTAGATGTTGAGTGGCATATCCCAGTCACTAGCCTAAGTTAAAGGCAGAGTTTAAGTTTCTAGGAAGGGTTTTTATACTAGGGAAGTTATTTTTATCAGTAACTAAGCATTTTCCACAACAGAAGTTCAATTGAGGAGAGGAAAGAGGTGACATTTTGGGGAAAGACTGATTGGAGAATAACATTAGAAGTGAATCCTCAGAATCTGGGCACAATTTTTTAGCTAAGGCAAATCTGAAAGAAGATTCAATTAAAAATTATATAAAGAGTGGGTGGCACTAAAATTATTGAGCCCTTTTTGCTGCTTATCAGGATTGACATGATCACTCTGAGGGTTTATATCTAAAAATAGGTAAAACATTGGACCACATGGATACTAGGGAGATAGAGATGGGAATCCTTGGTTTTATCAGGGCTGGTTAGTATTGTTAAGGTGTCTTAATGGATAGTATATTGAGTGGGTTTTCAAGATGGTATGAAATAGACTCCTTAACTCTCTCATGGTCTATCTATATGGACATCTTTCTTTTTTCCTAGATCTGTTAAGAAATTAGTATCTAACTCAGTCCTTTGCATGTAATAGATATTGAGAAAGCAAGGACTGTGTCTTTCTTATTTTTGTATTCTCGGTGCCTAGCATGGTTCTTGGCACTAATATGCTCTCAATAATTGTTCAAATGAACTGACTTAATCTAGAAAGAATTATGAGACATGATATGAAGGAGAAATAGGATGATGAAATGAAGGATCAAGTAAATTTTAAAAATAGTTGTGTTAAAATGTAAATTTGCCTTTATGCAAAAATACACCAGAATGTATAATCTAAACTCTTTTTAAAAACAGAGAATGGAATGGTGGAGTTAGATGACTTTGTAAATGCTCTCGCCAAGGAGCGAAGTTTTCCTGAATGCAATGGTAGGTAGGAAATTTGTTTTAAAATGATTTAGAGGGAAGAGCAGTGTGTTGAGAAGAATTAGGTTCAACAGAACTGGGCTTGCTTTTGGATGGATACTTAATAGTCCTGTGACTCTTAGGCAAGTCAGTTGCCAGTTTTTAAAAACTTGCTATATCAGAGTAATAATAGCTAACTTGTTTACCTCACAGAGTTGTCACGTGAATTTTGCAAACTGAAAAGTGAGCCATAAATGTATGGTAATAATGATAATGCGGAGATCAAATAGGTAATTAGCAACATTGATTAGGAATTGATGGGTGATATGGTTTGTTTTTTTTTTTCCCATGGACTTGTTTGAATGAAATACTGGTTTGGTTCACCTTTGATTTAGAACTTTTAAAAACAGCTTTATCAAGGTATAATTTATGTATATAAAATTCACTCATCCACTGATTTTTATTAAATTTATTGAGTTGTAGAACTATTACCACAATACGCTTTTGTTGCTTGCAATATTTTTATACAAATGATTAAATATTTTTTAGCAAGATTAAAATGAGAAACGAAAGATATTAAGGCTTGCTGTTTTTATTTTGTTCTGTTTATACATATGCTAAAAACGAAAGATAAGCTTTTTGTCTCTTTCCAAAAAATTCCCCAGATAAGGAAAGATTAGTCCAAAGCAAGATTGCCTTTTATACTTAAATGAAGAGACTTATGTTAAAAGCTACATTATCATTTGTCATTTCTGATGGATGTAAGTGGTGAAGTGTCTGGATTTATTGAAGACAATATTAGCAAGTCGATTTCTTTTAAAAAGTGTTCCTTTATGTTCAGTTTGTAAGCAAATAGACTATTTTATTATACTTTAAGTTCTGGGATACATGTGCAGAACGTGCAGGTTTGTTACATAGGTATACACATGCTATGGTGGTTTGCTGCACCCTTCAACCCATCATCTACATTAGGTATTTCTCCTAATGCTATCCCCCTACTAGCCCCCTACCCCCTGACAGGCCCCAGTGTGTGATGTTCCCCTCCCTGTGTCCATGTGTTCTCATTGTTCAACTCCCACTTATGAGTGAGAACATGTGGTGTTTGGTTTTCTGTTCCTGCGTTAGTTTGCTGAGGATGATGGTTTCCAGCTTCATCCATGTCCCTGCAAAGGACAGGAACTCATTCTTTGTTATGGCTGCATAGTAGTCCATGGTGTATATGTGCCACATTTTCTTTATCCAGTCTATCATTGATGGGCATTTGGGTTGGTTCCAAGTCTTTGCTATTGTGAACAGCACTGCAATAAACATACATGTGCATGTGTCTTTATAGTAGAATGATTTATAATCCTTTGGGTATATACCCAGTAATGGGATTGTTGGGTCAAATGGTATTTCTGGTTCTAAATCCTTGAGGAATCGCCACACTTCTTCCACAATGGTTGAATTAATTTACATTCCCACCAACAGTGTAAAAGCGTTCCTATTTCTCCACATCCTCTTCAGCATCTGTTGTTTCCTGACTTTTTAATGATCGCCATTCTAACTGGCATGAGATGGTATCTCATTGTGGTTTTGATTTGCATTTCTCTAATGACCAGTGATGATGAGCTTTCTTTTCATCTTTGTTGGCCGCATAAATTGCTTCTTCTTTTTTTTTTTTTTTTTTTTGAGACAAAGTCTCACTCTGTCACCTAGGCTGGAGTGCAGTGGCACGGTCTTGGCTCACTGCAACCTTTGCCTCCTGGGTTCAAGTGATTTTCCTGCCTCAGCCTCTTGAGTAGCTGGGACTACAGGTACGTACCACCATGCCTGGCTAATTTTTTGTATTTTTAGTAGAGACAGGTTTTCACCATGTTTGCCAGGATGGTCTTGATCTCCTGACCTTGTGATCTGCCCACATCAGCCTCCCAAAGTTAAATGTCTTCTTTTGAGAAGCGTCTGTTCATATCCTTCACCCACTTTTTGATGGGTTTTTTTTTCTTGTAAATTTGTTTAAGTGCTTTGTAGATTCTGAATATCAGCCCTTTGTCAGGTGGATAGGTTGCAAAAATTTTCTCCCATTCTGTAGGTTTCCTGTTCACTCTGATGATAGTTTCTTTTGCGTGCAGAAGTTCTTTAGTTTAATTAGATCCCATTTGTCAATTTTGGCTTTTGTTGCCATTGCTTTTGGTGTTTTAGTCATAAAGTCTTTGCCCATGCCTATGTCCTGAATGGTATTGCCTAGGTTTTCTTCTAGGGTTTTTATGGTTTTAGATCTTACATTTAAGTATTTAATCCATCTTGAGTTATATTTTCTATTAGGTGTAAGGAAGGGTTCCAATTTCAGTTTTCTGCATATGGGTAGCCAGTTTTCCCAACACCATTTATTAAATAGGGAATCATTTCCCCATTGCTTGTTTCTGTCAGGTTTGCCAGAGATCAGATGGTTGTAGCTGTGTGGTGCTATTTGAGACCTCTGTTCTGTTCCATGGGTCTATATATCTGTTCTGGTACCAGTACCATGCTGTTTGCTGTTTTGATTACTGTAGCCTTTTAGTATAGTTTTAAGTCAGGTAGCGTGATACCTCTAGCTTTCTTCTTTTTGCTTAGGATTGTCTTGGCTATACAGGCTCTTTTTTGGTTCCATATGAAATTTAAAGTAGTTTTTTAATTCTGTGAAGAAAGTCAATGGTAGCTTGATGGGGATAGCACTGAATCTATAAATTACTTTGGGCAAGATGGCCATTTTCATGATATTGATCATTCCTATCCATGAACATGGAATTTTTTTACATTTGTTTGTGTCCTCTCTTATTTTCTTGAGCAGTGGTTTGCAGTTCTCCTTGAAGAGGTCCTTCACATCCCTTGTAAGTTGTATTCCTAGGTATTTTATTCTCTTTGTAGCAACTGTAAATGGGAGTTCACTCATGATTTGGCTCTCTGCCTGCCCGTTTTCGATGTATAGGAATGCTTGTGATTTTTGCACATTGATTTTGTATCCTGAGACCTTGCTGAAGTTGTTTATCAGCTTAAGGAGATTTTGGGCTGAGACGATGGGGTTTTCTAGATATACAATCATGTCATCTGCAAACAGAGGCAATTGGACTTCCTCTCTTCCTATGTGAATACGCTTTATTTCTTTCTCTTGCCTGATTGCTGTGGGGAGAACTTCCAATACTATGTTGAATAGGAGTGGTGAGAGAGGGCATCCTTGTCTTGTGCCGGTTGTCAAAAGGAATCCTTCCAGCTTTTGTCCATTCAGTATGATATTGGCTATGGGTTTGTCATAAATAGCTCTTATTATTTTGATATGTGTTCCATCAATACCTAGTTTATTGAGAGTTTTTAGCATGAAGGGGTGCTTAATTTTATTGAAGGCTTTTTCTGCATCTATTGAGATAATCATGTGGTTTTTGTCATTGGTTCTGTTTATGTGATGATAAGCTTTTTGATGTGTGGCTGGATTCAATTTGCCAGTATTTTATTGAGATTTTCACATCAATGTTCATAAGAAATATTGGCCCCAAATTTTCTTTTTTTGTTGTGTTTCTGCCTGGTTTTGGTATCAGGGTGATGCTGGCCTCATAAAATGAGTTAGAGCGGAGTCCCCCCTTTTCTGTTGTTTGGAATAGTTTCAGAAGGAATGCTACCAGCCCCTCCTTGTACCTCTGGTAGAATTTAACTCTGAATCCATCTGGTCCTGGGCTTTTTTTGGTTGGTAGGTTATTAATTACTGTCTCAATTTCAGAACCTGTTATTGGTCTATTCAGGGATTCGACTTCTTCCTGGTTTAGCCTTGGGAGGGTGTATGTGTCCAGGAATTTATCCATTTCTTCTAGATTTTCTAGTTTATTTGTGTAGAGGTGCTTATAGTATTCTCTGATGGTAGTTTGTATTTCTATGGGGTCAGTGCTGATATCCCCTTTATCATTTTTTATTGTGTCTATTTGATTCTTTTCTCTTTTCTTCTTTATTAGTCTTGCTAGCAGTCTATTTTGTTAATCATTTCAAAAAACCAGCTTCCAGATTCATTGATTTTTTGAAGTACTCTTCATGTCTCTATCTCTTTCTGTTTTTCTCTGATCTTAGTTATTTCTTGTTTTCTGATAGCATTTGAATTTGTTTGCTCTTGCTTCTCTAGTTCTTTTAATTGTGATGTTAGGGTGTCGATTTTAGATCTTTCCTGCCTTCTCCTGTGGGCATTTAGTGCTATAAATTTCCCTCTAAACACTGCTTTAGCTGCATCCCAGAGATTCTGGTACATTGTGTCTTTGTTCTCATTGGTTTCAAGTAACTTATTTATTTCTGCCTTCATTTCATTATTTACCCAGTAGTCATTCAGGAGCAGGTTGTTCAGTTTCCATGTAGCTGTTTGGTTTTGAGTGAGTTTCTTAATCCTGAGTTCTAATTTGATTGCACTGTGGTCTGAGAGACTGTTGTGATTTCCATTCTTTTGCATTTGCTGAGGAGTATTTTGCTTCCAATTATGTGGTCAATTTTAGAATAAGTGCGATGTAGTGCTGAGAAGAGTGCATATTCTGTTGATTGGGGGTGGTCAATTTTAGAATAAGTGCGATGAAGTGCTGAGAAGAATGTATATTGTTGGTTGGGGGTGGAGAGTTCTGTAGGTGTCTATTAGGTCTGCTTAATCTAGAGCTGAGTTCAAGTCCTGAAAATCCTTATTAATTTTTTGTTTCCTTGAGCTGTCGACTATTGATAGTGGGGTGTGAAATTCTCTCACTTTCATTGTGTGGGAGTCTAAGTATCTTTGTACGTCTCAAAGAACTTGTTTTATGAATCGGGGTACTCCTGCATTGGGTGCATATATATTTAGGATAGTTAGCTCTTCTTGTTGCATTAATCCCTTCTTTGTCTTTTTTGATCTTTGTTGGTTTAAGGGCTGTTTTATCACAGACTAGGATTGCAACCCCCAGTTTTTTTTTTTTGTTTTTTTTTTTTTGCTTTCCATTTGCTTGGTGAATAGTTCCCCATCCCTTTATTTTGAGCCTATGTGTGTCTTTGCATGTGAGATGGGTCTCCTGAATACATTTAATTTGCCAGTCTGTGTCTTTTAATTGGGGCATTTAGCCCCTTCACATTTAAGGTTAATATTGTTCTATGTTAATTTCATCCTGTCATCATGATGCTAGCTGGTTATTTTGAACATTAGTTGATGCAGTTTCTTCATAGTGTGATTGGTCTTTATATACGACTGTTTTTTTTTTTTGCAGTGGCTGGTATTAAGAAAGTTTTTCTTATATTAAGAAAGTTTTTCCCTTCTTAATATTTAGTGCTTCCTTCAGGAGCTCTTGCAAGGCAGGCCTGGTGTTGACAAAATCCCTCAGCGTTTGCTTGTATGTAAGGATTTTATTTCTCCTTCACTTATAAAACTTAGTTTGGCTGGATATGAAATTCCAGTTAGAAAATTCTTTTCTTTAAGAATGTTGAATATTGGCCCCCACTCTCTTTTGGCTTGTAGGTTTTCTGCAGAGAGATCTGCTGTTAGTCTGATGGGCTTCCCTTTGTAGGTAACCTGACCTCTCTCTCTGGCTGCCCTTAACTTTTTTTTTTTTTATTGAGAAGGAGTCTCGCTCTGTTGCCCAGGCTGGAGTGCAGTGGCACATCTCCGCTCACTGCAAGCTCCGCCTCCTGGGTTCACGCCATTCTCCTGCCTCAGCCTCCCACGTAGCTGGGACTACAGGCGCCCACCACCACGCCTGGCCAATTTTTTGTATTTTTTTAGTAGAGATGGGGTTTCACCGTGTTAGCCAGGATGGTCTCGATCTCCTGACCTTGTGATCCGCCCGCCTCGGGCTCCCAAAGTGCTGGAATTACAGGCGTGAGCCACCACGCTCAGCCAACTTTTATTCCTCCATTTCAACCGTGGAGAGTCTGATGATTTTGTGCCTTAGGGTTGCTCTTCTCAAGGAGTATCTTAGTGGTATTCTCTGTATTTCCTGAATTTGAATGTTGCCCTGTCTTGCTAGATTGGGGAAGTTCTCCCAGATAATATCCTGAAGTGTGTTTTCCAATTTGGTTCCATTCTCCCCTGTCACTTTCAGGGACCCTAATCAATCGTAGGTTTGGTCTTTTCACATAGTCCCATATTTCTTGGAGGCTTCGTTCATTCCTTTTCAATCTTTTGTCTCTAATCCTGTCTTCATGTCTTATTTCAGTAAGTTGAACTTCAATCTCTGATATCCTTTCTTCTGCTTGATTGATTCAGCTATTGATACTTGTGTATGCTTCATGAAGTTCTTGTGCCGTGTTTTTCAGCCCCATCAGGTCATTTATGTTCTTCTCTAAATTGGTTGTTCTATTAGCAGTTCCTGTAACCTTTTGTCAGGGTTCTTAGCTTCTTTGCATTGGGTTAGAACATGCTCCTTTAGCTCAGAGGAGTTTGTTATTACCCACCTTCTGAAGCCTACGTCTGTCAAATCATCAAACTCATTCTCTGTCTAGTTTTGTGCCCTTGCTAGAGAGGAGTTGCAATCATTTGGAGGAGAAGAGGCATTCTGGTTTTTGGAATTTTCAGCGTTTTTGTGCTGGTTTGTCCTCATCTTTATGGATTTACCTACCTTTGATCTTTGGATGGTGTTTCTGTATGGGGGTTCCTTATGTTGATGATGTTACTGCTTTCTGTTTGTTACTTTTTCTTCTAACAGTCATGCCCGTCTTCTGCAGGTCTGCTGCAGTTTGCTGGAGGTCCATTCCAGACCTTATGTGCCTGGGTATTACTAGTGTAGGCTGCAGAACAGCAAAGATTGCTGTTGCTCCTTCTTCTGGAAGCTTTGTCCCAGAGGGGCACCAGGCTGATGCCAGCCAGAGCTCTCCTGCATGAGGTGTCTGACAATCGCTGTTGGGAGGTCTCTCCCCATCAGGAGGTATGGAGGTCAGGGACCCAGTTGAGGAGGCAGTCTGTCCCTTAGCAGAGCTCAAGCGCTGTGCTGGGAGAGCCCTCCTTGTCAGGATCTGCTGCTCTCTTCAGAGTCAGCAGGCAGGAACGTTTAAAGTCCGCTGAAGTTGTGCCCACAGCCGCCCCTTCCCCCAGATACGCTGGTCCAGTGAGATGGGAGTTTTATCTATAACCCCTTGACTGGGGCTGGTGCCTTTCTTTCAGAGATGCCCTTCCCAGTGAAGAGGAATCTAGAGAGGCAGTCTGGCTGCAGCCACTTTGCCACACTGTGTTGAGCTCCACCCAGTCCGAACTTCCAGGCCTTTTTAGCGCTGTCAGGGGAAAACAAGCCTCAGTAATGGCAGATGCCCTTCCCCACACCAAGCTTGATCCTCCTAGTTTGACTTCAGACTGCTGTGCTGGTAGCGAGAATTTTAACCCAGTGGTTCTTAGCTTGCTGGGCTCCATGGGAGTGGGTCCCGCTGAGCGAGACCACTTGGCTCCCTGGCTTCAGCCCCTTTCCAGGGGAGTGAACAGCTCTGTCTCGCTGGGATTCCAGGTGCCTCTGGGGTACAAAAAAAAACTCCTGCAGCTAGCTTGGTGTCAGCCCAAACAGCCGCCCAGTTTTATGCTTGAAACCCAGGGCCCTGGTGGTGTAGGCACGCGAAGGAATCTCCTGGTCTGTGGATTGCAAAAACCGTGGGGAAAGCATAGTATCTGGCCCAGATAGCACAGTCTCTCAAGGCTTCCCTTGGCTGGGGGAGGGAGCCCTCCCACCCCCTCCCCGCCGCCGCCTGCTCCTTGCACTTCGTGGGTGAGGCGATGCCCAACCCTGCTTCTGCTCGCCCTCCATGGGCTGCACCCACTGCCCAACCAGTCCCAATGAGATGAGCAGGGTACGTCAGTTGGAAATGCAGAAATCACCGGCCTTCTGTGTTGGTCTTGCTGGGAGCTGCAGACCGGAGCTGTTCCTGTTCAGCCATCTTGCCAGCAGTCTCAGTGTTTGCATAGTTTCCAAAATTCCTTAGTTATTGATTTTTAGTTTTATTATATCGGGATCAGAAAAGTACTTCATATGATTTTGACTTTTTAAAATTTGTTGAGACTTCTTTTGTGGCCTGACGTGTGGCCTATCCTGGAGAATGTTCGATGTGCTGATGAGAATAATGTGTATTTGCAGCAGTTGGATGAAATGTTCTGCAAATGTCAGGTTCATTTGATCTAGAGTGTAGTTTAACTTTGATGTTTCTTTGTTGATTTTCTTTCTGGATCATCTGTCCATTACTGAGAATGGTGTGTTGAAGTCCTCTACTAGGATTGCATTGCAGTCTCTCTCTCCCTTTAGGTCTATTAATGTTTGCTTTATATATTTGGGTCCTCTGTTGTTGTGTACATACATATTTATAATTGTTATATCCTCTTACTGGATCAGCCCCTTTATTATTACTTGGTGACCTTCTTTGTCTCTACAGTCTTTGATGAGATTTCCTTAAAACCACTATTTTGGATTCTTTATCTGAGAGCTCACACATTGCTGTCTTATTAAGGTCAGTTACTAGTTCTTTACTCTGTCCATCTGAGGAGGTCATGGTTCCTAGTTTGCTGTTCTTCCTTGTGGACATATGTCTATATCTTGTCATTGAACCATTAATTATTTATTCCAGTCTTTGCTGTCTAGCTTGTTTTGGTCTTCCCAGGGTATATATGCTTAGAGGATTTTTGCACTTTGCCTGTTGAGTCACCTTAACCCTAGATCACTGCATCTTTTTGTTACTAGATTGTATTTTAAACCCAGATTTGCCTTGGCTTCACAACTGTTCAGAGTCCTGCATGTCTCAAATGGGGAGGTCTCAAAAGCGATACTCTAGCTGTGTGGGAAGGCTGTCTATAGGTTCATGCTGAGTGGAGCCATGGCATGTGCCTTCCTACAGTGTGGTACTGCTGAACAGCCACTCTGATTTGGTGTCTCCTTTGGCTGAGATAAAGAGCAGAATTTTGTGGCCTGGGGTTGCTGGTCCCACCTCTCTTTTAGTTTCTAGCTGCCCTCAGGGGGTTTATTGCCTATAGGCACTCATAATACTTCCTTTGGGTTGATTCAGGAATGGTTTTCCTGTAAAGGAACCCAAGATGGTGGGGAAGCTGGCTGACTGCCATGGTCTCACTTTTTCCACTGTAGAAATGAAGATTTCAGGGGGACTTTTCCTCATGGTACCTGGCAGTTTGGGGGAGGGGTGTTGTGGATATAGAAGTCCTTTTTTCTTAACATCTGCTTGGAGATTTTCACTTCTCTGTGCCCCCAGGAGTCATTTCAGCTTCAGATGTGAGTTCTGGGATATTACTGGTGTTAATCTTGGCACTGGATATTTGTTTTTGGTTTTCAGTAGGGGAGAATGAAGCCAGATTGCTTCTGTTCTGCCATTTTGGTGACATCACACTTCTGGTTTCTAAGGTTAATTTATGTAGTATGTATCGGTAGTTCATCCCCTTTTAAGGCTAAATAAATCTATATTATATTGTATGGATATTCTTTACTTTGTTGGTGGTCCATTGGCTCATGGACATTTGATTATTTCCAGTTTGGGGCTGTTATGAATAATACTGAAATTAACATTTGTATACATGTCTTCCTCTGGACATACACTTTTATTTCTCTTGGGGAGATTCCTAAGAGAAGAATTTTAGTCTATATGGTGAATTTATGTTTAACTCTTAAACTGTCAAAACTGTTTTCCAAAGTGTTTATAACATTTTCATTTTTCACCAACAATGTATGAGGATTCTAGTTTCTTCACATCTTCTCAACACTTGATTTTTTTTTTTATTATAACTGTTATAATAGGTGTGAAATGGTATTTCACTGTGGTTTTAGTTTTGCATTTCCTTAATGAGTAATGATGTCAAGCATATTTTCACATGCTTACTAGCCATTCATAATCTTTTTTTTGAGACTGGGTCTTGCTCTGTCATCTAGGCTGGAGTGCAATGGCTGAATCATTGCACACTGCAGCCTAGACCTCCTGGGCTCAAATAATCCTTCCACCTCAGCTTCCCAAGTAGCTGGGATCACAGGCACATGCCACTCAGCCCAGCTAATTTTTAAAAATAATCTTTTGTAGAGATGTGGTCTCCCTGTGTTGCTCAGGCTGGTCTTGAACTCCTGGTATCAAGCAATTCCCCGCTTGGCCTCTGAAAATGCTGAGATGGCAGGTGTGAGCCACTGTACTCCCAAGCGTATAGCTCTTTATATGGACCTGCATCAAGGAAGCATTGTGTGAGTTCAAGCAAGAAAGCCCCATGACAAACTAAACAAGATTCTCAAAGGTACAGCTCTTTATATTCACTCAGCAGCCACTTTACAATCCCAAGTCTTAGAGGGTTAGGTGAGAATAGAGTTCTTATCAGCCACCTCATGAATTTAGAACCATCTTTCCCCTTGCTGACTCAATACAGTGACCAGGCCCCTCATTTCATCTTTTTTTTTTTTTTTTTTACCCTATCCCTCTCTGACAGATTATGCTAACTTTGAATCTCAAGAATAATAGTTGGAAACTCATTCTCTTCTTTTACCTGGGCTTTTTGTATAAATGGTCCACCCTTTCCCCAGATTTCTGCATTCCATGTGGTATTGGATGTATAGAAGCTGAGCTGATGAAAGAAAAATGTTTCTGTTATTCTACCCCTACAGTGGCTGCAAATGATTTTCCATTTTATCTCAAATTTGCTTAAGGTGACTTGCTGTTTCTACCTGTAAAATTAAAAAAGAGCTTTTAATTTTTAAATGGGAATTTTGTTCACTTAAAAATTTCTTTCACAAGATAGGGACATGTATCTTGCTGTATGTACTATTTACACATCTTCTTTAAAAGAATCATCTTTTAAATAATCATTTTAAGAATCATCAAGTTCAGACATCAGTTTGATCATCACTTGTTTGTTTAGAAAGCCATAATGATTTCCAGTGACTACTTAAAGTTTATACCTGGTAATGGCTTTAATGCCCTCTGCTGCCTAGCTTCCTACTTTACCTATCCTAATCAATTAGAGAAAACCTATTTAATTTGTTCTAGAGTTTGTGTGTGTATATGTGTGTATGTGTATATATTGTGTGTGTTTGTATATTATAAAACTTATTGAGAGAGGGGTAGAATATACAAACACAATATACACAAACAATATTCACACACAATATACACGCATACACAACCTCTGTTTTTTTCATACACACACACACACACACACTTTCTCTCTCTCTCTCTGTGTTTTTTCATCTTTTTCTTCAAGTGATTTAAGGTGCCACCTCTACTTTGAAGTTTTCTGATTAAACCAGATGAATTCCAGTTAGCCAACCTTCTTAAGAGTTCAGTATATTTGTAAGTAATTTCCTTTAAGAATGCTTTAATTGCAGTAAAAATTTATCAGTTTAAATTTTGTGGAGAAAATACTGACCAAATTTATGAAGAGTAAATTCCAAGTTATTATAAGAAGAGATGTAGAATAGTTATTCCTAAGTAATAATATGTATATTTAGAAAGATAAACTAAGGTGAATTTACCAAAGACTGAGCCATGTATTGCCACAAAATTATCCAAGTTTATCATTTTGGATTGAAAATTTTCTGCTTGTATTTCTGCTACTGAGAAGCAGAGTACAAAGAATTTTAAATTGTTGAATTAAATGGAGAAATTATATAATATTTTGTTCCTATGTATTTCAGTTATGGTACTATCAGTGCAATTAAATTGGTGCTTCCTTAGGTTCAGAGACTATAGTATAGTAGAATAATATATATGTGTATGTGTGTCTGTCTGTCTATCTATCTATCTGTCTATCTATCTATCTATCATATATTTTTTGAGATGGTCTTGCTCTGTTGCCTAGGTTGAAGCACAGTGGTACTATCATAGCTCACCTCAGCCTTCATCTTCTGGGCTCAAGCAATTCTCCTACCTCAGCCTCCCCAGTAGCTAGGAATACAGGTGCACACCACTATGCCCAGCTAATTTTTTATTTTTTTGTGGAGACAGGGGTCTTGCTTTGTTGCCCAAGCTGCTTTCAAATCCCTGGCCTCAAGTGATTCTTCCGCCTGGCCTCTCAAAGTGTTTGAATTACAGGTGTGAGCTACTGTGTGTGGCCTAGAATAATATATTTTTGACTTTGATTTTGATACTTACTTTTTTTATTAAAGATTCTAGATATGCTTTTAGTATATAACACTGCTGAAGTGATTTATATTTTTGTTAATTTAGTGTTAGAACTAAAATTCATCTTGTTAGTGGTGTTTTATTTTTGACTTATATTTAATACTTATTAGCATACTCCTTTATTTTTAGCGTTGCCTGGTGTCATTAAAGCCATTGATAAAATTAAAGATAAAAATGTGGATTATGAGGATCTAAATACTTGTCTTCAAAATTTTGGTATTTACCTTTCTAAGCCAGAATTTAAGAAGATCACAGAACTGACTGAAGCTGGTGGTGAGTGATATATTTTCAGGCAAACTGCATTGACACATCTGGAAGGAGGGTCAATTTGTTATTTTTTTCTTAGAAAAATGACTAATTTTTTTATTATAAAAAGTTAAAATTAAACTAATACAAAAAGTATGGAAATACTCAAAAGTACAAGAAAACACTCAAAAGCCTGTTATTTAGGAATAACCAGTATTAATAGTCTTTTTAATTAAAAAAAAATTTTATTTATTTATTCTTTAAATAATCTTTTCAAGATTTTTTTTCCTAGGCAAAAATGCAGACAAAAAGAAAGCAGAATTTGTGGTATTGCTGTCTGACAAGGTAGAAGTCAGGACAAAAGGCATTAAATTGGGGCAAATAGGGATTCATTATTATGTCAAAACCTACAATTCACAATAAAGTTAAACCATTTTTGAGTATCTGTGCCCATATAACCTAGCAGCAGCTCTTCTAAAGGAAAGGGTGAGAGTGGCTCGACAGGAGACTGGGGTTATAGGTGAAATAATATTGTCTATGAGTTGATAATTGTTGACGCTAGAGATAGTATATGAACATATTACACTATTCTATTTTGTGTATATTTAACATTTTCCATAATAAAAAGTAAAAAAAGGAATATGTCTAAGTTGTATGATACCTGTATAGAGAAAATAAGACTATGTGAAGACATTAAAATCTAGATAAATAAGAATGTATCCCATGTCTGTAGATTCAGAGACCCAAGACTGTCAATTCTCTAATTAACTTATTTATTCAAAGCAATTCTAATAAAACCCTGACTTTTTTGTAAGCTAATTCTAATATTTATATGAATGACTAAAGGCTAAGAATAGCTAAAGCACTCTTGAAGAAGAACATTTGTGGAGATATGTGTGTGTTGGGGGGTGGGGGTTGGGAGGAACTTGCTCTCCTGGATATCAAATCTCCTTATAAAGCCGTAGTGACTAAAAGAGTGTGAGAATGGCAAAGGGATAGAGAAATTTACCAATAGGACAAGATAAGGAACTTCCAAACATATCCACAAACATACATGGCAACATATATGATAAAGTGGTGGATAACTGGGGAAAGAAGGACCATTTAATAAATGGTACTGAAAAAATTACTTATTCAAATGGAAAGAATAGTTAGATCCCTGTCTCACTCCGTATTCAATAATTTCCAGGTGTGAGAACTAAGGTTTAGAAAAAACAAAGGGAAGAAAAATTTTCTGACGTAGGATTTTTTAAGATATGAAATAAGAAACTAGAAAAGATTGATAAATTTGCATACATTAAGAACTTCTCTTTGTTAAAAGATACAACAAAGAGAATGAAATACAAGCCACACACTGGTTATTTGCAACACTTACAACAGTGATGATTATCGTAGAGAATATATAGGCAACTTTTACAAACCAACAACTCAACAGATATTATAGAAGTTTTCCACATGAAGACACAAGTTGCTAATAATCACATGAAAAGGTTCTCAACATCCTTAGTAATTAGGGAAGTGCAAAGTTTAGGTCATAATGAGATACTTAAAAAAAAAAGAGGGATCTGTTGGCCTCAAACTCCTGGGCTCAAGCAATCCTCCCACCTCATCTTCCTGAGTAGCCGGGACTAAAGGCACAAGCCACCATGCCTGGCTCATGACATACATTTTTATATCCACTAAAATTGGGAAAAAGTAAGAAATATGTTATTCTAAGTATTGGTAAATATGGTGAAAGTGGTAAAACCACTTTGGAAAATAATATGTAGTATCTTGTAACATTTGCATATCCCATGGTTTAGAAATACTATTCTTAGCTATAAATCCTGGAAAATCTCTTGGACTTAAGTACCAGGAAGCATATTCAAGAATGTACATGGCAGCACTGATCTTAATGGCAAAAAAGGAGAAAGAAAGCAGCATGATATTCATCCACAGAATGTATACATAAATTGTGGTATACACCATTGTGTATTCATATAATGGAAACCCCATCTCTCCTAAAAATATGAAAATTAACTGGGCATGGTGACGTGCCTGTAATCCCAGCTGCTTGGGAGGCTGAGGTGGGAGAATCGCTTGAACCTGGGAGGTGGAGGTTGCAGTGAGCTGAGATTGCACCGCTGCACTCTAGCGTGGGTGACAGAGTGAGACTCTTTCTCAAAAATAAATAAATAAATAAATAAATAAATAAATAAATAAAAATAAAAATAAATAAAAGTTAAAAATATTATGTATGCTTGAGAGGGACTGGAAGAATTTTGACCCGTTTTCTTGGTGTTTTTCAGCGTTTACTTCTCTACTGTAAATTGATTTGCTTTTCCCCTTTATACCCATATATTTTTATTGGTTAGTATTACCTGATGGATATAATTATATATTTCTGAATATATAACGTATTTTATATAATTCAATATTTTTCATAATAATACTTAAAAGATGCCAAAAAAATGTGTTTCTTTTTCCTGTAGAAACAAAAAAAGTGAATTTTAAAGAATTCATTGATACTATGATGAGCAACACGGAATGCTTCTCTGAAAAATTAGGTACGTAAGAATATCATGTCTTCTGCTTTTTGTGGACCAAATAGTTTGACAGATTTTAGAAGAGCGTAAACACTCTTTTAGTCTCTTATAGAGCTAGTTATCCTGCAGGTCATCCGACAAATAAATGCCTGGCTTCCTGCTGCTATATTTGGCTTTAATCTCCTCTAATGACCCCTAATTCTAGAATGTCTTCTACATGCAAGTGAATTAAAAGCTATCATAATTTTATTTTTCATTAGCGCACTTATAGAGGGCTAGAACCATGTATAGCATTCGTTTTGGGGAAAAGATTTAAAATGTCTTTCAACTTAGGAAAAATGATGCCTTCTAGTGCCTGAGTACTAATATGAGAATTTCTGGTTACATCTGTCCCCATTTCTTTCTATCTTCCAATGTATTCAGTAACATTTATGAACCATTAATATGTACTAGGCTTTATGTTAAGCTGTAAGTGTGGTAATATGGAAAAGATAGTTTTGCCACTCAGAAGTTCACCATAAAGAAGTGTAAGGTCACATGTGTATATTTTTAATGGAGTGAAGTTAGTATGCATTCTAAAAATTGGGGCTGAAAGTAACATCGTATTATTTTGTTCTTACATGTTAGGTAACAGTAGATTTTAAGTAGCAGCTCTTTTTACCTTACAATATAAGATTTAATTTGTCTCCTATATAGGGGTATATCATACAGAGAAAGAGATTGTCAGTTACTTCATTTTTCCTAGGAAATTCACTTTTATGGAGTTTAAAATTTTATTAGCACAGAGTTATATAGTATATTACCTAATCTATCTCTGTCATTGTATTTTATATCTCATTGTTAATATTGCATGTTTATGTTTACTTCTTTTTCTTTTTTCTTCATTAGACTGCTCAAAGCATGTCTTCTTTATTGGTTCCATATACCTCATTGGGACCTTATATCCCTTTACCCCTCCGCTTTCTCCTAATCCATCAGTCTCCTCCTGTTTTCACTTTTCTTCCTTATTTAGTTTAAATTATCTTATCTATATATACCTAATACCCTAGACTGTCTTGCCTCCGTGTACTTTTGTTGCACCTATCTGGCAAAACTCTCAACCCCGAATGAACCCAATTACCTTCCTTCTTGTGTCTGACAGCATTTCTGGAGAAGATCACACAGCTGAGAAGATTGTACAGGTTATAAACAAAATCTTGGTCACTAATATCTGCTGGCTCTTCCTAACTGTCTAATCTTCCTGAGAATCCATTCTCTATATAGCAGCACAGTGACTTTTTACAAATTTGTAGTAAGATAATTGCACTCCTTTGTTTAAGATGCTCCAGGATTTTGCATTGAAATAGTCTTCTTTTTGTTGTCTACAGTGGTAGATTGAAGAGGAAGTAGGAGCCAGAGGAGAATTTTAGGGAGAGATATAGAACAAAAGCTACTTAATTGTATTATCAATTGAAAATGTTTCTGAATTCACACTTTTAAAAATCTAACTTCAATAAAAATTATTATTTATAATGTTTATTCAGGGTTGGGGCACTGTAAGTTCTTAAAATATTTCAAGATCCTCAAAAATACATTATATTTTAGGCTAAATATTTTATTATGTTTTCATTTTTGAAAGTTGGCAATTCATTTATGCTATATTTATTATTCTTTTAAACCATAAAAACCTTAATTTTTGTCTATTCCAGATGACAGTTTACTGTATTAACTTCTTGCATAAGCATTCGTAAAACTTGTGTTTTATCTACCCTTTAGTATTGCCTGATGCTATTGAAACCCTCGACGATCTCAGAAAGGAGACGATGAGTGTTTCTGACCTGTGGAATACTCTGTCTAGTTTGAATAGTAATTTAAAAAAGGATGAATTTCTAGCTGCATTGGAACTAGTGACAGTTGATGGTGAGTGTTACAAATACTAAAATTAAAAAGTATACCAAGATATTACTTTATTTTCTGTCAACTCTTGTCATTGTATCTTGTACTTGGCGAGACGGAGTGTTCGAATATGATTGAAATGCCAACATATGCATTTAGGAAATATTGTATAAAGAAAGTTCAGATTGTTTGGCTATTCAATATAAAAATATTATTATGTAATTTATTATTGCTCTAAATTGATCAAATATGCATTGAGTACCTTCAAGTTGTGTGGTATGTTACTGGAAAATGGCATATCCCAATGAACACAGAGGGCATGATTAGGAAATGTTAAGAGATCTATTCAAATTTTATAATAACAGTACTTGGAATATTCATACTGTTTTGTTGAAATAGGCTTTTATTTAATTTGGTAGAAAAACACACCTGCTGATAGCTACCACCTCTATTTAGCAAGTTAAAAAAAAAAGCAAACAAAATAAAAACAAAGTTCAAAAAAGTATTGTATAACAAAGACTATAGACTAAAAAATGTAAAGTAAGTCTCCATCATTTACTGCTCATATTCTACATGCAGGAAGGAGAGTACCCAGCCTACAGGTAGACATTTCTACTCTCTCATAGTCTTAGTGCCTAGAAGTTAAAAATGTACCTAGTACGTTTATATTCTTTTATGTGGAATGTTTATACAGAACTAGATTAGTAACACGAGCATGCTGTCAGGGGTCTTTGTCAAAGAACTGTCTTTTTCTGTAATCATTTATTATCCTTTTCATCCATTAAGCTTCCATTTAGTTGAGGCTAGAAGTTTTGGGCTTTAAATGTATTGATTATTTTATTGGAAGATTTGAGGTGAAAAGGGTTGATGAAAAATAGAAGGCTAATTTCTACCCAATAATATAGATTTTCTTCCCTTTTTCTCTGTGGCAGTGCTTCAGGTTCTTTTGTTAAAGTTAATGGAATTTATAGGCAACATGTACCACAGAAAGTAATAGATAGCATTTATTTGAACCAGACCAACAAAGTATTATTTTATGAGATATGAAAATAACGTCCCTCTCCCTCTCCCCCTCCCCCTCCCCCTCCCCCTTTCCCTCTCATGCCGAGCCGAAGCTGGACTGTACTGCTGCCATCTCGGCTCACTGCAACCTCCTTGCCTGATTCTCCTGCCTCAGCCTGCCAAGTGCCTGCAATTGCAGGCGCGCGCCGCCACGCCTGACTGGTTTTCGTATTTTTTTGGTGGAGACGGGGTTTCGCTGTGTTGGCCGGGCTGGTCTCCAGCTCCTAGCCGCGAGTGATCCGCCAGCCTCGGCCTCCCGGGGTGCCGGGATTGCAGACGGAGTCTGGTTCACTCAGTGCTCAATGGTGCCCAGGCTGGAGTGCAGTGGCATGATCTCGGCTCGCTACAACCTCCACCTCCCAGCCGCCTGCCTTGGCCTCCCAAAGTGCCGAGATTGCAGCCTCTGCCCGGCCGCCACCCCGTCTGGGAAGTGAGGAGCGTCTCTGCCTGGCCGCCCATCGTCTGGGACGTGAGGAGCCCCTCTGCCTGGCTGCTCAGTCTGGAAAGTGAGGAGCATCTCTGCCCGGCCGCCATCCCATCTAGGAAGTGAGGAGCGCCTCTTCCCGGCCGCCATCCTATCTAGGAAGTGAGGAGCGTCTCTGCCCGGCCGCCCATCGTCTGAGATGTGGGGAGAGCCTCTACCCCGCCGCCCCGCCTGGGATGTGAGGAGCGCCTCTACCCGGCCGCGACCCCATCTGGGAGGTGAGGAGCGTCTCTGCCCGGCCGCCCCGTCTGAGAAGTGAGGAGACCCTCCGCCTGGCAACCGCCCGTCTGAGAAGTGAGGAGCCCCTCCGCCCGGCAGCTGCCCCGTCTGAGAAGTGAAGAGCCCCTCCACCCGGCAGTCACCCCGTCTGGGAAGTGAGGAGCGTCTCCACCCAGCAGCCACCCCATCCGGGAGGGAGGTGGGGGTCAGCCCCCGCTAGGCCAGCCGCCCCGTCCGGGAGGGAGGTGGGGGGGTCAGCCCCCCGCCCGGCCAGCCGCCCCGTCCGGGAGGGAGGTGGGGGGATCAGCCCCTGCCCGGCCAGCCGCTCCGTCCGGGAGGGAGGTTGGGGGGTCAGCCCGCCGCCCGGCCAGCCGCCCCGTCCGGGAGGGAGGTGGGGGGGTCAGCCCCCCCCTGGCCAGCCACCCCGTCTGGGAGGTGAGGGGCGCCTCTGCCCAGCCGCCCCTACTGGGAAGTGAGGAGCCCCTCTGCCCGGCCAGCCGCCCCGTCCGGGAGGGAGGTGGGGGGGTCAGCCCCCCGCCCGGCCAGCCACCCCGCCCGGGAGGTGAGGGGCGCCTCTGCCCGGCCGCCCCTACTGGGAAGTGAGGAGCCCCTCTGCCCGGCCACCACCCCGTCTGGGAGGTGTACCCAACAGCTCATTGAGAACGGGCCATGATGACAATGGCGGTTTTGTGGAATAGAAAGGGGGGAAAGGTGGGGAAAAGATTGAGAAATCGGATGGTTGCCGTGTCTGTGTAGAAAGAGGTAGACATGGGAGACTTTTCATTTTGTTCTGTACTAAGAAAAATTCTTATCCTGTTGATCTGTGACCTTACCCCCAACCCTGTGCTCTCTGAATCATGTGCTGTGTCCACTCAGGGTTAAATGGATTAAGGGCGGTGCAAGATGTGCTTTGTTAAACAGATGCTTGAAGGCAGCATGCTCCTTAAGAGTCATCACCACTCCCTAATCTCAAGTACCCAGGGACACAAACACTGCGGAAGGCCGCAGTGTCCTCTGCCTAGGAAAACCAGAGACCTTTGTTCACTTGTTTATCTGCTGACCTTGCCTCCACTATTGTCCTATGACCGTGCCAAATCCCCCTCTGCGAGAAACACCCAAGAATAATCAATAAAAATAAATAAATAAATAAATAAAATAACTAGAAAAGTATTTTTTATGATAATAAAAACTCATATATTGTGTTTATTATTCTTTCTTTGGAGGGGACAAGGTCTTGCTTTGTCACCCAGGCTGGAGTGCAGTGGCGCAATCTCGGCTCACTGCAACCTCTGCCTCCCGGTTCAAGCGATTCTGCTGCCTCAGCCTCCCAAGTAGCTGGGACTACAGGTGCACAGCACTGTGCCTGGCTAATTTTTTGTAGAGACGGGGTTTTGTCATGTTGTCCAGGCTGGTCTCAAACTCCTGAGTTCAGGTGATCTTCTGGCCTTGGCCTCCCTAAGTGCTGGGATTACAGGCATGAGCTACCGCACCAGGCCTGTGTTTATTATTCTGTACTTATGAAGCAAAAGACAGTATATAAAATGCAGATTTTACAATTTAAGCCTAAATATACACATGATATTGAAAACTGTATCTGTACGCCATTTGTCATATCATTTCTTCTTTTAACATTGTGCACTTAGTACAAAGGTATTTAGTTCTTATTTTAATGCAGTGGTTTGCAAAATTTTGAGATTTGTTATTTTTGTTTATATTTGATATTGTTAAAGCAGAATGCTTTTTTTCCAAATTAAATCTTATACAGTATCCTAATATATAAAATATTAAAGTTGAGCTTCTCTGACCAAAGTGGGAGAAATGACCAAGTGAACTGCTGAAACAGCTCCATAAGACCTTAGAAATATAAGAAAGAACTTAAAATTACTGATCTAGGGTATTATTTTGACCAGGTTATGTTAAAAAGAAAAAAAACCCTGAAAAACAACTGATTCAGATTCTCTCTAGTGAAATTGAAGAGTGAGTTCTTGGTTATTGGTGGTATTCCATGTTGACTCCTTAATATTTTAAAATATATTTAAAATTAAAAAATAATTTTATGATGATTACAAAAAAAGCATTGAAAAATAGAAAAGGTAATTTATCATTTGGCATATTCAGAAATACTTCCCAAATATCTAGTCATGTAGCTTATGAGCTCTCTTGTTTCTTCTGAAAGACCTGAGTGAAGAAAGTTGGTGTTGAGCAAAAATGTGTAAGAGGGTATGGAAAATGGTCAAGGTGAATGTGAGACATTGAATCCATAGGCGAAGAATTAGAGGAAATCATTAATAGGTGTTGTTAGGCATTTAAGGCCTGGGACAATCTCTTCTCTGCTGGTGGTTTCTCTAGCTTTATTTGTTTTAGATTTTTAAACTTAAACTGATATTCTCTGTTTCTCCTGACTCTGATATCTGATGTGTTTGAAATTAGCTTAATAACTTTGTTTTCTTTTCGGCTTGGCAGCAAGACTCTGAACTTATCTTCATGACTTTTTATGCAATATCCATTGAAGCCAGATCTGAATCTTTGTTTCAGGCTCTAACTTTGCAACCTGGCATCAGCTGTGATTAATCCTGTTTTGGTGGTTTAGCAAAGAATAATTGAGCTACAAATTCTTGACAGCAGCTCTATCCATCCACATTTCTTTTCACAGGATTTATTTAAAGATATCCAGGAAATCTTTCCTAATATTGGTAGTTGCTATTCTATTTCAGCAAGTTGTATGAACCTAAGGATCAAATGAGATCACAGGTCATGCTTACAGATTTGGGTCCCTTGGTAAACAGGTCCAAAGCTAGCTGTAGATTTTGTTAGTGTTATCAGTACCTGTTGACGTCAGATGGCTCCCTGCTTCCTTTCTTCCTTTGCCTCCTTGCCTCCTTGCCTCTCTCCCTCCCTTCCCTTCCCTTCCCACTCTCCCTCCCTCCTTTGCTTCCCTCCCTTCTCCTCCCCTCCCCTTCCCTCTCCTTCCCTTCCCTTCCCTTCCCTTCCTTCCAGAATTGTAAGTAGCTGTGATTTAGTTCTACTTGATTATACATACCAAGAACTAGATTCAGAGGGGACTCCATTTAGGTGACTGAATTACAGTACCCGTTGCCTACTTTAAGCTGAGCTTTAAGCTACTGTAAATTGAAGACACTTAATTAAGAGCGTCTTTATATAACATGGTCTTAGAATATTTGATTATGTAACCTTGTTGACTGATGTGAAGCTAGTGGAAGGCCATCCTGAGTATTATAAAAGTATAAAAGAAGCATGAGGAATGGAATGTACAAACACTTCTATCCTTCTCTACCGTTTCTCCCATCAGAGAGAGAACACAGATTCAGGGACAGAGCCTTTACAGTTAGTGATATATAGGACTCTACTAAATGACAGAAGCAGCAAAAATACTGCAAAAAGACATGCGTTTTTACTCTAGAGAATAGTTCCTAAAAGTTCAAGTGTCAATTTAAAGCTAAGGTAGATAGAAGGTGAGACATTGTTAATTGTAGCTATATACTTAAGCCCTGTTCAGGCTTTTATCTGCTGGTGACACATTTTGCTTGTTGTGCTTTGTTCTAGTCTATGATAATAAACTATAATATTTCTAAATCCTAAGCTTCCTTATTCCTGGCTGGGAAAACAAAGCTGCTTCTGTTTCCTGTGTTCATCACTTTAACTTTGTAATCTAGTACTTGTGTACTGTGTAAGAAATGGGTGTAAACACATATCAGAAATTGTAGTCATAGGCCTATCAGGCACTGAAAGACGTCTTTAAAGTTTTCTGGTGTAGAATTTTTATCTTCAAACAATTGAAAGACAAAACTAAGACTGAGGTATGTCTCTTAATTTTGTCTAGGAATATGTCTTGGTTTTATATTTTGGGAATATGGATTATATTGTTTCCATTGATTGATTGAAATTGAGAACTCAGCCTGACTTTTTTTTTTTTTTTTTTTTTTGAGATGGCGTCTCGCTTTGTCGCCCAGGCTGGAGTGCAGTGGTGAGATCTTGGCTCACAGCAACCTCCACCTCCCCAGTTCAAACAATTCTGCTGCCTCAGCCTCCCGAGTAGCTGGGACTACAGGCGCATGCCACCACACCCGGCTAATTTTTGTATTTTTTAGTAGAGATGGGGTTTCACCATATTGGTCAGGATGGTCTTGAACTCCTGACCTCATGGTCCACCCACCTCAGCCTCCCAAAGTGCTGGGATTACAGGCGTGAGCCACCACGCCCAGCCATCAGCCTGACTTCTATAGTCTTAATATTTATTAATCCCATAAAATTAATCCTTTGGTTATTCAAAAATATGAAAAGGAAATATGATTCTTAGGAGTGCATCAAATGGTTTACATTTTTATAGGTTGCTTTATTGGATCTGACTTTTGCGTAATGAGGTTGGTCTATTAAAAGTGTTTTTTCTCACAGAAGGTGACAAAGTACAATTTGAAGAATTTGCAAAAGTAGTAAGGAATATGCGTGATGCTGCCAGGTTAGAAGGTAAGTACTGAATTATTTATAACGGTTAGATTTACTTTTATTGAAAGGACTTGCTTTTGTTTTTGTTTTTAATGCTGTGTGTTCACCTAATTTCTGGTTAACATGTTGGCATTGATATGTTTATACGCAGATGAAACTTGGTTTTGATTAAACATTGGCTGGCATATAGGAACTTGGCTTTCAGAATGTATCCTTCATTACTAACTGATAAAGCTGGTTTACTCTGTCTAGACTATTTGTTAAAGAACTTGGAGGAGCCAAGAGAATAGGCATAGTATGAAGTTCTATGCCTTCTTTCAGTATCTACACATGTAATTTTAAGGGAATATGGTCAGTGTCTGACCTTGCAATTTAAGATTTTAGAGGTGGAATAGACAATTCTAGGTAATGATAAGGATTAAGGGTAGCCATTGGTGTGGATGACTTTGGAAAGGAAATAAAGGCCTTTTGAAGTTAAGAGGTCAAAGTGCTCTGAGGCCAGGCTCATCCTTATTATCATTGGATGATATTGGGATGAGAGGTAGAAGGAGGATTATGATCAAAGTGCCAAAATCCTCAGAGAATGTGAAGGAGTGATCAGACAGTAATCAATACTGTTGTCAGGAGAGTGGCATAGTTGAATAACAGGCCTGAGCCTCATGGGAGAGGGATAAGGTTTGATTGAAGGTGGAACTAAAATGGCCTGATAGCAGCAGCAGAAAGACAGGAAAATGCTATTCTGCTTCCTGGTCTTACAGTATGTGGAGCATGGGAGGATGAGCAGACTCTACTCAAGGTGGTTGTGCAAAGAAACTGTTTTTGAAGGAAATCAAGTGCTAAGGCAAGAAAGCAGAGCTGATACAGGTTTTCTGGGTGTCAGCAAAGCTCAGATTGCCATCTGTAGTTGCATCCCAGTGATGTTAGAGGAATAGAAAGTGAGGCAGGACATAAGACTTAAACTGTGATTACTATTTGCAGCTAGTTTCTGTTGACTTTAATAATAATAATAAAACTAATTTTATTCTATAAATATGACATTTATTGAGGCATTATATGTCTAATGCTATCTTAAGTACTTTTTATACATTGTTATATTTACTCTCCACATCAACCTTGTGAGGCAGATAGTATTATCCCATTTTAGACGAGACATTAAGTAGTAATAATTTGCTCACAGTTGCACAGTTCCAGGTTACAAATCCTGGAGCCAGACTTTGAATGCTGGTCTGACTTAACCAGTGCTGGAAATAAAGCAACATTCCAGACACTAGGGTACAATTGGGTCCTGGTGGAACTGAAAAGGAAAACTGAATGAGCCCTTGTAAATCTTGTCTCATATTTTACGTTTTTCATAATTCTGAAAGTTATTTTGCCTATATCTGATGAGTTAATTTTATTTGATATCATTAGAGGTCCACAGCAAAATAATTACTTTGTATAATTGCAGTGAAAAATTCAGCTATATGAGTGATTTTGGTTGTGCAAATTTTATAAACGCACCAGAGAAACGTGATAGATCAAGAGAACTCTTTGCACATTGTGCTGCTGGCCATAGAATTCTATGAGGGGAGAATTTCTCTCTGAGATTTCTTATTCCTCAGTTCAGGATACAATAATAAACTATGGATTTCCACTAACAAATGTCTTGAGTGATGGCTACTGCTTTTTATTAATTAACTTTTTTTCTATTTATAGAGTTACAGGAAGTTGTCTTAGCTGCTGATTTGCTGGAAGGTGACATGATAGCTGGGAAGAACTTGGAAGACTTTCTAAGAAATGTTGGGATTAAGTCACCTAAAGAAGAGGTAGAGAAAATTCTTCAATCAGATTTTGTTTCTGGTAAGCATTTTAAATATTACTCTCAGGTTTTTTTTTTGTAGGAGTAAAGAAGATGTGCAAGGTCTATAGGTATTTGCTTATGTTACTATAAATGTAATCTTTGAAACGGAGCCTTTCCTCTTAATTTCCTCTTTTGCAGTTATGAGAATACTTCTATACAAGCGGGTCTAGATTTTGTGGAAGTGGGCTTGTTAGAATGCTCTGTCCTCATTGCTATCTTGATTTAGCGAATGAAAAACATCTTAGGAATTCAAGTTCTGTGAATAGAAATCCTAGCTTTGCCACCTTTGACCAAATTACTGGTCAGAGTTACTGGGGCTTTCTTTGTACTTCAGTTCCCATTATAGGTAGAATCAGAACTTAGTATACCTACAACATTGTAGGGTTATTGCGAGGCTTAATGGATGAAAATGAATCTAAAAGTACCTTGTAAATAAAATGTTCGAGAAATATATAAGTCATATGCTGATTTTGATACTAGCCTTTAAGTATTACTTTGTCTAGGGGTTCTTGTTTGTCATCTCTCTCTTTTCCTTGCAGAAGATAACATGGTGAACATTAAAGACTGTATGAGGGCTTTGAGGGACACCCAGAAATTTTCCAATTATATTGGTAAGAGCTTTATGGTAATACTGTTAGAAGGCAATGATACAGAACTTATTCAAAGTTCACCTAGTAAAACCCTAAATTTGGTGTTTAAATCTTCTTTATAGTATCTGTGCCAAATGTTTGCTTCATGTGTACTTGAACACTTTCAGTTATGGGGAACTTCCTACATTTTATTTTGAAATTTAAGAATTGTACATTTGTGATTGGAGATGGGAAAAATAACAAGAGTATGATCTTTTCCAATAGTTAAAATAAGACATCTTTATTATATGAATGAATAGTTCTTTTTAATGCTGTAAAAAACTTAAATGACCAGGAATGTAAGAAGTATAAAGTGCAAGTCTCTTGTAACATTAATGTTACCCTTCAGAAATATCCCTATGAAGCTTTGGTAAATATCCTTTTAGGCTTTCTTCTTTACATCTGTCCATAATATTGCACAACTTGAGTGCAATATATGACAGTATATCTTAGATATAATTCTGTGTTCCACTATATTATGTAAACCTACCTCATTCTTTTAAAAGACTGCATAATGTTATACTAGAGGAATGAACTATAATTTTGTCCACAATACTTTTAATAAATATTTAGGTTATTGCCATTTTTTTACTATTACAAACATTTGGTGAGTATCCTTGTACATATATCTTTGTGCACGTTGCACACAATTTTTCTGTAGGGCAAATTCCTTAGAAGTGGACTTGCTGGGCCAAAGTATTTTTAGATGTAAAATGTTAACAAGCTACTGCCTAATTACCCTCCTAAAGATTTGTGGAAATTCACACTTTTATCAACAGGGGGTATTATTTATTTAAAATTCTGATAGGAGCATTAATACTTTGTCTTACCCATTTCACATTTTTTTCTAGTTTATTTTTGATTTTTTGACTTTGATGGATTGCTTTTTGCCATCTTTTGTTTCATTTTGTCAGTTTGGTAATTTGATTCTTCCAGGAAATTTTAAATTGTATTGAGGTTAAAATGACTTAGACTATTAGGACAGCCCTATGCACTTCTAATTCTTTTCATTTTTTTGTATATATGGTTATTTCTCATTCTTAAATTTATATATATAGGTATATATATAACTTTTTTCTTTGCTACTGAATGTTCTATTATCTCTGTTTTTAAAGTACTAGCTCTTGGGTTTATCTTTAGCGTTTCTATTTATAGTTTAAAAATTAATTTCTGATTTTACCTTTAGTAAGTCCTTTATATTGTTCCCTTATACTCATTTAATAGTTTTTCTAATTTCTTGTTTAAATTATTTATTTACTTTATTTTTTTTCTTACTGGGTAATAAACATGTTTAAGGCAGTCAATTTTCATTTTAGTGAAACTTTGGTGTATCTAACAGTCTTTGACTTGTTAGGCTATTATTATGGTTATTTTATAAATATTTCCAGTTGCATTTTGATTTTCTCCTTGGTCTGAGAGTTATTTAGGAGGAAACTTTAAATTTCAAAGCAATTTATTTATTTATTTAATTTATTTATTGAGACGGAGTCTCATTCTGTCGCCTCGGCTGGAGTGCAGTGGAGCAATCTTGGCTCACTGCAACCTCTGCCTCCCGGTTTCAAGCGATTCTCCTGCCTCAGCCTCTTGAGTAGCTGGGATTCAGGTGCACACCACCATGCCTGGCTAATTTTTGTATTTTTAGTAGAGACAGTGTTTCACCATGTTGGTCATGCTGGTCTCGAACTCCTGCCTTGTGATCTGCCCGCCTCGGCCTCCCAAAGTGCTGGGATTACAGGCATGAACCACGCCCGGCCAAATTTCAAAGCAATTTAAATGTCATTGTTGCCTTAAGTTTGTTTTTTATATCTAGTTGTATTTTATTGTGGTCAGAGAATGAGGTCTGTAATAGACGGTTTGATAGTTCCCTAGTTCATTAGAGACAGAATTCCCTCAACTTTTATATTTACTATTTAACAATCAAAATAAAATTAGTTGGTTGCAGGGATACGCTAGGTAAGGTACATTCACTCATTTCACTCTTTGTCTTGGAAGTCCTTATGACTTTTTGAAGTAGCTCATTCTATAATTTTCGACAGCTATAGAACTAGAACATTATTCCACATATTTGGTGGAAATTTCCTGGAACCATATTTGACATTTGGACTCTTCCTCCCATTAATAGCCTTCCAGAAATGTCAAGATAACTCACATGTTCTCTTTCCTTCCCACTAAATGAATCTTCTCTCTAGACTCAAATATCCCTTCAACTCTTCTTCACTGACCTGTTTTTGAAACTTCTTACCAATGACAAATGACTATATCATAGAACAAAATCCTGAGAGATGCCTTTTTAGGAATATACTTTGGAAATGTGAACTTTTAACATTTTTTTAAATCAAGGGAGGTCAGCCATGGTCTTCTTAGTCCAAATGTTTGTGACTGTGCTAAACATAAGAGGCTGTGATGATTCTCTAAAATGGGTGAAGTTAGCTGACAGGAACAAGGGATGCAGGGAAGGAAAGAGAAAAATTGGCATTTAGGAGGAGTTATGAGGAATGAAGGGGACTTTACTGAAATGGTGCGCTTATTAACAGAATAACTAGGGAAACTTTAGCATACTTTTGTCTGTAGCAGAATAGCTCACCTCAAACCCAGACATTTAACAAATCAATTTTAAGAATAAAGAAAAGGGTTATTTTTAACTATTAGAGCTACAAATAGAAAGCTATTGGAGTGGAGAAAACTATTGAAGTAGAGTTATAGAAAATTATCAGAGTGGAGAATGGACCACTCTAAATATTTAAATGGCCACATGTGACTGGTGACTGCCTTATTCGACAGTGTAGATCTCAAAGAGGCCATCAATTTTATTGTTATGCTCAAAAGACTTAGATCCATGGACTGAATTACATGTTGTATGTATATTCTCTGTTTGTAGCATTGAATGAGACTATCAATACATTGGACTCCACGAAAGAAAATTGTCAGTTTGACAAAGACAAAAATCCAGATGTACTTGAAAACACTGATAGGCTTTCTTTTACTGATGACATACTTCAAGAAGTAATGGATGACTCCTTTGTTGAAGATGAGTTGATTTGACAGACAACCAGCAGCTTGTATAAAAAATTTCTTCTGAATTTTATTTAGTTTTTTGTTTTTTGTTTGTTTTTTGTTTTTTAATTTAGGGAGGTCAGCCATGGGCTTTCTGGTCCAAATGTTTGATATTACTGTTCTTCTAAATTTTTATCCAAGGATTTCAAACTATTTTACCAAGTATTATTTAAGTCTTAATACTTGGCCCCTAAATCACACCATAAACTTGTTGGACACTTTACTGTAGACCATATTCAGGTCTATGTGTTATATGTGCCCACAGAGATTTAGTCATTACAGTATCAAATTTCTGGGTGATCTGATGACCTGGATTGTAAAATTGATCTCAGAGTATTTATATATTTGTGGCATGGCTTTGAAGAATAATTTTATTTCAAAGTTAATCCTTTTCCTTTTATGTGTTTTAGAGAGGTCTTAATGGTTTTGTAGCTTTCTGTTTTTGGATGAAAGGCCCTTTGAGAAGTGCAAGGTATTGTTGAAAAATTAATGTTTATTTCTATAGCCAGTTGTAAGTGTCGAGTTGTTGTTTACTTTATTTACAAAGAATTTACCTGATCCATCTATATAGCCTCAGCTTGGATGTACTGAGATAGAGTTTACCCCATATTTAGAAAGCCATTTCCTGCCTTTAAATTTAGCTTCAGCTGAAAAATGTAATCAGGCTGGGGGAAGTGGCTCATACCTATACTCTTAGCACTTTGGGAGGCCAAGGCGGGCAGATCACCTGAGGTCAGGAGTTTGAGAGCAATCTGACCAACATGGTGAAATCCCGTCTCTACTAAAAAAATACAAAAATTAGCCTGGCATGGTGGCCCATGCCTGTAGTTGCAGCTACTTGGGAGGCTGAGGCACGAGAATGCTTGAACCCAGGGGGCAGAGGTTACAGTGAGCCAAGATCACGTCATTGCACTCCAGTCGGGGCGACAGAACAAGACTCCATCTCAAGTAAATAAATAAATACAAAATAAAAAGTATAATCAAATCCCCCATTGCCCCCCACCTCACACCAGAGAATATTTGGCAATATCTAGAGACAGTGTTGGTTATCACAACTGATGGGAGAGGACTACTGGCATCTAGTGAATAGAGGCAAGGGTTGCTGCTAAACATCCTACAATTTACAGGATAATACCCTTGCCCCCCCCAATAATTATCTGGCCAAAAATATTAATAGTGCCTAGGTTCAGCAATCCTGTTTAGAGTTATCATGTAAAATTGCCCAAACCTATTATTTTGAAAGTACTTTTTATAGGTTATTTGTTTTGTTTATCCTGCTTAAAACAAAAATACAAATTAAGGCAAATATAATTTATGTGTATTCTAACCTCTGTTTGTTTCAGGGTAATACCTGGGCTAGCTGTGAGTTATTCTAAACTGTTCTTTAATACAATAGAGTCCATCTATGCAAATGGACAGATTTTATTTCTATCGTTTGTTCCTCAGATCTCTACACCAACTTGCATCTCTGTAGGAAGTATGTGGAGTGAATGGGTATAATGTAATACCCATTCATTAATTACATTTAATTAAGTAATGGGTATAATGTTCTTAGGAAAAATTCTGGGACTAGATAGTATATAGGTAGGTAAGAGATCAAGAAGGACAATTTAGACTAATAATTAAGGATTTTATTGAATAGACCGGCTGGGGATTAACTTCTCCCCTTAGGGAGAAAGGAAGCATCTGTGACATTAGAAACTGCCACATTTAAGGAGTTGGTGGAAGATAACCATGAAGGAGCCCAAGTAGTAAGCAAAGAGTGAGGAGAGAATGGATATTTTGGGAGCCAGGGAACAACTTTTGAGAAGAAGGGAATGGTTATCAATGATAAATGTTAGTGGGAAAAGAAGTATTCAATCTATCCATTGGTTTCCTTTCAAACAGGGTAAGATCAGGATGCCATTCCTCATTGTGTAATGTCTCTCTCTAAATTTGCAGATTTCAGGAAAGAGGCTTCAAATCTAAAATTACCAAAGGTAAACGGTGAGTAAGAACTTTGTATATGAGAAAATTTTCAATAATAAGAGATATTTTTTAGAATAATTGCCAAGTACCAATGTATTTCTCATTTTTCCTGCTGACTTCAGCCAGATTACTATTTTTCCACAATAGTAATCTGATCATGTTACCTCCCCCTATTTATAACTCTTCAAACATTTCCTGTTATTAGGATAAAAATTAAAATCCTCCATGCCCTATCTTTCTAGCGTTATTTTGTACCATTATCCTTGCTTTCTGTACTTCAACTAAATTGGCTTTACTTTAGTTCCTTAGATACTCCCCTTTCCTCCCACTACAAGACTTTTGCATATTCTATTCCCTGGAATATTCTTCCCTGATCCTCTTTGCCTACTGTTGTAGTCTGTTTTGTGTTGCTGTAACAGAATACCACAGACTGGATAATTTGTATAAAAAAAAAAAAGAGATTCATTTCTTACAATTCTAGAGGCTGGGAAATCCAAGGTCAAGAGGCCCACATCTAGTGAGGGCCTTATTGCTGTGTCATACTATGGCAGAAGGCAGAAGGGCAAGAAAGTTTGAGAGAGCAAGAGAGCAAGAGGAGACTGAACTTACTTTCATAATAAGCCCACTCTTGCAATAACTAAATCACTGACATTAATCTATTCATGAGGGCAGAGCCTTTGTGACTTAATCACCTCTTATTAGGCCTGACCTGTCAACACTGTTGCATTGGGGATTAAGTTTTCAGCACATAAACTTTGGGGGACACAATCAAACCATAGCATTCCATCCCTGGCCCTCAAAATTCATGCCCTTTTCATGTACAAAATACATTCATTCCATCTTGGTAGCCCCAAAACTCTTAACTTGTTCCCGTGCCAACTCAAAAGTCCAAATTCCAGAGTCTCATCTTAATCAGATGGGTGAGACTCAAGGTACAATTCTTCTTGAGGCAAATTCTCCTCCAGCAGTAAGTCTGTGAAGTTAGCAAGTTACATGCTTCCAAAACACACAGGCATAGGATAGACATATCCATTCCAAGAGGGAGAAATGAGTGAGAAGAAAGGGATAATTGGTCCCAAGTAAGTCCGAAACCAAAAAGGGAAAACAACATTAAGTCTGAAAGCTGGAGAATAATCTCTTTTGACTCCATGAGTCAATTATAGAAAAGCCTATCATCAGTGGCTAGTATAGGTCAGAATTTTTTGTTTCCTTTGTTATATGCTGTTATTAAATTCTGTCCATTTCATAGCACTTATTTCATATTATAAATATCCGTTTCTGTTTTCGATTATTTGATTAATATCTCTTCCTCCCACTTGCCTGGTATCATTGGGCCAAGGAATATGTCTCCTCTTTGCTTTCCATTGTATCTCCAGGACCTAGCAGAGTCCTGGCTCTTTAATTAGACTCTTAAGGTTAACTAATATTAACATCTGATACTTATGTAATATTTACTATGCTATTGTTCCAAATCTTTTGTTGTTAACTCATAATCATGAATATTTTTTGAATGAATGACTGAATAGATTTGTCTTCTTATCTCTTCAGACTCACCGTTTATCATTTCTGCATTTGTATTTATTCTGTAGTCATACTACTTAGCACAATTTAAATTGGCTCTATTTGCTTTTGCATTTATTTGCATATACTGTTTCCTTTGGATACATTCCCTGACAGACAAACTGACATTTCCCCCCCAAACTCAGTTCAAATGTCATTTCTGATGCCATAAGACTTCCTTCCCAGAGTTCATCACTTTTTAAATCTAGGTTAGGTGAACCTTCTCAGTGCTTCCATAATTTTGTGTGTGTATTTTTCTCATATCACTTACTATATGATATATTATAATTTTGTTTATAGATATGACAGATTTAGTCTCCCTTATCAAGGAATTTACTTGAAACTCTTTGATACGAGGGACTGAATATTTTATTGTTGATCTTAGAAGCTGTAAAATAACTGTTAGTAGAATGAATGTAGGTCTAAGATGATATTATGGTGTTCTTTCCAAGTGATCTCCATGAAGGCTTAGATCTCCTGGTGTAATGCAACAATTTTCAGCATATGGAAACATAGACAACTTCATGTGGAGGTTGAGGGAGAAATTGATTGAGAAATGGTACAGATGAAAAATTAGGCTGGGTTTGGTGTCTGATGCCTGTAATCTCAGCACTTTGGGAGGCTGACGCCGGTGGATCACTTGAGCTCAGGAGTTCGAGACCAGTCTGGCCAACATGGCGAAACCCCGTCTCTACTAAAAATATTTAAAAAATTAGCCATGTATGGTGGCACATGCCTGTAATCCCAGCTACTTGGGAGGCTGAGGCAGGAGAATGGCATGAACCAGGAAGCAGAGTTTGCAGTGAGCTGAGATGGCACCACTGCACTCCAGCCTGGGTGACAGAGTGAGACTCCATCTCAAAAACAAAAACAAACAGACAAAAACCAGAAAAATTAAAAAGCACATAATGATTATGTTTTATATTTTAAATTGGTGTGAGATCAACAGGACTGCCCCGTTTGGTTATGTGAGTTGTGCTTTGCACAAAGGTGCCTGTTGAGAGAGCATAAGTGGAGGCTGAAATGCAGTTCATACTCCAAGCCTTGAACCTCTGTGCTGGATTGCAGTTGCCTAGTGAAAGGTACCCTTTTTTGTAACTAATGCATAGAGAGGAGGTGCCTTTTCCCAATTCACACAAAAGCACAGTATGAACTATCTGAGGCCCTGGGGATCAAGAGCTTCAATCTCAAATTTTAGCCTTTGTTTACATCATCAGGTGGTAGAAATCTTTAGATCTACATGTACAGGGAGGCATGTAGCTCATTCAGTTTTTAATGGATGAATGAATGAAGACAAAGTCTTATTATAATACATGTCAATAGCCCATCATATTATTCTCTTTGCCATAATGTTTTTTAGTTTCAAGTGCTGCTTGAGGGAAGTGGGCCATCAGTTACAAATAGAAAATATTGTGTTTCCTTTGGAGAGATTTTGATTCAGATAAATATTTAATTTGAGGTTTACCTATGGTAGATTTTGGACAAATTATTTTGAATGTTTTTTACACCATAATAGCTTGTGTACATTTATCTTTGTAGAGATTAAAGAAGCTGCTAACATCTTGTCACATGTCGATAATGGCAAGATTGGTATACCTGATTTGGAGCATGCCTTGAAATGTTTGAATGTTAATTTAACTGAGGAGGACTTCAATGAAGCCCTTAACTGTTGTAACGTCAGTGGTGAGCATTTTTTTGGCCTGAGATTCTTTTCATTTTTTTTCTACTTATGAAAAATAGTCTTAGAGTGTACCTATAAGGATAAGATGCTAATGGGAGTCATTTTTCTTTTGGAGGCTTAGGTTGATACAAATTAGAGCCAAACCACTCTACTAATTTAAATATTTATTGAACATATCTATTCATACTCATATGGATACTATATGTGCTTATTTAATTACCATTCATTACTTATAAGCATGGGTGGAAAAATACCATAAATTGTATAATAAAAACATGACAACAGCAGCTTATTTTGATATGCAATCTTTTTCAGAGGAGATCTGCTTTCATTTTTTTTTTACAGTACTTGCTCCATTTTGATTTTTAACCAAATAAAATGTGGGAGGGCTCACTACATTTAAAAATAAGTTATTTAGTTTTAGTGATTGTTTTCAAGTAGTCCATATTTACCTTTGTTTTCTGTCTTTGACTTCATGTAATATGTACTTGATCTCCTTTCCTATACACATTTACTTTTAGGAAGTCAAATCATTTGAGAGTACTTCTAGAAGCTGCTGAGTTCTGTTGGTTTTTGGCGAACTTTTATTTTGGGCTTATCTTAACCAATTTGTGTCTGGGAATCCTGTGAGTCCTAGGTTTAAGAATACCTCTCCAGTACAGTTTAGTTATTGATTTTGCCAGGTTCCCCAGATTGTTATTCACCTAGATCAATTTTTATGTTTTGATCTCAGTTTTCTCACATCATCAGAGTGGTATAAATTTAGACTTCACACCCACATGAGATGCATGCTGGGCCTTCAATTTCTCACAAGAGATTTTTTTTTTCCACTGTCTTTCAGAATTGGGAAGATTTAGGCCTCCTTGTTTATTTGAGTCAATAAATATAGTATTTTAATTTCTTTTTTAAAAAACCAGGATTGAAACCCTTTAAGCATTTCAGTTTTATTTGATATCTAAGTTCCTAACCTTATTTTTATGGGCTCGAATCTTTTTTTCTGACTCTGTATGAACATTTAAATCAAGCACCTAGCCATTTCTGGGTCTCATCTCTATCCCAAAGATAGTTTTGGTGTTAGTACTCAATGCTTAGCATTCTGGACCTCAGTTCCCAGTTAACTTTTTGTTATTTCCTTCATATGACTCAGTCACACATCCATGGAATGTTATATGTCATAGAGCATCTCTAGGGGTTTGTAGTGGGATGGTTTCTGTGCTACCCAGGTCTGCCATTTTGTTTAAACTCAAAGTCTCCTTAATATAATTATAGCCCTAGATTGTCTGCTGTGTCACATTATTGCACCTTACTTCACTTGTGACTGTGTATGTGTGTGTGTGCACGTGCGTGTGTGTGTGTGTACATGTACATGTGCATGTATGTGTGTATTCTAATAACATTGTCTCCTCTGGCCTTAGACTGCATCAATTAAAATACAACCTCTTAACATTTCCTGACTTTGTGACCTGGACAAGTTATTTAATTTCCATTTGCTTTCATCTTTCAAAAATAGGCATGCAGAACCTGGGAGGCGGAGCTTGCAGTGAGCAGAGATTGCGCCACTGCACTCCAGCCTGGGCAACAGAGCGAGACTCCATCTCAAAAAAAAAAAAAAAAATAGGCATGCGAAGAGTATGCACATCACAGAATTATTATGACGATTACATGATTTAATATATGTAAAACACCATAAAAGGGTTCCTAGTATATATAAGGAACTCAAAAATGTTAGCTATTGTTTGCTAGTAATATTATTAACTATTCACTGGGTGGTTTTAAAAAGTGTTAAAAGTTCTATTGAAATAGTTTCAATCATTTGAGACAGAAAAGTGAGCTAGAGTGAAATTTTAGCTAACTATTGTAAATCGGTCTTTATTTCATGTGCCAATTCAGTATCAGGTTTTTAATGTCAGCATTTTTTACTTTGACCTTCCAGATAATATGGAGGTGGATTTAAAAGATTTCTTAATGAAAATGAAAGAAAGTCCACATTTCCAAAAGTCCAAGGGTAAGTGAATACTTCTTGTTCAAGAGAATGGCTAGAAAATAAATATTTAAAAATGACATTTAAAAATGAAAGGTCCAACAGTGATAGACTGGATTAAGAAAATGTGGCACATAGACACCATGGAATACTATGCAGCCATAAAAAATGATGAGTTCATGTCCTTTGTAGGGACATGGATGAAATTGGAAATTATCATTCTCAGTAAACTATCACAAGAACAAAAAACCAAACACCGCATATTCTCACTCATAGGTGGGAATTGAACAATGAGAACACATGGACACAGGAAGGGGAACATCACACTCTGGGGACTGTTATGGGGTGGGGGGACAGGGGAGGGATAGCTTTAGGAGATATACCTAATGCTAAATGACGAGTTAATGGGTGCAGCACACCAGCATGGCACATGTATACATATGTAACTAACCTGCACATTGTGCACATGTACCCTAAAACTTAAAGTATAATAATAATAAAAAAAAGACTATCTGGATTTCAGGTTTTTAATTTTTAGTCTCTCTAATTTTAAAAAGGATTTCAAGCCACTTATGATGTATAGTATAAATAATATAATATAAAAATAAGTGAAGAAAATTGGGCAAAGATATAATGAGGGGGAAAACAAGGTAAGGTTAAAAAGATTAATATGTGCAAGGTCCTTTCTCAAAGGTAGTTAGGTTTTTCTTCAATGACTTGTGGATCTATGAATTAAATCATGTGTGGAATTGGATGAGGGACCACCAGTTTTTGTGACATCTTAAGTCATGCCTCTGGAGTTTTCAGATGTTCACAACTGGACTGCCCATCTATTTCAGTTATAGAAATCCTAACTTCAGTTAATCAGTCCTTCTAAATCCTCGCAGTATCAATCCCTGTATTATTCTTAATACCACACTATCTATGTTGCCTAACCACATCATTTTGTCCCTGCTATTTAAAGACTTCTGCTTGGCCTCTGTCCCTGAGGTTCGTCTTATTCTTTTTGAAATTAGGGAGACCATTTCAACACCAACATATTTTCCTGACTCCCACATCTGCAGAGAACACCTACCAAAGAACTCTTCATGGATGCAGATACCCTTATCAATGGCGTATTTCTAAATGCTTTGGTGAAACAAATGTCTTTGTATCACATTTTTTACATTTTAATATCTCTAAAATTGGATGCCTTATAGTATTTTTAATCAGATGTAGCTTTTAGAATTGAGACATAATTAATATACCATAAATTTCACCCTTTTAAAGTGTACCATTCAGTGATTTTTAGTATATTCAGAAAGTTGTGCAACCATCACAACTTTCTAATTCCAAAACATTTTCATGACTCCGAAAGAAACTCTGTACCTGTTAGCAGTTATTCTCCATTCCCACCTCTCTCCAGCTACTGACAACCATGAATCTACTTTCTGTCTGTATGAATTTGCCTATTTTGAACATTTCATATAGATGTAATCATATTGTATTTTTTTGTGTCTAACTTCTTTTATACAGCATATGCTTTCTTTCTCTTTTTTTCAACTTTTATTTTAGATTCAGGGGGTACATGTGCAGGCTTGTTACCTGGGCATATTGTGTGATGCTAAGGTTTGGGATATGAATGATCCCATCACCCAGGTACTGAGGATAGTATGCAATAGTTAGTTTTACAACCCTTTCCCCTTCTCCCCCTCCCCTCCTCTGGTAGTCCCCACTTTCAATTGTTGCCATCTTTCTGTTCATGAGTACCCAGTGTTTAGCTCACACTTATAAGTGAGAGCATGCAGTATTTGGTTTTCTGTTTCTGTGTTAATGCACTTAGGATAATGGCCTCCAGCTGCATCCATGCTGATAGCATGTGTTTTCAAAGTTCATTTATATTATAGCATGAATTAGTACAATTGACTCTTGAACAATGTGGGGGTTAGGGGCACCTTCTAGATAATATGGAGTTGGATTTAAAAGATTGCTTAATGAAAACGAAAGAAAGTCCACATTTCCAAAAGTCCAAGGGTAAGTGGATACTTTTGCTTCAAGAGACTGGCTGGAAAACGAGTGGCTACACTGTCAAAAATTCATGTATAATTTCAGACTCCCCCGAAACTTCATTACTAATAGTCTACTGTTGAGTGGAAGCCTTATCAATAACATAAATGATTGATTAACACATATCTTTACGGCATATTTATATAATACTGTTTCTTACAATAACACAGCTAGAGAAAAGAAAATATTGTTAATAAAATCATAAGGGAGATAGAATATGTTGACTCTTCATTAAGTGTAAGTGGATCATCATCCTCATCCTCACCATCTTCAAGTTGAGTAGGAAGAGGAGTTGGTTTGCTATCTCAGGAGTGGGAGAGATGGAAGAGGTGGAGGCGGTGGAAGAGGAGGCAGAAGAGGCAAGGACACTTGGTTTAACTTTATGGAAATACATCATAATTTCTTGTCTGACGTTATTGGCTTTTCATTTCTCTAAGAATGTTTCTCTATGATACCAATCTTTCACTGTTTGCTTTAGTTTCAGTGTCCATATCATTGAAGGGTCCATGTCATAATATAAGTCAAAGCAGTCATGAATAATTGGAACTCTTCTACCCGATTGTCTAATGTCAATATGTTTCCTTGCATTGCTTCTTCTATGCCTTCTTCCTTACCATCTGGCACTGGTTTGGAAGCATTCATCCCTATCAAGTCATCTTCAGTTAATTCCTCTGGTGTGGTGTATATTAACTCTTGAATTTCTCCCAATAGTCATATCTTGAAACCTTTCACCCTTCACCATTTTTTTTCTCGCCATTTCCACAATCTCTTTCATGATCTCCTTGTTTAGCTCTGTTATAAATCCTGTGCAGTCATGCACAACATCTGGACACAGCTTTCTCCAGCAGGAGTTTATTGTTTGGGGCTTGATGTGGCATCCTACTGAAGCCTTTCATGTTCTCTCTGTCAGGGTTTTCTTCCACAGTGTTGACAATTCTTTCCATAGAGTACCATGTGTAATGGGCCTTTAAAGGCTCTTATGACCCCCTAATGTAGAGGCTGATATCATATTTGGAGCCAAGTAGACCACTTCAATGCCTTTGGTGTTGAATTCATAGAGTTTGGGTGGCCAGAGGCATTGTCCAATATCAAAAGAACTTTAAAAGGCAGTCTCTTCCTTGCTTCAGGGACAAAGCATTGATGGAACCAATCTAGAAAAAGAATTCTGGTTTTCTAAATCTTCTTGTTATACAATCAAAAGATGGCAGCAGGAGTTTATCTTTTCCCTTCAAGGCTTGAGGGTTAGCAGCTTTATGGATAAGGGCAGTCCTGATTTTAAACCTAACAGCATTTGCACAAAACATTAGAGCTAGCTTACCCTTCTTAAATCCTGGTGCTTGCTTCTCTTCCCTACTAATAAATGTCCTTTTTGGCACTATTTTCCAGAATAGGGCACTTTTGTCTGCATTAAAAACTTGTTCTGGGATACATACTTTCTCCTCAGTGATTTTCTGGATACATGTATATTCAAATCCTTTGCCCATTTTAAAATCAGGCTTTTTATTGTTGAGTTTTAAGAGTTATTCATATATTCTGGATACTAGACCTTTATCAGGTAGATAATTGCAAATATTTTTTCACATTTTGTTAGTTGTCTTTTTTCTTTCCTGATGTCCTTTGAAGCATAAATGATTTTGAATTTGGTAAAGTTCAATTTATATTTTATTTTGTTGCTTCTTTGATGTCATAAAGATAATGCAAACTCCTGAAGGTTTACACCAAAGTTTTCTTCTAGTTTTAGCTCTGTTATTTGAATCCTTAATAAATTAGAGTTAATTTTTGTATGTGGTGTGAGATGACAGTCCATTTTTATCTTTTTTGTTCCAGATATTCAGTTGTCCTAGCATCAGTTGTTGAAAACATTGTTCTTTCTCCACTGAATGATTTTGGTACCCTTAGAGAAAATCAATTGATCATAGATGTATGGGTTTATTTCTGGACTCTCAATTCTATTCCTTTTATATTTATTCTATCCTTATATCAATATCACATACTTTTGATTGCTATAGCTTTGTTTAAAGTAATAACCTAAACAGTAATTTTTAACCAGAGCAGGGTAACTAGAATTACCCGTAAAGCTGGTTCACCTGGTTCTATCTGTATATGATGAAGTAGCTTGTATTTTATAGAATAACTATAAAATCTAGTAAAAATTAAGCAACATAAGCAATCACCACAACTGTTTAAGGGCAATGGGCAGTAACCAAGCCTGTCAGGATTTGTGGGGCCATAGGATAAACACAAAGAAAACCACATTTAAGAACATGAGAGTAAAATGGCTGAAAACCAACTACAAAGAGAAAATCCTAAAAGCCACCAGTGAAAAGTTATACATTATTTTCTAAGGAGCAAAAAAATACTGATGGCTGGGTGTGGTGGCTTATGTCTATAAGCACTTTGGGAGGACATTGGGGGAGGATCGTTTGAGGCCAGGAATTTGAGACCAGCCTGGGCAACATGGCAAGACCCTGTCCCTACAAAAAATTTAAAAATAAGCCAGGTGTGATGGCACATGACTGTAGTCCCAGCTACTCAGGAAGACAGGAGGATCACTTGAGCCCAGGAGTTCAAGGCCACAGTGAGCTGTGATCACGCTGCTGCACTCCAGCCAGTGTGACAGAGTGAGATCCCATCTCTAAATAATAATGATGATAATAATAATAAATATTTGTAGCTTTCTTTACAAAAGATGTTTACAAAATTATCATTGGAGGAGCCTAGCTTAGTTCATGAGTCAATAGTTTATTGGTTATTACTGTTCAGGAGTTACAGTGCTGGTGAAATGCACTGTCTTTCAGAATGCTGTGGTCCATCTCTGATGAATGCCAGAGATAATGGAATAACATTGAATACTAAACTTTTTTAAAAGGCTGTGAACATTGTATTCTATATTAAAGTATGTTTTAAAAATGAAATAATATTTTTAAAAAAAACAAAGTTCACTACCAAGAGATCTACATATAAGAAATGTCCCCTCTCCCTCTCCCTCTCCCTCTCCCTCCCTCTCCCCACGGTCTCCCTCTCCCTCTCTTTCCACGGTCTCCCTCTGATGCCGAGCGGAAGCTGGACTGTACTGCTGCCATCTCGGCTCACTGCAACCTCCCTGCCTGATTCTCCTGCCTCAGCCTGCCAAGTGCCTGCAATTGCAGGCGCACGCCGCCACACCTGACTGGTTTTCGTATTTTTTTGGTGGAGACGGGGTTTCGCTGTGTTGGCCGGGCTGGTCTCCAGCTCCTAACGTGAGTGATCCGCCAGCCTCGGCCTCCCAAGGTGCCGGGGTTGCAGACGGAGTCTGGTTCACTCAGTGCTCAATGGTGCCCAGGCTGGAGTGCAGTGGCGTGATCTCGGCTCGCTACAACCTCCACCTCCCAGCCGCCTGCCTTGGCCTCCCAAAGTGCCGAGATTGCAGCCTCTGCCCAGCCGCCACCCCATCTGGGAAGTGAGGAGCGTCTCTGCCTGGCCGCCCATCATCTGGGACGTGAGGAGCCCCTCTGCCTGGCTGCCCAGTCTGGAAAGTGAGGAGCATCTCTGCCCGGCCGCCATCCCATCTAGGAAGTGAGGAGCGCCTCTTCCCGGCCGCCATCCCATCTAGGAAGTGAGGAGCGTCTCTGCCCGGCCGCCCATCGTCTGAGATGTGGGGAGCGCCTCTGCCCCGCCGCCCCATCTGGGATGTGAGGAGCGCCTCTACCCGGCCGCGACCCCGTGTGGGAGGTGAGGAGCGTCTCTGCCCGGCCGCCCCGTCTGAGAAGTGAGGAGACCCTCCGCCCGGCAGCCGCCCCATCTGAGAAGTGAGGAGCCCCTCCGCCCGGCAGCCACCCCGTCTGGGAAGTGAGGAGCGTCTCCGCCTGGCAGCCACCCCATCCGGGAGGGAGGTGGGGGTCAGCCCCCACCAGGCCAGCCACCCCGTCCGGGAGGGAGGTGGGGGGGTCAGCCCCCCGCCCGGCCAGCCGCCCCGTCTGGGAGGTGAGGGGCGCCTCTGCCCAGCCGCCCCTACTGGGAAGTGAGGAGCCCCTCTGCCCAGCCAGCCGCCCCGTCCGGGAGGGAGGTGAGGGGGTCAGCCCCCCGTCCGGGAGGGAGGTGGGGGGGTCAGCCCCCCGCCCGGCCAGCCACCCCGCCCGGGAGGTGAGGGGCGCCTCTGCCCGGCCGCGCCTACTGGGAAGTGAGGAGCCCCTCTGCCCGGCCACCACCCCGTCTGGGAGGTGTACCCAACAGCTCATTGAGAACGGGCCATGATGACAATGGCGGTTTTGTGGAATAGAAAGGGGGGAAAGGTGGGGAAAAGATTGAGAAATCGGATGGTTGCCGTGTCTGTGTAGAAAGAGGTAGACATGGGAGACTTTTCATTTTGCTCTGTACTAAGAAAAATTCTTATCCTGTTGATCTGTGACCTTACCCCCAACCCTGTGCTCTCTGAAACATGTGTACTCAGGGTTAAATGGATTAAGGGCGGTGCAAGATGTGCTTTGTTAAACAGATGCTTGAAGGCAGCATGCTCCTTAAGAGTCATCACCACTCCCTAATCTCAAGTACCCAGGGACACAAACACTGCGGAAGGCCGCAGTGTCCTCTGCCTAGGAAAACCAGAGACCTTTGTTCACTTGTTTATCTGCTGACCTTCCCTCCACTATTGTCCTATGACCGTGCCAAATCCCCCTCTGCGAGAAACACCCAAGAATGAGCAATAAAAAAAAGAAAGAAAGAAAAAAAAAAAAGAAATGTTACCAATATCAGGAATGAAAAAAGGGACATCACTACAGCATACACAGACATAAAAAAGATACTAAGAGGATCTTATACTTTTATACCAATGCATTTGAAAATTTTAATGAAAAGAATAAATTCCTTGAAAAACTCAACTTACCAAAGTAGCTGAAGAATAATTAGAAAATCTGAAGAGTAACTCCAGGTTCAGACGGCTTCATTGGTAAGTTATTTTAAAATTTAAGAAGGATATAGTATCACTCTTACATAAACTCTTTCAGAGTTTAGAAGCAGGAAGAACATTTCCAACCTCATTTTATGAGGCCTATGTAATCTTCATATAAAAACCTTACATGGGCACCAAATTATAATTCAGTCCCCATCATGACCACAAATGGGGAAAGCTTTAATAAAATAGGATCAAATGAAATCTAGTGATATATAAAAAGGAAAGATATATCACAAGTTGAATTCTTTTTAGGAGTGCAATATTGGTATTAATTAACAAAAATAAAAATAATTCTTCATATTACAAAATAAAGGAGGAAGAAAAATCATCTTAATAGATGTAGAAAACATATTTGATCAAATTCAACACCTTTTCATGTTAAGGGGTACTTACAGAAACCTACAACAATCATGTTTGAAGGAAAATTTTAAATTCTTGCTCACAGAGATTAGGAATGAGACAAGAATGTCTACTATCATCACTTCTGTTCAACCGTGTACTGGAAGTCCTAGCCAGTATCACAGGCAAAACAGAATAAGAAAGATAAGGATTAAAAGGGAAGAAATAGAATTTCCATTACTCATTGCCAATATAATTAATAGGTAGAAAAAATATGAATCTATACACTGGTTATTATATTATTTTATTTCAGTTAATGAGCAAATTTATCAGAGCTGCTTGACACATGATCAATTTAATATAATTCTATGTTCAAAAATTGTATTTCTGTATTTTGCCACAAACAATTATAAAATGAAAATAAAGATATGATTTGCAATGATACAAAAAAGTAAACATTTAGGAGTAACTAGTGAAACAAGTTTATAATTTTTAAACAGAAAACTACAAAACAATTTTGACAAAATTTAAAGAAAAACCTAAATAAATGGAGAGATATATTATGTTTTGTAGTTTCAATATGCTTTCAGTTCTCACCAATTTGAGCTATATATTCAATGCAATCCCAATCAAAAGTCTAGCATAATTTTATAGAAACTGACAATCTGATTTTAAATATGAGAATAAATGCAAAGGGCCAAAATAGCCAGGGCAAAGTTGAAGAAGACAAAGTTGTAAAACTCACGTTACTTTACATCAAGATTTATAACAAAGTTATAAAGTTGCAACAAAGGTACCACTGCAATGGAGCACGGAAAGGATGGCCTTTTAAATAAATGATGTTATTTCAACTGAATATTCATTTATTAAAAAGTTAATCTTGGTGCCTTCTTTATAGCATTCACAAAATATGTATCATTTTGCTAAAAATGATATTACCAGGACAAATAGCAGAATGTGAATGGGTTTGAGAATTAGATGACATTATTACATTGTATCAATGTAATAATTTCCTAATTTTTATGATTGTATTGTTATGTAAGAGAATGTTCTCATTGGAGAAAATACACAATAATATAGTTAATGGTGAAGGGGCATTTTGTTGGCTATTTACATTAAGATATTTCAGATAAAAAAATTTTGTACTGTACTTGCAATTTTTCTGAGGGTTTGAGATTGTTTAAAAATAAAAAAGTTGAGGGGGCGTGTTCCCGTCGGCTGCGCCCGCGGCCCGGGGCGGAGTTGGCCACCGCGCCTGGCTGCGGGCGGCCGGGCGAACGGGCTCGGCGCGCAGGTGGCTCCTCCTTCGCTTCTCCCGATCCCCGGCCGTGCCAGGCACGGTGCCGGCTGCCGAGGGAACGCCTTTGTGCCCGGTCCTGGGAACCCGCGACGGCCGCCGCGCGCCCCGGTCCATTGTTTCGCTTCTCTGGGTTCCAGGTAGGTGCGGGCGGCGCGCGGGGTCCGCACGACGTGTCACCCCGGCGGTTGGGGCGCCGGGACCCGCGGGCGCCGGCAGGGGCGTTCCCGGGCGCACGGCGGCGGTGCAGCACCTGAAGCGGTGGTGGTCGGCCAGCGGCGGCCTCCTGCACCTCACCCTCCTGCACCTTACCCTCCTGCTGAGCTTTGCTGGGCTCCGTGTAGACCTAGACCTTTACCTGCTACTGCCGCCGCCCACCCTGCTCCGGGACGAGCTGCTGTTCCTGGGCGGCCCGGCCAGCTCCGTCTACGCGCTCAGCCCCTTCTCGGCCTCGGGAGGGAGGGGGCGCGCGGGCCAGTTGCACCCCAAGGGCCGGGAGCTGGACTCTGCCGCGCCGCCCGAGGGCCCGCTGCTCCGGGAGGTGCGCGCTCGGGGTCCCCTTCATCCCTCTCACCCCGGTGGATGCGTGGCTGGTGCACAGCGTGGCTGCCAGGAGAGCGGACGAGGCCCACGGGCTGCTCGGCGCCGCCGCCGCCTAGTCCACCGGAGGAGCCGGCGCCAGCGTGGACGGCGGCAGCCAGGCTGTGCAGGGGGGCTGCGGGGACTCCCGAGCGGCTCGGAGTGGCCCCTTGGACGCCGGGGAAGAGGAGAAGGCACCCGCGGAACCGACGGCTCAGGTGCCGGACGCTGGCGGATGTGCGAGCGGGGAGAACGAGGTACTAAGAGAAAAGCACGAAGCTGTGGATCATAGTTCCCAGCGTGAGGAAAATGAAGAAAGGGTGTCAGCCCAGAAGGAGAACTCACTTCAGCAGAATAATGATGATGAAAACAAAATAGCAGAGGAACCTGATTGGGAGGCAGAAAAGACCACTGAATCTAGAAATGAGAGACATCTGAATGGGACAGATACTTATTTCTCTCTGGAAGACTTATTCCAGTTGCTTTCATCACAGCCTGAAAATTCACGGAGGGCTTCTCATTGGGAGATATTCCTCTTCCAGGCAGTATCAGTGATGGCATGAATTCTTCAGCACATTATCACGTAAACTTCAGCCAGGCTATAAGTCATGATGTGAATCTTCATGAGGCCATCTTGCTTTGTGCCAACAGTACATTTAGAAGAGATCCAATAGCAAGGACTTCACAGTCACAAGAACCGTTTCTAAAGTTAAATTCTCATACCACCAATCCTGAGCAAACCCTTCCTGGAACTAATTTGACAGGATTTCTTTCTCCGGTTGACAATCTTTTTTTTTTTTTTTTTTTTTTTTTTGAGACGGAGTCTCGCTCTGTCGCCCAGGCTGGAGTGCAGTGGCGCGATCTCGGCTCACTGCAAGCTCCGCCTCCCGGGTTCACGCCATTCTCCTGCCTCAGCCTCCCGAGTAGCTGGGACTACAGGCGCCCGCTACCACGCCCGGCTAATTTTTTGTATTTTTAGTAGAGACGGGGTTTCACCGTGTTAGCCAGGATGGTCTCGATCTCCTGACCTCGTGATCCGCCCGCCTCGGCCTCCCAAAGTGCTGGGATTACAGGCGTGAGCCACCGCGCCCGGCCCTCCGGTTGACAATCTTATGAGGAATCTAACAAGCCAAGACCTACTGTATGACCTTGATGTAAATATATTTGATGAGATAATGTCATTGGCCACAGAAGACGACTTTGATCCAATCGATGTTTCTCAGCTTTTTGATGAATCAGATTCTGATTCTGACCTGTCTTTAGATTCAAGTCACAATAGTACCTCTGTCATCAAGTCTAATTCCTCTCACTCTGTGTGTGATGAAGGTGCTATAGGTTATTGTACTGACCATGAATCTAGTTCCCATCATGACTTAGAAGGTGCTGTAGGCAGCTACTACCCAGAACCCAGTAAGCTTTGTCACTTGGATCAAAGTGATTCTGGTTTCCATGGGGATCTTACATTTCAACACATATTTCATAACCACACTTACCACTTGCAGCCAAGTGCACCAGAATCTACTTCTGAACCTTTTTCGTGGCCTGGGAAGTCACAGAAGATAAGGAGTAGGTACCTTGAAGACACAGATAGAAACTTGAACGTGATGAACGGCGTGCTAAAGCTTTGCATATCCCTTTTTTCTGTAGATGAAATTGTCGGCATGCCTGTTGATTCAATAGCATGTTAAGTAGGTACTATCTGACAGACCTACAAGTCTCACTTATCCGTGATATCAGACGAAGAGGGAAAAATAAAGTTGCTGCGCAGAACTATCGTAAACGCAAATTGGACATAATTTTGAATCTAGAAGATGATGTATGTAACTTGCAAGCAAAGAAGGAAACTCTTAAGAGAGAGCGAGCACAATGTATCAAAGCTATTAACATAATGAAACAAACTGCATGACCTTTATCATGATATTTTTAGTAGATTAAGAGATGACCAAGGTAGGCCAGTCAATCCAAACCACTATGCTCTTCAGTGTACCCATGATGGAAGTATCTTGATAGTACCCAAAGAACTGGTAGCCTCAGGCCAGAAAAAGGAAACCCAAAAGGGAAAGAGAAAGTGAGAAGAAACTGAAGATGGACTCTATTACGTGAAGTAGTAATGTTCAGAAACTGATTATTTGGATCACAAACCATTGAAACTGCTTCAAAAATTATATCTTTAAGTACTGCTACTTGAATAACTCAGTTAAGGCTCTGTTTTGAAGCTTACATGGACAAATGTTTAGGACTTCAAGATCACACTTGTGGGAAATCTGGGGGAGCCATAACTTTTCATGAAATGCATTGTATACAAAATTCATAGTTATGTCCAAAGAATAGGTTAACATGAAAACCCAATAAGACTTTCCATCTTGGCAGCCATCCTTTTTAAGAGTAAGTCGGTTACTTCAAAAAGAGCAAACACTGGGGATCAAATTGTTTTAAGAGGTATTTCAGTTTTAAATGCAAAATAGCCTTATTTTCATTTAGTTTGTTAGCACTATAGTGAGCTTTTCAAATACTATTTTAATCTTTATATTTAACTTATAAATTTTGCTTTCTATGGAAATAAATTTTGTATTTGTATTAAAAATAAACTTCCCTTTTATACAGAAAAAAAGAAAAAAGTTAAAGAATTTTTTTAAAAGGGTTGCCAATTGGCGATGCATATATGGAAAATAACATTGTAGTTAAATTTTAGGTACCTGGATTTTGTTAGGTAATTTCACTTCTTTGGATTTTAGATTCGTTTTCCACATGAGTGGTTTGGTCTCAAAAGTCTCTAAGTTCAGTGATGTAAATTGAATTTTTTGCCTTAAATATTTCACATTTTAAAAAGTTGTATAGTTTACTATCATAAGAATTTAATGGATAAATAACCTTATTATATAATGTGGATTACTATAGAAATTACTGGCCCTGGAAAATTAGATAGATTCTCTTATTCTCAGTTTTCTTTTCCTCAAAATAAGGATAGTAATGCCTATATCATATGATAGTTGTAAGAATTAAGTGAGAGCATTTCCCTGTAGTAGCTACTGATTAAAAAGTTACAAAGTCAAGAGATGCAAAATGTAAATACATCACGTTTTTATTAAATTGATAGACTGCCTTTTCCAAAATACAGTGCTGTAAATTGAATTTTATGCCTCCTATATATTACATTTTGAAAAATTGAGTAGGTTCAGAATTAGAAGACAATTGGCAAATAACTTTGTTATATGGCATAGGTTACCATAGTAATTACTGTCTGGGTGATACTGGAAAAATAATTTAAGTTTTCTTATTATCCTTTTCTTCTTTAGAATATCAGTGGAATTTGAAACACATTTTGCTTTTATATCCAGGCATTGGAATCCTTTTCATTCAAATGGCATAGTTGGGTCCATTTTGTGTGCTAGCTTCTTTAGGATCCAATCTTCATAGCGTTAATTCCTTTTTTTAAAGAAGAGAACCTTAATGCTCCAAAGGATATAAGGCTAATAATGCTTCTATAGAAGTTGTAAGAATTGAGACCATGCCTCTGTATTAGGTAGATTACAAAGTTATAGACTCAAGTGTGTGAAAATGTAATTATATCACAGGTTTTGGTTAAATCAGTAGTCAGTGTTTAATTAGTAGTATTATGACTATCCAAATTAGCTCATTGATGAGTCAGTAGTCATCCCATTACCTCCATGCCTCTTTGCATGTGCAATCTCTCCCTTCCCCTTTCTTCTGGAGTTAACAATTATCTTTTTAAAAAACATATGTTTTCCTATAGACCTATTACTTTTTCCCATGTTTCAGACAAAAAATTTTTGTACGGTACTTGCAACTTTTCTGAGAGTTTGAGTTTGTTTAGAAATAAAAAAAATGTTTAAAAGCTTTAAAAAAGGGTTGCAAATTGGTGGTGTGTGTATATGAAAAACAACATTGTAGTCATATTTTAGGTACCTGAATTTTTTTTTTCCTACTGACCGGTTGTATGATGTTGCATAGGTAATTTCACTTCTTGGACTTTAAACATTTCTGACACAGTCATGTTTGAAATGTTAGTCAAACATTGACTATGATTTTTGAAATCATAATAAAAAATGTTTGAATATTAACATTTTCAAAACACTCAAACACAGTTTTATGTACTTTAGATGTTCTGATTTGGATTGTTTCTCCCCTACACCCGCTAAACAGCTGTCATCCCAGGATTTCTCTTTAGTAGTGTTCTATGGCTCACATGTTTACTGAATCCCTGTCATGATTTACTCTTTATTTTACTGAAGCACATTTTGCATTAGGTTCCAAAGTAAAACAGCATGGGAGATATAATTTTTGAGTCTTTGAATGCTTCCCAATATCCATATTTTACCTTTATTGTCTTTGATTATTTGGCCAGGTATTAAATGGTAAGTCTCTAACATAGTGCTTATCATGTTATCATAACAAAGTTACTGTAATTAAGACAGTGTGGTATTGACACAAAAACCAATAGAGTAGAATACAGAGTCCAGAAAGAGATCTACACATAATATGCCCATCGCCTTTACAACAAAGGTACCACTGCAATGGAGCAAGGAAAGGATGGCCTTTTAAATAAATGATGTTATTTCAATTGAATATTCATTTATTAAAAAGTTAATCTTGGTGCCTTCTTTATAGCATTCACAAAATATGTATCATTTTGCTAAAAATGGTATTACCAGGACAAATAGCAGAATGTGAATGGGTTTGAGAATTAGATGACATTTTTACATTATATCAATGTAATAATTTCTGAATTTTTATGATTGTATTGTTATTATGTAAGAGAATGTTCTCATTGGAGAAAAAACACAATAATATAGTTAATGGTGAGGGGACATTTTGTTGGCTATTTACATTCAGATATTTCAGATAAAAAAATTTTGTTTAGAAACAAAATATGTAGGTATAAGGTAGTTGCCTTATAAATGGAAGATAGTATTATTGTTGGATCACATTGGAGCGTGGTTTGTCCTCTTACATCCAGCAAGCTATACCTTCTATTTCACCTATAAATTATTTTATTTATACAATATTCTCAACTGGGACCAGTTTGACTAAGAACTGGAAGAAGAAGCTACTCATGTCAACAAAGGGCTGAAGTAATTATTTTTCACAATATTAATATCCAGTGAATTTCTTAGAAAACAATTATGCTTATAGGTTATTCATCAGTTTAATCATTTTAAGGTAACATAACTTTAAGTTAAATAATGAAAGACAATTTTGATTTAAAGCTTATTAGTAATGCTTCACAATGATTTCAGGGCCACATGTGAAGTAATATGTGGCTCAAGGGATAAAGGTTGACTACCTATATGTTTCTACTTGAAAGGCACAGTGGTTAAGAGGATGGGCTTTGGAACTATAGGGTCTGTTACTTAAATCCCATCCCTGCCACTTACTGCCAATGTATTATTTAGTAAATCACTTAATCTTGCTAACCTCAGTGTTTTCATCTGAAAAACAGGGATGAAAATGCCTATCTTGGGATTATTATAAAGACATTTGTAATCTGGTAAAGTGAAATTGCTTAAAACAGTGTCTAGCACTTAGCAAGTGCCCTGTGACTGTTAGCTATTGTAATACACTCTGGTTTTTAAAACTATACAAATAGTTCCATGTACAATTCTAGAATCAGATCTTCATATTTTATGCAACCTGAGGCTATTAAGTGATAACTAATAACATATGCTCTATTTCTGCTGTTGAAACATTTGCTTTTGCTCTCCTTTTGCAGCTACACAGATACTCTTAGCTACTACCCAAATTCTCCAGAATGATCTAGTTGATGTCTCTGACCTCAAGACATTATTGATGGACAAGGACCTTCATACAGCTAATGCTATACTTACTGTAATGTTAAGACATGTACCTGAACATGGTTAGTAGTTTCAATGCGTCTATCTTATAAGGACCATCCTCTACCACAGGGGTGGAAGGTCTATGGGTAGGACATGCAGGGATGGAGGGTATCCTGTGGAAGCTGAGGTGGGATGACTGCTGGACACTGGTACTGCCCCTACAGGTGTGCCAACCCTGAGCTTCATGGGGCCAAACAAATGGGGAAGTCAGAGCTCATCTTATCCCTGTGTGAGTCCACTGACAGTACCTAGGAGGTGAGATTATTTTGTGAACTGACTGACATGCACAGTGGTCAATCAGAATGCCATCCATAGAGTAAAACAGGGTCCTGGAGGCCCTTTTGGTTTTTGGAAGGTAAATTATGATGATATCCAGGGATACCAGGGGGTGTTGCACATAGTGGTGGCTCAGGGCAGCAGATATTTATAAATATAAAAAATAATTTTACTATTTTAATGACAGGTATAGCTGAATATTATCCATGATGGGTTCTTAAAATGAGTTGGGGAGTATTTTTTTGTTTTGTTTTTTAAAAGAGACTTTTTTCTTCCTTGAATGTTGAGTAGAATTCATAGGTGAAGCCATGTGGGCCAAGAGTTTTTTTGTGAAAGGCTTTGGATTATTTATTTAATGTCTTTAAATGAATAGGATTAACAAGGTATTCTATTTTCTTGTTAGTTTTGGCAAGCTATGTTTTTAGAGGAATTCGTTCATTAGATCTGCCTTTTCAAATGTATTGAATAAAGTTGTTCTCTTTTTGACATCTGACATAGCTGTAATGCTATCCTCATTTTAATTCTCAAAATTAGTGGATTGTAGCTTCTTTTTTTTACTCTCGATTGAACTCCACAGTTTTCAATTTTATTAATCTTTTAAAAAATTCAACCTTTATCTTGATTGACCCTTTTAAAAATTTATTTCCTCTTTATTATTTTTGCTTTTATCTTTACTATAATGTCTATACTTGATCTTAGCCAAAAGGCTGATAAGTGATTACTATATGCTGACTTATTACAATTCTTTTATTTTTAATTTTTATGGATAAATAATTGTTATACACATTTATGGGGTATGTGTGATATTTTGATACAAGTATTCAATATATAATGATCAAATCAGGATAGTTGGGTTATCTGTTACCTCAAGCATTATCAGTTCTTTGTGTTAGAAACATTCCAATTTCACTCTTTGTTATTTTGAAATATAAAATAAATTATTAACTATAGTCACTGTATTGTGCTACTGAACACCAGATCTTATTCCTTCTAACTGTATTTTGTACCCATTAACCAACCCCTTTTTTTAATCTCCTTCCGCCTATATCCTAACATCTATTTTTTCTTTGTTTTTTTTTAACTCTTTTTTTTCCTTTTTTCAGTCAGCTTCCCTAGGGTGAATATATCCCAATTTCTAGTGATGAATATTTAGCTCAATAATTTTAAGGATTTTTTTTTTGTTTGTAATACATACCTCACAGCAAATTTTCCTCAAAGTACTCATTTAACTACATCCTACAAGTTTTGATATATAGTATTTTAATTATTGTTCAGGTCAAAATTTTTCTGATTTCTGTTGTCATTTTTTCTTCAACTCATGGTTTTAGAGGTATGTTTCTTAATTTCCAAAAATTTGAGGTTTTATAGTCATTACATTATTAATTTCTAGTTTAATTGCATTGTGGTGGTCAGTGAACATACTCTGATTTTAGTCTTTTGAAGTTTGTTGAGGCTTGATTTATTGACTATGATAATTTTAGTAAATATTTTATGTGATTGAGAAGAATATATAGTCTGCAGTTGGGTTGGGTGAGAGTGTTCTATATATTAGATCAGATTTATTGTCAAATTCAAATTTTTTTATATTCTTACTGATGTTTTATTTCTTTGTTCAATAGTTACTGAAACAGTTGTTCTAAAATCTTCTACAATTTTATACCATGATTATGTATTTGTCTACTTCTCCTTTTAATTCTGTCAGTGTTTGCTGTCTATAGTTTTAGCCCATGTTGTTAACATGCTGACTTAGAATTAAGGCTGGGCATTGTGTTTCATGCCTGTAATCCCAGCACTTTGGAAGGCTGAGGCAGGCGGATCACTTGAGCTCAAGAGTTCGAGACTAGCCTGGGCAAGATGGTGAAACCGTGTCTCTACAAAAACTACAAAAATTAGCTCAGTGTGGGCCAGGTGCGGTGGCTCATGCCTGTAATCCCAGCACTTTGGGAGGCCGAGGCAGGTGGATCACGAGGTCAGATCAAGACCATCCTGGCTAACACAGTGAAACCCCGTCCCTACTAAAAATACAAAAAATTAGCCAGGCGTGGTGGCGGGCGCCTGTAGTCCCAGCTACTTGGGAGGCTTAGGCAGGAGAATGGTGTGAACCCGGGAGGTGGAGCTTGCAATGAGGTGAGATTGCACCACTGCACTCCAGCGTGGGCGACTGAGCAAGAATCCATCTCAAAAATAAATAAATAAATAAATAAATAAATAAATAAATAAATAAATTAGCTCGGTGTGATAGCGTGAGCCTGTAGTCTCAACTACTTGGGGGGTTGAGGCAAGAATTGCTTGAGCCCAGGAGGTTGAGGCTGCAGTGAGCTGTATTCGTACCACTTCATTCCAGCCTGGGTGACAAAGTGAGACCCTGTCTCAAAAAAACAGATAAATCATCCAAATTAATAGAACATTTCATTATAAAGTATTCATATTTGTTTTTAATAATGCTTTTTTCTTAACATCTACCTTGATATTAGTATAGCAACATTGGCTATCTTTTTTTTAGGGATAACATATCTTTTTTGTCATTTTACTTTCATTCTTCCTGTATCCTTATATTTTAGATGTATCTCATGAATAGTACATGGCTTTGCCAGCCTGTTAGTGTCTTAAAAAATGTTTTATTTGAAGTGTTTACATTTACAGAAGAGTTTTAAAGATAGTACAGAGTTCCTGTGTACCCTACCCAGCTTCCCCTAATGTTAGCATCATACATAGCCATGTAACATTTATTAAAACAAAGATATTAATATTGGGACAGTACCATTCATTAAACTACAGAATATATTTGGATTTCACTTGTTTTCACTAATGTTCTTTAATGTCCCAGATCTAGTCTGGGATACCATGATGCATTTAGCTGTCATGTCTTATTAGCCTTCTCTAGTGTATGACAGTTTCTCAGTCTTTCCTTCTATTTAGTGAGCATGACACTTTGGAAGAGTATTGGTCAGGTATTTTGTATAAACCCTTAGTTTGGGTTTATCTCATGATTAGCCTGGGGTTATGCGCTTTTGGGATGAATACCCCGAAGGTAAAGTGCCCTTTTTATTGCAACATATAATGCATTATATTAACATGATTTGTTACTGATGATATTAACCTTGATCACTTGAAGTGGTGTCTGCCATATTTTTTCGTCGTAAAGTTACTGTTTTTCCTTCTTTCAAAGTTTTTGTTAGATGCAAGTCATAAAGTTTAGCCCCATGCTCAAGAAGAAAATTAAGCTATTCTTCTAGAGGGAGGAGTATCAAAGAATTTGGGGACGTGTGTTAAAATAACCACAGTAATTAATAAATATTTTGGAGGAGATACTTTGAGACTGTGCAAGTATTCTGTTTCTCCTCTAAGTTTCTCCCACTAATTTTAGCATTCATTGGCAGATGAATTGCTAGCCTGTAGCAATTATTACTGTGTTGTTCTAATGTTGATTTTCTACTTCCCTCATTCCTTCTACATTTTAAAATTATTTGAAATTCTTCGGCAGGGACGATTTATTCCTTCACTCCCATTAATTAATTAGTAATATGTCTTTTAATTAAACCATGTGGTTAACTTACACTTATGAGATTACTAAAGTATTTGGCTTTAAATCTACCATTTTACTAGTACTTTCTATTTCAGCCACCTGTTCCATATTTCCTTTTCTCTTGGATTTTTTACTTTAAAAATTACTCAATTTCTTAGACAATAGCAAAACAAATATGACAAAATGATATAAAATCCTTTTGGTGTGATAAGTATGTTCATTATTTTATTGTGATTATTGTTTATTTGTGTTTACAAATGTCAAAACTTTGTCAAATACCACAGTTTAAAAGTTGCTGTCTGTTGTGATCCAGAGCAATCAGACAAGAGAAAAAAATAAAGGGTATCCAAATCAGTAAAGAGAAAGGCAAACTGTCACTTTTCATCGATGATATGATCATATACCCAGAAAACCCTCAAGATTCATCCAAAAAGATCCTAGATCTGATAAATGAATTCAGTAGAGTTTCAGGATACAAAATCAGTGTACACAAATTAGTAGCACTGCTATACACCAACAATGACCAAGCTGAGAATCGAATCAAGAACTCAATCCCCTTCACAACAGCTACAAAAAAAAAATAAATAAATACTTAGGAATATACTGAACCAAGGAGGTGAAAGATCTCCACAAGGAAAACTACAAAACACTGCTGAAAGAGAGTATCAGTGACACAAACAAATGGTCATGGATGTGTGGAATCAATGCTGTGAAAATTACCGTACTGCCAAAAGCAATCTACAGATTCACTGCAATTCCCATCAAAGTACCATGATCATTCTTCACAGAACTAAAAAAAGTCCTAAAATTCATATGGAACTAAAAAAGAGCCTGCATAGCCAAAGCAAGACTAAGCAAAAAGAACAAATCTGGAGCATCACATTACCTGTCTTCAAACTATACTGCAAGGCAGTAGTTATCAAAACAGCATGGTACTGTTATAAAAATAGGCATGTAGACCAATGGGACAGAATAGAGAACCCAGAATTAAAGCCAAATACAGCCAACTGATCTTCGACAAAACAAACAAAAGCATGAAGTAGAGAAAGGACATCCTATTCAACAAATGGTGTGGGGATAATTGGCAAATCACATGTAGAAACACGAAACTGTATCCTCATCACTCACCTTATACAAAATCAACTCAAGATGGATCAAAGACTTAAATCAAAGATTTGAAACCATAAAAATTATAGAATATAACATTAGAAAAACTCTTCTAGACATTGGCTTAGGCAAAGAGTTCATGACCAAGAACCCAAAAGCAAATGCAACCAAAACAAAAATAAATAGATGGGACTTAATTAAACTAAAAAGTTTCTGCAAAGCAAAAGAAATAATCAGCAAACAGACAACCCACAGAATGAGAGAAAATATTCACAAACTCTACATCTGACAAAGGGCTAATATCAAGAATCTACAAAGAACTCAAACAAGTCAGCAAGAAAAAAACAAAACCATCAAAAAGTGGGCAAAGGATATGAATAGACAGTTCTCAAAAGAAGATATACAAATGGCCAACAAACATATGAAAAAAATGCACAACATCACTATTTGTCAGGGAAATGCAAATTAAAACCACAGTGAGATACCACCTTACTCCTACAAGAATGGCCATAATTAAATTGATGTCGGCATGGATGTGGTGAAAAGGGAACACTTTTACGCTACTGGTGGGAGTGTAAACTAATAAAACCACTATGGAAAACAACATGGAGATTCCTTAAAAAACTACAAGTAGGTCTTTTGACTCCTTGGTTCAGTATATTCCTAAGATTTTTTTGTTTTTGTTTTTGTTTTTTTTGCAGCTATTGTAAAAGGGGTTGAGTTCTTGATTTGGTTCTCCACTTGGTCACTGTTGGTGTATAGAAGAACTACTGATTTGTGTACAGTAATCTTGTATCTGGAAGCTTTGCTGATTCTTTTATCAGTTCTAGGAACCTTCAGGAGGAGTCCTTAGGGTTTTTGAGGTAAACAATCATCATCTGCAAATAGTGACCGTTTGACTTCCTCTTTACCAGTTTCGATGCCTTTCTTTCTCTTGCCATATTACTCTGGCTAGGACTTCCAGTACTATGTTGAAGAGGAGTGGTGAGAGTGGGCATCCTTGTCTTGTTCCAGTTCTCAGAGGGAATGCTTTCAGCTTTTTGCCATTCAGTATTATGTCGGCTGTGGGTTTGTCATAGATGGCTTTTATTACATTAAGGTATGTCCCTTGTATGCCTATTTTGCTGAGGGTTTTAATCATAAAGAGATGCTGGATTTGTCAAATGCTTTTTCTGCATGGTCATGTTATTTTTGCTTTTAATCTGTTTATGTGGTGTATCACATTTATTGACTTGCATATGTTAAACTATCCCTGCATCCCTGGTACGAAACCCACTTGATCATGGTGGATTATCTTTTTGATATGTCGTTGGATTCGGTTAGCTAGTATTTTGTTAGGGATTTTAGCATCTACATTGATCAAGGATATCAGTCCGTAGTTTTCTTTTTTGGTTATGTCCTTTCTTGGTTTTGGTATTAGAGTGATGCTGGCTTCATAGAATGAATTAGGGAGGGTTCCTTCTTTCTCTGTCTTGTGGAATAGCGTCAAAAGGGTTGGTACCAATTCTTCTTTGAATGTCTAGTAGAATTCTGCTGTGAATCATCTGGTCCTGGACTTTTTTTGTTGGTAATTTTTAATTACCATTTCAATCTTGCTGCTTGTTATTGGTCTGTTCAGGATACCTAATTCCTCCTGATTTAAGCTAGGAGAGTTGTATTTTTCCAGGAATGTATCCATGTCTTCTAGGTTTTCTGATTTATGTGCGCAAGGGTGTTCATAGTAGCCCTGAATGATCTTTTGTATTTCAGTGATGTCAGTTGTAATATCTCCTGTTTTGTTTCTTAGTGGGGTTATTTGGATTTTCTCTCTTCTTTTCTTGGTTAATCTCACCAGTGGTCTATCAATTTTATTTATCTTTTTAAAGAACCAGCTTTTTGTTTCATTTATCTTTTGTATTTTTTTTTTTCAATTTCATTTAGTTCTGGTCTGATCTTTGTTATTTCCTTTCTTCTGCTGGGTTTGGGTTTGGTTTGTTCTTGCTTCTCTAGTTCCTTGAGGTGTGACCTTAGAGTGTCAGTTTGTGCTCTTTCAGTCTTTTTGATGTAGGCTATGAACTTTCCTCTTAGCACTGCCTTTGCTGTATCCCAGAGGTTTTGATAGGTTGTGTCATTATGGTCATTCAGTTCAAAGAATTTTAAAATTTCCATCTTGATTTCATTTTTGACCCAATGCTCATTCAGGAGCAGGTTATTCAAATTTTCTTGTATTTGCATGGTTTTGAAGGTCCCTTTTGGAGTTGATTTCCAGTTTTATTCCATTGTGGCCAGAGAGAGTGCTTGATATAATTTCAATTTTCTTAAATTTATTGAGGCTCGCTTTATGGCCTATCATATGGTCTATCTTGGAGAAAATTCCATGAGCTGTGAATAGAATGTGTCTTCTGCAGTTATTGGATGAAATGTTCTGCATACATCTGTTAAGTCCATTTGTTCCAAGGTATAGTTTAAGTCCATTGTTTCTTTGTTGACTTTCTATCTTGATGAACTGTCTAGTGCTGTCAGTGGAGTATTGAAGTCCCCCACTATTATTGTGTTGCTCTCCACCTCATTTCTTAGGTCTATTAGTAATTGTTTTGTAAATTTGGGAGCTCCAGTGTTAGGCACATATATGTTTAGAATTGTGATATTTTCCTGTTGGATAAGGCCTTTAGCATTGTATAATGTCCTTCTTTGTCTCTTTTAACTGCTGTTGCTTTAAAGTTTGCTTGTCTGATGTAAGGATAGCTACCCCTGCTCACTTTTGGTGTCCATTTGCATGAAATGCCTTTTTCCACCCCTTTACTTTAAGTTTATTTGAGTCCTTATGTGCTAGGTGAGTCTTCTGAAGGCAGCAGATGATTGGTTGGTGAGTTCTTACCCATTCTGCAGTTCTGTATCTTTTAAGTGGAGCATTTAGGCCTTTGACATTCAGTGTTAGTATTGAAATGTGAGGTATGGTTACATTCATCATATTCTTTGTTGTCTGAGTACTTTGGTTTTTTGTTTTTTGTTTTTGCTTTTTAACTTGTATTTTTGTTTTATAGGTCCTGTGTAATTTGTGCTTAAAAATGTTCTGTTTTGATGTGTTTCCAGGATTTGTTTCAAGATTTAGAGCTCCTTTTAGCAGTTTTTGTAGTGGTGGTTTGGTAATGATGAATTCTCTTAGCATTCATTTGTCTGAATAAGACTGTATCTTTCCTTCATATATGATGCTTAGTTTCACTGGATATAAAATTCTTGGCTGATAATTGTTTTGTTTGAAGAGGCTGAAGATAGGGCCCTAATCCCTTCTACCTTGTAGGGTTTCTACTGAGAAATCTGCTGTTAATCAGATAGGTTTTCGTTTACAGGTTACCTGGTGCTTCTGTCTCACAGCTCTTACGAGTCTTTCCTTCGTCTTAACTTTGGATAACCTGATGACAATGTGCCTAGGCGAAGATTGTTTTGCTATGAATTTCCCAGGTGTTCTTTGTGCTTCTTGTTTTTGGATATCTAGGTCTCTAGCATCTTGGATATCAAGGCCAGGGAAGTTTTCCTCGATTATTCCCCCAAATATGTTTTCCAGGCTTTTAGAATTCTCTTCTTCCTCAGGTACACCAACTATTCTTAGATTTGGTTGTTTAACATAATCACAGACTTCTTGGAGGCTTTCTTCATATAGTCTTATTCTTTTTTTTTTTTTTGTCTTTGTTGGATTGAGTTAATTAGAAGAACTTATCTTCGAGCTCTGAATTTCCTTCTTCTACTTGTTCAGCTCTATTACTGAGACTTTCCGGAGCATTTTGCATTTCTAAAAGCGTGTCCAAAATTTCCTGAATTTTTGATGGTTTTTTCTTTATTCCCTTGACTATTTCCCCCTTCACTTCTTGTATCATATTTTGGATTTCCTTGCATTGGGCTTTGTCTTTCTCTGGTCCCTCCCTGATTAGCTTAATAACTAACTTCGTGAACTCTTTTTCAGGTAAATCAGGGATTTCTTCTTGGTTTGGATCCATTACTGGTGAACTAGTGCGATTTTCCTACCAAGCTTTATGTAATACTATTCACTTTCAGAATCTGTCCTGTACCCAGGTTCTAATATTAATTTCTGCTTCCCTCATATACCATCTCAAGACTGCTATCTTTGGCCTCCTGTATTTCCAAGCTTCTTTCTTTTATCTCCCCAGAGGTTAAGGCTTTCATCCATCAGCTCTCTGACTTGTTCTTAGTATTTCCCTACACAGCAAGGGGACTCTCTTCTTATGGGTAAACTCTCATTGATATTATCCATGTTCTGTATTATAAAGATATTTCCTTATTCTTTCTTCTATGAAATTGCCACCTGAGTTTCCTCTTTGTTTTGTTTTTTTTTTTTTTTTTTTTTTTTAGACAGATTCTTGCTCTGTCGCTCAGGCTGGAGTGCAGTGGCACATTCTCGGCTCACTGCAACCTCCGCCTTGAAGGTGCAAGCGATTCTTCTGCCTCAGCCTCCCGAGTAGCTGGGATTACAGGCTCCTGCCACCACCCCTGGCTAATTTTTGTATTTTCAGTAGAGACGGGGTTTCACCATGTTGGCCTGGCTGGTTTGGAACTCCTGACCTTAAGTGATCTGCCCATCTCAGCCTCCCAAAGTGCTGAGATTACAGGCATGAGCCACCATGTCTGGCCTGAGTTTCCTCTTTGGTGTAGGCTCTGAAGCTGACTGCGCTGGTCCTAAATTTTTATTTCCTGACTTATATGCAAATACAAATGTTTAATATTCTGCCTCTTAGTTACACTGTAGGCATGGACTATAGGTTATTTTACTTGCCTTACTTGTTAATTTGTATGGATTTTTGGAGACCACGTGGAGAGATTAAATTTATGTGTCTACTGTCATACTAAAGCAGTGTTTCTAACCTTTTTTTCTCTTGCTCCCCTAAGAAGCCTTTATAGACATTTTAGTTCCTAATTATCCCCCACCCCCATGAAAATTTAATACCACAGATATACCATATATCTGTTTAAGTACTATGGCCAGAAACTATTGTAATATCTGAGATTTTTTTTTTCTCCTAAGAACCAGTTTTACCCCTTGAGAGCAGTATCACTCTCAATGAGAATGTATGTTCTGAAAGTATCTTGAATTTTTTTTTCATTGTTGTACTGCCGAATCCTATAAGTAGTATTTTACTTATACTTTAACACATGTATGAGTAATATTGGTCTATAATTTCCCTCCCTCACCTCCTCAGTATTATATTTATTCTGTAGTTTTGTAGGCAATTAGGAGCTACTGAAGGGTTTTATGCATGGGAATAATCAATTTTTTTAAAGAGGAATACATCCCTTGACATACTGTGGAAAATAAATAGAAGATGAGACTGGTGGCATAGGTTTTTAAAGATGCCATTGTAATAATAAAGGTATTAGTTAATGCAGTAGTAAATTCAAGAAGTATTTGGAAATAAAATGAGCAGAAATTGATAATCATATGCATGCAAGAGGTAAGGGAGAAGAAATAGCCCAGCCTTACTCTCAAGCTTTTAACTTCTGTTATAATTTGACTATTAGCTTCAGCTATATTATTTAATTCTGAAACAATAATTCTTTCTTTTAAGTAAATTATGCTTTGCCTTACAGAAAGTGGCAAGGTTAGCATTCAAGAATTTATGACTAAATTATCCGATATATTGACAATTCCTAAAGCTGCAGGTAAGTTTTATTTAATATGTACTTATTGCCCAGATCTAGAAAGGCAAGCAGTGGTTTACATGTTAAAAACAATACAGGATTCGATAGTTAAAGCACAGGTAAGTAAGAAGCAATACAATATGAATATAAAACAACACAAGATTAGTTTACATAACTTCTGTTTGAATTCTAAGGCAAATATTGCTAAGCTTAACCCAAACTCAAAATTTTAGGTAGTCTTACTTGATAGTGCTAGAAAATTACTAGATTATATATTATTCAGTATGCATATTTGACTTCTGAAATTATTAGAAAATAATTTTTAAAACTTTTGACAAATCCAGTAGAATTTTTATCACTATCTGTTATGTTCTCATGTATCTTCAGCGACTCTCTTGATCACACTTTTTAAACATTCATGCTTTTTGAGGTATAATGTACATATGGCAAAATTCACTCTTTTTAGGTATACAGTTCTTTGGATTCTTAAAAATAATGTAATGTAACCCTTACTATACACAACATATAGACTATATTATCCCCCAGAAGTCTCTTATGCCCTTTTGGTAATCCATTTCTTCCTCTACCCTGAGCCCCTGGCAACTACTGATTCATTCTTTGTCCCTCTAGTTTTGCCTTTTGTGGAATATCATGTAAATGATTAAATATGAAGTGGTTTGAGTTTGGCAGTCATTGCATGCATATACCTTGAATTTACTTTGTTTATACTCTCATTTATACTACCAACCCTCCCTAGAAAAAATGGATTCTGATTGGTTCTGGTTGCAGTATTACAAATTCCAAATAAAGCTTTATTTGAGGACCCCCAAAGTTGAGGTACTGATCCCTTTGGCTGTTTGTTTCCCACTAAGTTGTGTGTGTGTGTGTGTGTGTGTGTGTGTGTGTGTGTGTGTGTGTATGTGTAACCAACATTTTGTTGAATCAACAATGTACCATTAGTAAAGCTGCTGTGCAAAATTATCCCTCAGATCTGTTCTAAACTTACAGTTTAACTGATTTTATTGTCCTCACCTAAGGTTATACAATTCATTTTTTGGAAGAAAATACTAGGACATTAAATCAAGATGGTTACTTTTGCTATTTTGCTGAAGATTCATATTTAAATATAAATGAAGAAGTTAATCTACACATTAGAAGTGTTTTAAAAAATGTTTAAATTGATACATAATTGTACTTTCATTTATACATTGTATAATAATCAAATCAGTGTAAGTAGCAACCCATTGTGAACCCCAAATATCAGAAACAGGATTCAATTAATTTAGAAAGCTTATTTTTGCCAAGGTTAAGGGTGTGCCCATGACACAGACTTAGGAGGTCCTGACACATGTGCCTAAGGTGGTTGGGGCACAGCTTGGTTTTATACATTTTAGGGAGACATGAAATATCAATCAATACATGTAAGATGTACATTGGCCAGAAGGGCAGGGGAAAGACAATTTGAAGCGGGGAATTTCCTTATGGGCAAATTGTGAGGGAGTTAATGTAGCTTCTTCTTTTATTTTATTTTATTTTATTTTATTTTATTTTTTATCTCTGTTGCTATCTCCTTTAGGAATAGAATGGGAGGTAGGTTTGCCTGACACAGTTCCCAGCTTGACTTTTCCCTTTGGCTTAGTGATTTTGGGATACCGAGATTTATTTTCCTTTCACACCATCAGCTCAAACATTTATCATTTCTTTGTAGTGAGAACATTCAATACATTATTAACTATAGTCACCCTTTAATTTTTAAATAGACAAATACAAATTGTATGTACTGTATATTGCATGATTCAAAATATGTACATACATTGTGGAATGGCTAAATTGAATTAATTAACGTGTTTTACCTCACATACCTATTTTTGTGATGAGAACACAAAATCTTTTCTCTTAGCAATTTTCAAAAATATTATACATTGTTATTAACTGTAGTCACCATGTTATACAACAGAGCTCTTAACCTTATTGATTTTCTAATATTTTATTAAAGATTTTTGAGAGTATGTTTATGAGGGATATTGGTCTATAGTTTTCTTTTAGTGTCTTTTCCAGATTTTTTTGTTAGGGTTATGCTGACCTCATAAAATGAGTTGGGAAGTCTTCCCTCCCTTTTTTATTTCTGGTTGAGTTTGTGCATTAGTTGGTTCTAATGCTGCTAATAAAGAAATATCTGAGACTGGGTAAGTTATAAAAGAAAGAGGTTTAACTGACTCACAGTTCCATATGGCTGGGGAGACCTCACAATCATGGTGGAAGGCGAATGAGGAGCAAATTCACCTCTTACATGGCGGCAGGCAAGAGGGCTTGTGCAGGGGAACTCCCATTTATAAAAACCATTAAATCTCGTGAGACTTATTCACTTATGGGGACACTGCCCCCATGATTCGATTATGTCCACTGGCCCCACCCTTGACACTTGAGGATTATTACAATTCAAGGTGAGATTTGGGTGGGGACACAGCCAAACCATATCAGTTTATGATTATGATTAGGATTATTGTTTTCATTAAATGTTTGGTAGAATTCACCATCTATTCCTGAAGATTTAAAATATTGAGCTCTATTTATTCAATGGATATATAGCTCTTTAGAGCCTCCCTCTTCTAAATCTTTCTGTAGTTGTCACTATATCTTTCTGTAAGTATCATAAAGAAGAAATATACTTTCTATAAGTGGAACTGTGTCTTGTCAAAGTTTATTTTATGTAATTTGTCAGGTTTATTGTCATGAAATTGTTCATAATATCCCCTTATTATCCTTTTAATGTCTATAGTGTGATGTCTTATTTTTCATTCCTGATGTTTGTAATTTCTATTTTCTCTTTTTTGTTTGTAACCAGTCTTGCTAGGGAGTTATTAAATTTATTAATAATTTTACACAAATGGTGATTTTGTTAATTTTTGTTAACTTTTCTCTTTTGTTTTTCTTTTTCATTGGTTTATATTTTTATTGTTACTATCATTTGGTCTTTGTTTACTTTGGGCTTCATTTACCCTTCTTTGCTAGCTTGTTAAGATAGAAGCTTAGATAACTGATTTTTATCCTTTTCTAACATTAAAACTGCAAATTTTCCCCTAATATGTCTTTCATTGCATCTCACAAACGTTGTTATGTTGTGCTTTTTATCATTTACTAAAATATTTTCTAATTTACCTAATGATTTTTTCTTTGAAGTGTAGGTTATTTAGAAATGTAGTCTTTAATTTCCAAATATTGGGACATTTTCTAGATATCTTAATTATTATTGATTTCTAATTTATTTATTTCTTTTAGGGAGAGGGTCTTGCTTGTTGCTCAGGCTGGAGTGCAGGTGGCATGATCATGGTTCACTGCAGCCTCCAACTCTTGGGCTCAAGCAACCTCTTGCCTCAGCCTTGCAAGTAACTGGGACTACAGGCACACACCATTACACCTGGCTAATTTTAAACATTTTTTCTGTAGAGATGGGGTCTCATTTTGTGTTCCAGGCTGGTCTTGAGCTCCTGGGCTCAAGCATTTCTCCTGCCTTGGCCTCCCCAAGTGTTGGGATTATAGTTGTGAGCCACTGTGCCAAGCCTGATTTCTAATTTAATACATTTGGCCAGAGAATATATTTTGCATGATTTAAATTCTTAAATTAATTAAGATTTATTTATAGCCCTGGTTATGGTCTATCTAAGTGAATGTTCCATGTGTACCTGAAAGAATGGCTTGAACTCGCGGGGAGGAGGTTGCAGTGAGCCAAGATTGCACCACTGCACTCCAGCCTGGGCAACAGAGTGAGACTCCATCTCAAAACAAAAGAAAAAAATTTTTTGGTTAAGAGTTTAGATAAAGGAAAAAACTCCATTTAAATGTTTCTGTGAAGAAAACCATAATGGATTACATGGCACAACAACAGTTTCAAAAAATTAAAACCAATTTGTAAACATTAATCATCACGGTTACTTATATGCCCTTAAAAATGATCTATATGCTCCTAGTGTCACATAAGACACGTTAATCTAGGAGTCTACTTCACTCAGACTTTTTGCAACTAACATGCATTCTTTGTTTCTTCATCACTGTGGGGAAGAGGTGGTACATACAAAAGGTTCTTGACATAACCCTATAAAAAGATGATCACATGGTGTATTATCTGGGAATTTAAATGGTCACAATTCCAGGATACGTCAATGCTATCAACTTTAAAAAATAAATAAATTTGACCTATAATGGGGGGGCCAGCCGGGGGTAGGGGAGAAAGAGGCAAACTGTGTATCCTGGAACTTTGTAACTGGAAAAAAATTAGCAGCAGCAGCAGCCTGATCAAAACTGCAACTTCTTGCCCACCTGGACAACCCAGCTCTCTTTTCTAGAAATTAGCATCTATGCTCAATTTCTAATAATGGAATGGTGCCTAGGTACTCATGTTTGTCTAGGTGAAAACAGCTTCTAAATCCAGGTGCTTACATCAGAATTGCTCTCCTGGAAATTTAGGACTGAGACATTGAGTCACTTACCTGTAGGGTAACCTGTAGAATCAGAGATTTCTCAAATTTGACCTGTCTTATTTTGATACCATGTTTCCCAGCAATGTAACCTCCCCTTAAGTATCAGTTTTTGTAAAATCTCCTAATCAATTTCTTATCAGATTATATTATATAAATACCTATCATCTAGAGTACTCCAGAAGCCAAATGAACATTAAAAAAAAAATACTGAGATAGGGCCAGGCATAGTGGCTGAGTGTAATCCCAGCATTTTGGGAGGCTGAGTTGGAAGGATAACTTGAGGCCAGGAGTTCATGACCAGCCTGGGCTATATAGCAAGACGCTGTCTCTCTACCAATTCTATAAATATTAAAAAAAAAAAAAACTGGGTGTGGTGGTGGCACTTGTACTCCTAGCTACTTGAGAGGCTGAGGTGGGAGGACGGATTGATTGAGGCCAGGAGTTTGAGGCTATCGTGAACCATAATTGTCCACTGCAGTCCACCCTGGGGTGACGGACTAATAGACTCTGTCTCTAAATAAATAAATATTACAAAAAGAAAAGCACTGAGATAGGTAATGTTGGTAAGTGAGATTATAGATTTTAATCTCATGAACAATTTTAAGTTAGCTACTATACACTCCCATTTCCAAAAGTTTAGATTGGAATGTTTGCTGCCTTTGGTAGCTAAGAGAAAAGAAATAACAATGAGGGATATTATAGTGCCATTCTTCCACAGTCCTTATCAAATAAATAGGCCTTTGAGTCTTGGAATTGTTGAGAGTAAGAAAGCAAATAATATATAAAGTTGACAAGCACAAAAGACACAAAGAGGCCAGGCATGGTGGCTCAAGCTTGTAATTCCAACACTTTGGGAGGCCAGGGCAGGGGGGTTGTCTGAATCCAGGAGTTCAAGACCAGCCTAGGCAACATAATGAGATCCCATCTCTACAAAAAATAAAAACAAAAGTAGCCAGACATGATGGTGCATGCCTGTAGTCCCAGCTACTCAGGAGGCTGAGGTGGGAGGATCACTTGAGGCTGGGAGGTCGAAGCTACAGTGAGCTGTAATTGCACCACTGCACTCCAGCCTGGGGAACAGTAAGACCATGTTGGAAAAAAAGAAGAGGGGAGGGGAAGGGGAGGAGAGACCACAAGAAACAAATATAATGAATAATAGTTTACTATTCCTGAGAAAAAGAGAATACCAAATGTAAGAGAATGTGTAACTAGGGTTGGGGAGAGCGGGCTGGAGAGAGACAGCACACAAAGACAACAGAGAGAAGTCAAATAGGAAATTTCAAAATGAGAATCAGCTGATGTATAAAAAAGAGCAAAATAATTTTTTTACCGATAGAACTGCAAGATTTAGCTTTCCAAAATGATTCAATTCTCCAGAAAAGAAAAATTAATTTAAGCACTCATCTAAGTAACTAGTATAAAGTGCCAAGCAAAAATAAACATTTATTAGATATAGACAAATGCAAATATATTCAATGCTTTCGTACAAATGTGAATATCTGGGGGCCTTATTATCATCTTGTTAATATATGCCAGTGAACAATTTGTAGACACAAGACTTGTTTTACAAACTGGGTAATATGTTCCATGAACGTAAGCCAGGAATTTAAAACTTAGTGTCTATCTCTTCATTCTAAGAAATGTTTCAGCTAACTCACTGTGTGTGTGTGTGTGTGTGTGTGTGTGTGTGTGTGTGTGTGTGTGTGTGTGTTTGTGTATGTTTTCTATCTCATGTGGTGGTGATGAGCCTAGTACTTATATTCTTGAAATGAAAATCCCATTCTGATATTTCTTCCTCCCTCTTCTCTGTCACATTAAACTGATCACCAGGCTGGTCAGCTGAAGCTCTTACATATTACCGAATGTCTCTGTCCCGTTGTTCCTACTACTTCAGATCCTCATTCCAGTGTCTGGGACACTGTCAGAGTCTAAATAGATTCTAGGTCTCTTGTCTCGTCTATCTTCCATCTCCCAATCCTCCTTCCCCCAATCCATTAGAATGACAGACCTAAGCATATCCTTTCTGAACATAAAAACCCTTCAATAACTTTAGGGATAAACTTTAGGCTCCTTAACATTATGCATGAGGTGCTTGAACATCTGACCCTTGACAGTCCCTCTCAGCATTCTAGCACATTCAGGGTCCTAACAATACCACCCTTCTCCCTGCCACCATCCCAAATCCCTCCCCCTGCTCACCACTCTCCTTGTTATTTCCCACTTCAAAGCTTTTGCTCCTTCAATCTGTAAAATTAACAGCCACTCATGTGTTCCTTCCTTTCTCCTCTCTTCACAGCCAGCACCTGGAGGTTTCTTACTCTTAGGAAAAACTGCGACCTTTTCTAAGATACCTCCTCCCTCTTTCCTCAGTCCTGTTAAAGGTTAGGTGGACATTCACTGTACCTCGAAAATCCTTGCACATATTATTGTTTAACAATCACCGATTGATGCACGTCTATCCACCATACAGACCTGGTACATATAAGAGGACATGCCAGAAATGAGGACGAGATCAATGGGCAGATAGATGAAATGTTTAGCTTCCTTATTTACCTGAAACCTCATTTTTGGAAGTCCTAAAACCCATAAAGAATATTTGGTGCTTTCAAAAATATCTTTTACTTGGCCAGGTGCAGTGGCTTACACCTGTAATCCCAGCATTTTGGGATACTAAGGCCGCTGGATCACTTGAGGTCAGGAGTTCGAGCCCAGCCTGGCCAACATAGCAAAACCCCATCTCTACTAAAAATACAAAAATTAGCCGGGCATGGTGGTCCCGCCTATAATCCCAGCTACTCAGGAGGCTGAGGCATGACGAGAATCGCTTAGACCTGGGAGGCAGAGAGGGTGCACTGGGCCAAGATCACACCACTGCACTCCAACCTGAGTGATGGAGTGAGAATCTGCCTTTAAAAAAAAAAAAATTAGCTGGGTGTAGTAGTGGATGCCTGTAATCCCAGCTACTCGGGGGCTGAGGCAGGAGAATCGCTTGAACCTGGGAGGCGGAGGTTGCAGTAAGCCAAGATCTCAGCACCGCACTCCAGCCTGGGCGACAGAACGAGACTCCACCTCAAAAAAAAAAAAAAAAAAAAAGTCCTGGCCAGGCGCAGTGGCTCACGCCTGTAATCCAAACACTTTGGGAGGCCAATGTGGGTGGATCACGAGGTCAGGAGATCGAGACCATCCTGGCCTGTAGTCCCAGCTACTTGGGAGGCTGAGGCGGGAGAATCGCTTGAACCTGGGAGGTGGAGATTGCAGTGAGCCGAGATTGAGCCACTGCACTCCAGCCTGGGCCACAGAGCGAGACTCCGTCTCAAAAAAAAAAAAAAAATCTTTCACACAGACGCTAAATATACTGATAAAAACTTAATTGCTATCCACTACTATTACTTTTGGAAAAAAATAAGGGGGAGACAGGTTAGCAATTTCTAAGCCTTCCATTAGGTTTAATCTTACAATTAGATGACATCATGTTTTTTGCTGTTTTTGTTTGTTTCTTTGGCCTATGATCATCCTTCCTATACTTATAAATAATCTTTACTTCAGGGCTATCCAATAAAGAAGGACTATTAAAAAAGCATATATATATATATATATATATACATATATACACATATACATATGATATACTCATCATCTGCTAACTACTCTCTATGCAAATTGTAGCTTTCTAAAATGAATGCTTCCTTGACTCTGAAGAATACAAGCTTCTACCCCAAAAAAGTTCACAAGTCCCTTTGTTGCCACAATCTTCACATTTCTGAAAACTTATTAAAAGGTAATTTTAACAAAACATGTCAGTGAAATGATGAGTTAACACGTTACAGAAGAAAATATTAGCAGTCAAAAATATAAAAATAGGATACAATGATTTAAATTGTACAAAAACTGGCCACTGGCCAGGGATGCTGGCTCACGACTGTAATCCCGGCACTTTGAGAGGCTGAGATAGGAGGATTCCTTGAGACCAAGAGTTAGAGACCACCCTGGGCAACATAGGGAGATCTTTTTCTATAAAACATAAATAGACCAGGTGCACTGGCTCACACCTGTAATCCCAGAACTTTGGGAGGCAGCCAAGGCGGGCAGATCACTTGAGGCCAGGAGTTCAAGCCCAGCCTGATCAATGTGGCGAAAACCTGTCTCTACTAAAAATACAAAAAACTAGTCAGGAGTGGTGATGCATGCCTGTAATCCCAGCTACTTGGGAGGCTGAGGCATGAGAATTGCTTAAACCCAGGAGGTAGAAGTTGCAGTGAGCCAAGAGTGAACCACTGCACTACAGCTTGGGTGACAGAGCAAGACTCTGTCTCAAAAAAAAAAAACCAACCAAACAAAGAAATAAATAAAAGGAAGTTAAGCTATGAGGACACAAAGGGATCAGAATGATACACAATGAACTTTGGGGACTTGGGGGAAAGGATGGGAATGGGGTGAGAGACAGAAGACTACACACTGGGCACAGTGTACACTGCTTGGGTGATGGGTACACCGAAATCTCAGCAATCACCACTAAAGAACTTAGTCATGTAACCAAACACCACCTGTTCCCCAAAAACCTACTGAAATAAATAAAGAAATAAGTATTTTTAAAACTGGCCATTACATATTTAACGACATGTAGAAAATTTAACAGGTCAATACAGTAAATTCTTTGCTATTTAGATATACAATAAAGATATTCTAGTAAATTTTTTCCCAGTACTCACAAAATTTCATTTTTTTCTAAATTCCACAATGTTCTAGCCACATAGGAGTATTTCTTATTCTCTGAACATGCCTACCTGCCACCTCTTCCCTTTGCACCTGCTACCCTAGGTTACGTCACTTTCTCTGTCTGGAATTTTTAGTTGATCATTTTCTGCAAAGGTCAAATGCCTAATTATTCTGCAAAGCCCTAGAAGCTCTTTGTATGCCTTACTCAATTCCTGAGACAAGAATAATTTCTCATTATTTGCCCATAATACTCCATTCAGCCTTATTATTATGTAACATATATTTTAATTTTCATACATTTATTGACTTGTCTTCCTACTTGAGGAGGAAACCCCCTATTTTATTTATCCTTGAATTCCTGGTGTCTAACACAACACTTGATACAAAGTAGGTCCATAGTAAATGCCCAGTAAATAAATGTTCCCAAACTTATCCTTTATTACCTACCATCCATTAAGGACTGATGTCTTCAAGCCCATTTTCCAATCATTCCTGTCATTTCAGAATTGCATGCCCCATTATTAGGCATAAATAATTTATATGAACAAAACCTTATTAACTTTTTTTATTTTTTTGAAACAGGGTTTCACTCTGTTACCTGGGCTGGAGTACAGTCACACAATCATAGCTCACTGCAGCCTTGACCTCCCAGGCTCAAGAGATCCTCCCACCTCAGCCTCTCGAGTAGTTGGGAGGGACTACAGGCGAGCACCACCATGCCCGGCTAATTGTTTTTCTTTTTTGCAGAGGTGGGTTCTCAGAATGTTGCCCAGGCTGGTCTGGTACTCCTGGGCTCAAGCAATCCTCTCACTTCAACCTCCCAAAGTACTGAAATTATAGGTGTGAACCACCACACCCGGTCCATTAACTTTCTTTCTTTTTTGTTTTGTGTTTCTTTGCTTGCTGTTCTTTTCTGAGACAGGGTCTTGCTCTGTTGCCCAGGTGGGGGTGCAGGGCACAGTCACGGTTCACTGCAGCCTTGACCTCTGGGCTCAAGGGACCCTCCCACCGCAGCCTCTTGAGTAGTTGGGACTACAGACACATGTGCCTCCCCACACCTGGCTAAATTTATTCTTTTTTGTAGAGACAGGGTCTTGCTTGTTGTCCAGACTGGATTCAAACTTCTGGGCTCAAGTGATACTCCTGCCTGGGCGTCCCAAAGTGCTAGGACTATAGGCATGAGCCACTGAGCCTATTCTAACCCTAAGTAGAACAAAACAAATCATCAACAACAAAAATCCGACAAACATAAAGCAATCACATATAAGAAAAGCTGTAAAAAGGAAAGAAATAGAAAGAAGAAAAAAATAAACTTGATAAACAGATACACCACGCTTCTGGAAGGAAGGATTCAATATTGTAAAAATATATTCATCCCTAAAACAGTATTTCACTGTAACTCTAATATAGTCTAAATTGTGTGCTTATTAGTCCTAATGTTCATCTAGAAAAATAGATGACAATATTTGTCTTACCATATACTAAAATGTATATAAAGCTATAATAATTTAAAATAGTGTGGCACCAGGATAAAAATAGACACACCAATGGAACACATAAAAAGTCCAGAAACATACTCAAGTATTCAAGAATTTAGTAATGATTCAAACAAGATTTCAAATCACAATGGAAAACATAGATTATTCAGCAATAGTGTTGAAAAAGTTGACTAACCAGGTGGGAGGGGAAAGTTGGGCACGTATCTTACCATATTCTAAAATTAATTCTAGGCTAATAAAATATTTATATCTAAATAATTCCTTCTTTGGTCTACCCTCGCTCCTTTTCTGCTTCAACACTTTAGTCTTAAAGCCATGAGATGGGGCTAGGCATGGTGGCTCACGCCTGTAATCCTAGCATAGGCATGGTGGCTCATGCCTGTAATCCTAGCATAGGCATGGTGGCTCATGCCTGTAATCCTAGCATTTTGGGAGGCCAGAGCAGGCAGTTCACTTGACTCAGGAGTTCAAGACCAGCCTGGGCAACATGATGAAATCTCAACTCTACAAATAATACAGAAAACTTAGCTGGGTGGGATGGGTGCACCTTGTAGTCCCATCTACTTAGAGGGCTAAAGTGGAAGGACTGCTTGAGCCCAAGAGGTCAAGGCTGTAGTGAGCCAAAACTGCACCACTGCACTCCAGCCTGGGTGACAAAATGAGACCCAAAAGCCATGAGGTGAGTTCAAGCATAGTAATTATCCATGAGGGGGTCATGGATATTGGAGGGGGCAGTACAATACTAGTATAAGAGCCTGAATAAGGCTGGCTTCCCTAAGGGGTTGGGGATAGGGGTGAGGACAATCTCAGAGCAAGGTGAAAAGATCAACAAAAGTTGAAGCAGTGAACTGAGGCTGAATATCAAATCCCAAGAGGGGTGAAAAGGACTGGCATGCAGGAAAGTAGCAGCAACCCTGAACTGGGTTGGAACAGCATCTGCCTTAGGTGGAGCAGCAACAGAAGGTATGTCAAAACAGGAGAAATTGATCAAATAAGTAAACTATTAAAAATAGTGAGAGTCAGGTTTCTGTCTGAGAATCATAAATATGGGGGGAAAAATTAAAATGAATCCTGTTTTGTTGGGTTGGATTTGGCGAAGTTAATATGAGCATATGGAGTTCAATATATAGAGATGGATACAGTAATAGAGATGTGAGTGTGTATGTATATTCACATAATGAATCAAAAGTATTGTGACCTCACAGTTTGTTCTCTTTTTTTTTTGAGACAGCGTCTCATTCTGTCACCCAGGCTGGAGTGCAGTGGCACAATCTTGGTTCACTGCAACCTCCGACTCCCAGGTTCAAGCAATTCTCCTGTCTCAGCTTCCCGAATAGCTGGGATTACAGGCGTCCACCACCATGCCCAGCTAATTTTTTTTTTTTGAGATGGAGTCTTGCTCTGTCGCCCAGGCTGAGGTGCAGTGGCACAATCTTGGCTCACAGCAACCTCCGCCTCCTGGGTTCAAGCAATTCTCCTGCCTCAGCCTCCTGAATAGCTGGGATTACAGGTGCCTGCTACCACACCCGACTAATTTTTGTATTTTTTAGTAAAGACGGGGTTTCGCCATCTTAGCCAGGCTGGTCTTGAACTCCTGACCTCATGATCCACCTGCCTCGGCCTCCCAACGTTCTGGGACTAGAGGCATGAGCCACTGGACCCAGCCAATTTTTTTTTTTTTTTTGAGACAGACTCTCACTCCGTCATTCAGGCTGGAGTGAAGTGGTGTGATATTGGCTCACTGCACCCTCTCTGCCTCCAGGGCTCAAGTGATTCTCGTCATGCCTCAGCCTCCCAAGCAGCTGGGATTACAGGCGTGCCCCACCATGCCCGGCTAATTTTTGTATTTTTATTAGAGATGGGGTTTCATTAGCCAGGCTGGTTTTGAACTCCGGACCTCAAGTCATCCCACTGGCCTCGGCCTCCCAAAGTGCTAGGATTACAGGTGTGAGCCATCGTGCCTGGCCCACAGTTTTCTACTTAGATATAAAAACAATATAAGATGTGAATTTATAGAAACATGTATCTCTGTAGGAATACACACACACACACACACACACACACACACACACACAATTTCCTAGCCATGCTGACTGAGAGTAGCAATAACCCACACCTAGCACCCACTTTGGCTTCTAAATATTATTCTCACCTAAAAGGAATCAAGGCTCCTCAGAGAAATGGTGATTTCAGAACTACAGCAGGAATAATATAAGATGAGCCTAGATTATACTGTTGTGTCAGAAGTAGAGAAATGCTTCTCTGAAATGATAGGTCAAAAGACACAGAAGCCGGCTTAAAGAGGTCCCACCAGGAAAACCTGAGACAGTATGTAAATCAAAATAAATGACATTAGTGGAATATGACCCATTAAAATAAAATAGCATAAGTCCATACTAATACAAATAATCAGGGAGTAAAGAAAGCTTCACCTTACAGCGGAACGTCAACTGATGAATGTGAAAGAAAAGGTGAAATTAGAAAATCACTACTTGCCATCAATCCTGGTCATAAATTAGGCCAAGAAACATCAATGAATGCTAAAATTAGTGAGGAAAAGGCGCAAGGAACAAGATGTTTATAGGCGAAGTACTTCCCCCACAAAATCCATACTGACTATAAAGAGAAAAAAGATTAACCTCACAGTGGAGAAACCTAAAAGACACACCTTAACCAAGTGGTCAAGGAAAAACTGAAATCATGTACCACCTGATAGGATGCAAACAAAAAACACAGAATCACGTATGTGATACTCCTGCTAAAAACATAACTGCTTTTAATCATGACGAAACATCAGGCAAATCCAAATAGGAGGTCATTCTACAAAATAACTGACCTGTAATATTCAGAAGTATCAAAGTTATGAAACTCAGGGAAAGACTGAGTTACTATTTGAGATTTAAAAAGACAAAAGAGGACTGGGTGTGGTGGCATAGACCTGTAATGCCAACAGTTTGGGAGGCTGAGGCAGGCAGATCACTTGAGGCCAGGAGTTCGAGACCACCCGGGCCAACATGGCAAGAGCCTGTCTTTACTAAAAGCACAAAAAAATCAGCTGGACGTGGTGGTGCACACCTGTAATCCCAGCTACTGGGGAGGCTGAGGCACGGGAATCACTTGAACCCAGGAGGTGGAGGCTACAGTGAGCCAAGATTGCGCCAATGCACTCCAGCCTGGGTGACAGAGCGAGACTCTGTACAAAAATAAAAAGAAAAATAAATAAAAAGACCAAAGAGTCAAAATGCAGTTTATGATCCTTTTGCTATAAAGAATATGTCTACAAAAACACGAATGGGTTCCAAAGATCAGACAGGAATAATGCATCGCTGTTAATTTCCTTATTTTGATGTTATATTGTATATTCCCAGGAGAATATTCTTCTTTATGGGAAATTCTGAAGTATTCAGGGGTGACAGCATATTATATTGGTAAGTTACTCTCAAATGGTTTAGGGAAGGAAGAGTTCTTTTGTACTATTCCTGCAACCTGTTTGTAAGTTTTAACGCTTTTAAAATTAAAAAGAAAAACAAGGTTTTTAAAAATGAACTTCCAAAGCACTAAAAAAAAAGTGCATTAATATAAAGATTTTCTTTGCACGGCATCAAAGGCAGAAACAATAAAGAGCATTTGCATAAATTACCTCAAAAATGTAAACTTGTGCATTAGAAAAAATTAACCTGCTAGAATCCCAATAACAAAAACTATGAAGACATAATAAAATTAAACACCAAACGTTAAACTATGGGAAAAAACACACACAGCAAATATACGAGACAAAAGAATATGATCTCTAATATAAAACACTTTGTAAAAAAAATTATAATATTAAAATAAACAGATATGGAAGGTCAATTAACATACATGAATAATCTTCAAAAAAAAACTTTAAAATAACCAACCTTACCAGTACTCAAAGAAACTCATTCAAACATTTTAATATTTTTTTTACTAGAAAGAATAGCAAAGATTTTTTTAAGGGTAACACAGTGTACCTAACAAAATATAGAGTTATGAGCAATCTCACATACAGCTAATACAGTGTAAGTTCTAGAGGACAATTTCACACAATGTATTTCTTGAAGCTTCCAAAATGTTCACACACTTTTACACAGATGCTAGCAGTGTATACTAAATGCCAGACACCAAACTAGGCCCTTCAACCACAAAGGGTTGCTTAATTAAATTTACAGTTTGTTGAATCTCATGATATTCTGTATTACAGACCAAGTATCTATTAAAAATACAGCAGAAACACAATTTATTGACACACAAAAGATGCTGTGTAATTTTCAAAAGCAAACAAAAAATATAAGCAAAACGATTCAACTTTTTCGTAAGTATATACTATAAGCAAAAATACACAGAAAAAACCCCGTCTCTACTAAAAAATAGAAAAATTAGTCGGGCGTGATAGTGGGCACCTGTAATCCCAGCTACTCAGGAGGCTAAGGCAGGAGAATTGCTTGAACCCGGGAGGCAGAGGTTGCTGTGAGCCGAGATCATGCCACTGCATTCCAGCCTGGGTGACAGAGTGAGACTCTGTCTCAAAAAAAATAAATAAATAAAAAGTAAAATAAAATAAAATAAAATAAATATTAATTACATAATAAAAAGTTTTTTTGCACAAAAACATTTAAAATCTTAAAGCTGGCTGCAATTTCTTCCACAGTTGGAATGTGTACCTTCAATTAAGTGGTAAAACTGTATTTAAAGGCACATTGGGTAATGGTGAAACCTAAAATGCAGAGGAGAATAAAACAATAACATACTAAATGAAGAAAAACATACAGGAAAAAAGCAAACATTAAGTTTTTTTTTTAAGGCCAACAATAAAAACCGTATCTTGGGGTACAAATAACTTGAGGGGGGGGACAAGTAACATTCTAATATAGGACTGTTTTTTAAAAAAGAATGTATGATACATTGTAATGAATATTATGCAAAATAATAATTAATTCAAATTTACCAGACTCTTGATACCTGAAAGAGCAAAAGAGGTCAGTAATTCATAAAGGGCCAATCTGTAAGGATTAAAATATCCTGTAAATCGTAGAATACTAAATACCTAGGTTACTATGAAAGGTAACACAGTTTTGCTTGCTTTGTACTCCTGTGACCTTAGTAACATATTAATAACATTTTAATAATTGTAGTTTGGTGTAGTAATTTTTTTCCACATCTCCCTGAATTTGATGGAGACCTACAATTTTTTTTTTTTTTTTTGAGACAGAGTCTCGCTCTGTTGCCCAGGCTGGAGTGCAGTGGTGCGCTCTCGGCTCACTGCAAGCTCTGCCTCCTAGGTTCACGCCATTCTCCTGCCTCAGCCTCCCGAATAGCTGGGACTACAGGTGCCCGCCACCATGCCCAGCTAATTTTTGTATTTTTAGTAGAGACGGGGTTTCACCGTATTAGCCAGGTTGGGGAGAACTATAATTTTAAAAATACAAAGACTTCCTTTCTATTTCCCAGCAGTGATATTCAAACAGTAATAAAATAATATCCACTGTACCTTATTACAATGATCATGTGGAACAGACTGTAAAACAATTGGTTCCATTGTGGAAACACTGGCAAATTGTACCTCCGGAATATACAGAGCACACATCTCATGGGCCCAACCTAAAAATAAATAAATAAATGTCATCTTTTCAGTTTTATCAAAAGCAAATTAACATCATTAACTTCCTTAACAGATCCCTACAATGTCTATTGAAACAAATGCACAACAAGGACATTAACAAATTCTCATTGCTGTCTTACTTCCATTGCTTGAGAATACTCAAACCACTACTAAAAAAAAGCATTCTTAATCATTTCCCCAGTTATGATGTACACAAGCATAAATAAAGGGAAACATTTATAAATTCAGTTCTTGGCACTAACACTTCTTATACAGGCAGACTAAATATTCAGATCAACACTACTAATGACAACCACTATAAAAGGAGGTTTTTAAAGTTTAATACTTATGATAAAATTTAATTATCTTAATCTTTTTAAATGTCAACATGAAATTATTTTTATCTTGGTGTCAATATTTTTAATATTAGTAATAATCATTTCACTATTTTAATTGGACAAGTTTTAAATTTGGTATTAAATATATATATTTTATGAGATGGAGTTTCCCTCTTGTTGCCCAGGCTGGAGTGCAATGGCACAATCTCGGCTCACCGCAACCTCCGCCTCCTGGGTTCAAGCAATTCTCCTGCCTCAGTCTCCTGACTGAAGGTATTAAGGAGCTGATGTGATAGTGAGGAATTTCTGGGCTAAAACTGGAAAAGAATGTAAGTCCTAGGTACAGTTTTTGGCCACTTTTGCCCAGGGAACATTTGCCTATTTCAGAGAAAGCGGTGGTGAGGATGAAGGGTACAATTCTTTTTTTTTTTTTTTTTTAGACAGAGTCTCGCTCTTGTTGCCCAGGCTGGAGTGCAATGGCGTGATCTTGGCTCACTGCAAACTCCGCCTCCTGGGTTCAAGCAATTCTCCTGCCTCAGCCTCCCGAGTAGCAGGGATTACAGGCATGCGCCACCACACCCGGCTAATTTTGTATTTTTAGTAGGGGTGGGGTTTCTCCACGTTGGTCAGGCTGGTCTCGAACTCCTGACCTCAGGTGATCCGCCCACCTCAGCCTCGCAAAGTGCTGGGATTACAGGCGTGAGCCACCGCGCCCGGCCTGAAGGGTACTTTTGACAAACTCAGAGGCCCCACAGTACAGGGATGTACATTCACAAACAACCAAGAGAAAAAGAGAACAAGTAAACCCCTCTCCTCCTTTCAGATGCAACACTGAATGGCAAACCAGGGGTGAGAATACACTAAAAGTACATAGACCCTCGCCGGGCGCGGTGGCTCACGCCTGTAATCCCAGCACTTTGGGAGGCCGAGGCGAGCGGATCACGAGGTCAGGAGATCGAGACCATCCTGGCTAACACGGTGAAACCCTGACTCTACTAAGAACACCAAAAATTAGCCGGGCGTGGTGGCGGGCGCCTGTAGTCCCAGCTACTCGGGAGGCTGAGGCAGGAGAATGGCGTGAACCCAGGAGGCGGAGCTTGCAGTGAGCCGAGATCGCGCCACTGCACTCCAGCCTGGGCGACAGAGCAAGACTCCATCTCAAAAAAAAAAAAAAAAAGTACATAGACCCTCAAAGAGAGGACACCAGGGCTCTGACCATCTCAAACTCTGAAATTTGATGAAGGTAATCCGAAATTACAACCCCCAAGGCACGAAGCAGATGCAAATATACATCCTCTCTAAAAGAAAATAGTATCATTTTGGCTACAAATTATTTCTACCTTTTTTTTTTTTTTTTTTTTTTTGAGACAAAGCCTTGGTCTATGGCCCAGGCTGGACTGCACTGGCGTGATCTCGGCTCACTGCAACTTCCTCCTTCCAGTTCAAGCAATTCTCCTGCCTCAGCCTCCCAAGTAGCTGGGATTACAGGTGCCCACCACCACACCTGGCTAATTTTTGTATTTTTAGTAGATATGAGGTTTCACTGTGTAGACCAGGCTGGTCTCGAACTCCTGACCTCAAGTGATCCACCAGTCTCAGCCTCCCAAAGTGGTGGGAATACAGACATGCGTCACCACACCCAGCCTAAAATTTCTTAATTACATATAATTTCCAGCACAATAATAAGTACCAAACACATGACAGACAAGACAATATGAATGAGAATAAGGAGAAACACAAAAATCAAAACAGATCAGTATTTTGGAGTTATCAGATAAAGATTTTAAAATAAGTATGCTTACTATGATCAAGTACACACAAGACAAAATTCTAAATTGATGCAAAGAACCAAAAACTATAATAATAAATTAAAATTCCAGAAGTAAAGCGGAAATTTAGAAATCAGTCAGGCACAGTGGCTCATGCCTGTAAGCCCAGTACTTTGGAAGGCTGAGGCAGATCGCTTGAGACCAGGAGTTCAAGACCACCCTAGGTAACAAAGTGAGACCCCATCTCTACAAAAAAAAAAATAATGAGCCAGGTGCGGCGGCATGCACCTATAGTCCCAGCTACTCAGGAGGTTGAGGTGGGAGGATTGCTTGAGCCCAGGAGTTGGAGGTTGTTGTGAACGATTATTGTGCCACTGCAATCCAGCCTGGGTGACAGAGTCCCTATCTCAAGAAAAAAAAAATCAGTGGGTGGGATTAACAGCAGTTTAGACATGGATGAAAAGAGAATTAGTAGGAACACAACAGGTCAGAAGAAGAAATCCAGAATGTTAGCACAAAAGTAAGAAATACAAAAAATGGAATAAGACACATGAAAAATGTAATAGGCAGGCAGGTCTAACACACCTGTAATCAGAGTCTCGGAGAAGTATGAGAGAGAAAATGGCATGAAAGCAGTATCTGAACTGATAATGCCTAAAAATTTTCCAGAACAGAAGACCCAAAGCCACTGACTGAAGAACCACTATAAATCAGAGTAAATAAATACACTAAGGAACATTAATAAAACTACAGAAAACTAAGGGAAAGAAATGAAAATCTTAAAAACAAAAGGCAAGTTATCAAACGAAAAACTAGATAACTAAATAAAGCCAGAAAACATTATGTAAAAGATTTCCATTAAAGGGAACACCAAATAATTTTCCTTGGGCAATAGGAAAATGACTCCAGAAGGAAGCTCAGAACTGAAGAAAAATATAAAGAGCGACAAACATGTAGGTACATTTAATATATAATGCACATATAAAACAACAATGCCTTCACACTCATTTACAATACAAATGACCACTTACACTAAATATTAAAACACTGGTACGGTCTGTGGATGTATGTAGCTTTCCTATAAAACTACAGCAAAGACTCGAAAAGGAACAGGTAAAAGAAGTCTATATGGTTTCATTCTGCATTTCGTGTTAAGTGGTACACACAGGCCAGATGCGGTGGCTCACCCCTGTAATCCCAATACTTTGGATAGCCAAGGCGGGCAGATCACTCGAGGTCATGAGTTTCAGACCAGCCTGGCCAATATAGCGAAACCATGTCTCTACTAAAAATACAAAAATTAGCTGAGTGTAGTGGTGTGTGCCTGTAGTCCCAGCCACTCAGGAGGCTGAGGCAGGAGGACTGCTTGAACCCGGGAGGTGGAGGTTGCAGTGAGCCAAGATAGTGCCACTGCAGTCCAGCCTGGGCGACACAGCAAGACACCGTCTCAAAAAGAAAAAAAAAGTGGTACACTCAGTAGACTGAATTTACTGATAAGAAAATTATAATCCCTACAGCAACCACTATATAGATAAATATAAATACTTATATAAATAGGAAGAGATATGGCCAAAAAGGCATTTTAAGGCAACTTAATATAATTAATTAAGTTTAAATGCAATACTATCTAGTTGCATTGTTAAACTGATTAAAATACAGCACTAAAAAATAATCACAAAAAGAACAGAAGAGAAATAAGAAATAAGAGGGAAAATCAATGTTAAGAACAAACAGCAGAAGACTTCTACTTCTGTCCAAGGTAGACTAAGGCAGTCAAGAGAAAGTCACAAGGGAAACTGGAAAATGTCTTGAACGGAATGGCAACAAACATGAAATTTATCACAACTTGAGACGTAGGCTGGGGACAGTGGCTCACGCCTGTTAATCGCTTGAGCTCAGGAGTTTGAGACCAGCCTGGGCAACATGGTGAAACCCTGTCTCTACAACAAATACAAAAACATTAGCCAGATAAAGTGGCGTGCACCCGTAGTCCCAGCTGCTTGAGGGGCTGAGGTAGGAGGATCGCTTGAACCCAGGAGGTCGAGGCTTCAGTGAACCGAGATCACACCCCTGCCCTCCAGCCTGGGTGACAAATTGAGACCCTGTCTCAAAACAACAACAACGGCAAAAACAAAAACAAAAACAAAAAAACACAACTTGTGGGATTCAATAAAATAGAGAGGAACTTGCAGCATATATATTTTCATTAGAAAAGAATATCTAAAATAAAAGACCTAAGGTTCCACCTTTATAAGTTAGAAAAGAAGAGGAAAATATAACACATAGTAAGTAGTAGGAAGGAAATAGTAAAGAGCAGAAGTTTAACACAATAGAAAACAGGGAGATGGCATAATAAATTAACAAAGCCCAAAACTTCTTTAAAAGGTCAACACAACTGAATGATTCTATTTGGACTGGTCAAAAAAATAAAAATAAAAACAAAGAAAAACCAGAATACAAATCACCAACATCTGGCCGGGTGTGGTGGCTCACGCCTGTAATCCCAGCACTTTGGGAGGCCAAGGTGGGTGGATCACCTGAGGTCAAGAGTTCATGACCAGCCCGGCCAACATGGTGAAACCCCGTCTCTACTAAAAATACAGAAAATTAGCCAGGCGTGATGGCGCATGCCTGTAATCCCAGCTACTCAGGAGGCTGAGGCAGGAGAATTGCTTGAACCAGGGAGGCGGAGGTTGCAGTGAGCCGAGATCCCACCACTGCACTCCAGCCTGGGTAACAAGAGCAAGGCTCGGTATCAAAAAAAAAAAAATACCAACATCAGGAATAACTATGGGGTAATAACCACCAATGCTAGCAAAATTAACAAAATAATAATAAAATACCATTGACGGCCAGGTGCGGTGGCTTGTGCCTGTAATCCCAGCACTCTGGGAGGCCAAGGCGGGTGGATCACCTGAGGTCAGGAGTTCAAGACCAGACTGGCCAACATGGCAAGATCCTCTCTGTACTAAAAATAAAAAACATTAGCTGGGTGTGGTGGTGCCCGCCTGTAATCCCAGCTACTCGGGAGGCTGAGGCAGAGAATCACTTGAACCTGGGAGGTGGAGTCTGCAGTGAGCCGAGCTCATGCCACTGCACTCCAGCTTGGGTGACAGAGCAAGACTCCATCCCAATAAATAAATAAATAAATAAATAAATACTATTGGCAATGTTAGTCCAAAAATTTCAGCAACTTATACAAAGTAGTCAAATTTCTTGGAAAAATAGAGCGCACCAAAATTGACTTAAGTGTATACAAATAGGCCGGGCCCAAGGGCTCATGCCTGTAATCCCAACATTTTGGGAGGATGAGGCAGGGGGATAGTTTGAGCCCAGATGTTCGAGACCAGCCTTGGCAACAAAGCGAAACCGCTTGTCTCTACAAAAAATACAAAAAGAAAAAAATATTAGCCAGGCATGGTGTGCCTGTGGTCCCACCTATTCAGGAGGCTGGGGCAGGAGGATCATTTGAACTCAGGAGTTTGAAGCTGCAGTGAGCTATGACTATATCACTGCACTCTAGCCTGGGCAACAAAGTGATACACTGTTAAAAAAAAAAAAAGGAAGAAAGAGAGAGAGAGAGAGGGAGACAGGGAGGGAGGACAGAAAAGAGAAGAAAAGAAAAGAAAAAGAGAAAGGAGGGAAAAAGGAATGTCCCTATAATTTTGCCAAAAAATGAATTTATCAAAAATTTTCCCAGAAAAGTTTCAGTTGCTCACGAAGTTCTATATAGAATTCAAAGAAAAATAACATGAAATTTACACAAACTGTTTCATTTTAAGTGACTAGCATAATCCTCAACAAACACCTGACAAAACCACTATAATTCTTTTTTTTTTTTTTTTGAGATGGGAGTCTCGCTCTGTCGCCCAGGCTGGTGCAGTAGCTCGATCTCGGCTCACTGCAAGCTCCGCCTCCCGGGTTCACGCCATTCTCCTGCCTCAGCCTCCCAAGTAGCTGGGACTACAGGCGTCTGCCACCACACCTGGCTAATTTTTTGTATGTTTTAGTAGAGACGGGGTTTCACCGTGTTAGCCAGGATGGTCTCGATCTCCTGACCTTGTGATCTGCCTGCCTCAGCCGCCCAAAGTGCTGGGATTACAGGCGTGAACCACGCGCCTGGCCCAAAACCATTATAATTCTTAACGAAACAGAGAATGAAAGTACATGACAAAAATAAAACATACGTCAGGAGATGGACAAATGAATTTACAGTATCCTAAGAGTTTCAGAGGATTCAGAAAGAGGAAAGAAGCACATAGTAACATTAACTTTTTAAAAAGCTAATAGAGAGGGTAGAATGGAACGAGTGGAACAAACCAGAATAGGAAAGACAAATACAAAACATTTAATAAGATGGAAGGCTTACACCAGGTGCAGTGGCTCATTCCTGTAATACCAACACTCTCAAAACTGAGGCAGGAAGATCACTTGAGCCCGGGACTACAAAGCTGCAGTGAGCTAGGATCCTGCTACTTGCACTCCAGCCTGAACAACAGAATGAAAACCTGTCACTTAAAAAAAACAAAACTTTGGAATAGTGAAGGCCTTTCAAACTAATAACTCCAAATACCGACATCATGAAAGACTAATAAATTGTACAAAATTAAAATAAAAAACCCATGCATGGTAAACAAACTTTTTAAAAAGCACAATATAAATAAAGACTAACCAGATGGGCAAAAATTAGTCCAACTCATATCAAAACAGCATAATAACATATAAGGGGCTCCTTATGAATGCTCCAATAAATCAAACTAAAAAGATCAACAACTGTGGCTGGGCATGGTGGCTCACGCCTGTAGTCAGTCCCACCACTTTGGGAGGCTGAGGTGAGTGGATCCCATCTCTACTAAAAATTAAAAAGTCAGCTGGGCCTGGTGGCTCACGCCTGTAGTCAGTCCCACCACTTTGGGAGGCTGAGGTGAGTGGATCCCATCTCTACTAAAAATTAAAAAGTCAGCTGGGCCTGGTGGCGTGTGCCTATAATCCCAGCTATTCAGGTGAGTGAGGCAGAAGAGTCCTTTCAACGGGGGAGGCAGAGGCTGCAGTGAGCCAAGATCAAGCCACTGCACTCCAGCCTGGGTGACAGAGCAAGACTCCAATTCAAAAAAAAAAAAAAAAAAGCCAGATGTGGTGGCACATGCCCGTAATCCCAGCTACTCAGGAGGCTGAGACAGGAGAATCACTTGAATCCAGGAGGTAGAGGGTGCAGTGAGCTGAGATCATGCCATTGCACTCCAGCCTGGGTGACAGAGTGAGACTCTGTCTCAAAGACAAAAAACAAAACATATGAGACCAGCAGTTTGACTAGGTTAAAACATGGCATGAAAGTACGTAATGATTAGGGAATCAAACAACTTCTGAAATGAAAATTATTATAACAAGGCTGGGTGCAGTGGCTCATGCCTGTAATCCTAGCACTTTCGGAGGCCAAGGCGGGTGGATCACTTGAGGCCAGGAGTTCAGGAGTAGCCTGGCCAACATGGTGAAACCCTGCCTCTACTAAAAATACAAAAATTAACCAGGTGTCGTGGCACAGGCCTGTAGTCCCAGCTACTCCGGAGGCTGAGGCACAAGAATTGCTTGAGCTGGGGACGGGGAGGTTGCAGTGAACTGAGATGAGGCCACTGCACTCCTCCAGCCTGGGCAACGGAGCGAGACTCGGTCTCAAAATAATAATAATAACAATAATTTTTTAAAGTAACACCTGATTTTAGGAGAGGCAAAACATAAAAAAAGAAAATTATAATATTTGAAAGTAGAAAATCAATGGAAAGATTAAACAGATGAATAGTATGAAAGAATAATTTGTGACCTAGAAGATAGCCCCAAAGAAGTTACCCAGAATGCACAGAGACAAAGAAATAGAAAGCATGAAAGATCATGGGTCATGGCCGATAAAGCGCAAAGATCCAACGTATATCTGGAGTTCCAGAAGGAGGAAATAGAGAAAATGGGGCAGAGGCCATATTTGAAAGGTTATGACTGAGAATTTTCAAGAATTAATGAGACCCAAATTCTTAAAGAAACTCAGTGAACTGCAATCCAGAAAAATAAAAAGAAATCCACATCAAGACACATCAGAGTGAAACTACAGAAAACTGAAGAGAACGATCCTAAAACAGCTAGAGAGAAATATATCTTACCTACAAAGAAACAAATGAAAATGACAGCAGATTTCTCAACACCAACGGAAGAAGCCAGAAGATAGCAGAGTAACACCCCTAACATCTGAAAGGAAAATCATTGTCAAACTGGAATTATATCCTAGCGAAACTATTTTTCAAAAGAGATCTTGAAACAATGATATGTTTTTCAATTATTGGATGATGGAAGATACCAGCAGCTAGGAGTTCACATACCCTTTAGGTAATTCTTGAGGTTTCTAATGAGAAATTCCGAAGAACTGGGGTCTGTAGAACTGGCAAACACTCATAGGCTGAGAACATAAAAACACTAAGGAAACAATGACTCTTAACCATAACCACCATCAACCCCACCTCAATTTTTAATCTCAGTAGCCCTTTGGTTACACTAGAGGTATATGGTTCAACTTTGCAGATCTTGGGAGAGAACATTTCTGCTCCATTTTCTCAGGACTACCGCCCCAAAAAGGCTTTCCTAGGCCCCTCAGCTCCTAGGAGGAGTAGTTAATATGATTGGTCAGAGTCCAAGGCATTCCTTGGGCCTTATTTATTTCTCTTTTGTTCTCTTATAGAGGCCTCCTCTGCAGTCTGTATCATGTCAGTTTCAGGGAGAAGAGAGAAAACATCGAATATAACAGAGCTGCATGGGGGAGGTACTGGATTTCCATTCCTGTGTATACCTCTCTGTAGCTCCCTCGATCTGGAATGCCAAAGAGAAGAGGGCACCCAGGGACCTAAGCATTACTTGGTCCCTGGATCAATACCATAATAATAACCTCGGAACCTCATCCATGTCTTCTAATGTGAATGCTCATCCCAGCTTGGAAGTAATGAAGACTACAAGCTGCTCTCCCTGGAGAAAGTACAAGAGACCACATCCAAACGCATGAGAAATAACTTCTCTCTCTCTCTTTTTGTTTTTGTTTTTTGTTTGTTTGTTTTTAGAGACGGAGTTTCGCTCTGTCGCCCAGGCTGGAGTGCAGTGGCGCAATCTCGGCTCACTGCAACCTCCACCTCCCGGGTTCAGGCGATTCTCCTGCCTCAGCCTCCTGAGTAGCTGAGATTACAGGTGTGCACCACCACACCCAGCTAATTTTTGTATTATTAGTAGAGATGGGGTTTCACCATCTTGGCCAGGCTGGTCTTGAACTCCTGGCCTCAGGTGATCCGCCCGCCTTGGCCTCCCAAATTTCTGGGATTACAGGCATGAGCCACCATGCCCGGTCAATTAACTTACCTTCTCTAGATTCACTTTCCTTATCTCAAAATGGAAGAAAAATGTGGAATTCACAGGGAATTGAACACTAAATGTTTTGATGAAATCACTTAGCACTCCAAAGAGGCTAAATGTTTATTGTATTAGTATAGAAACAGAACAAATTGCAAAAACAAAAAGTGGACCCAAATACACACTGAATTCATGATATGATAAAACTAGCATTCCAGATCAGTGGGAAAAAGATGGCTTATGCAATAAATGTAATGAGACAACTGGTTAGACTTAAAAAAAAAAAAAAAACCCAGATCATTACTTTATGCCAAAATAAACTACATATGTATCAAAAATTGAAGACAAAATATGAAACCACAAAAGTACTAAGGGAAACGTGGATGAATATTTTTCTAATCTTGGAGTGAAAAAGGCCTTTTAAAGCACGTGTTACCAAATTCAGAAGCTATAAGGAAAAAACTTTTTATAAATTTGGCTACATAAAAATTCAAGACTTAGACCTTTTTAAAAGACATAAAAATCACACCTTTAAATGAAGGAAAAACATTCTGTTTTTGAATAGGAAGAATTAATATCATAAAGGTGCCAATTCTTTTATTAACATATAAATGTAACATATGAATCCAAATTAGCATATAAGTGCAATTAGAATCAGAATACATCAATTTTTTTAAAAACTGGACAGTAATTTTAACATTCATATAGAAGAATAAATGAGATGGTCAAGAATATTTGAAAGGAATACCAACAAAGGGGACCTGTCTTATCATATATTAAACTTAAAATGAGGCTATGGTAAATAAAACAGTATGATATTGGCACAGGAATAGACATCTAGATCATTAGAGAAAATAGCACAGTGGCTCATGCCTGTAATTCCAGAGCTTTGGGAGCCCAAGGCGGGAGGGTGGCTTGAGGCCAGGAATTCTTTTTTTTGTTTTCTGAGATGGAGTCTCGCTCTGTCACACAAGCTGGAGTGCAGTGGCATAATCTTGGCTCACTGCAACCTCCACCTCCCAGGTTCAAGTGATTCTCCTGCCTCAGCCTCCCGAATAACTGGGACTACAGGCACCCGCCACCATGCCCAGGTAATTTTTGTATTTTTAGTAGAGACAGGGTTTTACCATGTTGGCCAGACTGGTCTTGAACTCCTGGCCTCCGGCCCGCCTCATCCTCCCAAAGTGCTGGGATTACAGGCCACCACGCCCAGCCTGAGGCCAGGAATTGAAGACCAGCCTTGACAACAAAGTGAGACCCTGTGTCTATAAAAATTTTAAAAATTAGGCCGGGTGTGATGGCTCATGCCTGTAATTCCGGCATTTGGGGAGGCCAAGAGAGTAGATCACGGATCACTTGAGGCCCAGAAGTTTGAGACCAGCCTGAGCAGCAAGGCAAAACCCCATTTCTACAAAAAATAAAAACAAATAAGTTACCCGGGCGTGCTGGCATGTGCCTGTAGTCCCAGCTGCCCAGGAGGCTGAGGTGGGAGGATTGCTTGAGCCCAGAAGTTTAAGGCTGCAGTGAGTTATGATCATGCCTTTATACTTCCAGCCTGGGCAACAAAATGAGACTCCATCTCTATTTTTTAAAAAAAGAAAAACAGAAACCCAAAACTGATCAAACTACATGGCAATCTAATAAACAACTGATATGGTTTGGCTGTGTCCCCACCCAAATCTCATCTTGAATTGTAGTTCCCATAATCCCCACATGTTGTGGGAGGGACCCAGTGGGAGGTAATTAAATTATGGGGGCAGTTACCCCCATGCTGTTCTAGTGATAGTGAGTGAGTTCTCACGAGATCTGATGGTTCTATAAGGGGCTTTTCCCCCTTTGTTCAGCACTTCTTCCTGCCACCAGGTGAAGAAGGATGTGTTTGCCTCCCCTTCCACTATGATTGTAAGTTTCTTGAGGCCTCCCCAGCCCTGTGCAACTGTGAGTTGATTAAACCTCTTTCGTTTATAAATTACCCAGTCCTGGGCAGCCCTTTATAGCAGCATGAGAACAGACTAATACAAGGACCAAGATGACTTTTTATTTATTTATATTTTATTTTATTTATTTTATTATTTTATTAATTTATTTTTTACTTTATTTATTTTATGGTGCTAGCATAATTGAGTATACAACTAGAAGAAAATAAAGCTAGTTCCTATGGCAGACACCGCTAGTTGCCTAACCAATTTTCATTCAGAATCTTGATTTTGTTTAGGGCAGCAAGGTGCCCAGACAAATCTATTTACCACCTAGACTCTCTTGAAAATAAGAGTGGCCATGTCCCACTCAGTGAGACATAATTAGAAGTCTAATGGGTAGAGCTTCCAGGAAAGCTATTGTTTTCTTGATAAAAAGAAAAGAAGGGTGTCCTTCACCCTATATTCTTCCTGCCCATAACGTGTAAATGTGACCCTTTTAGTACAGAAACTGGCTTGCCTGAAAAAGAAAATAATAGGCTGGGCGTGGTGGCTCATGCCTGTAATCTCAGCACTTTGGGAGGCCGAGGTGGGCAGATTACTTGAGGTCAGGAATTCGAGACCAGCCTGACCAACATGGCAAAACCCCCTCTCTACTAAAAATACAAAATTTAGCCGGGCGAGGTACAGGCACTTGTAATCCCAGCTATTCGGGAGGTTGAAGCAGGAGAATCACTTGAACCCGGGAGGCAGAGGTTGCAGTGAGCCGAGATCACACCACTGGACTCCAGCCTGGGCAACAGAGCAAGGCTCCATCTTAAAAAAAAAAAAAAAGAAAAAGAAAAAGAAGAATCCCTGAATTGTGGAACCGAAAGGGAGATGATGCCTGGATCTTTGATGGCATGGTAGAGCCACCACACCTGTCCTGATCTTTTACTTCTATTCTTCTTGTTACATGAAAAAACAAAGCAAAAAAAAAAGCCCTATTTGATTTTTTTTTTTTTTTGAGACAGACTTTCACTCTTGTTGCCCAGGCTGGAGTACAATGGCATGATCTCCACTCACTGCAACCTCCGCCTCCTGGGTTCAAGTGATTCTCCTGTCTCAGCCTCCCAAGTAGCTGGGATTACAGGCATGCAACACCACGCCTGGCTAATTTTGTATTTTTAGTAGAGATGGGGTTTCTCTATGTTGGTCAGGCTGGTCTCGAACCCCCGACCTCAGGTGATCCACCCACCTCGGCCTCCCAAAGTGCTGGGATTACAGGCATGAGCCACCTCGCCCAGCCCCTATTTGATTAAGGCATTGTAGTAGAGATTCTATTATATAGAGCTGATTGCAAATTTGGGGCAATCAGCCACTATGTCATATAATGTAAGATAATATAACTTGAAATGCATTAGATATCTAAGTATAAAATAATAAAAATAAAAGTGAGGAGGTGTGTATGAAGAGAACTCGATTAAGAGGAATCATAAAGTGACTATATGAAAGTTAAGTTTTTTCCATCGTGAAAGTGTAAATGAAATTAAGAAAAAAACAATAGATTGGGAAAATATTTGTAACACATATGAATGAAAGCCTGTAACATATAAATAGTTTCTACAAATTAATTAGAAAGAAACTAATGACAAATAGAAAAATGGACAAAGGCTACAAATAGGCAAATTGCAGAAGAGGAAATTCAAATAGTTAATAAACATATAAAAAGATACTGCTCAGCCTCATTCAGGAAAAAGCAAATTAAAACAAAAAAGAGATGCCACTTTTCAATAACTGGCAAAAATTATAAAGAGTAACCATATCTGCGCCAGGCACGGTGGCTCATGCCTGTAATCTCAGCACTTTGGGAGGCCAAGGGAGGCAGACAACTTTGAGCTCAGGAGTTCGAGACCAGCCTGGACAACATGGTGAACCCCATCTCTACAAGAATTACAAAAATGGGCTGGCCATGGTGGCTCATGCCTGTGGTCCCAGCTACTTGGGAGGCTGAGGCTGGAGGATCACTTGAGCCAGGAAGTGGATGTTGCAGTGAGCTGAGATCATGCCACTGCATTCCAGCCTGGGTAACAGAGCGAAAGAAACCCTGTCTCAAACAAACAAATAAAAAGAGTAATCATACCTTATACTGAAAGCATAAACAAAGGACACTCATACATGCTGGTGGGAATATAAATTGCTACAGCCAATTTGGAAAATAACATTTGAGCTAGCAGTGTGTTTGGGAAATCTATCCTACAGAAATAAAAGCATCAATATGTAACCAAGTAGCTCAGCTTCAAAATGCATTTTGAAACTTTTTTCCTTTCTTACATTTAGCCTTGAAACATACTTTGAAATTATTTGTTGGCTGGGCCTGGTGGCTCATGCCTGTAACCCCAGCACTTTGGTAGGCTGAGGCAGGTGGATCACTTGAGGCCAGGAGTTCAAGAGCTGGCCAACATGGTGAAACCCCATTTCTACTAAAGATACAAAAATTACCCAGGCGTGGTGGTGCAAGCCTGTAATCCCAGCTACTCAGGAGGCTGAGGCAGGAGAATCGCTTGAACCCGGGAGGCGGAGTTTGCAGTAAGCAGAGATCATGCTACTACACTCCAGCCTGGGCAACAGAGTGAGACTCTGTCTCGAAAATAAATAAATAAATAAATAAATAAAGCTCTTTGTTTCTCTCCCTTCCCACCAGATACTCTTGTGCACAGTGCTCACTTATCTAATTATGCACTTATTTAGAAATTCCAGGGGCTAATTTTGAAACACATCAGGCATGAAGACCCAACTGCTAAATTCCAGAGATTACCTCAAAGCAGTTAATCTACAACCTGGCCATTGTTGAGATGACAGCAGCCCATGCAGGTGGACCGTGACTCAAGATAGCCCTGGAACAAGACACACAGGCCTCGTACCCAGCACCACTCCCCCACGGCTCCCATTCCAAGTTCCTTTATTTATTTATTTATTTATTTATTGAGACAGAGTCTTGCTCTGTCACCCAGGCTGGAGTGCAGTGGCCCGATCTCGGCTCCCTGCAACCTCCACCTCCCAGGTTCAAGTGATTCTCCTGCCTCAGCCTCCCAAGTAGCTGGGATTACAGGTGTCCACCACCAGGCCCAGTTAATTGTCTTGTATTTTTAGTAGACGGGGTATCACCATGTTGGCCAGGCTGGTTTTGAACTGCTGACATCAAGTGATCTGCCTGCCTCGGCCTCCCAAAGTGCTGGGATTACAGGCGTGAGCCACAGTGCCCAGCCAAGTTCCCCTAAATTCCTGGGCTTACAGGCTTGAGCCACTGTGCCGGGCCATATTATGTAATTTTTAAAGCCAGTGTTATTGTCCTCATCTGTTAGTTCAGAGCAGCGAGGTCCAATGGAAATATAATGTGAGCCATACGTGTAGTTTACAATTTTTAGCAGTCACATTAAAAATAGTAAAAGGAAACAGGGGCTCACATCCCAGATAAACACCCAGGTCTTTTTAAAAACTCAGGCTTGGCTGGGTGTAGTGGCTCATGTCTGTAATTCCAGCATTTTGGGAGACTGAGGCAGGCAGATCATGAGGTCAGGAGTTTGAGACCAGCCAGCCTGGCCAACATGGGGAAACCCCATCTCTACTAAAAATACAAAAATTAGCCAGGTGTGGTGGCACGTGCCTGTAATCCTAGCTACTGGGGATGCTGAGGCAGGAGAATCACTTGAACCCAGGAGGCGGAAGTTGCAATGAGCTGAGATCGCACCACTGCACTCCAGCCTGGGTGACAGAGTGAGACTCCATCTCAAAAAAGAAAAAAAATTCAGGCATGCTAATGAGGGCTTGTAGTTCCGACTATTTGGGAGTCTGAAGAGGAGGATCATTTGAGCCTAGGAGTTCCAGCCTGTAGCATGCCATGATTGTGCCTGTGAATACTGTGAATAGCTACTACATTCCAGCCTGGGCAACATAGTTTTTTGTTTTTTGTTTTTTTTTTAAAGAGACAGGGTCTTGCTCTGTTGCCCAGGCTGCAGTACAGTGAATGGCACGATGATAGCTCACTGGACCTTGAACTCCTGGGCTCCAGCAATCCATAACACTCAGTTTGTTTGTTTGTTTGTTTAGACAGAGTTTCACTCATGTTGCCCAGGCTGGAGTGCAATGGTGCAATCTTGGCTCACTGCAACCTCCGCCTCCTGGGTTCAAGCGATTCTCCTGCCTCAGCTTCTGGAGCAGCTGGGATTACAGGCACGTGCCACCATGCCTGGCGAATTATTGTATTTTTAGTAGAGACGGGGTTTCACCATGTTGGTCAGGCTGGTCTCGAACTCCTGACCTCAGGTGATCTACCCTCCTCGGCCTCCCAAAGTGCTGGGATTACAGGCGTGAGCCACTGCACCTGGCCAACACTCACTTTAAAAAATACCTCAGCCTCCCCAGCAGCTGGGACTACAGGCATGTGCCACCATGCCCAGCTAAAATTAATTTAATAACATGCTTTATTTAACCCAATATACCCCTAAATATTACCACTGCAACATGTGATCAATTAAAAAATTACTGGTGAGATATTTTACATTCTCTTTTACATTCTAAGTCTTAGAAATCTGATGTGTATTTTACATTTACAGCATAATTCAATCCAGATTAGCCACATTTCAAGATTTTGTTTTATGGTTTTGTTTGTTTGTTGTTTTTTAAGACAGGGTCTCACTCTATCACCCAGGCTGGAGTGTTGTGGTGCCATCATGGCTCACTGCAGCCTTGATATTCCCAGGCTCAGATGATCCTGCCGCCTCACCCTTCCAAGTAGCTGGAACTACAGGTGCATGCCACCACACTTGGCTAATTTTAAAATTTTTTGCAGAGATGGGGTCTGGCTATGTTGCCCAACCTGATCTTGAACTCCTGGGCTTAAGTGATCCTCCTGCCTCAGCCTCCCAAAGTGCTGAGATAATAGCCATGAGCCACCACGCCCAGCCTCAAGTTTTCAATAGCTACCTGTGGCTAGCGGCTGCTGCACTGGATGACACTAGTCTAGTCTAGGGAAGAGTCCATGATACATCGACATTACAGATGCAAACGTATGATTTCCCCCCTTCCTTTTTTTTTTTTTTTTTTTTTTGAGACTGAGTCTCGCTCTGTCACCCAGGCTGGAGTGCAGTGGCGCGATCTCGGCTCACTGTAACATCTTCCTCCCACCTTCAAGCAATTCTCCTGCCTCAGCCTCCCGAGTAGCTGGGATTACAGGCAACTGCCACCACACCCGGCTAATTTATGTATTTTTAGTAGACGAGATTCCACCATGTTGGCCAGGCTGGTCTCTTAACTCCTGGCCTCAAGTGATCTGCCTGCCTTGGCCTCCCAAAGTGCTGGGATTACAGGCATGAGCCACCGCGCCCGACCTGATCAATCTCTTAAAGAGAATCCAGCTTTATTACTGCCAGTACATGACCAAACTGCTTCTATATTTGCCCTGGGAAAAATGGACAAAGGGAAATACTGTTAATTAATGAACAAAAACTTTGCAGAAAATTAGCCAGTGTTTAATTTTCCAAAACTTCCCTCTGTTCAGTAGATACCAGCTACTGATGACTACATATACTAGGTAAAGTTTAAAATTAGGAAATGCTGATTTCTCACATTATGAATTTCTAAATCCTGTGAAGAAAAGCTTAAAGAGCTTCTGAATATACAGAAGTTCCATTTAAGGACTAGGTCCTCCTTGTAGATGCATCAAAATATTACAAATTCCAAACTGAGACTTAATTCTCAAATGTGTTTTACTTGTTCTAAAACAATCTGTCCACAAATATAAAAATATAAGTAATAAATTGTTATTTTCCTACTGTGAGAATCTTTAGTGTGAAAAAGTATCCTATAAAAGAATTTTTTTAAAAATAAATTATATAATAAAAAATATGTACAAAATGGGTTACAGAGGACAGTTTGTATACACATAGATAAAGATATGGAAGGTAACAACATAACTGTTAACAGGCCAGGCACGGTGGCTCACGCCTATAATCCCAGCACTTTGGGAGGCAAGGTGGGTGGATTGCTTGAGGTCAGGAGTTTGAGACCAGCCTAGCCAACACTGCGAAATCCTGTCTCTACAAAAAAATACAAAAAAAAAAAATCAGCCGGGCATGGTAGCATACGCCTATAGTCCCAGCTACTTGGGAGGCTGAAGTACAAGAACCTCTTGAACCCAGGAGGCGGAGGCTGCAGTGAACCAAGACCGTGCCACTGCATTCTAGCTTGGGTGACAGAGTGAGACCCTGTCCCCTCCCCCCTCCCAAAAAGTGTTCACAGTAGTTACTACTGAAAAATGGGATTTAGGATGAACAAGATAATTTTACATTTTTAAAAATTCCCTACTAATTTGAATATTTTTATAATAAACACGTATAACTTAAGAATAAAAGTAAAAGAGATCATATTCAGATAGAGTCTGAGTTTTCATTAAACTGTTTAATACATGAGTTCAATATTTGTCTAAAAAAGCAATCTCTAAAATTATGCATCATAAGGTTGGATGCGGTGGCTCATGCCATAATGAAGTGGGAGGGAGAGACATATAGGAGCAGAGCGTTTGTATATTATTGAAACTAAATTGATATTATTCAAACTAGGTTGAACTAGCTACCGCGCCTGGCTGTGTTTCTCTATTTCTGCAAAAACCACTGTTGAGGACAGGCGGTGGCTCATGCCTGTAATCCCAATGCTTTGGGAGGTCGAGGCGGGTGGATCATCTGAGGTCAGGAGTTTGAGACCAGCCTGGCCACTTAATGGGAAAGGACAGTCTCTTCAATAAATGGTGCTAGAAAAATGAATATTCTCATGCAAAAAAAAAGCAAAAACATCACATAGTTTTCACTATATACAAAAACTAACTCAAAATGGAGCAAAGACCTAAATGTGAGAGCTAAAACTATAAAAATCTTAGAGAAAAAGGAAGGGGAAATACTTCATGACACTGGATTTGGCAATGATTTCTTGAATATGACACCAAAATAAAAAACTCGATATGGTAACAAAAGAAAAAAACTTGAAAAACTGGATTTCATCAAAATTTAAAACTTTTTTGCATCAAAGGATACTATCAAGAGTGAAAAGACGGCAGGCGCAGTGGCTCACGCCTGTAATCCCAGTACTTTGGGAGGCCGAGGCAGGTGGATCACCCGAGGTCGGGAGTTCAAGACCAGCCTGGCCAACATGGTGAAACCCTGTCTCTACTAAAAATACAAAATTAGCCAGGCATGGTGGCACATGCCTGTAATCCGAGCTACTCAGGAGGCTGAGGCAGGAGAATTGCTTGAACCCAGGAGGCAGAGGTTGTGGTGAGCCGAGATCACGCCATTGCACTCCAGCCTGGACTTCAAGAGCAAAACTCCATCTCAAAAAATAATAATAATAAAAGAGTGAAAAGACAAACCATAAAATGGGGGAAAATATTAGCACAGCATATATCTGATAAAGGATTAATATCCAAAATATATAAAGAACTCCTATAACTCAACAACAAAATAACCGCCTAATTTAAAAATAGACCTTTCTGGGCTGGGTGCAGTGGCTCACGCCTGTAATCCCACCACTTTGGAAGGCTGAGGTGGGTGGATCATCTGAGGTCAGGAGTTTGAGACCAGCCTGGCCAACATGGTGAAACCCCGTCTCTATTAAAAATACAAAAATTAGCTGGGCATGGTGGTGCATGCCTGTAATCCCAGCTACTCAGGAGGGTGAGGCAGGAGAATCGCTTGAACCCAGGAGGCGGAGGTTGCTAGGAGCCGAGATTGTGCCACTGCAGTCCTGTCTGGGCGACAGAGCAAGACTTCAATTCAAAAAAAAAAAACCTTTCTTCAAAGAAGACGTACAAAAGGCCAATAGCACATGAAAAGATGCTCAATGTCACTAGCTATTAGGGAAATACAAAGCAAAACCATAATGAGATACTACACTTCACACCCATGAGGATGCCTATTATAAAAAGAAAAAGGTTGGGCGTGGTGGCTCACACCTGTAGTCCTAGCATTTTGGGAGGCCGAGGCAAGAGGATTGCTTAAGCCCAGGAGTTTGAGACCAGCTTGGGCAATACAGTGAGACCCCATCTCTCATATATATATATATATATATATATATATATTTTTTTTTTTTTTAAATAAAAAGGAAAGTGGCTGGGCGTGATAGCTCACGCCTGTAATCCCAGCACTTTGGGAGGCCAAGGTGGGTGGATCATGAGGTCAGGAGATTGAGACCATCCTGGCTAACACATGAAACCCCATCTCTACTAAAAATACAAAAAATTAGCCGGGCGTAGTGGCAGGTGCCTGTAGTTCCAGCTACCCGGGAGGCTGAGGCAGGAGAATGGCTTGAACCTGGCAGGCGGAGCTTGCAGTGAGCCGAGATTGTGCCACTGCACTCCAGCCTGGGCAACAGAGCGAGACTCCATCTCAAAAAAAAAAAAAAACAATAAAAAGGAAAGTAATAGGTATCAGTGAGGATGTAGAGAAACTGGAATCCTTGTGCAGTGGTCGTAGGAATGTAAAACAGTGTAGCTGCTAAGGAAAACCATATGGTGGTTCCTCAAAAAGTTAGGGTTTTTTTTTCAAGACAGTCTCACTCTGTCATTGAGGCTGGAGTGTAGTGACACAATCATAGCTCACCACAGCCTCAAAAATCCCTGAGCTCAAGCAATCCTTCTGCCTTAGCACCTCAAATAGCTGGGACTACAGGCATGCACCACCATGCCCGGATGATTTTTTAAATTTTTTATAGAGATGGGATCTTACTCTGCTGCCCAGAAACAATCCTCCCACTTCGGCCTCCAAAAGTGCTGGATTATGGGTATGAGCCACCACCCAGCCCCTCAAAAAGTTAAACATAGAGTTATCATGTGATCCAACAACTTCAGTTCTGAGTATATGCCCAAATGAATTGAAAGCATGAGCTCAAACAGATACTTGTACACCAACAATCACAGGAGCATTATGCCACAATAAAAGGTGGAAACAACCTGAATGTCCATCACTAGATGAATGGATAAACAAAATGTGTTGTATATACATACAATGAAATATTATTCAGCCTTAATAAGGAGACATATGTGGCTGGGCACGGTGGCTCACACCTGTAATCCCCGTACTTACGGAGGCCGAGGCAGGCGATCACCTGAGGTCAGGAGTTCGAGACCAGCCTGGCCAACATGGTGAACCCCGTCTCTACTAAAAATACAAAAATTAGCAAGGTTTGATGGTGGGCGTCTGTAATCCCAGCTACTTGGGAGGCTGAGGCTGGAGAATCGCTTGAACCCAGGAGGCAAAGGTTGCAGTGACTGGAGATCGAGCCATTACACTCCAGCCTGGGTGACAAGAGTGAAACTCCATCTCAAAAAAAAAAAAGATAAAAAAAATAAAAATAAAATTAAGGAGACACATGCTACAATATATATGAACATTGAAGACATCATGCTAAGTGAACTAAGCCAATCACAAAAGGTCAAAAACTGTAAGATTCCACTTATGTGAGGTACCTAGATGCCTTCATCTGTTCAGGATGCTATAACAAAAATATCATAAACCAGGTGGCTTATAAACAACATTTATTTCTCACAGTTCTAGAGGCTGGGAAGTCCAAGATCAAGACACTGGCAAATTTGGTGTCTGGTGAGAGCCTGTTCCTCATAGATGTTGACTTCTTGCTGTGTCATCAGTGGGTGGAAGGGGTGCACAAGCTCCCTCAGGTCTCTCTTTTTTTTTTTTTTTTGAGACGAAGTCTCGCTCTGTCGCCAGGCTGGAGTGCAGTGGCGCGATCTCGGCTCACTGCAACCTCCACCTCCTGGGTTCAAGCAATTCTCTTGCCTCAGCCTCCCAAGTAACTGGGACTACAGGTGCATGCCACCACGCCCAGCTAATTTTTGTATTTTTAGTAGAGACGGGGTTTCACCATGTTGGCCAGGATGGTCTCGATCTCTTGACCTCGTGATCTGCCTGCCTCAGCCTCCCAAAGTGCTGGGATTATAGGCGTGAACCACCACACCCGGATCCCCAGGTCTCTTTTATAAGGGCACTATTCCCATTCATGAGGGCTCCACTCTCATGACCTCATCACCTCCCAGGGGTCCCCCCACAGCCTATACCATCACCTTGGGGGTTAGGATTTCGACAAATGAATTTTCAGGAGACACTAACATTCAGACCATAGCATCAGGATGGGTAAATTCAGAGAGAAATAAAGTAGAATGGAGGTTACCAGGTGATAAGGGAAGAGGGCAATGGGGAATTACTGCTTAATGGGTATAAAATTCCTGTCTGAGATGAACAAAATCTGGAAATGGATAGTGGTAAGAATTGTACAACATTGTGAATGTACTTAATGCCACTGAATTATATACTTCAAAATGATTAAAATGGTAAATTGTATATTATGTGTATTTTACCATAAATATATAAAAGCTATTATTAATCTTATGATTTTTAAAATAAATGATTGTCTTAGATTTTTCTAAAATATCTATTTGTTTAAAAAAAAATGCAGGAATACAAAATGGCAAGAAAACTGTACCAACACTTTGGGAGGCTGAGGTGAGAGGACTGCTTGAGGCCAGAGTTTGAGACCAGCCTGGGCAACATAGCAAGACCCTGTCTCTACAAAAAATTTAAAAATTAGCCAGGTATGGTGGCATGTACTAAGTCCCAGCTACTTTGGAGGCTGAAGTGGGAGGATCACTTGAGCCTGGGAGGTCAAGGCAGCAGTGAGCCGTGATCGAGCCACTGTACTCTAGCCTGAGTGACAGCACAAGAGCCTGTCTCAAAAACCAAAAACAAGGCCAGGTGCAGTGGCTCATGCCTGTAATCCCAGCACTTTGGGAGGCTGAGGCAGGTGAATCACCTGAAGTCAGGAGTTCGAGACCAGCTTGACCAATATGGTGAAATGCCATCTCTACTAAAAATACAAAAATTAGCTGGGCGTCATGGCGTGCACCTGTAGTCTCAGCTACTCCGGGGACTGAGAAGGGAGAATTCCTTGAATCCGGGAGGTGGAGGATGCAGTGAGCGGAGATCACACCACTGCACTCTAGCCAGGGTGACAGAGCAAGACTCCATCTCAAAAAACAAAAACAAAAACAAAAACAAAAATGACAAGAACTAACCAAAACCCAAAAGAAACAAATAAGACAAGAGAAAATGGACCTATTGAAGACACAGATTTTGAAGTTATCAGACACAGGTTTTAAAATAACTGTGATTAGTATGTTCAAGAAATTAGATGACAAAATGGAGAATTTTACCAGAGATCTGGACACACTAAAAAAAAAAAAAAAAAAAAAAAACAACAATGAAAATTCTAAAAGCAAAAAACAGAAAATAAATAAATAAATATAAAATTAAGAACTCGATAAGTAGGTTAACAGCAGATTAGCTACAACTGAAAAGAGGACAGGAAGATAGCTCATAGAATATCCAGACTAAAGCTGGAGGGGTAAGAAAAAGGTTGGAAAAATATAGAAAAGAGCTGAAGACACATTTGGCACACAGTGAAAGATCTAACATATGTGTATTCAGAACTACACAAGGAGACAAGAAAGTGGAGCAGAAGCAACATCTGAAGAGATGAGTTCTGACTGAGAATTTTCCAACACTGACAAAAAAAGCACCTAAAGATTTAAGAAGCAATATGAACCCAGAGCAGGATAAAAGACACACACATGGCCCAGTGTGGTGGCACATGCCTATAATCCCAGCATTTTGGGAGTCTGAGGTGGAAGGATTGCTTGAAGCCAGGGATTCAAGACCAGCCTGGGCAACAAGGCCAGACCCTGTCTCTACAAAAAAAAACTAAAAAAAAAATAAAAATTTAAGAAGACAGATACCCATAGATAAATCATAGTAAATTGCTGAATACTAAAAAGAAAGAAAAAAAATCTTTTTTTTTTTTTTTTCTGAGACGGAGTTTTGCTCTGTTGTCGTGGCTTGAGTGCAGCTGCACGATCTCGGCTCAAAGCAACCTCTGACTCCTGGGTTCAAGCGATTCTCCTGCCTCAGCCCCTCCCGAGTAGCTGAGATTACATGCATGCACCACCACACCTGGCTAATTTTTTTTTTGTATTTTTAGTAGAGACAGGGTTTCACCACATTGGCCAGGCTGGTTTCGAACTCCTGACCTTGTGATCCACCGGTCTTGGCCTCCCAAAGCGCTGAGATTACAAGCGAGAGCCACCACACCCAGCCTGAGAGAAAATCTTCAAAGCACACAAAGTCAGCTGGGCACGGTGGCTCACACCTGTAATTCCAGCACTTTGGGAGGCCAAGGTGGGCAGATCACAAGGTCAGGAGTTCAAGACCAGCCTGGCCAATATGGTGAAACCCTGTCTCTACTAAAAATACAAAAATTAGCTGGGCGTGGTGGCAGGCACCTGTAGTTCCAGCTACTCAAGAGGCTGAGGCAGCAGAATCGTTTCAAACTGGGAGGCGGAGGTTGCAGTGAGTCGAGATTGCGCTACTGCACTCCAGCCTGGCAACAGAGCGAGACTCTGTCTCAAAAAAAAAAGATAAATAAAAGCACACAAAGTAAAAATAAACTTTAACAAAATGAAAAAAAAAAGTTAATTTCTCAACAGAAACAATAGTAACGCTGAGGAGGGCGGATCACCTGAGGTCAGGAGTTTGAGACCAGCCTAGCCAACATGGCAAAACCCCATCTCTACTAAAAATACAAAAATTAGGCCGGGCGTGTTGGCTCACGCCTGTAATCCCAGCACTTTGGGAGGCCGAGGTGGGCGGATCACTTGAGGTCAGGAGTTCAAGACCAGCCTGGCCAACATGGTGAAATCTGTCTCTATTAAAAATACAGAAAATAGTCAGGTGTGGTGGTGCGTGCCTGTAATCCCAGTTACTTGGGAGGTTAAGGCAGGAGAATTGCTTGAATCTGGGAGGCAGAGGTTGCAGTGAGCCAAGATCACGTCACTGCACTCCAGCCTGGGCAACAGAGCAAGAGTCTATCTCAAAACAAACAAACAAACAAACAAAAAAACAATGTTTTGAGAAATAAAACAAGGCTGAGCATAGTGGCTCACATCTGTAATCTCAGCACTTTGGGAGGCTGAGGTAGGCAGATCACCTGAGGTCAGGAGTTTTAGACTACCTGGCCAACATGGTAAAAACCCATCTGTACTAAACATACAAAAATTAGCTGGGTGTGGTGGCATGCAGTTACTTGGGAGGCTAAGGCAGGAGAATTGCTTGAACCCAGGAGGCACAGGCTGCACCACTGCACTCCAGCCTGGATGACAGAGCTAGACTCCATCTCAAAAAGGGGAAAAAAAAAATGACTGGCTTGCATAGCCTGGGCAACATGGTGAAATCCCATCTCTACAAAAAATATGAAAACTAGCAGGGTGTGGTGGTATACCCCTAGAGGTTCCAGCTACTCAAGGGGCTGAGATGGGAGGATCGCTTGAGCCCCGGAGCTGAGGCTGCAATGAGCTGTGATTGCACCACTGCCCTCCAGCCTGGGCAACAGAACAAGACCGTCTCAAAACAAAAAACAAAAACAAGAACAGCCTGGGCAACATCGCGACATCCCATCTCTATTCAAAATAAATAATTTTTTTTTAAAGAAATAAAAGTAAAATGAAATAATTAATGGATTTTAGACTACAGGTTTTGGGTCCCACCTGAAGCCTAGCCACAGCAGCCACAGATCAAAGAATGCCAGCAACAGTCCACGGCTAGTACTTAAGATATTCCAGCCTCCTAATGTTGGTTCTTCATCTTCCTAGCAGCCCTAACTTGGATGAATCAAGAAAAAGCTGGGTGGCCAGGTATGGTGGCTCATGCCTATAATTTCTTCACTTTGGGAGGCCAAGGCAGGAGGATTGCTTGAGCCCAGGAATTTGAGACCAGTCTAGGCAACACAGCAAAACCTTGTCTCTACAAAAAAAAGTTTATTTTAATTAGCTGGGTGTGGTGGCAGATGCTGGTGGTCCCAGCTCTACTTGACGGACTAAGTAGATTCCTTGAGAGAACCACTTGGGTCCAGGAGGTCAAGGCTGCAGTGAGCCATGATCATGCCACTGCATTCCAGACTGTGCAACAGTGAGACTCCATCTCAAAAAAAAAAAAGGGGGCCGGGCATGGTGGCTCACGCCTGTAATCCTAGCACTTTGGGAGGCCGAGGCGGGCAGATTGCCTGAGGTCAGGAGTTCGGGACCAGTCTGGCCAACATGATGAAACCCCGTCTCTACTAAAAATACAAAAAAATTAGCTGGATGTGGTGGCGTGCACCTGTAATCCCAGCTACTTGGGAGGCTGAGGCAGGGGAGTTGCTTGAACCAGGGAGGTGGAGGTTGCGGAGAGCCAAGATTGAGCCATTGCACTCCAGCCTGGGCGACAGAGCGAGACTCCATCTCAAAATAAAAAATAAAAAAAAAAAATAAAAGTGGAGGGAGAGCTGGAAATTTTCACAAGAAATATATTCAAAATAACCAAGGAAAGGGAAATGAAGATACATAAGACAAACACACAAAAAAGATCAGGATGAATTCAGGGATCAGATGGGGTGAAAAAGGCAGCTATTCTGGCACAAGGTCCCAACACTTGCAGGTGGAACTGAGACAGACCAAATGGTAGAAATTCCCAGAAGCAGAGAGGGGAGTGAAAGACAGCTTCAGTCACTAATTACTTCCAATATAGGAAGTTCTCTCACTCTAGATCTCTTACCTGAAGGCAGAAAACAAATTTGTGCAAAACAAAAACAAACAAACAAAAAACTGTGCCTAAAATAATAGCTAACTGCTGAGAACAGAATGGGTAAAGGTAGGGAGTTCACTTACTTATTTAGACAAAGGTGAGCTTCAATAAAGATATCCTTAGCTTTTTCAGGGAAGTCCTTTATTTTAAAGTTGGCATCATAGTCTTTTATCCTCCGGATTCTGTAAAATTAAGCCTGAGTATTACTTCTAAAGGTCTTACAATTCCATAATTCACAGCCTACACTGACCTCCATTCATGTCCATCCACTTACTCAATAATTGTTTAGCTTTTTTTTTTTTTTCTTTTTTTTGAGTCTCGCTCTGTCACCCAGGCTGGAGTGCAGTGGCATGATCTCGGCTCACTGCAAGCTCTGCCTCCCAGGTTCACGCCATTCTCCTGCCTCAGCCTCCTGAGTAGCTGGTACTACAGGCGCCCGCGACCACACGCGGCTAAATTTTTGTATTTTTAGTAGAGACGGGGTTTCACCGTGTTAGCCAGGATGGTCTCGATCTCCTGACCTCAGGATCCACCCGCCTCGGCCTCCCAAAGTCCTGGGATTACAGGCGTGAGCTACCACGCCCGGCCAATAATTGATTTTTTAATGTGTCAAGTCCTGGAAATTCAACCTTCTCCCTCTTAAATTAAGCACTCTAAAGAAAGACTAAGACTTCTCTCATAGTGAAATTTCAGAATTCTAGAATCAAAGATAACATCTTATATGCACTAAAAACAGAAAAAACGGGTTTCATACAAATGCTCAAGAGTCAAAATAGGCCAGGTGCGGTGGCTCATGTCTGTAATCCCAGCACTTTGGGAGGCCGAGGCAGGTAGATCACTTGAGGTCAGGAGTTTGAGACCAGCCTAGCCAACAGGGTGAAACCCCATCTCTACTAAAAATCCAAAAATAAGCTGGGCATGGTGGTACGCACCTGTAATCCCAGCTACTCCGGAGGCTGAGGCACAAGAATCGCTTGAACCCAGGAGGCGGAGGTTGCAGTGAGCAGAGATCGCACCACCACATTCCAGCCTGGGTCACAGAGTGAGACTCCATCTCAAAAAAAAAAAAGCTGGGCATGGTGGTGCTGTCTGTAATCCCAGCTACTTGGGAGGCTGAGGCAGGAGAATACTTGAACTTAGGAGGCAGAGGTAGTGATCGCGCCACTGCACTCCAGCCTGGGAAACAGAGCGAGACTCCATCTCAAAAAAAAGAGTCAGAATAACACTGGGCTTCTTTTTTTTTTTTTTTTTTTTTTTGAGACAGAGTCTCGCACTCCGTCGCACAGGCTGGAGTACAGTGGCGCAATCTCGGCTCACTGCAACCTCTGCCTCCTGGGTTCAAGCAATTCTCCTGCCTCAGCCTCCCGAGTAGCTGGGACTACAGGCACACATCACCCCGCCCGCCTAATTTTTGTATTTTTAGTAGAGATGGGGTTTCACCATGCTGACCAGGCTGGTCTCGAACTCCTGACCTTGTGATCTGCCTGCCTCGGCCTCCCAAAGTGCTGGGATTACAGGCCTGAGCCATGGCACCTGGCAACACTGGGCTTCCTAACAGCAACATTAGAAGTTACAAAGACAGGCCGGGTGCAGTGGCTCACGCCTGTAATCCCAGCACTTTGGGAGGCCGAAGCAGGCAGATCATGAGGTCAGGAGCTCGAGACCATCCTGGCCAACATGGTGAAACCCCGTCTCCACTAAAATACAAAAAATTAGCCAAGCGTGATGGCACATGCCTGTAGTTCCAGCTACTCGGGAGACTGAGGCAGAAGAATCACTTGAACCCAGGAGGCAGAGGTTGCAGTGAGCTGAGATCCTGCCACTGCACTCCAGCCTGGGTGACAGAGCGAGACTTCGTCTCAAAAAAAAAAAGAAGTTACGGCCGGGCGCAGTGACTCAGGTCTGTAATCCCAGCACTTTGGGAGGCCAAGGTGGGCGGATCACAAGGTCAGGAGTTCGAGACCGGCCTGGCCAATATGGTGAAACCCTGTCTTTACTAAAAATACAAAAATTAGCTGGGCGTGGTGGCGGGCGCCCGTAGTCCCAGCTACTCAGGAGACTGAGGCAGGAGAATTGTTTGAACCCAAGAGGCAGAGGTTGTAGTGAGTCAAGATCGCGCCACTGCAATCCAGCCTGGGCGAAAGAGTGAGACTCCGTCTCAAAAAAAAAAAAATAAAATAAAAAGTAATTACAAAGACAACAGAGCAGTGCTTTTATTATTCATTCACTCATTCATTCATTCATTCACGGAGACAGGGTCTCACTCTGTCACCCAGGCTAGAGTACAGTGACGCCATCAGGGCTCACTGCAGCCTTGACCTCTGGGACTCATGCAATCCTCCCACTTCAGACTCCCAAGTAACTGGAACTGCAGGTGTGCACTACCACGCTTGGCTAATTTTCACTTTTTTTTAGTTTTTGTAGAGACAAGGTCTCACTGTGTTTCCCAGCTGGTATTCAACTCCTGCTCAAGTGATCCTCCTGCCTCAGCCTCCCAAAGTGTTGAGATTACAGGCATGACCCACCACGCCCAGACTTTGAGCAGTACTTTTAATTGAGGAAAAAATTATTTCTATCACAGAATTAAATACCTGGGCAAATTATAAATGAAGTGGGAAAATAAAAGAAAGATTTCTTTTTAGACTTGCAAGATCTTATTTATCCACCATGCAGCCTTTCTCAGGCAGCTGCTAGAAAATGTGCTCCACCAAAGTAATGAAATAGACTATGAAAACATAAAGACATAGGATCCAAGCAACAGGGAATACAACGTAAGAGGGAGGCAATCAGCCTGACCAACATGGTGAAACCCCATTTCTACTAAAAATACAAAAATTAGCTGGGCGTGGTGGCGCGTGCCTGTAATCCCAGCTACTCAGGAGGCTGAGGCAGGAGAATCGCTTGAACCCGGGAGGCGGAGGTTGCAGTGAGCTGAGATCGCGCCACTGCACTCCAGCCTGGGCAACAGAGCAAGACTCAGTCTCAAAAAAAAAAGAAAAGAAGACGGAGGCAAGAGGAATCTTAGATCCTAAGACATACAGTTGGCCTTAAGAGCAACTAGTCCAGATTAAAACAGGTAAGAAGACTCCAGGAAGGATTTCTTGAAAAAGATGAAATTAATAAAATATTTAATGTTGCAGGACGTGGTGGCTCACACCTGTAATCCTAGCACTTTGGGAGGCTGAGGCAGGTAGATAATGAGGTCAGGAGTTCGAGACCAGCCTGGCCAATATGGTGAAACCCCATCTGTACTAAAAATACAAAACAGCCAGGTGTGGTGGCATACACCTGTAGTCCCACCTACTGGGGAGGCTAACGCAGAAGAATTGCTTGAACCCGGGAGGCAGAGGTTGCAGTGAGCCAAGATCACACCATTGCACTCCAGCCTGGGCAACAGACTGAGACTCCCTCTCAAAAAAAAAAAAAAAAATTTAATGTTTTGAATGCACAGAGAGGAAATTACATAACCCATAGTTCCATAAGCAAATGAGCAAATTAAGACACTACACTTCAGAAAAAAAAAATATATTATGCAGGAAAGAAAAAGTGTTCATAATATACTATATAACTCAGCTGTCAACAGCATTTTTCCAAGTCATAACAATATAGAGAATTTGATTTAATCAAAGTATTAATTTAAGTGTGTTAAAGGAATTTATCCCAGGGATGTGAGGTTGGTTTAATATTTGAAAATCAATTAATAAGGCTGGGCACGGTGCCTCACGCCTGTAATGCCAGCACTTTGGGAGGTCAGGAAGGTGGATCACCTGAGGTCAGGAGTCCAGGCTGGCTAACATGGTGAAACCCTGTCTCTACTAAAAATACAAAAATCAGTGGGGCATGGTGGCGCACACCTGTAGTCTCAGCTACTCGGGAGGCTGAGGCAGGAGAATCACTTGAACCTGGGAGGCAGAGGCTGCAGTGGGCCGAGATGGAGCCACTGCACTCCAGCCTGGGTAACAGAGCAAGACTCCATCTCAAAAATAAGAAGAAAAGAAAAGAAAATCAATTAATATGTCATCATATCAACAGAATAAAGAACAAATATCACATGATCATCTCAATAGACACACAAAAGCATTTGACAAAATCTGACACCCCTTTATACTCTTTTAACCTCAAAGCCTTGCTTGTACTGTTCTGTTTCCCTAGAATGCTATTCCTCACCACACTTCTCCACCTGGCTAACTCTAAAAAAAAAAAAAAAACTTTTTTTTTTTTTTTTTTTTTGAGATGGAGTCTCACTCTGTTGCCCAGGCTGGAATGCAGTGGTGCAATCTGGGCTCACTGCAACCTCCACCTCCTGGGTTCAAGCGATTCTCCTGCCTCAGCCTTCTGAGTAGCTGAGATTACAGGTATGTGCCACCATGCTTGGCTAAATTTTGTATCTTTAGTAGAGATGGGATCTCACCATGTTGGCCAGGCTGGTCTCGAACTCCCGACCTCAGGTGATCCGCCAGCCTTGGCTTCCCAAAGTGCTGGGATTACAGTTGTGAGCCACCGCATCCAGCCACCATCCCAACTTTAAATATCATTTCCTCAGGCAAGTCTTCTCTGATCTCCCAGACCAAGTTATCTTTTTTTTTTTTTTGAGACAGAGTCTTGCTCTGTCGCCCAGGCTGGAGTGCAGTGGTGCAATCTCGGCTCACTGCAAGCTCTGCCTCCTGAGTTCACACCATTCTCCGGCCTCAGCCTCCTGAGTAGCTGGGACTACAGGCGCCCGCCACCGCGCCTGGCTAATTTTTTGTATTTTTAGTAGAGACGGGGTTTCCCTGTGTTAGCCAGGATGGTCTCGATCTCCTGACCTCGTGATCCACCCGCCTCGTCATCCCAAAGCGCTGGGATTACAGGCGTGAGCCACTGCGCCCGGCCATTATCTTTCCCTGTCATATGCTCCCACGGCACTCCTACTTCACTACACCTATAATTATTTGTGTGCGATCAGTATTTAATGACTGTTTTCCTCCCCTAGAAGAGAACTGCATGGTAAAACTGTATGTGCTTTGTTCATCATCACCATGGACCCTGCTCACAGTCCAGGAGAGAAATACATGAGAGGAAACATTGCAGTACAGAGTATTAGGAGAAATAAATACAAGTGTGCAATTACGATCACAGCAAAGGCAGCACCAAAAATAGTCATGGAGGCCTTAGAAACAAACATGATAGCCCGGCGTGGTGGCTCACGCCTGTAATCCCAGCACTTTGGGAGGCCTGAGGCTGGCGGATCACCTGAGGTCGGGAGTTCAAGACCAGCCTGACCAACATGGAGAAACCCCGTCTCTATTAAAAATACAAAATTAGCCGGACGTGGTGGTACATGCCTGTAATCCCAGCTACTCGGGAGCTGAGGCAGGAGAATCGCTTGAACCCAGAAGGCAGAGGTTGTGGTGAGCCGAGATTGCACCATTGCACTCCAGCCTGGGCAACAAGAGTAAAACTCCATCTCAAAAAAAGAAGAAAAAGTAGGAGGGGAAAAAGACATTTCAGGCAAAGGAAAGGATGTGCAAAGACAAAGAGGAATGGTACAGTACTGGCAAGGAATTGGCAATTAGTTTGGAAATGCTAAAATTTAGGATGAGAAAAATGGAATAAGGACAAAGAATGATGGTGGAGAAAAAGGCAAGGACCAGATTATAAAAGCTTTGTATACCACTGAAGATATCTGGATTTTATTCTTTGGTTAACAGGAAGCCATAAAAGAGTTCTAAGCAGGAAGGTGATATGATAAAATCTTTTTTATTATTATTATTTTTTGAGACAGAGTTTCGCCCTTGTTGCCCAGGCTGGAGTGCAATGGCACGATCTCAGCTCACCGCAACCTCCGCCTCCCAGGTTCAAGCGATTCTCCTGCCTCAGCCTCTTGAGTAGCTGGGATTACAGGCATGTGCCACCACGCCCGGCTAATTTTGCATTTTTAGTAGAGACGAGGTTTCTCCACGTTGGTCAGGCTGGTTTTCGATTCCTGACCTCAGGTGATCTGCCCACCTCAGCCTCCCAAAGTGCTGGGATTACAGACGTGAGCCACCGCACCCAGCCAATAAAATCTGTATGTAGAGAAATAAGTCATGGCCATGTGAAGAATTCATACTTACTCAATATACTTATGCACATAAACCTATACATGATTTACATATAGTGACAGCGGCTACTCTGGGCACACTGGCCTATGGGGTAGCCCTGCTCTGCAATGAACAGTACAAATTTAAAAAAAAAGATAGATACAGTCAGAGCTAGACTGGCTGGGTGTGACGGGTCACACCTGTAATCCCAGAATTTTGGGAGGCTGAGGTGGGAGGACTGCTTGAGCCCAGGAGTTCGAGACCAGCCTGGGCAACATAGTGATACCCCGTCTCTACAAAAATTTCTTTTAAAAATTAGCCAGGTCGGCTGGGCGCAGTGGCTTACGCCTGTAATCCCAGCAATTCAGGAGGCCGAGGTGGGTGGATCACGAGGTCAAGAGATAGAGACCATCTTGGCCAACATGGTGAAACCCCGTCTTTACTAAAAATACAAAAATTAGCTGGGCATGGTGGCATGCGTCTGTAGTCCAGCTACTCGGGAGGCTGAGGCAGGAGAATCTCTTGAACCCGGGAGGCAGAGGTTGCGGTGAGTTAAGAGTGAAACTCCGTCTCAAAATAAATAAATAAATAAATAAATAAATAAATAAATAAATAAATAAAGGGCTGGGCGTGGTGGCTCTCGCCTGTAATCCCAGCACCTTTGGGAGGCCAAGGCGGGCCTCCTGAGGTCAGGAGTTCAAGACCAGCCTGACCAACAGACCAACATGGAGAAACCACATCTCTACTAAAAATACAAAATTAGCCAGGCATGGTGGCACATGCCTGTAATCCCAGCTACTCAGGAGGCTGAGGCAGGAGAATCATTTGAACCCAGGAGGCGGAGGTTGCGGTGAGCCAAGATCGTGCCATTGCATTCTAGTCTGGGCAACAAGAGCGAAACTCCATCTCAAAAAAAAAAAAAATTAAATATATGATTAAAAAAGGATCCTATACACTCCAAAGTCAACTCCCTAACTGATATGACAAAAATTACCAATAAAGGCAGGGATGCTGAGAATCAGGAAGCCCACATTATTCTGCATTAAATACAGACTCTAGTACAAAGGAGAAAATACCATCATGTTATTAAGAGAATGACACCCAACCCAATTAACCCAAAAAGGTCTCTTTGGGATAAAGTAGCAACAAAAAATTGTTATTCTAATACCAATACCCAATTGTCTCAGACACCTACGACACTTGTGATGCCATAGTCTTCTTCATTCGTTCAGTTCTCTCTATCAGTTCTCTCTATCATCTCTCCTTTGAAAGAGATGATATGCGTGCATCACCCTCAGGAGGAACATAGGCATCAAATATACCAGCTGTAATAAAGGAAGAAAAAAATTAAGAAAGTGTTGAAAGATTGAGAAAAACTCATAAAATTGAAGTAATGTAAAATTGGGAAGGATTGTGGATATGAAGTAGACTAATGAAACAGACTTCCATGTAGAGAGAACTATGTTACACTAGAAAAAAACAAAACAAGGCCGGGCACAGTGGCTCACACCTGTAATCCCAGCACTTTGGGAGGCCGAGGCGGGCGGATCACAAAGTCAGGAATTCAAGACCAGCCTGGCCAAGATGGTGAAACCCCATCTCTACTAAAAATACAAAAATTAGCCGGGCATGGTGGCAGGTGCCTGTAATCCCAGCTACTTGGAAGGCTGAGGTAGGAGAATCGCTTGAACCCAGGGGGGCAGAGGTTGCAGTGAGCCCAGATTGTGCCACTGGGCGACAGAACGAGACTCTGTCTCAAAAAACAAAACAAAACAAAAAAAGCCAGAAAGATTTAAGTCTTCTCTCAGAGCCTCAGTTTCTACTTCCACAAAATGGAGAAATTTCACTCTTGCCTTCTAGGGACAGTGTGAAAGTAAGTTCAAAGAACAACTTCATGATATATAGTGTATATAAGGTTAATCATTATTGAGGCTGAACTGACTTCGTGCTTAATTAAATATTATCAATCATAGTCCAAGTCATCCCAAGTTCCAGAAGATCTCTGACAGAAGGATCCCAGGTCAGGGTCCCAGAAATACCTCACCTGTACAGGCCAGATGTATGGAACGGTCCGATTTTTCTGGAGGAATAACCAATCCTGCTTTCCGGGCATGTTGCATAAACTCCTTTTCTGTTTTAAATTTAGGTTGATAAATAGGAGATGTGAAACGTTTTTTAGTTCTTACTGGAACTATAGCTGCGGACTGAGTCACCAGAACTGGCTGGAAGGTAAAGGAAAGGTTAGGAACCTAGAAAAAAGATCTACTATCTTTTACAAACTCTAAGCAAAGCACTATAGAGAGGGAATATCCAAAGAATGCTTCAGGAACAATTATAAAACAATATCACAGGGAAAAAATGCATTAGGACCTTAATACTTATGGGTGTCTCTAAATAGAAGACAGTTAGCAACCTTTATTAACATCACATTTACTAAAGGCTTTCCTTTAGAACTTCCCACAGTACAGGACTATGCTAACACCTACGGATACTGAGTTGATCAAAGCAAGTTTCAAAAACTGATGGTGATGGGGAAACACCAACTCAATACTGAAATGGGCAGAATACTATTCTTTATTATTTTTTGAGGCAGATCGCTAGCCTGGAGTGCGGTGGCACGATCACGGTTCACTGCAGCCTTGACCTCCTTGGGCTCTAGCTATCCTCCCACCGCAGCCTCCCAAGTAGTTGGGACTAAGGAGTGCGCCATCGCATCCGGCTAATTTTAAAATTTTTTTGTAAAGACCAGGTCTTATATGTTGCCCAGGCTCATTTCGAACTCCTGGGCTCAAGCCATCCTTCTGCCTCGGACTTTCAAAGTGCTGGGATTACAAGTGTGAACCACCGCGCCTGGCCCTGAATGCTATGCTTAAAGCATAAGCAAAGTCCTCTTGTAGGCATCTGCTCCATATGTACTCGTGATATTTTGCTCATCCTATCGGGAGTCTCGCTGTAAACTTTATTCTGTCGTTTTAGCACCCAACTGACCAATAAACCCTCGAAAGACCAGGAGACCTTTTCTCTCTGATCATGAGGTTTGCTCAGACGGGGCGGTGACAATATGGGACGCCCTCATTTTCGGCTACTCTTCAACGTAGTTCACTTATAAGAATCGAAGATTAGGGAGTCCACCTTCCAACCCATTACTTGTCTCTCCTTTAATATCTCCTCGCCAGACAGACCCAAACCAATCCGGAAAAACTTAATACCCGTTAATTCACTCGCTCTCATGGCCCTGTCTAGGCTATCCCCATTCGACCACTGAGCTCCGCAGCTAGGTCCTGTCCACCTAAGCCTCTTCCCCGGCCTAGGTATGACTCGTATTGTCCCAGCTCACCAAGGACAATTGCACAGAGAGTATTTCCCTCGACTCTGTCCTCCTCCTGTAGCCCCTAGGGTCCTATCGGCCCCGTCCCTACCCACCTGCCGAGACCACCAGCCCAAAACCCTCGATAAACAAGAGAACCCTTGAGGTATGAGGGCTGCCATCTTGTTCCCGCAAAGGCCGCCGGGAAGGGAGCTGAGAGTGAAGAGCGTCGGGTAGGAGAAAAGCCGCATAGGGTGGAGCTAGCACAGGAGTGGAATTTTCCAGGGAGCGCGCCCTCCGCCGAAATGTGAGCCGCGAGGACGCGCACGTGCTCGCGGGAGTGGGGGAGGGTGGAGTAAGGCGGGCGGAGTACGGCCGCGCGTGCGCAGGGAGACAATGTTGGGCGTAGGGTGGAACCAACTGTTGTCACGCGCCAGCGAGAGAGCGCTTGAACGCGAGCTGCGCCTGCGCCCGAGGCTTTCTGAAGGCCGGGAATGGGCATTGCTGTATGCTTGGCACATTGCCGTTTATTCCATTAGTTAAAAAAGGAAAAGGAGGCCGGGCGCGGTGGCTCACGCCTGTAATCCCAGCACTTTGGGAGGCCGAGACCGGTGGATCACCTGAAGTCAGGAGTTCGAGACCAGCCTGGCCAAAATGACGAAAATACAAAAATTAGCTGGGCGTGGTGGCACGCGCCTGTAGTCCCAGCTGCTTGTAAGGCTGAGGCAGGAGAATCGCTTGAACCCAGGAGGCAGAGGTTGCAGTGAGCCGAGATCGCGCCACTGACTCCAGCCAGAGCTAGACTCCGTCTAAAAAAAAAAAATTAGTCGTAGGGTGGAACGCACGGTTGTCATGCGCCAGCAAGAGAGCGCCGGGCTTGGTGGCAGGCGGCTGTAGTCTGAGCTACTTGGGAGGCTAAGGCAGGAGACTCCCTCGAACACAGGAGGCGGAGGCTGCAGTGATCCGAGATCCCGCCACTGCACTCCAGCCTCGGTGACAGAGAAAGACTTTGTCTCAAAAAAAAAAAAAGAGATTGACTACTATCTTCTACTATGTTTACTAAAGCAGAAGACACGTGAATTGACAAAAACATTTGTGATTTGTCATTTCGGAAAAGAGTCACAGAGCAATTACGTAATTTACTTAAGGTTAGATAGGTGATAACTGGCAGAACCGAGATTCGAATCTAAGCAGCCTAATTCCAGAACCCATGCAGGTAACTGCTACGTGCTGCTTCATGTTGAGTTGTTAAAGGATTCGTGATGTTGGGATCACCCTGGTAAATTCAGTAGCGTAAACGTTGCTGAAAGGCAGACACTTTCCACACTTAGCCGTTGGTTATTATTCTGCCAATTACAGCTTACAGAGTTCTTATCTACAATATTTTGCAATAAGTTAGGAGCTACAGGCTGTACATACAAGAAATTTCAGGCTGAAGTGGAATTGCTACAAAGGTCGAAGCAAAGTGCTGGGGACTATCAGAGGAACTGAAAGATTGCTTTTGGGTTTGGAGATCACGTGTTGTTGTTGTTGTTTTTGGAGACGGAGTCTCACTCTGTCACCCAGGCTGGAGTGCGGTGGCACAATCTCGGCTCACTGCAACCTCTGCCTCCCAGGTTCAAGCGATTCTCCTGCCTCAGCCTCCAGAGTAACTGGGATTACAGGTGCACGCTGCCATGCCCGGCTAATTTTTTCTAGTTTAGTAGAGACGAGGTTTCACCGTGTTGCCCAGGCTGGTCTCCAACTCCTGAGCTCCGGCAATCCGCCCACCTCGGCCTCCCAAAGTGCAAGGATTACAGGCGTTTTTTAAAGCTTGACTTCGCAGCTATATCGTACATTCTTCTGTGGTAAGTATTTCCCTACAAGTTCCAGCCACAGTATTGAACCTATAGCACGACACATTAATAGTGTCATGAAATTAGTGCTGTATGTATGTGTTGAAGAGTATGTGGGGTCGTGTGGGGTGGCTCACACTTGTAATCCCAGCACTTGGAGAGGCGGAAGTGGGTTAGATCCCTCGAGCCCAGGAGTTCGAGACCAGCCTGCCCAACATGGCAAAACCCTATCTCTACAAAAAATTAAAAAATTAGGCCAGGTGCGGTGGCTCACACCTGTAATCCCTGCACTTTGGGAGGCCGAGGCAGGCGAATCACGAGGTCAGGAGATTGAGACCATCCTGGCTAACATGGTGAAACCCCGTCTCTACTAAAAATACAAAAAAATTAGCCGGGCATGGTGGCAGACGCCTGTAGTCCCAGCTACTCCAGAGGCTGAGACAGGAGAATGGAGTGAACCTGGGAGGCGGAGCTTGCAGTGAGCCGAGATTGTGCCACTGAACTCCAGCCTGAGCGACAGAGCAAGACTCCGTCTCAAAAAAAAAAAAAAAAAAATAGCTGGGCATGGTGGCCCCAGCTACTGGGGAGGCTGAGGTGGGAGGATGGCTTCAGTCCAGGAGGCAGAGGTTGCAGTAAGCCAAGATCCCACCACTGCACTCCAGCCTGGGCAACAGAGCTATTCAGTGCCTATAGAAGCATAGGGAAACAAGAAAAAAGAAAAAAATAGAATATATGTTATTAAGCATTTAAATAAGCTATATCTGATTATTTAACAGACTCCTGTCCATCTACTCTAATCCCTACAAAATAAAACATGATTTTTTTTTTCTCTTGAGACAGTTTCACTCGTCAGCCAGGATGGAATGCAATAGCGCAATCTTGGCTCGCTGCAACCTCCATCTCTCGGGTTCAAGCGATTCTCCTGCCTCAGTCTCCCGAGTAGCTGGGATTACAGGTGCCTGCCACTATGCCTGGCTAATTTTTGTATTTTTAGTAGAGATAGGGTTTCACCACATCGCCAGGCTGATCTCTAATTCCTGACCTCAGGTGATCCATCTGCCTCGGCCTCCCAGAGTTCTGGGATTACAGGCGTGAGCCACCGCGCCTGGCCAAGATTATTGATTAATGCAGAACATTAATATAATTTATCTTAGATTACTTCCTCCACCATTGAGTTTTATGTTAGCCTCACACAGTAGCCAACACATCCCACATCATCTCTGCCCACCCTCTGATCAGTTTCTCAGTTAATACAAACTTGTTCCATATCAGCCTGGATGAAATAATGATAGGGGAGTCAATATCATTTAATTGCTTAGAGATGAGCTATAAGTGAGTTTTGTTGTTGTTTGATGAGCTACTGTTTTGGAAAATTCATATCTTCCTACCTCATCAGCTTCATGGAAAATTGGGAGCTAGCCAGGCACAGTGGCTCACGTGTGTAATCCTAGCACTTTGGGAGGCTGAGGCAGGCAGATCACCTGAGGTCAGGAGCTCAAGACCAGCCTGACCAACATGGAGAAACCCCGTCTCTACTAAAAATACAAAAAATTAGCCGGGCATGGTAGCGGACGCCTGTAATCCCAGCTCCTCGGAAGGCTGAAGCAGGAGAATTGCTTGAACCCGGGAGGTGGAGGTTGCGGTGAGCCGAGATCATGCCATTGCACTCTAGCCTGGGCAACAAGAGCAAAACTCAGTCCCCCCGCCCAAAAAAAAAAAAAAGAGAGAGAGAGAGAAGAAAATTGGGAGCTGTCTGCTAGAGAAGTAACACCAAAAGGATATTTCTTTTCTTTTTTTTTTTTTTTTTTTGAGATGAAGTTTCGCTTTGTTGCCCAGGCTGGCGTACAGTGGGACGATCTTGGCTCACTGCAACGTCGGCCTCCAGGTTCAAGTGATTCTCCTACCTCAGCCTCCGAAGTAGCTGGGATTACAGGTGCCCGCCACCAAGCCTGGCTAATTTTTTCTATTTTTAGTAAAGATGGGGTTTCACCGTGTTGGTCAGGCTGGTGTCGAACTCCTGACCTCAGGTGATCCACCTGCCTCGTCTTCCTAAAGTGCTGGGATTACAGGCATGAGCCACCATACCCAGCCAAAAAGGGTATTTCTTAATCCTACAATCTTCGTAGTTCACATTTCAGAAAAAGCAAGATAAAAAGATCTTGTCACGATGATGGGAGCAAGAGAAGAGAACTCATTGTGCAAGTAGAGGAAGGAATCGATTGTTAGGGGCTCAGTCTTGCAAAGAACACTCTTGCACATAGTAGACACTCCAATATTTATTTATACAATAAGCAGATGTGAAGAATTCCAGTTGAAATATGATGAGGCAGGCCGGGCGCGGTGGCTCATGCCTGTAATCCCAGCACTTTGGGTGGCCAAGGCGGGTGGATCACGAGGTCAGGAGATCGAGACCATCCTGGCTAACACGGAAACCCCATCTCTACTGAAAATACAAAAAATTAGCCGGGCGCGGTGGCAGGCGCCTGTAGTCCCAGCTACTAGGGAGGCTGAGGCAGGAGAATGGCATGAACCCAGGAGGCGGAGCTTGCAGTGAGCGGAGATCTGGCCACTGCGCTCCAGCCTGGGCGACAAAGCGACACTCCATCTCAAAAAAAAAAAAAAAGAAGGAAAGAAATATAATGAGGCAGAAGGAAAAGTTGATTTCCTGTTTTTCCCAGTGAAGTGGGTTACTGGAATCCCTTGTTGTCCTATTGAAATTTCTAAATGGAGCCCGAAGAGGGCTGGGTGTGGTGGCTCACGCCTCTAATCCCAGCACTTTTGGAGGCTGAGGCAGGCGGATTGCTTGAGGCCAGGAGTTCGAGACCAGCCTAGCCAACATGGTGAAACCCCATCTCTACTAAAATTACGAAAATTAGCTGGGCATGGTGGCATGAGCCTGTAGTCCCAGCTTCTTGGGAGGCTGAGGCATGAGAATCATTTGAACCTGGGAGGCAGAGGCTGCAGTGAGCCAAGATTGTGCCACTGCATTCCAGCCTGGGTGACAGAGTGAGACTCTGTCTCAAAAAATAAATAAATAAATGGAGACCAAAGAGAATGAGACTCTTCCTATGTAAGCAGTGGAGCACACACTTACATTTTTTCCCCTCCCAGTGGCAGATGACATCAGAGATGGAAACTTCAGAAATTCTGCGTAGTGACCTACTTTCTAGGAGAAGCACAGCTGATTTGAACCAGGAAAATTCTTCTGGAGATCTGGGAAGAACCCAATTCTAAACAATATGATACTAGAATTGAAGCAAGTACCAGGCTTGCCATGTATTTATATTGTACTTCCCTTCCCTAAAGTGAGACTATGGAGAGCAAAATAAGTGAATTGTCCAAAATAAGGTGCCGTAGAAGAAACAAGGATCCTGACTTTCTAAGAAATATTCTCAACTGAGCTTTAGTTAATTAGTTAGTTAGTTAGAGATGGAGTCTCGCTTTGGCACCCAGGCTGAGGTGCAGTGGTACCATCACAGCTCACTGCTGCCTTAAATTCCTGGGCTCAAGGGATCCTCTTGCTTCAGTCTCCCTAGTAGCTGGGACTACAAGAGCATGCCACCATATCCAGCTTTTTTTTTTTTTTTTTTGTAGAGACAAGGTCTTGCCATTTTGCCCAGGCTAGTCTCAAACTCCTGGGCTCAAGCAATCCTCCCCTCTCAGTATCCCAAAGTGTTGGGATTACAGGCGTGAGCCACCACGCTCGGCTTCAGCTGATCTTTAGCTAGCAATATTATTAGAGCTTGTTTGTCACTCGAGTTGACTGTATATGGCTTTCACATAGTGAAAGTGGTTAAGAATGCTATAGTGCCTGAGTTTACATCTTAGCTTCACCTTTTTTCCTCACCTATGGAAAGGGGGTTATTGGCCGGGCGCGGTGGCTCACGCCTGTAATCCCAGCACTTTGGGAGGCCAAGGCGGGCAGATCACGAGGTCAAGAGATTGAGACTATCCTGGACAACATGGTGAAACCCTGTCTCTACTAAAAAATACAAAAATTAGCTGGGCGTGGTGGTGCATGCCTGTAGCCCCAGCTACTCAGGAGGCTGAGGCAGGAGAATCGCTTGAACCTGGAAGTTGGAGGTTGCAGTGAGCTGAGATCGTGCCACTGCACTCCAGCCTGGGCGACAGAGCGAGACTCCGTCTCAAAAAAAAAAGAAAAAGTTGGGGGCTGGGCGCAGTGGCTCACACCTGTAATCCCAGCACTTTGGGAGGCTGAGGTGGGTGGGTCACGAGGTCAAGAGTTCAAGAACAGCCTGGCCAACATGGTGAAACCCCATCTCTACTAAGAATACAAAAATTAGCCAGCTGTGGTGGCATGTGCCTGTAGTCCCAGCTACTCGGGAGGTTGAGGCAGGAGAATCTCTTGAACCTAGGAGGCGGGGGTTGCAGTGAGCCGAGATCGCACCATTGCACTCCAGTCTGGGCGACCGAGCAAGACTCTGTATCAAAGGAAAAAAAAAAGTAAGAAAGGAAGGGGGTTATTAAGTAGAATTTAAGTAGAATCGTTATTAACTCATAAAGTGAATTCATATATGGTCCCACTCTGGTTAGTTATAATTACTGCTTCCAAGCCCCATCATAGCCCTGAAAGGGATATAAGGAGCCTAGCAGAAACCTGGAAAGTGTAACTGCTCTTTGTGCTGGACACAGATAACATCCCTGCCCCCAGAGTCCACCCCAGTGCAGCGTGCCTAAAGCAGGAGAGTTCCTGTTGGATGGATGAACAAGAAGTCCACAGGAAGCCCTGAGCGTTAGCTCTCTTCCCCTAGAGAGCAGTTCTCGCCTTTGCTGAAGCTAAGACCACTGAAATGCAGGTAGCTTCCAAGCCCAAAAGTCATTCCTTATTCCTGTGCTGAAGGTCTTTCTTCTCTTAGCTGCTGTTCTTTCCCATCTATCCTTCCACTCACCCCTGCTGCTGGGGACAAATCCTTTTCCTTTACCTCTTTCTGCTTGCTTGCCCTAGATTCCTTATTCTAAAGACAGGTTTCAGAAGAGATGTTGCTTGCTCACCTTGGCTGAGCCAGAAAAGAAGCCCATGCATCCCATTGCTCAAGCTAGGTCTAGAATTAATCCCTCACCTCTTCTTGCTCCACTTTCACCCCAGATGGCTAAATCAAGCAATAATCCTAAAAGGGAATTTCAGGCTATTTTCAACTCCCCACATCCCCCACCTCCCACACCACGTTTAGGGAGGAGAGAGCAAAGCCCTTGGATCAGAGTAATCTGTTTCTAACCCACTTCCATTCCCAGGGATTACCTCTCCAGGGGGAGGGAGACAGAAATAAACCTAACAATTTAGTGCTAGAAACTTGGGAAAGAAGCTCCAGGAGTGCCTTGGAGGGCTGTAGGCATGGGGTTCCAGTAGCCTGGGAACTTCTTCTCATATGCTGGAGTACCCTGTAAAAGGGTCCACAAACTTGAAAAGCAATGCCTAGTGTGGCAAGAATAGGCACTCTATAAATGTGCCTATTGGATGAAAGAATGAAAAATGTATGGATTGTGGGCAGATGAAGGCAGAAACAATTTCCTTGTTATACCTACAACCTTTATGTCCTTGTATGCACACCAATTTATGGCTAAAATCAGTCAACCACAAATAAGGAAGTGCGATAGAGTGGAAACACCTCTGGATTGGGAGACAGGAGATATGGATTCTAGTACCACCATTGCCGACATTGATTTGCTCTTTGGCCTTTGGCAAATCGCTTTGCCCAAAGTCACTTTGTTCTCTGATCACTAATTTTCTCCATTAAAAAAAAAAAAGTCTCAGCCGGGCACAGTGGCTCACACCTGTAATCCCAGCACTTTGGGAGGCCAAGGCGGGTGGATCACGAGGTCAGGAGTTTGAGACCAGCCTGGCAAAGATAGTGAAACCCCATCTCTACTAAAAATACAGCTGGGCGTGGTGGCATGTGCCTATAGTCCCAGCTACTCAGGAGGCTGAGGCAGGAGAATCACTTGAACCCGGCAGGTGGAGGTTGCAGTGAGCCGAGATCATGCCACTGCACTCCAACCTGGGCAACAGAGCGATACTCCGTCTCAAAAAAAGTCTCCCTCTAGAGCCCTAAAGGCCTCCAGTCCTGTGTTATGTATATTGAGCCCCTATTAATAATGTACAAAGGCCTAAGCTCATTTATATACTGACAGTGACTCATTTTGGGGGTCCCTTGTGAACCAAGTGCTTGGCACACATTTTCTCTAGTCTGTATTCCTTCCTCTACCCTGCATGACCCTGCTATACAAAAATCTACCTTCCGGGCAGGCACGGTGGCTCACGTCTGTAATTCCAGCACTTTGGGAGGCCGAGGCAGGTGGATTGCCTGAGCTCAGGAGTTCAAGACCAGCCTGGGCAACATGATGAAACCGTATCTCTACTAAAATACAAAAAATTAGCCGGGTATGGCGGCGTGCATCTGTAGTCCCAGCTATTTGAAAGGTTGAGGCAGGAGAATTGCTTGAACCTGGGAGGCGGAGGTTGCAGTGAGCCAAGATCGTGCCATTGCACTCCAGCCTGGGCAACAGAGCAAGACTCCATCTCAAAAAAAAAAAAACAACAAAAAAAGTCTATCTTCCAGCTGACCATTCTTTTGGGATGCTCTCCTGTGGCTGGGTGAAGGCTTCCTTCTCAGCTCTTTGGGATTGGAAACAGGGAAGCTGTGCGAATGCAGAAAACTTCCACTAGAGGGTACCAAGGCTGCACCGGATCTCAGACTGCAGGGAGGCCTGTGTAAACCCAATTCCTGGATGTTTAAATACCTATGTTGAGAGATTCAGGGATCTCCATTAATTCCTCACTACCAGTGGGAGGTGGGCGAGAGATAAAAAACTACATATTGGGTACAGTGTACACTACTTGAGTGACTGGTGTATTAAAATCGCAGACTTTACCACTATACAAATCATCCATGTAACCAAAACCACTTGTACCCCAAAAGCTATTGAAATAAAAAAAATTAATTTTAAAAAATTGCTCAGCCGGGTGCGGTGGCTCACGCCTGTAATCCCAGCACTTTGGGAGGCCAAGGCGGGCGGATCACGAGGTCAGGAGATTGAGACCATCCTGGCTAACGTGGTGAATCCCCGTCTCTACTAAAAATACAAAAACAAAAAATTAGCCGGGCGTGGTCGCGGGCGCCTGTAGTCCCAGCTACTCGGGAGGCTGAGGCGAGAGAATGGCGTGAACCCAGGAGGCGGAGCTTGCAGTGAGCCGAAATCGCGCTGCTGCACTCCAGCCTGGGCGACAGAGCGAGACTCCATCTCAAAAAAGGCTTTTTTTTTTTTTTGAGAACGGAGTTTCACTCTTGTTGCCCAGGCTAGTGTGCAATGGCTCGATCTCGGCTCACCGCAACCTCGGCCTCCCAGGTTCAAGCAATTCTCTTTCCTCAGCCTCCCGAGTAGCTGAGATTACAGGCATGCACCACTACGCCCGGCTAATTTTGTATTTTTAGTAGAGACGGGGTTTCCCCATGTTGAGTCTGGTCTCGAACTCCTGACCTCAGGTGATCCGCCTGCCTCAACCTCCCAAAGTTCTAGGATTACAGGTGTGAGCCACCGCGCCCGGCCCCTTGAAAAGCTTTTAAGAAGTCTCTACTATTTGGACATCATTTTGCTTTCTTCATTTTGATTACTTCAAATCAAAGAAAGCTTGGCATAATGAAATTCGTGGGGGCTCTGGCAACTGATGTAGATCTTGCTCCACTATTTCCAAACTTTATTAGCCAATTACTTAAGTCATCTGCATTTCAGTGCAAACCCATCTGTGGAATGGAGATAATTTCACAGATGGGTACACTGAAATGCAGAGAACTTACCTCATAGAGGAGTTGTGAACGTAAGTAAAATCATATATGGAAACAGGTAACTTGGTAGATTGTAGGTGCCTAAAACCGTTTTTGCACTGGCCTATTATAAACTGGGAATTGAGATGTTGAGGAGAGAAAGATGGATTTGCAGGCACTGAATACCTCCAAACAAGAGACGTGACCTTTTGTCATTTTGCTCTTAAGGCTTGCAGGTTTCCAGGCTAGCGCTGCAGGGCACACCCCAGCCTTATCCTTCAGCTGTGTTCTGTCATCTGCAACAGCCCAGCCATGTGGTTCTGCCCTTTTCCCATCCTGATTTCTCTGGAGGTGAGTTTAGTTTCTACTTCCTACTCGCCTCCTGGATGAAAAGTCTCATGTATGGTGTTTTGCCCTGTGCTTTCTGAAGTGTCACATCTCCACCTAGCTCTGCTCTGCCTTTTTCCTCTCATCTCTCCAACAGTCACTTCTGGGGTGGAATGTGCCATCTGTTTCTGAAACTGAGCAGAAGTTTGGGAAAGGGGGAGGGACAGCCATGTCCAGGGCTTGCGTGTCAGCAGACACGTTACAGCTGCTGCAGGGCAAACCAGGGTGAAACCACAAGCCAGAGGACCCAGGGCAGGCAGCCGTGAGGCCCGCCCCTCGGCTTCTCTCTCATCTGTCTCACCCAGAGGTTTCCTGGCAGGAGTGGGAGAGGTTGGTATCGAGTCCTTGAGCCCTGACTCATTCCCTGACCTAGTTGGGTGTTACCCAGTTATCTCCTAAATCTCTCTCCAGGGCCCTCTGTTAGCAACACAACAGTATCATCCTAGACAGAAGACGCAGGAGGAAAGCAGACTACCTATTTATCTCATTCCCTTCTGAGGGTCCCAACAACAACCAGGAGGTTTACAGGTTACATTGCTTATAAAATGACCAAAATCATCCCATAGAGCTACACTAAGAGATTGGCTACTTTCCAGATTTCTCTATAGAAACAATCATGCTTAACTTTCTCAAAAAAAAGAATAAAATCATTATTTTATTTTACTTGGGCAGGGGAAGGGACTGAAACACTGAACCAGGAAGTGACTGGTGATTATCACACAGTGAATCAGGGGCCTAACTAGGGACATAACTCAGGTTTCCTAACCCCACCCCAAATTCCATTCTTTCCCTCAGCTTAGTTACTTATGGACTACAGTAATGTCCTGGGCTTTCTGGACTTTACCAAAGTTCTTGTAATTGTCAAATTCCTGAGGGTTGGATAGGAAGCTGATTCTGTGATGCTTCTGGGCTTCACATGTATCTCTTTCACAGTTTGTCCTGTAGAAAACGTGAGATATATATTTGTTGCCTCCTGGACGGGTTGCCAAAAACACTTTAGATGTTATTCTTAGATTCAAAGAAGACCAATGTGATCCTAAGGTTAGATCTCAGAGACAGAATATTCCATTTTTAAATCATTTGTTGCTGTTCAAGATCCTCATATCTTTATGAGTCACTGTACCAGTAGATGCTGAAAATTATTTTCTTACCCTCCCTTTATTCAGAGGTCCCCATCTGGGCTGGGTGTGGTGGCTCGCACCTGTAATCCCAGGGCTTTGGGAGGCTAAGGCAGGTGGATTGCTTGAGGCCAGGAGTTCGAGACCGGCCTGGCCAAAATGGTGAAACCCTGTCTTTACTAAAAATACAAAAATTAGCCAGGCATGGTGGCAAACGCCTGTAATTCCAGCTACTCGGGAAGCTGAAGCATGAGAATCACTTGAATTTGGGAGTTGGAGGTTGCAGTAAACCGAGATTGTGCCACTGCACTCTGTGTAACAGAGACTCTGTCTCAAAAAAAAGATCCCAGTCTCAGCTGGGCACGGTGGCTCACGCCTATGATCCCAGCACTTTGGGAGTCTGAGGCGGGCAGATCACCTAAGGTCGGGAGTTTGAGACCAGCCTGACCAACATGGTGAAACCCAGTCTCTACTAAAAGTACAAAAATTAGCCGTGTTTGGTGGCCGGCACCTGTAATCCCAGCTACACGGGAGGCTGAGGCAGGTGAATTGCTTGAAGATGAGAGGCAGAGGTTGCAGTGAGCCGAGATCGCGCCACCGCACTCCAGCCTGGGCGACAGAGCGAGACTCCATCTCAAAAAAAAAAAAAAAAGGTCCCAGTCTCTCCTTAACTAGGGTCATGCTTCTAAAGACATTAGCTGGTTTCCAAGAAAGCAGATTTTAGCTTTATCTGTTGGCAGAGAAAACAGAGTCATTGCACACAGGCCAGAACATTCTTTCTGCCAGAGCTCCCCATCTGGAAGAAAAGAGAAAGAGTTTCAGAGTTTCCATAAGGGCTGCCTAAAGGGGAGGAAGAGAGAGGGAGCCATAGGGAGGGAAGAAGAACGTTACAGGGCTGCAATCCCAAGCCTAATAGTCTGAAAAGAAAATCAGATACTGCAGGCCTGAAAACCTGGGTCAGCATTGCCACACCTCTCCCCTCTACCTAACCCTTAGTCGGGATTTCTTTTGTTCTTCACTCTTTGATTTTTCACATGTACGTATCTATCCTACCTGTCTCACCTCAAAATTTTCTTTCCATTATTTGTTCTTTATGTAGCTCCCCTCCAAATTTGTGCTCTCCCTATAGATGATTAATAGAGGTTTGAGGTTCCAAGACTAGGTCTTTTTTGGGGTTTTTTTGAGATGGACTTTCGCTCCGTCACCCAGGCTGGAGTGCAGTGGCGTGATCTTGGCTCACTGCAACCTCCGCCTCCTGGGTTCATGCAATTCTCCTGCCTCAGCCTCCCGAGTAGCTGGGATTACAGACGCATTACCATGCCCAGCTAATTTTTGTATTTTTAATAGAGGTAATTGTATATTTTTAATAGACGCGGGGTTTCAGCATGTTGGTCAGGCTGCTCTCAAACTCCTGACCTCAAGTGATCCACCCACCTTGGCCTCCCATAGTGCTGGGATTACAGGTGTGAACCGCCGCACCCAGCCCCAAGACTACTTCTAATACTTTTTGTTTTGTTTTGTTTTAGAGAGATTCTTGCTATATTTCCCAGGCTGGTCTCATATTCCTGGCGTTCAAAAGATCTTCCTACCTCAGCCTCCTGAGTAGCTGGAACTACAGGTACTCACCACCGTGCCCAGCTCCCAGCTACCTAATTTTTTTTTGTTTTTTTTGAGACAGGGTCTTGCTCTGTTTCCCAGGCTGAAGTGCAGTGGCACAATCATAGCACCGTCTCACTGCAGCCTTGACTTCGAGCTCAAGCAATTCTCCTGCCTCATCCTCCCAAGTAGCTGGAACCCCAGGCACATGCCACCATGCCCAGCTAATCTTTTATTATTTGTAGAGGCAGGGTCTCACCAGGTTGTCCAGGCAGGCCCAACTACTTTTTAATACTTCTCAGAAAAATAGGATCATAGAGTTAGAAGGAACTTTCTCATAACCTGTGATTCTCAGAAGGAGTTTGGTGGGTCCAAGGAGCCCCTGAAATTGAATGTCAATTTTAGTACACGTATGCATCTTTCTGGCAAGAAGGCCCATAGCTTCCATTGGGTTCTCAAAGGGTTCCATGATCATACCTTCCATTCAAATCCCTGCTGTGGACCATACAGTTCAGTGTTTTTCAGAATAAGGCTGGGAACCCAAGTTAATTTTGGAATCTAGGTCATGACTTACATTTAAAAAAATGAATATAGAATAGAAAATATCATCGTGCATCACACATAGTAAAGACATTAATTTTTTATTAACTAATAATATTTGATTCAAAATTTTTATTTATAACTTTTTGATGTTACATATATATAAAATCAAAATATCGAACCTCATTCATTTAATGAATTTTTCGTTGAGTATTTGCCATGTAGCAGATATTGCTGAAATCACTGGGGAATATAAAAATGAAAGAGAAATGTTTCTGGTCCACAAGCAGCTTATATTTGGTAGGAAAGAGAAAAATACACCAAAAATAACAAAAGAACCATAACAGCCACTACAGAAGTAAGCACAAGGTACAAGGTGGTGCAGAGGACAGCATGAAAGACCGTTTTGAGAATTCAGGTGGGGCCACACTGGAGTTGAGTCACACTTAAAATGAGCAGGAATTTGCAGGGAGAAATAAAATTCTAGCCAAGGGGCTGGGCATGGTGGCTTGCGCCTGTAATCCCAGCACTTTGGGGGGCCGAGGTGGGCGGATCACGAGGTCAAGAGATCAAGACCACCCTGGCCAACATGTGAAACCTCATCTCTACTAAAAATAGAAAAGTTAGCAGGGCATGGTGGTGTGTGCCTGTAATCCCGGCTACTTGGGAGGCTGAGGCAGGAGAATTGCTTGAACCCGGGAGGCGGAGGTTGCAGTGAGCAGAGATTGTGCCATTGCACTCCAGCCTGAGCAACAGGGTGAGACTCTGTCTCAAAAAATAAATAAATTAATTAATTAAATAAATAAAAATAAAAATCTGGCCAGGTGCGGTGGCTTACTCCTGTAATCCCAGCACTTTGGGAAGCCAAGGTGGGCGGATCATGGGGTCAAGAGATCGAGACCATCCTGGCCAACATGGTGAAACCTCGTCTCTACTAAAAATACAAAAATTAGTGGGGCGTGGTGGCATGCACCTGTAGTCCCAGCTACTCACGAGGCTAAGGCAGGAGCATCTCTTGAACCCGGGAGGCAGAGGTTGCAGGGAGCCGAGATCGCGCCACTGCACTCCAGCCTAGCGACACAGCGAGATTCCGTCTCAAAAAAAATAAAAAACATATAAAAATAAATAAATAAATATTCTAGGCAAAGGGATTGACATGCATGAAGACACGGCAGTGTAAAACAACTTGGGAACTTGGGATGGCCAGGGTGCCCTAAGTGGTCTGGTATGTTGTCCCTGTACTGTGGGGTCCAGTTGGCCGGGGTGCAAATGCAGGCTGGATCATGGAGAGTCTCCCACTGAATGCGGAATATTTTAAATATCCCCAACACACTGTCACCCAGCTCTGCCTGGGCTCTCTCAGACAAAGAACCTAGATCTTTGTAAGGTACTTAATTCTGTTTCTGAGCATCCGATTGTGACAAATTCCTTCCTATATTGATGTAACATTTGCTTCCCTCTTTCACCCAGTGATTCTGGTTTGCCCTCTGCAGCATTAAAAAATAAGTCTACATCCTCTTCTATTAGGTTGAACCAAATGAAATTGCTATTTTTATAGATCAAAACAGTTGAACATTGACAGTTTTATATTGTCAGCCTTATTATACCTGTTTGAGGACATTAGTCTTCTCTTCCCCATCAATAATATCTCCAAACTCCATCAAATTCTTTCTCACCTGGTAAAGTTATGAGATCTTTTTCAAATATGATCTCATATTTAGGCATATTCTAGTTCCTCAATATTTTTCTTTCTTTTTAATGTTTGATTTTTGTTTGTTTGTTTTGAGATAGGGAGTCTCACTCTGTCGCCCAGGCTGGAGTGCACTGGTGCAATCTCGGCTCACTGCAACCTCTGCCTCCTGGATTCAAGTGATTCTCCTGCTTCAGCCTCTCGAATAGCTGGGATTACAGGCGCCAGACCCAGCTAATTTTTGTACTTTTAGTAGAGACGGGTTTCAGCACACTGGTCAGGCTGGTCTCGAACTCCTGACCCCAAGCGATCCACCCGCCTTAACCTCCCAAAGTACTGGGATTACAGGTGTGAGCCACCACACCTGGCCTGTTTTTTTTTTTAGATGGTGTCTCGTTATGTCACCCAGCCTGGAGTGGCGCAATCTCGGCTTACTGCAATCTCCGCTTTTTGGGTTCAAGCGATTCTTGTGCCTCAGCCTCTCGAGTAGCTCGGATTACAGGTGTGTGCCACCGTGCCCAGCTAAATTTTGTAGTTTTAGTAGAGATGGGGTTTCGCCATGTTGGCTAGGCTGGTCTCCAACTCCTGACCTCAGGTGATCCGCCCACCTCAACCTCTCAAAGTGCTGGGATTATAGGCGTGAGCCACCACACTCAGCCCTCAATATCTTTCTTAATATGGGACAGTCAGAACCAGTCAGTTTAAAATGCAGGGAGACTATTCTCTCTCTGGATCTGACAGTGTGTCTTTTCATGAAACTCTGACTGCATTGGGTTTCGTGAGACCTGAACCTTTTTCACACAAGATACTGTCACACCAGTCCTACTCCTACCTGTGCAATTAATTTTTTTTTTTTTTTTAGTAGAGATGGGGTTTCTCCATGTTGGTCAGGCTGGTCTCGAACTCCCGACCTCAAGTGTGCCCACCTCGGCCTCCCAAAGTGCTGGGATTACAGGCGTGAGCCACCATGCCCAGCCCATTTAGTTTTTTTTTTTTTTTTAAATCAACTGCGCCGGGCGCAGTAACTCACATCTGTAATCCCAGCACTTTGGGAGGCCGAGGTGGGCAGATCACCTGAGGTTGGGAGTTTGAGACCCGCCTGACCAACATGGTGAAACCTGGTCTCTACTAAAAATACAAAAAGCAGCTGGGTGTGGTGGCGCCCGCCTGTAATCCCAGCTACTTAGGAGGCTGAGGCAGGAGAATCGCTTGAACCCAGGAGGTGGAGGTTGCAGTGAGCTGAGATCGTGCCACTGCATTCCAGCCTGGGCGACAGAGCAAGACTCTGTCTCAAAAAAAAAAAAAAAGAAAAGAAAAGAAAAAGAAATACAAACCTCAGCCAGGTACAGTGGTTTACATCTGTAATCCCACTACTTTGAGAGGCCGAGGCAGGTGTATCACCTGAGGTCCGGAGTTCAAGACCAGCCTGGCCAACATGGGGGAAACCCCATCTCTACTAAAAACACAAAAATTAGGCCAGGTGTGGTGGCTCACGCTTGTAATCCCAGCACTTTGGAAGGCCGAGGTGGGTGGATCACCTGAAGTCAGGAGTTCAAGACCAGCCTGGCCAACATGGCAAAACCCTGTCTCCACTGAAAAAAATACAAAAATTAGCTAGGCATGGTGGCAGGTGCCTGTAATCCCAGCTACTCGGGAAGGCTGAGGCAGGAGAATCGCTTCAACCCCAGAGGTGAGGTTGCAGTGAGCCAAGATCACACCACTGCACTTCAGCCTGGGCGACAGAGCAACAGTCCATCTCGGAAAAAAAAAAAAAAAAAAAAGAGCTGGGCACGGTGGCTCACGTCTGTAATTTCAGCACTTTGGGACACCAAGGTGGGCTGATCCCAAGGTCAATAGGTAGAGACCATCCTGGCCAACATGGTGAAACCCCATCTCTACTAAAAATACAAAAAAAGTAGCTGGGCATGGTGGTGTGTGCCTGTAATCCTAGCTACTCAGGAGGCAGAGGCAGGAGAATTGCTTGAACCCGAGGGGCAGAGGTTGCAGTGAGCCAAGATCACGCTACTGCTCTCCAGCCTGGGTGATAGAGCAAGACTCCATCTCAAAAAATAAAATAAGGGGCTGGGCGCAGTGACTCACGCCTGTAATCCCAGCACTTTGGGAGGCCAAGGTGGGTGGATCACCTTAGGTCAGGAGTTCGAGACCAGCCCGGCCAACGTGGTGAAACCCCATCTCTACTAAAAATAAAAAATTAGCTGGGCATGGTAGGGGGAGGAGCCTGTAATCCCAGCTACTTGGGAGGCTGAGGCGGGAGAATTGCTTGAACCCAGGAGGCAGAGGTTGCAGTGAGCCGAGATCGTGCCACTGTGCTCCAGCCTGGCAACAGAGCAAGACTCTGTCTCAAAATAATAATAATAATAATAATAATAATAATAATAATAAAATAAAAGAGCCAGGCACGGTGGCTCATGTCTGTAATTTCAGCACTTTGGGACACTGAGGTGGGTGGATCACAAGGTTAAGAGATAGAGACCATCCTGGTCAACATGGTGAAACCCCATCTCTACTAAAAATACAAAAAAATTAGCTGGGTGTGGTGGTGTGTGCCTGTAATCCCAGCTACTTGGAGGCTGAGGCAGGAGAATCAGTTGAATCTGGGAGGCGGAGTTTGCAGTGAGCCGAGACCCCACCACTGCACTCCAGCCTGGGCGACAGAGCGAGACTCTGTCTCAAAAAAAAAATAAAAGAAAATAAATACAAACCTCAACATAGTAAACTTGCTGCTATTCAAGAGCCATTCTCCTCGGTAATAATATTGAGCACTAACATGGTTTTATCCTTATTTTTAAATTAAATTATTTTTAGTGTATTTTATTTTATTTTTGAGACAAAGCCTTTTGTTTGTTTGTTGTTGTTGTTGTTGTTGTTGTTGTTGTTGTTGTTGTTGAGACGGAGTCTCGCTCTGTCGCCCAGGCTGGAGTGCAGTGGCGCCGTCCCAGCTCACTGCAAGCTCCGCCTCCCAGGTTCACGCCATTCTCCAGCCTCAGCCTCTTCAGAAGCTGGGACTACAGGCTCCTGCCACCACGCCTGGCTAATTTTTTGTATTTTTAGTAGAGATGGGGTTCCACCGTGTTAGCCAGGATGGTCTCGATCTCCTGACCTCGTGATCCGCCCTCCTTGGCCTCCCAAAGTACTGGCATTACAGGTGTGAGCCACCGCGCCCAGCCAACAAAGTCTTACTTTGTCATCCAGGCTGACGTGCAGTGGTGCGATCATGGCTCACTGCAGCCTTGACCACCTGGGCCCAGGGAATCCTCCCACTTCAACCCCCTGAGTAGCTGGGACTACAGACCCATGCCACCATGACCAGTTAATTTTGTCAAAATTTTTTGTGGATACAGGGTCTCACCATGTTGCCCAGGCTGGTCTGGAACTCCTGGCCTCAAGGAAACCTCCTGCCTCAGCCTCTCAAATCGCTGGGATTGTAAGCGTGAGCCACAATACCCAGCCCTAGCACTAACATGTTTTAACTCATTTAATCCTTTGGACAATCTTGTGATGCGGGTACTGTTATTATCCCTATTTCTTTTTCTTTTTTTTGAGATGGAGTTTCGCTCTTGTTGCCCAGGCTGGAGTGTAATGGCGCGATCTTGGCTCACTGCAACCTCCGCCTCCCAGGATCATGCTATTCTCCTGCCTCAGCCTCTCAAGTAGCTGCGATTACAGGCGCCCCCACACCCCGACCATGCCCAGATAATTTTTGTATTTTTAGTAGAGACGGGGTTTCACCCTGTTGGCTGGGCTGGTCTTGAACTCCTGACCTCAGGTGATCCACCCACCTTGGCCTCCCAAAGTGTTGGGATTACAGGTGTGAGCCACCACGTCCGGCCTATTATCCCTATTTCATGAGTGAAGAAACTGAGGTATAGGGCAGTTAAGTAACTTGTGTAACTTATGGTTAAATGTGTAACAAATGGTTAAAAAGTTGCACAGACACTATTTGAACCTAGACATTAGGTCTCTAGAGCTTCACACTCTCAATCCCTACAGACACATCTCAGACTAGTCTACTTAGGTTCATATCAAATTCTAATCTAACGCCAGGCACAGTAGCTCATGCCTGTTATCCCAACACTTTGGGAGGCTGAGGCGGGAGGATCACCTGAGGTCAGGAGTTCAAGACCAGCCTGGTCAACATGGTGAAACCCTGCCTCTACTAAAAATACAAAAATTAGCCAGGTGTGGTGGCACACACCTGTAGTCCCAGCTACTCGGGAGGCTGAGGCAGGAGAATCACTTGAACCTGGGAGGTGGAGGTTGCAGTGAGCCGAGATCGTGCCACTGCACTCCAGCCTGGGGACAGAGCGAGATTCCGCCTCAAAAAAAAAAAAAAAAAAAAGCAAAAAACAACACAAACTAATCTAACTTTCTTAGTGATCCCTACAATAAAATTCAGGCTCTGATCTCTACCCTGAACCCTATCTAATACACAGCCTGTTCTATTAGCAGCTCTGCCACATAAAATGGCCTGGATCAGTCTGGGGGGTTGGGGTGGGGGGAGGCGTTCCAGGACTGCCTTAGCCTGTGACAGAGGAAGGAGAATGGGGTGGGATCACAGGCGGAGGAGGGACATCAGTCAAACCCTCTCTGTCTGCAGAGGTGCAGCTTCCCCTTTCTGCTCTGTGGGTGGGTCCTCCCAGACAGGAAGGGAGCAGTTGGCTTAGTCGGTCTAGTTTTCCCTGGAACTCAGCATACTGTGAAATTTAGGAGGTGCCTGAGGCCAATTTAGGCAAGTTCTATTCAACAAACATTTGTTGAGTCCCAACAATGGGGCAGACACTGTGCTGGATTGGAATAGAACATAAACATATCACATATTGTAAAAATAAAGATAAGCACTTCAATAGCCAGTTACCTCCTAAGTGTGATAAGAGCCTGGATTGCTACAGACCTGAGTGTATTGTTTGGAATGAGGGATGGCAAGAGGAGAAAGGAAAAAGGGGAAGTAGGGATAAGGCGCCTATTACTGGGGTTTTTGGTTTCAAGGAAACAATCCAGATTAGGGAAGGAAAGAATAACTGAGTAAGGATTGCTGGCAGAAGGGAGGCGCCTTCAAGAGTACTGAGTTATTCAGCTGCAGGTGAGTCAAGTACCTTACCTGTTTATCTGGAATGCTTGAGGGAAGGAAGATATGAGGGCAAAGAGCAGTCAGGAAGATCCATTGTGTGTGTGTGTGTGTGTGTGTGTGTGTGTGTGTGTGTGTGTGTGTGTGTGTGTGTGTGTTTAGGGTTGTGTGAAATGCGAATTCCTGCTTTTTCTTGGCAGCTTTTCTGGAAATTGTGATGACAGCTGGTGGTGGGAAACATCACTGAAATACTGAAATTACTAGTGACCACAGCTTTTTCTCTGCTCCAGGTGACTGGCTATCACCTGAGCCATTCCAGACGGCGCCTACTGTGGATTTTCCTTTTTTTTTTTTTTGAAACAGGGTCTCACTCTGTTACCCAGGCTGGAGTGCAGTGGTGCAATCTCGGCTCACTGCAACCTCCGCCTCCTAAGTTCAAGTGATTCTCCTGCCTCAGCCTCCTGAATAGCTGGGATTACAGGTGTGTGCCACCACGCCCAGCTAATTTTTGCATTTTTAGTAGAGACAGGGTTTCACCATGTTGGCCAGGCTTGTCTTGAACCCCTGACCTCAAGTGATCCGCCTGCCTCAGCCTCCAAAGTACTGGGATTACAGGCATGAGCCACTGCACCTGGCCAGATTCATTTTTTTTCCTCTTGCTCATTTAGTAAAGTGAGGGTATTATTGTTTTTCTGTGTTTTTGTGTGTGTGTTTTTTTGAAGTAGGAAGGGAGGAAGAGACAGGTTCATTTTCCAAGAGCAATTAATGAGCATTCCACATTCTCTACATTAACCAGAAAGCTTATTGTGGATAAAAAGCCTGGACAAGAGACCCAGTCAGCAGAGAGATCCACTTTCTCATTTTAGATCTACTCCCACTTACTGTGAGTTTTAGAAGTGCACGACCTAGGCGGGGCGTGGCGGCTTACACCTGTAATCCCAGCACTTTGGGAGGCCGAGGTGGGCGGATCACGAGGTCAGGAGTTTGAGACCAGCCTGGCCAATTTGTGAAACCCCGTCTCTACTAAAAACACAAAAAATTAGCCGGTGTGGTGGCATGCGCCTGTAGTCCCAGCTACTCAGGAGACTGAGGCAGGAGAATCGCTTGAACCCAGGAGGCAGAGGTTGCAGTGAGTGGACATCCGTGCCATTGTACTGCAGCCTAGGTGACAGAGCAACACTCCATTTAAAAAAAAAAAGTGCATGACCTATCTGTATGTCCGGTTTCTCATTTTTGGTGGATGAATAATACCTTCTTGTGTCTCAATGACATTGTGAGAAAGGAAAATATTCAAAGTAATTAGGAAAGAGTACTCTGTAGAGATTTTATTGTTATTAATAATTTCCCAGGCTGTGTTGGAAAAGTAAAAAGGCCATGGATGATATGCCATTTTTACCTTTTTATTAGAAACAGGGTCTTGCCACGTTGCCCAGGCTGGTCTCAAACTTGGGGGCAAAAGTAATCTGCCTGCCTTGCCCTCTGGAAGTACGGGGATTACAAGCATGAGGCACCACACCAGGCCGGGAATTTCCTAAACTTTTCAAACTGTGGAGTGCAGCCCTCATTAGCCAAAACTGATGGATCTGAGCATAATAATTTTTTTCCACAGAAAATTAGTAGAATAAAATAATTTAAGAGCTAGAAAGAACTTTGAAGATGATCTAATCCATTACCTAATTTTACAGATGAATAAACTGAAACAGCAAGGGGTTCTAGACAGATAAAGGATTTGGGTGGCACTGTTGGAAAGCCAGAAGATTCTGATAACCATCAAGGGAAAATAATGTCTTTTAATAGTTCTTAATATTTAAACAAAACAGGTGATGGAAACTCATCTGCTCTTGAATGGGCTAAGTTATGTACCACCTGTCAGGGAAGAGCTAAATGGAAACTCAAGCTTTATTTCTCTTTGTCTTGTTCCAGTTTATTCTTTGGGTTATATTTCATCAGCCCTGGGGGTTCCAGAAAGAGATCATGGGAAGACCAAGTATTAGGAAAGAGTGCCTGTTCTGAGTCAAGGTAACCTGGCTTCTGCCACTGGCTCTGCCACTTACAAGCCACTGAGTGGCACACACTAGGTACTCAATAACTGCTTGATAAACAAGTCATGGCACATCCCTGTAGTCCCAACTACTCAGGAGGCTGAGGCAGGAGGATCACTTGAGCCCAGGAGTTTGAGGCCAGCCTGGCCAACATCATGAGACCACGTCTAAAACAAGAAAAATCACATGAAAAGGAAATGATTTTTCTAAAGAACTAAATTATTAATGATTATGGAAAAGATTTCTCTCCTGTGGGTTATGGTAAAATGTGAAACTCTGTTGGGATACCTTTTTTTCGAGACAGAGTCTCACTCTGTCGCTCAGGCTGGAGTGCAGTGCAATGGTGCAATCTCGGCTCAGTGCAATCTCGGCTCACTGCAACCTCTGCCTTGCAGTTTCAAGCCATTCTCCTGCCTCAGCCTCAGCCTCCTGAGTAGCTGGGATTATAGGTATGCGCCACCATGCCCGGCTAATTTTTGTATTTTTAGTAGAGACAGGGTTTCACCATGTTGGTCAGGCTGGTCTTGAACTCCTGACCTCGTGATCCACCCGCCTTGGCCTCCCAAAGTGCTGGGATTACAAGCATGAGCCACTGCACCTGGCTGGGATACTTTTTTTTTTTTTTTTTTTGAGACGGAGTTTCACTCTGTCACCCAGGATAGAGTGCTGTGGCGCAATCTTGGCTCACTGCAACCTCTACCTCCTGGGTTCAAGAGATTCTCCTGCCTCAGCCTCCCCAGTAGCTGAGATTATAGGCACCTGCGACCACGTCTGGCTAATTTTTTTTTTTTTTTTTTTGAGACGGTGTCTTGCTCTGTCGCCCAGGCTGGAGTGCAGTGGCACGATCTCAGCTCACTGCAAACTCCACCTTCCAGGTTTGTCATTCTCTTGCCTCAGCCTCCCAAGTAGCTGGGATTACAGGTGCCTGCCACCACGCCAGGCTAATTTTTGTATTTTTAGTAGAGGCGGGGTTTCACTGTGTTAGCCAGGATGGTCTCCATCTCCTGACCTCGTGATGTGCCCGCCTCGGCCTCCCAAAGTGCTGGGATTACAGGCATGAGCCACCGTGTCCGGCCAATGCCTAGCTAATTTTCATATTTTTAGTAGAGGCGGGGGTTTCACCATGTTGGCCAGGCTGGTCTCAAACTCCTGACCTCAGGCGATCTGCCTGCCTCGGCCTCCCAAAGTGCTGGGATTACAGGCATGAGCCACTGCGCCTGTTGGGATACTTCTGGATTAAAATCCTATGAATATTTATTCTTCAGAGTGTTTTTTTTTTTCCTCCCCATTAAAATGTTTAAGCTTTGATATTTGCAGGAGTGGCAGAATCAGGTTTATAATATCTGCCTGCATCATTTTCAGGTGAGTGGAAATACTAAAAGTATATTAATATAGTAACAGTGGCAAAAGAAAGAAAGAAAAAAAATCATTGGTTTGACAGTGTGGCATATCAGGCCTTGGCTGCTACTTGACATAATCTTGCCAACATCACTCTCAAAGTAATTTCTCTTATTAAATACAGCATAATCACCACCATATTCTGAACATGGATATTTAATATTGGAAAAACTATTTAAAGTATTTGATATATTTAAAGGGACAAGTTGATTTTTATGGAGCCAGTTGATATTAACCTATGCTGTTTTCCACTAAAGTGAATACCCTAGGGAATAAGAAAAGGAGAAGAGAGTTAGATATCCCTTTTAGCGGTCTCATAGCCTAAAAAATTAAACATGACAGAATGTCATTCCACTCTCCAGAAAAAGATATTTGCCAGCACACAAAGCTATTTTAAAATCCCTATTTACCCCGGGTGTGACGGCTCATGCCTGTAATCCCAGCACTTTGGGAGGCTAAGGCGGGTGGATCACCTGAGGTTAGGAGTTCGAGACCAGCCTAGACAACATGGTGACACCCCCATCTCTACTAAAAATACAAAAACTAGCCAGATATGGGCCTGGTGCGGTGGCTTACGCCTGTAATCCCAGCACTTTGGGAGGCCGACCTGGGCAGATCACGAGGTCAGCAGATCGAGACCATCCTGGCTAACGTAGTGAAACCGCATCTCTACTAAAAATACAAAAAAGAAAAAAACCCCACAAAATTAGCCGCAAGTGGTGGCCGGTACCTGCAGTCCCAACTACTCGGGAGGCTGAGGCGGGAGAATGGCGGGAGAATGGCGGGAACCCAGGAGGCGGAGCTTGCGGTGAGCCAAGATTGCGCCACTCCACTCCAGCCTGGGCGACAGAGCGAGACTCCATCCCCCTCCCCCCCAAAAAAAACAAAAAACAAAAACTAGCCAGGTATGGTGGCACGTGCCTGTAATTCCAGCTACTCAGGAGGCTGAGGCAGGAGAATGGCGTGAACCTGGGAGGTGGAGGTTGCAGTGAGCCGAGATCGCACCACTGCACTCCAGCCTGGGCGACAAGAGTGAGACTCTGTCTCAAAAAAAAAAAAAAAAAAAAAAATAGCTGGGCTTGGTGGCGGGCGCCTGTACTCTCAGCTACTCAGGAGGCTGAGGCAGGAGAGTCACTTGAACCCAGGAGGTGGAGGTTGCAGTGAGCCGAGATCATGCCGTTGCAATCCAGCCTGGGAAACAAGAGCAAAACTCCATCTCAAAAAAAAAAAAAAAATCTGAAAGCATAGTACTGGTAGGGTTACTATATTTAGCAAATAAAAATACAGCATGCCCAATTGCATTTGAATTTCGGGCCAGGCTCAGTGGCTTACACTTGTAATTCCAGCACTTTGAGAGGCCGAGGTAGGCAGATCATTTGAGCCCAGAGTTTGAGACGAGTCGGGCCAACATGGCAAAGTCCCTTCTCTAAAAAAGAGAAGATACAAAAATTAGCCGAAAGGCTGGGCGTGGTGACTCACAGCTGTAATCCCAGCATTTTGGAAGGCTGAGGCAGGTGGATCACCTGAGGTCAGGAGTTCAAGACCAGGCTGGCCAACATGGTGAAACCCTGTCTCTACTAAAATACAAAAATTAGCTGGGCATGATGATGGGTGCCTCTAATCCCAGCTACTCGGGAGGCTGAGACGGGAGAATCGCTTGAATCCGGGAGAGGGTGGTTGCAGTGAGCCGAGATTGCGCCATTGCACTCCAGCCTGGGCAGCTGAGCCAGACTCTGTCTCAAAAAAAAAAAAAAAAAAAAAAAAAATTAGCCAAATGTTGTGGTGCATCCCTGTAGTACCAGCTATTTGGGAGGCTGAGGTGGAAGGATCACCTGAGTCCAGGAGATCAAGGCTTCAGTGAGCTGTAATCATGCCACTGCACTCCAGTCTGGACCACAGAGTGAGGCCTTATCTCAAAAAAAAAAAAAAAGAAAAGAAAACTTGTAATCTCAGCACTTTGGGAAGCCGAGGTGGGCGGATCACAAGGTCAGGAGATCGAGACCATCCTGGCTAACATGGTGAAACCCCGTCTCCACTAAAAAATACAAAAAACAAAACAAAACAAAAAAACAACCCAGCACTTTAGGAGGCCGAGGCGGGTGGATCACTGGAGGTCGGGAGTTTGAGACCAGCTTGACCAACATGGAGAAGCCCTGTCTCTACTAAAAATACAAAATTAGCCAGGCGTGATGGCGCATGCCTGTAATCCCAGCTACTCGGGAGGCTGAGGCAGAAGAATCACTTGAACCCGGGAGGCGGAGGCGGAGGTTGCGGTGAGCTGAGATCGCACCATTGCACTCCAGCCTGGGCAACAAGAGTGAAACTCTGTCTCAAAAAATAATAATAATAATTGAATTTCAGATAAACAATGAATAGTTTTTAGTATTTAGTAACCTAACTTGTAACTATTGCTTTTTTTTTTTTCTGAGACAGAGTCTCACTCTGTTGCCCAGGCTGGAGTGCAGTGGCGCAACCTCGGCTCACTGCAAGCTCTGCCTCCCGGGTTCACGCCATTCTCCTGCCTCAGCCTCCCGAGTAGCTGGGACTACAGGCGCCCGCCACCACGCCCGGCTAATGTTTTGTATTTTTAGTAGAGACGGGGTTTCACCGTGTTAGCCAGGATGGCCTCCATCTCCTTGACCTCGTGATCCGCCCGCCTCGGCCTCCCAGAGTGCTGGGATTACAGGCATGAGCCACTGCGCCCGGCAAACTATTGCATATTTTTAGTCTAAGCATGTGTCTAAGCATGTCCCATGAAATAGTTGAGACTATTTACACTAAAAAACTATTCATTTTATCTGCAATTCTAATTTAACTAGGTGTCCTGTTTTTTTATCTGGCCACCCTATTACTGGGGAAAGATACTTGGTCTAACTCTTTCATTACTCTGTAGAACAAGGGGCTCTAACCTGGCTGATGAGAACGTGCCCTTAGGGTTTACTACATGGAATTATAAAGTTATCATGATCATGGTAAAAGGAGAAGAACTGAGCCTTTCTTCTGCTCCATGGATTTCCATTCTGTCTCTCACACTATGAAAGCATTTAAATATATTTCCAATTATTCAGAGTGGTAATGGATTAATTGTACTAAGTAAAGAGAATATTTCATTTAGATCTCTAGGGTTAGGATTTGTTTAAGTAGGGGCTAAGAGCCTAGGATTAACCATATAGATTTATAAACCTAGAGAACTTGTTTCTCTTGCTAGGTTTGCTCTTCCTAGAGAGGAATGAACAGACTTGATTTCATAAAGCAGTTTGAGGACTTGAAAAATGCTGAATGAACATATTTTTTCCTGATTAAGTTATCACCCACAATGAAGTAACCTACAAAGGATGACCTCATTGTTTGGCTTTGTAGGACTTGTCATACTATGTCAGATCTCCAGGGTGGAAGCCTGACTAATGGAGGCTGGAGTACTAGTACTCCAGAGGTGGGTTGAAAACAGCAACTTTTCTCTCAGTCTGCTTTAAGCACTCATGGAAAGAGCATTTTTTTTTAGCATCATGATGCTGTGCTGCACAAGATTCTGTTACCCTCATTTGAGCTGCCTGGTTATTCTAGCAATCAGATCTTTCTGTCTCCTTCCTGTTACCTGGCCTTGACACCAACTATCATGTGCCCTTTTTGCCTTGACTCCCAGGCATGCAGTTCTTCTTCCATTTTCTTTAACCCAAAATGCTAGAATATTGGAATTTCTAGGACATTTATTTACATGGCTTCTGATGACAGTGGAGAATATTTGCCATCAGGACTGTCCTGGAAAATCTAGGGTATGTGTGGTCCTCCTTGTCAACACTTGTCAACACATTTCAACACTTGTCCTCTGAGAGTTATCTAGGACTGCTAGGATATTCAGAAAGAAGAGAGGCCTGGGAGTCAGAAATTCTTCTCATCATGGCTTTTAGTCATTGCTTTGCAGTTAACTCTGGGCAATGACTGCATCTATCTTTGTCCTACATCAGTTTTTGACCCCTTGTACTTGAGGCCCCCTAAAACAATTATAAAGAACAAAACAATAGGAAGTAATTTTCAACTTACTTTGGCTATCCTTAAAATGTAAGTTATGAATCCTAGCGTTAGTAACATAGCATACTGGACTTCTTTACCATGAAGGGGAGGAAAAATTAGGGAAAACAAGGGTCTTAAAGATTTTACCATTTTAGGGCAGACACAGTGGCTCACATCTATAATCCCAGTACTTTGGGGAGGCGGGAGGATCGCTTGAACCAGGAGTTTGAGACCAGCCTGGGCAACATGGTGAAATCCCATCTCTACCAAAAAACTCCACACAAACTAGACAGACCTAGTGGTGCATGCCTGTAGTCCCAGCTACCTGGGAAGCTGAGGTAAAGGATCATTGAGCCTGGGAGGCAGATGTTGCAGTGAGCTGAGATCATATCACCACACTCCAGCCTGGGTGACAGAATGGGACCCTGGTATCAGCTCTAAGAACTGCGACTTGTACAATTCAAGTCTGAACCAAACCTGGATAGAACTATTGTTCTAATTTCTGGAAAAAATAAAAGGAGGCAGGGCTTATAAACTAAAGAAAACGATTTACCTTGTCAGACACCAATAATGGCACTTTTTCTGTAAAATAGTGACGACTTTTTCTCTTCTTCCACCTCCTCCACTCCTTTGATTCTGTCACCCTCTCCTGCATCTACTGATATCCTCTTACACTGAGATAAGACAGTAATGAATCACTTTAGCAAAAGTACATAGAGCTAAACAAAGATGACATCGTTTGGCATCTCTTGGCACTGAGACACATTGGGATAGGGCACAACAAGAGTTCAGGGTTTCCTGATGTAGAGTTGCTAAAACTGTGGCCTCCACTTAACAGCTAATGTAGGTTTGGGGCAACAGGAATATAAATCTCTCTCGAATGGTTTAAATTGTGCCTTTTTGCCTAAAGAATTTTGTCTTGGCCAGGCACAGCGGCTCACGCCTATAATCTCAGCACTTTGGGAGGCCGAGGGGGTGTGGATCACCTGAGGATGGGAGTTCGAGACCAGTCTGACCAACATGGAGAAACCTCGTCTCTACTAAAAATACAAAATTAGCCAGGTGTGGTGGCGCATGCCTGTAATCTCAGCTACTTGGGAGGCTGAGGCAGGAGAATCGCTTGAACCCAGGAGGCAGAGTTTGCAGTGAGCCGAGATTGCACCATTGCACTCCAGCCTGGGCAACAAGAGTGAAGCTCTGAGTTTTGTCTTTTTCTTTTGTGACCTGCCCTAATTCCTGATGTCAGGTCCCTAGGGTATTTGTGCTATGCCTCATTCGTAGTGACTTTATATTTTATACAGTGTGATTGCACTTTGAACTAAAATAGACCATATCCAGAAACCTGCCGGTGCAGGCTTCCCAGGGCTAAAGAGTATGAGCAGTTTGAATTGCTTTTTGTCTCTTTGCCTTTTTCTTGAATCAATTTACCAAAATAGAGATGTTACCATCAGATTTTTTTTAAAGGCACTAGTTCCCAAAGGCTAGTCTCCATGCCAAGACAATTTTTCTAAAGCATGTATATCTGAAAATGAAAGGATCTTAGATGCTTACCTTATGGTTTCTCTTTAGCTCTAGCATTATTTGTTTACTGGGGACACTATGACTTTTGGTTCAGTCCTATGAATAAGCAGGTCACAAGCCAATTTTTAGCTCCCCTTACACTTTTTAAGTATTTATTAATCTTGACTCCTATGCAAACTGTAGGGAGGCTGGCAGCAGAAGATTCTTATCCTTAGTTATTTATGTGGCTAAGACTCCAAGGCAAATTGCTCTCTCAAACTGTAGGGAGGCTGGCAGCAGAAGATTCTTATCCTTAGTTATTTATGTGGCTAAGACTCCAAGGCAAATTGCTCTCATAAAATCACGCCCCATGAGATGTGATTCTGCCAGATTAGTAGGCCTTAATGTCTTGGGTCTCTTCTCTTCACCCCACCCTTAACCTGGGTTAAGCTTATTCTCTTTGCTAGGCCTTGGATAGCACATTGGGTGAGGACTATTCTGATGTCAATTCTTCTTGTCAAGGATTTAAGAAGCAAACAGAAATAGAGCCAAGGGTGGAGAAACTGAGGCCCCCTGACTTGCCAAGCTGCGACTTCTAATCCTCTTGGCTACCCCACTGGTCTGGTTCAACCTGAGCTCGCACTGATTTTTTTGGATTTGACGTCAAGGCAAACATCATTGCAAACTCAATTCCAGCATGCCAGCTCCAGAGCACTGTAACCTTTAAAAACTTGGGATTTCGCCGGGCGTGGTGGCTCACACTTGTAATCTCAGCACTTTGGGAGGCTGAGGCGGGTGGATCACCTGAAGTCAGGAATTTGAGATCAGCCTGCACAACATGGTGAAACCCCGTCTCTACTAATAATAAAAAAAAGCCGGGCATGGTGGCATGCTCCTGTAGTCCCAGCAACTCGGGAGGCTGTGGCAGGAGAATTGCTGGAACCCGGGAGGTGGAGGTTGCAGTGAGCCAAGATCGCACCACTGCGACAGAGAGAGACTCCGTCTCAAAAAAAGAAAAAAAAAAGACTTGGGATTTCAGGAGAAATGTTATAGTAGCATTCCAGAGGCCCACGCATCAGACATAGACATATGCACTCTTTGCAGCAGAGGGTATTGGCTTCACCCTATCATATAAGTTGGCTCCCTAACTTATATTCTGCAAAGCCCTGGTGGCTAACCCTTTACAACCAAACAGGTCACAGCCAAACAGGTCATCTCAGTTTGAAGATCATCAACAAAGGGGTTAGGTTTGCTCTTGTAGTTGTCACTCCCTTGGGATTGGTAAACAGACCTGCAGAAGTAGTTGTGAAAAGGGAAGCAGAAGTACTGAAAAAAAAAAAAAAAGAGGAGGGCTAGAAAGGAAGTGAGAAAGGTGGAAATGTATGTCTTTTTCAACTTCCTAATGGAAAGATACAAAGAGAAATAAAACTATGACCAGATAGGACCTTCCTTTGGCCACATTTTTATGTGCATAATGTCATATTGCTATCCCCAAATAAATAAAACTATGTATCTATCCATCAATCTATCCAATCTATAGCTCATATATTATTATGACAAATTAAGTTATCCATCAGTATAGCAAACATTTTAAAGCATGTGAAATTAATCTACTTTCCTTTCATGAAGAACACAGGATGGGTAGGCAGCATTCCATCTACTCACATTTCCAACTGTCATTTCAACAGCCATTTTAAGTTACGGAAGAGTCAAGGCTGGGACCTCATGGCATCATTTTCCATGGATTGCTCTCCAAGTTTTTGTGTTCCTGGCCTTTGGAACCCCTTCATCATATTCCGCAGGTAAGACACATATTAGTGGAATTCGAGTTATAATTTGTATGCTTGAAATTGACATTGAAGGCCATAATTTGTAAGTCAGAGAGGCTAAACAGTAACTGTAATGCTTTGTTTTGATCTAACTTGGTGGTTTTGTAATGGTTCTCTCAAACGCTCCACATCTTTCTCTTTCTGTGTTCCATAGCTGGGGTTTCTCTCCTTCCTGCCTGAATATTTTGCCTCCCTAATCCAATTCCTTTACATTATCTTTGCTCTGAAATACTTCTTTCGATGACTTACATTTGCTCTCTATAATTTTACTTCAACTTTTTACTAGTCCTGCTACAAAGACCATTCTCACATTAAGAAAATAATAGGCTTTTTTTTTGTTTTTTTTTTGAGACGGGGTCTCGTTTTGTCACCCAGGCTGGAGTGCAATGGCGTGATCTTGACTCACTGCAAACTCCACCTCCTGGGTTGAAGCAATTATCCTGCCTCAGCCTCCCAAGTAGCTGTGATTACAGGCACCCGCCACCACACCCGGCAAATTTTTTTGCATTTCTAGTAGAAATGGGGTTTCACCATGTTCGCCAGGCTAGTCTTGAACTCCTGACCTCAAGTGATCTGCCTGCCTCGGCCTCCCAAAGTGCTGGGATTACAAGCATGAACCACCATGCCTGGCCCAATAATAGGCTTTTTAAGAAATTCTCAAACCACTGGAGAAATCATACTTTTCTTTGAGATAAGCGTGCATTATGCCCACATCTGCTTTACAGGTGGGGAAACTGAGGCAGAGAATTGCTAGGACTTGTTTTAGGTCATAAAGTCAGTGATGATATTGAAACTATTTCTTTTTGTGTCCTCATATTTGTCAGGCTAGTACTTGAAAACTGAAAACAATAGTGGCTCTGGCTAGAATGACTGATTGTTTTTTTTCCTTTCTTTTCTTTCTTAAACTTTTTTTTTTTTAAGAGACAGGATTTCGGCCGAGCGCAGTGGCTCATGCCTGTAATCCCTGCACTTTGGGAGGCTGAGGCGGGTGGATCACCCGAGGTTAGGAGTTTGAGACCAGCCTGGCCAACATGGTGAAACCCCCTCTCTACTAAAAATACAAAAAATTAGCTGGGCGTGGTGGCAGGCACCTGTAATCCCAGCTACTTGGGAGGCTGAGGCAGGAAAATCGCTTGAACCCCCGGGAGGCGGAGGTTGTAGTGAGCCAAGATTGTGCCACTGTACTCCAGCCTGGGCAACAAGAGCAAAACTTTGTCTCAAAAAAAAAAATAAACCAAACCAAAACAAACAGAGACAGGATTTCACTCTGTTGCCCAGGCTGGACTGCAGTGATGCAGTCATAGCTTACTGCAGCCTCAAACTCCTGGATTCAAGGAATCCTCCCACTTTAGCCTCCCAAGTAGCTAGGACTACAGGCATAGGCCACCACACCCAGCTAATTAAAAACATTTTTTTTTTTTTGAGACGGAGTCTTGCTCTGTTGCGCAGGCTGGAGTGCAGTGGCGCGATCTTGGCTCACTGCAAGCTCTGCCTCCCGGGTTCACACCATTCTCCTGCCTCAGCCTCCTGAGTAGCTGGGACTACAGGCACCTGCCACCACGCCTGGCTAATTTTTTTTTTTTTTTTGTATTTTTAGTAAAGACGGGGTTTCACTGTGTTGGCCAGGATGGTCTCGATCTCCTGACCTCGTGATCCGTCTGCCTCGGCCTCCCAAAGTGCTGGGATTACAGGCGTGAGCCACCGTGCCCGGCCAATTTTTTTTTTTTTTTTTGTAGAGATGGGAGTCTCACTATGATGCCCAGAGTGGTCTTGAACTCTTGGCCTCAAGTCATCCTCCTGCCTCAGTCTCCCAAATCTTTGTTAACTTTTTATTGATATATATGGACTTCCATAGGTTTTTCATTTGCAGATTTTCAAAGGTGTGGTAAACAGAGAAGCCTAGAAGCCTGTTAAAAGTAGGGCTAAGGATCTTGGGACATTACTGACTTTCCCATTCCTTCTGAAGCACCATGGAGGGAAATGAATTTCCAAGGGCCCTTGTGTTCTAATTTCTGTTATTTCAGAGAAGCCTGTATGGAGCATATGTTAGGTGGTCATCCAGTCATATTTAAGGGAACTGTGTGTTACCTTCCATTCCTCTAGCCCAAGTTCTAAGTGTGGGTTTATTCTTGACTTGCTGCATTGGAATCTCTTGGATCATGGGACCAAGGATGGGGCCATGTAAGGTTCTCTTCTTTCTCCTCAGCAGGATCAAAAATTACTGCTGCCATGAAGTCTGTGGCCCTAGTGTTTTGTTTTTGTTTTTGTTTGAGATGGACTTTCACTCTTGTTGCCCAGGCTGGAATGCAATGGCGTGATCTTGGCTCACTGCAACCTCTGCCTCCTGGGTTCAAGCGATTCTCCTGCCTCAGCCTCCCGAGTAGCTGGGATTACAGGCATGCAACACCACGCCCAGCTAATTTTGTATTTTTAGTAGAGATGGGGTTTCTCCATGTTGGTCAGGCTGGTCTTGAACTCCCAACCTCAGGTGAGCCGCCCACCTTGGCCTCCCATAGTGCTGGGATTACAGGCGTGAGGCATGGTGCCTAGCCTAGTGTTTTGTTTTTAATCTTTTCTGTGATTTTATAAAAGAAAGTTGCCTCCAGTCTTAGGTTCACGTAGTTTCTCTATGGGGCATACATCTTGTACATACAGGAAAGGCTACAGACTGGGTAAAATATTGTCTCTTGGTTAATTGGTTAGTCAGCTCAATAATAATTGAGATGTACTTTGTGCAGGGTCCAGTACTGAGAGTAATAAAGGAATTAGGAAACAAGCTCTTACTAGTAGTACATCTTGCAAAGATACACATATAAAATAAATTTAAACACAATTATAGGCCAGGCGCGGTGGCTCACGCCTGTAATCCTAGCACTTTGGGAGGCCGAAGCAGGCAGATCACCTGAGGTCGGGAGTTTGAGATCAGCCTGACCAACATGGAGAAACCCCATCTCTACTAAAAATACAAAAAATTAGCCAGACATGGTGGCGCATGCCTGTAATTCCAGCTACTCAGGAGGCTGAGGCAGGAGAATCGCTTGAACCTAGGAGGCGGAGGTTGCAGTGAGCTGAGATTGTGCCATTGCACTCCAGCCTGGGCAACAAAAGCAAAACTCCATCTCAAAAAAAACCCAGAATAAAACAAAAACAACATAATTACAGAGTAACAGTCAGAACAAGTACAAATAAATCAGCAAAAGCCAGTACTTGTGAACTGATGGGAAAAGAGAGTTGGGTGGAGTTAGTCAATGAGGACTTTCTGGAAAAGGTGAGTGTTGAAGGAAGGGAGGGGCCCCGGTTTGCCGAAAAAGATGAGGAGGTCATTCCAGCAATAATGCCTGAGCAATGGTAGAGAAGAGAAGAATGAGCAAGCTGTAAGGGCCAAGCATTAAACCGGTTAGCTTGTTAAGACTGGAGAATATATGTTAAAGGATAAGAAAAAACAAGTCTGGGAAAATGATAAGGACAGTTCATGGAGAGCCTTAAATGGTTATGAATGAAATTTGCTTTAACAGACATAATGAAAATAACATTTTGAGAAGCTGAGAAACAGACGAACTATAATAAAATACAACTGGAGAGTTAGGGCCAGGCGCGGTGGCTCACGCCTGTAATCCCAGCACTCTGGGAGGCCGAGGCGGGCGGATCACGATGTCAGGAGATCGAGACCATCCTGGCTAACACGGTGAAACCCTGTCTCTACTAAAAATACGAAAAATTAGCTGGGCTTGGTGGCGGGTGCCTGTAGTCCCAGCTACTCGCGAGGCTGAGGAAGGAGAATGGCTTGAACCTGGGAGGCGGAGCTTGCAGTGAGCTGAGATCGCGCCACTGCATTCCAGCCTGGGCGGCAGAGCGAGACTCTGTCTCAAAAACAAAACAAAACAAAACAAAACTGGAGAGTTAGAACAACAGGGAATCTGCTGCAAGATTCTCAGGAGAGAAAAAAAAATGCCTAGGTCCTAACTGTGGCTCTGCCAATTATTAGTGTATGACCTTAGGCAAGTCCTTGAATTTCTGTGTGCCTGTTTCCTCAAATGTGAAATGGGGTAATGGTGTCCGCCTCACAGAGTTGTTGAGAATAATTAAATGAATTAATATATGAAAAGTGTTGGCCAGGCATAGTGGCTCACACTTGTAATCCCAGCACTTTGGGAGGCCGAGGTGGGCGGATCACTTGAGGACAGGAGTTCGAGACCAGCCTGGCCAACATGGTGAAATCCCATCTCTACTAAAAATACAAAAAAATTAACGGGTGTGGTGGTGGGCACCTGTAATCCCAGCTACTTGGGTGGCTGAGGCAGGAGAATTGCTTGAACCCAGGAGGTGGAGGTTGCAGTGAGCCGAGCTCACACCATTGCACTCCAGCCTGGGCAACAAGAGTGAAACTCCATCTCAAAAAAAACCCAAAACAAAAGAAAAAAAACAAAATGTTTAGTAAGCACTTGATAAACATTCAATTACAGTTAATTAAATTATTATTATATGGGCTGGGCGTGGTGGTTCATGCCTGTAATCCCAGCCCTTAGGGAGGCCTAGGCAGGTGGATCACCTGAGGTCAGGAGTTTGAGACCAGCCTGGCCAACATGGTGAAACCCAGTCTCTACTAAAAATACAAAAATTAAAAAAAGAAAAAGAAATAAAAAGAAAAAAAAGAAAAAATAAACAAGAAAAACAAAACAAACAAACAAATAAAACTAAAAATACAAAAATTAGCCGGGCATGGTGGCGGGCACCTATAATCCCAGCTACTTAGGAGGCTGGGGCAGGAGAGTCGCTTGAACCCGGGGGGCAGAGGTTGCAGGAGCCAATATCATGCCATTGCAATCCAGCCTGGGCAACAAGATCGAAACTCCATCTCAAAAAAAAAAAAAGTGTTTAGTAAGCACTCGAAAAACATTCAATTACAGTTAATTAAATTATTATTATATGGGCTGGGCACAGTGGTTCATGTCTGTAATCTCAGCCCTTTGGGAGGCCTAGGTGGGCAGATCACCTGAGGTAAGGAGTTTGAGACCAGCCTGGCTAACATGGTGAAACTCCATCTGTACTAAAAATACAAAAATTAGTCGGGCATGGTGGTGGGCGCCTGTAATCCCAGCTACTGAGGAGGCTGGGGCAGGAGAATTGCTTGAACCCATGAGGTGGAGGTTGCAGTGAGCTTAGATCACGCCACTGCACTCCAGCCTGGGTGACAGAGGAGACTCCAGCTCAAAAAAAAAATTATTATATGTTATTTAAATTATTATTTCTCTGACCAGTAAGTGGTCATAGAACTACATATATATAAGAAAAGGCCCCATCTCACACCTTAGTTTGAAAGGATTGCAGCTTTTCAATCTGCCTTTCTGAAAAGTATGTAGGATTCAGAGGCTAAGAGGCCAGGCCCAGAGTCCAAAACTGTGCTGCCCAGTACAAGAGCCACTAACCACACGTGACTACTGATCACGTGAAATGTGGATAGTCAGAATTTAGATGTGCTATAAATGTAAAATACATGCTGGATTTCAAAGTTGGTGTGAACAAAATAAGTAAAATATCTCATTAATTTTTTTTTTTTTGAGACGGAGTTTCACTCTTTTTGCCCAGGCTGAAGTGCAGTGCTGTGATCTCAGCTCACTGCAACCTCCGCCTTCTGGGTTCAAGTGATTCTTCTGCCTCAGCCTCCAGAGTAGCTGGCTAGGATTACAGGCATGCGCCACCATGCCTGGCTAATTTTTGTATTTTTAGTAGAGACGGGATTTCACCATGTTGGTCAGGCTGGTCTTGAACTCCTGACCTCAGGTTATTCACCTGCCTTGGCCTCCCAAAGTGCTGGGATTACAGGCGTGAGCCACCGTGCCCGGCCTCATTAATATTTTTTATATTGATTACATGTTGAAATGATAATATTTTGGATATGTTGGGTTAAATAAGATGTGTTTTCATTTGTTTCCTTTTTACTTTTTTGTGATGTGGCTACTATAAGATTTAATACTACCTAGTGGTTCATAGTATGTTTCTGCTGGACAGTACTGGTCCATTACAACATACTACATTCAGTTTTGGAAATTACTGGGTTCTATCTGAGAAATTTCTATAAAGAAATATGAAGATTATGGATAAATCTCCTTGCCTTTGACACTTTAAATAACATTTTTAAAATTGTTATTTCATTTTTATTTTTTTAGAGACAGGGCCTCACTCTGTCATCTGGAGTGCAGTGGCACCATTACAGCTCACTGCAGCCTCCATCCACCTCCTGGGCTCAAGTGATCCTCCCGTCTCAGCCTCCCGAGTAGCTGGGATCATAGGCACACGTCACCACACCTGGGCCCACTTTTTTTTTTTTTTTTTTGAGACAGAGTCTCGTTGTCGCCCAGGCTGGAGTGTAGTGGCGTGATCTTGGCTCGCTGCAACCTCCGCCTCCCGGGTTCAAGCGATTCTCCTGTCTCAGCCTCCCTAGTAGCTGGGACTACAGGCACATGACACTATGCCAGGCTAATTTTTGTATTTTTAGTAGAGATAGGGTTTCACCATATTGGCCAGGCTGGTCTCGAACTCCTGACCTCGTGATCCACCTGCCTCAGCCTCCCAAAGTGCTGGGATTACAGGTGTGAGCCACCGTACCTGGCCCTGGCCCCCCTTTTTAAAGATAATTTCAGTTACATTATATATATATATATATATATATATATATGCATTTGTATATATACCTCCTCAATTTGCAAGGTATCTACAGAACTGAGAGAGCCACAGATAGTTCACCATTAAAGAGGCCATGATTGCTGAAGGATCTTTTAGTTTAAAAAGAAACAAAGATGAAAATGGGGAAAAGGTGAAACATCCCATTTTATTTATTTATTTATTTATTTATTTATTTATTTTGAGACAGAGTCTCACTCTGTCGCCCAGGCTGGAGTGCAGTGGCGCAATCTCGGCTCACTGCAACCTCCACCTCCAGGGTTCAAGCGATTCTCCTACCTCAGCCTCCCGAATAGCTGGGACAACAGGCGCCCGCCACCAAGCCCGGCTATTTTTTTTTTTTTTGTATTTTTAGTAGAGACGGGGTTTCACCATATTGGCCAGGCTGGTCTTGAACTCCTAACCTTGTGATCCGCCCGCCTCGGCCTCCCAAATTGCTGGGATTACAGGCGTGAGCCACCGCGACCGCCCGAAACATCCCATTTTAAACATTAAATCATGGAAACAAAAATACAGTTTTTGAAATCACTCCCTCAAAAGTCCAAATCTCATTGGTTGAAGTAACCTAGATTATTAAAGGTTTTTTTTTTTTTTTTTTTTTTTGAGACGGAGTCTTGCTCTGTCGCCCAGGCTGGAGTGCAGTGGTGTGATCTCGGCTCACTGCAAGCTCCGCCTCCCGGGTTCACGCCATTCTCCTGCCTCAGCCTCCTGAGTAGCTGGGACTACAGGCGCCCGCCACCACGCCCGGCTAATTTTTTGTACTTTTAGTAGAGACGGGGTTTCACCATGTTAGCCAGGATGGTCTCGATCTCCTTGACCTCGTGATCCGCCCGCCTCGGCCTCCCGAAGTGCTGGGATTACAGGCGTGAGACACTGCGCCCGGCTATTAAAGGTTTTATAACAAAACTTTCAAATCATCCTTTGAATTTGCTACTTAACAGGAACTAAGGCCAGAGAGCCTCAAGTCAGGGCTTTTCGCTGACCTGGAGGCAGAATCCAGTTTGGGGTTTTGCTTGTAACTGGTATTTTATGCATGCGACCCTGGCTGAACTGACCAACTGCGTAGGCTTCAATTTCCCGAGGGCCCCTTATGCCTTTCCTTCCTCTGATCAAGCCCTTCCCGGCTCCTTCCAGTTGGAAGGCCGCCCCCAGTCCTGAGCGGCGCCGACAGGTGCAGCGCCCGCCTCCAGCCCTGCGCTCGCGCGAGCAACCCGACGCCCTCCCGCCCCGCCGGCCGCGCCCTCGTCCTCGCCGCTCCGCCCTCTGCCCAGGCGTGCGCGCGCACTCCACGGGGGCGCGCCCGGCCGGCGGGGCCGCGCACGCAGCCGCCGCCACCACTTCCCCCTCTCCCTCCCTCCTTGCGGGCCCTCCTCCCCTTCCCTCCCCTCCGCCCCCTTCCCCGTAGGCAGCCCGCCCGCCAGTCCGCCCGCACCGCCTCCTTCCCAGCCCCTAGCGCTCCGGCTGGGTCTCTCCCCCGCCCCCCAGGCTCCCCCGGTCGCTCTCCTCCGGCGGTCGCCCGCGCTCGGTGGATGTGGCTGGCAGCTGCCGCCCCCTCCCTCGCTCGCCGCCTGCTCTTCCTCGGCCCTCCGCCTCCTCCCCTCCTCCTTCTCGTCTTCAGCCGCTCCTCTCGCCGCCGCCTCCACAGCCTGGGCCTCGCCGCGATGCCGGAGAAGAGGCCCTTCGAGCGGCTGCCTGCCGATGTCTCCCCCATCAACTACAGCCTTTGCCTCAAGCCCGACTTGCTGGACTTCACCTTCGAGGGCAAGCTGGAGGCCGCCGCCCAGGTACAGCGACCCTCGGGCCCCGGGGCAAGCTGCGGGGCGAGCAGTTAGGCCGCGCCCGCGGGCTGGACTCAGGGCCCGGCCGGGAGGGCGGGCGGGCCTCGGGTCGGGGCTGGGCGGCCGCAGGGCGCCGGGTTCGGCGTGCTCTGCCTTGCTCTGTTGGGGCTGGGGCTGGGGCTGGGGCTGGGGCCGGGGCAGGGACCGTGGCCGGAGCTGAGGCTGGGGCTCGGGCTGGGGCCGCGCTGCGGGAGCTCTGGGGAGCCGGCGGCCCGGCCATTGCGCCCCTCCCCGGCGAGCACACCTGTGTGGGGCTTTCCCCCCCGCCCCGGACCCTTCTGGGCTTGATAGTGTTCCGGGGGAGGCTGGAGGGTGTTGGGGGAGGACGGAGAGGTCATGGGAGTCCCCGCTCTGCCTCAACCACCTGACTCAGTTCTTTCTTTGGTTTCTCTCTACACCTCTCGGGTGATAGATTGGAGGGGGTGGTCATTTGGGACTCTGGCCGCCGCGTTGGAGCGACGAGGGGAGCTTCTAGAAGGGGGGGGAGAGGGTGAGAACGAGAATGTTAATCCCAGGCAGCCTCGCTGACTTCTCCCCGCCTGCTCCAGCCCAGGGGCTGGGTTTCCAAGATGATCCGCCCCCTCCCCCTTTCCCTCAAGTGACAGTGCAGCAGTGACTTTGTTCTCTCTTAACCTCCAGAGAAGCTGCGGGAGGACCCCATCTCCGCTTTTCCACCTATCTTCCTAGCTTTGCGGCCTTCGAAGCTGGTGGATTTATTGCTACCGTGATGGTTGCTTAGCAGTACCTTCCTCTCCCAAGAAGCTGGCTGGGCGCGGTGGCTCATGCCTGTAATCCCAGCACTTTGGGAGGCTGAGGCGGGCGCACTTGAGGTCAGGAGTTCGGGACCAGCCTGACCAACATGGTGAAACCCCCGTCTCTACTAAAAATACAAAAATTAGCGGGGCGTGGTGGCGGGCCCCTGTAATCTCAGCTACTCGGGGGCTAAGGCAGGAGAATCACTTGAACCCGGGGGGCAGAGGTTGCAGAGTCGAGATCGCGCCACTGCATTCCTGCATTCCAGCCTGGGCGACAGAGTGAGACTCCGTCTCAAAAAAAAAAAAAAAAAAAAAAAGGAAAGAAAGAAGCTATTAGTTATAACATACCACCGGTGAAAATATTCCATTACTCTTCACTGCAGTTTTTGGTGAATCATACTCCACTCCCTCCTCCCGCAGCATTATCTGAAGTATTGTTTGATTTTGGAGACCATCAGTATAGATGCCCGACAAACATCCTGCACAATAGGCATTTATGATACTATGTAATAGGAAGCCTGTAATAAAAATGGGAACTGTTTGATAGTTATCTGTAAATAGAATGTTAGTAAATATATTTTGTTTCATTTCTCTTCCTACTGCAGTCTGGGGTCGGGGGAAATCAGTAGGCTCCCACCTTAAAGAACATGGTGTATATAGTAATGAAATGAAGTGAAGACTGGTGCTCGAATGAATTGAATGTTGGTAGTTGTCTTTGAAAAACCAAGAGGGTACGGTACTCAGATTAAAAATATGTCTAAAAGTACAGAATTTAAAAGTATAGTTATCTATACTTATCTGTGATAGATAACTATAGCTGTCACATTTGGAGCACTGGTGTGAAAGCAAGAGGGCTCTAGGATTTGGCAGCATCAAAAGGCAGAACTTAGTGAAAATCAGGTGATTTAAAATTTTTCCATTAAGAATATGAATCAGAACGAATGCATCTTGGGTCTAAATTAGAATTTGAGAAGGTTATTTGGGAAACTGTGGCTTAAGCCAAGTGACTAGAGTGTTTGATATATATTGGCAAGGGGCAGATGGGAGGGATTGTAAACAGTAGTGTGTCTTGTGACTTGGCAAACCTTTGGGAAAGAGAACCTAGTGATGAATGAGTTCGCATTATGTGAAAAGACTAACATTAAAAAAAACATTTGTTTCTTTACCCTATTAGTTGCCAAAATGGATTCATAATTTTTGGAGGCAAACATATTTTGGGAAAAGTCTAGAAAAAAGTACAGATTTTTAAATGATTACTTATTAAAGAAGTGAGTTTGATTTAAGTATCGGGATAGAACAACAAGCAGTGACATGTTTCTCCTTACCTCTTTTCTACTTTTGTGGAAGACTGGTTTGTGCCATTGAGTGAGCATATGGTAATATACTAGATATTAGCAGGGACTTGTTAATTTGATGCAAGGAAATAAATAAAAAATAAATAAATTTTTTAAGTAGCATGAACTTTTCAAAACACTTTTTTTCCAGAAATTCTTTTCAGGCTAGATGGCAACACAAAGATGACACAATAGTGAATTCCAACAGGTTTTATTAAAGGATGATTGGACTTTTAAATTGTACTAATTGACATGTTTGGAAGGGTAAAAGAGGAATTAACATTGGTAAGAAGTAAAAAGCATATATTAATGTTTTTGAAATCCATGAATTAGAGCAATACGTTTAAATTGTGGCATTAGGTGGTATCTTGTGGGCATTTTAAAATATTGACAAAATTCTTTTTTTTTTTTGAGATGGAGTCTCGCTCTGTCGCCCAGGCTGGAGTGCAGTGGCACGATCTCGCCTCACTGCAAGCTCTGCCTTCCGGGTTCACGCCATTCTCCTGCTTCAGCCTCCCAAGTAGCTGGGACTACAGGTGCCCGCCACTGCACCCAGCTAATTTTTTGTATTTTTAGTAGAGACAGGGTTTTACTGTGGTCTCGACCTCCTGACCTCGTGATCTGCCCGCCTTGGCCTCCTAAAGAGCTGGGATTACAGGCGTGAGCCACTGTGCCCGGCGACAAAATTCTTATCTGTAGAAACCTATATTTATGACTGATATTGGATCAGTTTCCTAACAGTTGGAATCACATAACACAAAACATGCAAGTTGCTTAGTTGCTTTAGTTACAAAATTTTACGATAAGCCCAGAGTATTTGTGTAGGTTACATATTAGAAACTTAGTGGATTTATTTTATTTTTTATTTTTATTTTTTTGAGATGGAGTTTCGCTCTTTCTCCCAGGCTGGAGTGAAGTGGTGTGATCTCGACTCACTGCAGCCTCCACCCTGTGCCCCTGCCGGGTTCAAGCGAGTCTCCTTGCCTCAGCCTCCTGGGTAGCTGGGACTACAGGTGTGTGCCATCACGCCCAACTAATTTTTGTATTTTTAGTAGAGATGGGGTTTTGCCATGTTGGCCAGGCTGGTCTCGAACTCCTGACCTCAGGTGATCCCCTTCCCTTGGCCTCCCAAAGGGCTGGGATTATAGGCATGAGCCACCATGCCCGGCCAACTTAGTGGATTTTTAACCTGGCCTGGGGTGTGGACTGCTGCAGAAGGTGAAGAAATTAGTCCATGTTCAGTGATTTAAAAATCAATTGTCTTGGCCGGGCACGGTGGCTCACACCTGTAATCCCAGCACTCTGGGAGGCCGAGGCGGGCGGATCACGAGGTCAGGAGATCGAGACCATCCTGGCTAACACGGTGAAACCCCATCTCTACTAAAATACAAAAAATTAGCTGGGCGTGGTGGCGGGAGCCTGTAGTCCCAGCTGCTCAGGAGCCTGAGGCAGGAGAATGGCGTGAATCTGGGAGGCGGAGCTTGCAGTGAGCTGAGATTGCGCCACTGCACTCCAGCCTGGGCAACAGAGCAAGACTCTGTCTCAAAAAAAAAAAAAAAAAAAAAAAAAAAGGCTGGGCGCGGTGGCTCACGCCTGTAATCCCAGCACTTTGGGAGGCAGAGGCGGGCAGATCATGAGGTCAGGAGATCGAGACCATCCTGGCTAACCCAGTGAAACCCCGCCTCTACTAAAAATACAAAAAATTAGCCGGGCGTGGTGGCGGGTGCCTGTAGTCCCAGCTACTCGGGAGGCTGAGGCAGGAGAATGGTGTGAACCCGGGAGGCGGAGCTTGCAGTGAGCCGAGATCGCGCCACGCACTCCAGCCTGGGTGACAGAGCGAGGCTCCGTCTCAAAAAAAAAAAAAAAAAAAAATTAGTTGTCTTTCACATTAGTGTGGTCTAGCTGGTTTTGAAAATTTGTTATTATACAGAAGTTTCTCTAGGCCCAAAATTTATTTCATTCCCTGTCCCCTCCCTTTACACTGGATACTTGAGAGCAGTGGACTTTTGTAGATATTTCATATTTTGATCCTCTCCGTTTGTGGATAATTAATTAAAATGAATTATAAGTTTATGTGTGTGACTACTATTTATGATTATGAGTGTGTAGTGGTTGGTACAATAATTGGGTATTCTTTTTTTTTTTTTTTTTTTTTTGAGATGGAGTCTTGCTCTGCCACCCAGGCTGGAGTGCAGTGGCGGGATCTTGGCTCACTGCAGCCTCTGCCTCCCGGGTTCAAGCAATTCTCCTGCCTCAGCCTCCTGAGTAGCTGGGACTACAGGCACGCGCCGCCATGCCTGGCTGATTTTTTTGTATTTTTAGTGGAGATGGGGTTTCACCATATTGGCCAGGATGGTCTTGATCTCCTGACCTCATTCCATCTTCCTCGGCCTCCCAAAGTGTTGGGATTACAGGCGTGAGCCACCGTGCCCAGCTGGGCTTTCTCTTATGGAAATATTTTACCTGTGCCAGAGAAACTAAGTTTATCATTCAAGGCCAGAAATCAGGATATCCTAGCCAACCCCTGGCCTCTACTAACAAAATATACATGTTGGAGATAACTAAATTGGCACTAAGTGAATAGTTGCCAATATAGTAGTTTGTTTGGCAGATTAAAAATTTGGCACCTGAATGGTTATTGTCAATTCTGTGTTACAAATTTTTTGCCCAAATTCTGCATATTTTCTCTCTTTTTTTTTTTTTTTTTTTTTGAGATGGAGTTTCGCTCTTGTTGCACAGGCTGAAGTGCAGTGGCATGATCTCGGCTCACCGCAGCCTCTGCCCCCCCAGGTTCAAGCAATTCTCCTGCCTTAGCCTCCCAAATAGCTGGGATTACAGGCATGCGTCACCACGCCCAGCTAATTTTTTCTGTTTTTAGTAGAGACGGGGTTTCTCCATGTTGGTCAGGCTGGTCTCGAACTCCCGACCTCTGGTGATCCACCCACCTCAGCCTCCCAAAGTGCTGGGATTATGGGCGTGAGCCACCGAGCCACCGTGCCTGGCTTCTTTTTTTTTTTTTTTTTTTTTTTTGAGACGGAGTTTTGCTCTTGTTGCCCAGGCTGGAGTGCAATGGCGCGATCTCGGCTCACCGCAACCTCTGCCTCCCAGGCTCAAGTGTTTCTCTTGCCCCAGCCTCCAGAGTAGCTGGGATTACAGGCGCGCACCACCAAGCCCAGCTAATTTTTTGTATTTTTAGTAGAGAGATGGTTTCATCATGTTGGCTAGGCTGGTCTCAAACTCCTGACCTCAGGTGATCCACCCGCCTTGGCCTCTCAAAATGCTGGGATCACAGGCATGAGCCACCGTGCCTGGCCATTTTCTGCATATTTTCTATGTAATCATTTTGGCCAACACTGTGGCTCACTCCTGTAATCTTAGCACTTTGGGAGGTGGAGGTGGGAGAATTGCTTGAGCACAGGAGTTTGATACCAGTGTGGGCAACATAGCAAGACCCTGTCTCCAGGAAAAAAAAAAGGAAGAAATTTTCTTAAAAAAAATTCATATATATAAAATTAAATTCAAAATATTGGTGATAAGGAATTGAATTTGTTCAGATTTTCTGTTTTTTGAAATGTATCTGTGAGGAAAGAAGTATAACAGTTTTGTATGCTAAGCTTTGTCTAATTCATCTGGCAATGAATTCTGCAGTGAATTTTCCAGATAACTGAAGTTTACCCTTTGAGGCCCTTAGACATTTTTAAAAAAGTTTACTAGGCTGGGTGTGGTGGCTCACGCCTGTAATCCCAGCACTTTGGGAGGCTGAGGTGGGTGGATCATGAGGTCAGAAGTTTGAGACCAGCCTGGACAACATGGTGAAACCCCGTCTCTACAAAAAAATACAAAAATTAGCCGGGCGTGGTGGCACATGCCTGTAATCCCAGCTACTCGGGAAGCTGAGACAGGAGAATTGCTTGAACTCGGGAAGCGGAGGAGCGGAGGTTGCGGTGAGCTGAGATCACGCCATTGCACTCCAGCCGGGGTGACACAGCGAGACCCTGTCTTTAAAAAAAAAAAAAAAGTTGACTAATCTGAATGGAAATATTTCTAAAATACATTATCTTTTTATGCTTTGCAATTCCTCATAGTGTAGGTTTGTTTCATTGTTTTTTTTAAATACTGAACTTTATTTTGAACATCTCTCATTGACCCCAAACTATGTACTATAATTTATCAGTTTCATATCTGTTTTTTTTTTTCTTTTTTTTTTCTTTTTGAGACGGAGTTTCGCTCTGTTGCCCAGGCTGGAGTGCAGTGGCACAATCTCGGCTCACTGCAACCTCCGCCTCCCAGGTTCAGGCAGTTCTCCTGCTTCAGCCTCCCTAGTAGCTGGGATTACAGGCATGCACCACCACGCCTGGCTAATTTTGTATTTTTAGTAGAGACAGGGTTTCACCATGTTGGCCAGGCTGGTCTTGAACTCCTGACCTCAGGTGATCTGCCTGCCTCCGCCTGCCAAAGTGCTGGGATTACAAGTGTGAGCCACCGCGCCTAGCCATATCTGTTCTTTTTTTTTTTTTTTTTTTTTTTGAGACAGAGTCTCACTCTGTTGCCTAGGCCAGGCTGGAGTGTGCAGTGGTGCGATCTCGGCTCACTGCAACCTCCACTTCCCTAGTTCAAGGGATTCTTCTGCCTCAGCCTCCCTAGTAGCTAGGATTACAGGTGCATGCCACCACACCTGGCTAATTTTTGTATTTTTCTAGAGACCAGGTTTCGCCATGTTAGCTAGGCTGGTCTCAAACACCCGACCTCAGGTGATCCGCCTGCCTCTGCCTCCTAAAGTGCTGGGATTACAGGCATGAACCACCGCGCCTAGTCCATATCTGTTTTCTTTTTTTTTTTTTTTTTTTTGGAGACAGAGTCTTGCTCTGTCGCCAAGGCCGGAGTGCAGTGGCGTGATCTCAGCTCACTGCAACCTCCGCCTCCCGGGTTTAAGCGATTCTCCTGCCTCATCCTCCCAAGTAGCTGGGACTACAGGCACCTGCCATCATGCCAGGCTAATTTTTGAATTTTTAGTAGAGAAGGGGTTTCACCATATTGGCCAGGCTGGTCTCGAACTCCTGACCTTGTGATCCACCCGCCTCGGCCTCCCAAAGTGCTGGGATTACAGGCCTGAGCCACCGCACCCGGCCAGCCTGTATCTGTTCTTTAAAGTTGTTTTGTTTTCCTTACTCTCATGTTCTTCTTGCTGCTTATTGTGCCTTGTTGCTGCCTGTTGTGCAATTTCTTCCCTCTTGTATTTTACTGAACTTCATCTGAAGAAGCCTTAGTAGCCAGATAAACAAGCTTGTTTGGGCTAAAAAATCAATTGCTGTGTGAGAGTTTGTTGGATTCTCTTCTGAGTAAAGGGTATGCGTTTTATTGTACGGACTTTGTATCACCTATTTTGGCTTTTCATCTAGGCCTTTTTTTTTTTTTTTTCTTTTTTCTTTTTAGCCTCCTGGTTCTAGATACAACTGATACTCTGATACAACCTGGGTAAATGTGGTCTTGAGTAGTAAATTATCTGTGAAGCTTCTCCGAACTTTGCCACATAAATGAGCCTGCTCTTATTGTGAAGTAAATCTTACTCTAATCTGTATGTGAGTCAGTGGGAAATATCTGAGCCTTCGGATGGCTTTTGTTAACTGAGATTAGTTCTCTAGATTTTAGTGATTTCGTTTTGAACACCATACAAGTATGTGGTCCTTGGTTTATTTGGTCACTTGTAATCTCTTTAAAATTTTATTTTAAATTAGGAAATATTTTAGAAATACAAGAAAGTCACACACTATGAGATTAAACAGATGTTAACGTTTTGCCCCATTTTCATCAGACTGTGCATGCTTTTTTTGGGGGGGGAATAAAATGTCACAGATATCACTAAAGCCCATTTCCATCTCGTCCCACCCTGCCTCTAGAAGTAACTTCTTTCTTCAGGTAGGTGCGTATTATTCCTTTTTATTCCTATGTATAGTTTAAAACTTTAATTGCATATTAGTAGCCACAAACATCACATACCAATATTCTGTGCCTTTTGCATTTTTACATTAATGGTAATTATTTTTGACCTTCTGCAAGTGGCTCTTTTCAATGTTTCTTGTTAGAAAACTTGGCTCAACTTGAGTTTACTAATTATCTGCTTCTTCTTGTCTTTAGCTATTATAGAACTGTTCCACCAAGGCAACAATTATTGCTATTTTAATGGTGAAATCAGTTTTATTAGGCAAATTGACTCAGGCTTCAGACTGGCATTTGGAATTGTCACACTGGAGATTTTCTTTTACTGAAATCTCAGGACATTGACAATCAGAAAAAAACCCTCTTGAGTCTTACTATCTTACATGTAAGATATGTTCCTGAGTGACTGTAGTAAAGACTCATTCAGGAAAATGTTATCTCCGATTTCTGCCTCCCTATCTCATAGGAAACTTCCATTGTAAAGTTGTTACCAGGCGTCAAGCTGCCTCTTTGGTACAGCCCTTACTTAGTATTTGGCTCAGTTGAAGTGCAGTCTATATAGGAGGCCAAGAAGACTTAATCCTGGGTTTGAAACAAAGCAAGGATACACTAACATTCTATCCTTTAATAACATCAAGTAGAAAAATTGAAAATGAGCTTGTTATCAGTGCACTTTTATATGCCAACCTTGTTTCACTTGTGTTTTAAACTGGGAAACTGAAGATTTTAATGCTGAAATTTCTTTGAATTATTACCTGTTTTTTTGATAGTGGAACACACAGCTAATATTTACTAACATGAAGGTGTCAAAGGTGGGAAATCATGTACTACACCATCAGGTCAGCACTACTGTTTGGAAGAGCAGCATCACAATGAGCAGTGTTATACTGCGTTGTAGTCAGCACATACACTTATGTCCAAACAGATATTTTAAATTACCTTCTTGGGGTAGTACACATGTGCTGATATCCAAAGTGCCATATAATACAATACATAGTTTTTAAACTTCATATCATTCTGATCAGAAGCTTTATAAACTGTTAGGTGAATGCTGTTAGATGATATGAGAGCACAATTTAACCTGTGTGTGTGTATGTGTATGTCTTAACATCTATTAAGTGATGACTACATATGAAGCACTAAGTGCTAAAACAGAGACTTTACATAGATTATCCCATTATTGGTCAACTTTTTAAATAAGTGCATCTCTAATATAAGACAAGATGCTGACCAATTTTTAAAATGTGAATGGATTTCTATTTTTAAGATAAGTACCTTTGTTCCTTTGGTTCCTCCCTCCCACCCTTCCAGAAATGGTAGTATCCTGGAAAAAAAAAATTAGTAACAATTCAAGAAACAGCTTAATTCATTAGTATAAATAGATGAGTTTCCCTTAAACACAGGAGGAGTTGGAAGGTACTTGTAATTGGATGTTGTGCATGGTGCCTTTCCAAAATGCACAAATACTTTCTCTCGAATGGTTGCAGTAGTAATGTGCTGTGTGATTTGGCATGTATAGTGTTGTACAGGTATCTTGACATTGGTGGATTAACTGCTTGGCTACTGTGAAATTCACTGTAGATGTTGATGGATGAAAGTGTGGTTGCCTAGATAATGATTAAGACCAGTAACTAAACCACAGTTATTATTTTGCTGGCATAAACTTCAAACTCAGAAAGGTTTTTATTCATTTCACCCATTGGAGCATACCCCAGTAAGTGCTTCATTTCTTTGTGTTTCTGATTTTTTTTTTTTTTTAAGATGGAGTCTTGCTTTTGTCGCCCAGGTTGGAGTGCAATGGCGCGATTTCGGCTCACTGCAACCTCCGCCTCCTGGGTTCAAGCGATTCTCCTGCCTCAGCCTCCCGAGTAGCTGGGATTACAGGCGCCTGCCACCACGCCCAGCTAATCTTTGTATTTTTAGTAGAGATGGGGTTTCACCATGTTAGCCAGGCTGGTCTCGAACCCCTGACCTCGTGATCCACCCACCTTGGCCTCCCAAAGTGCTGGGATTACAGGCATGAGCCGTCGTGCCCAGCCATGTTTCTGAATTTTTAAGTCAACTTCTGAATAGGCAAAGAATTCTTTTTGTTTTTTTGTTCAACTTTAGTGCTATAAATCGCCAGTTGGACACAAAGGTTTTAGTGCTATTTAGGTATGTTTTGGTGAAATAGTGTGAAGGAATATTGCTGCTTAAAAGATAAGCCATTCATTAAATGACATCTTTGTTTTGAAACATGAAGATTTATGAGAAGCATTTTTTTTGTGAGCCAAAGTAGTTTCACTTTATGTGTTAGAGATTTTGAATAGCTCATTATAGACTTTGTAATTTACTGTCTCTCATTTAGGCAGGTAATTTTAGTTGCCAGCTAATCATGTTTAAATATGTATTGGTTATTAATAAATGATTACCCATATACAGGTCTTTCATGCAGATATCGTACTACTCTGATGTTCTTACCTAGTTTTGTGGTATGTTCAGTTGTCTAAGAGCATTGTTGATCTGCACACAGATTTTGTTTGGTCTATACAGTGTTTCTGAAAACTTGAATTAGTTACCATTAATAAAAAACGGGAGACTGCGCATGAAATCTGAATTTGTAGCTTTTTTAAAAAAAATTGGAAGATCAGGCCAGGTGCGGTGGCTCATGCCTGTAATCCCAGCACTTTGGGAGGCCGAGGCGGGCAGATCACCTGAGGTCGGGAGTTTGAGACCAGCCTGACCAACATGGAGAAACCCCGTCTCTACTAGAAATACAAAATTTACCGGGCGTAGTGGCACATGCCTGTAATCCCAGCTACTAGGGAGGCTGAGGCAGGAAAATCGCTTGAACCTGGGAGGCGGAGGTTGCGGTGAGCCGAGATCACGCCATTGCACTCCAGCCTGGGCAACAAGAGCGAAGCTCCGTCTCAAAAAAAAAAAAAAAAAAAAAAAATTGGAAGATCTGTCAGCACTAAACCTGCCAGTCACCATAGTGATAATTCATTGGCTCCAAGAAATGGCTACCATCTCCTCCTTTTAAGGGGTTGTGCACAGCTTCCACATGGCTTGCTATACTTACCTGCCTCAGGAAGCATTTCTTTGTGATTTAGGGCATCTGTGTTTTTGTTATTTTAGATTTAGAACATTCAAATGTCTGGAAATGAATTTGAAGTTTTGTTTAAAACAACAAAATAAATGCATATAAGCAAGGTTATGACTAAATTGAAAAATGCACAAGAGGCCAGGCGTGGTGGCTCACGTCTGTAATCTCAGCACTTTGGGAGGCTGAGACGGGCGAATCACGAGGTCAGGAGTTTGAGACCAGCCTGACCAACAAGGTGAAACCCCATCTCTACTAAAAATACAAAAATTAGATGGGTGTGGTGGTGCACACCTGTAATCCCAGCTACTCAAGAGGCTGAGGCAGGAGAATCGCTTGAACCTAGGAGATGGAGGTTGCAGTGAGCCAAGATCGCAAGATCGCATCATTGGCACTCCATCCTGGGCGAGAGAGCGAGACTCCATCTCAAAAAAAAAAAAAAAAAAGAAAAATGCACAAGAGTGTTAAACAAGCAGTTCACAGTGGAAAAACTTAATGGCGCGCACACACACACACACGAGAAAAGATGCGTAGTAACCAATGTTATTAGTAATCAGGGAAATTCTGATTAAACCAATGGACTATCAGTAAAAAAATTTTTTTTTTTTTTAAATTTTTGAGACAAAGTTTTGCTCTTGTTGCCCAGGCTGGAGTGCAATGGCTCAGTCTAGCTCACTGCAACCTCCACTGCCTGGGTTCAAGTGATTCTCCTGCTTCAGCCTTCCAAGTAGCTGGGATTACAGGCGCGCACCACAGGCCTGGCTAATTTTTTTTTTTTTTTTTTTTTTTAGTAGAAATGGGGTTTCACCATGTTGGTCAGGCTGGTGTTGAACTCCTGACCTCAAGTGATCCACCCACCTCAGCCTCCCAGAGTGCTGGGATTACAGGCGTGAGCCACTGTGCCTGGCCAGGACTATCATTTAATACCCATTAGATTGTCAAAAATATTAAAGTTTTTCAGAACATGCTGAAAGTGGGATTTCTTCATTCTTTGCTCATGGGAATGTCAGTTGACACCACTCTAGAGGATAATTTGGCAGTTCTTGGTAAAGTTGAAGATTTATGTCCAACAATCCAGAAAGTCCACTATTAGGTTCCTTTCCATGGAAAAATTCTCTCATGTGTGCACAGGAAAACATGGACCAAGATGCTAGTTTGTTTGTTTGTTTGTTTGTTTATTTATTTATTTATTTTTGAGACAGAGTCTTGCTCTGTTGCTCAGGCTGGAGCGCAGTGGCACAATCTCCGCTCACTGCAAGCTCCGCCTCCCAGGTTCACATCATTCTCCTGCCTCAGCCTCCCGAGTAGCTGGGACTACAGGCACCTGCCACCATGCCCGGCTCATTTTTTGTATTTTTAGTAGAGACGGGGTTTCACCGTGTTAGCCAGGATGGTCTCGATCTCCTGACCTCATGATCCGCCTGCCTCGGCCTCCCAAAGTGCTGGGATTACAGGCGTGAGCCACCGTGCCCGGCCTTAATTTTTGTATTTTTAGTGGAGATGGGGTCTCTCTACTCTCTATGTCAGCCAGGCTGGTCTTGAATTCCTGGCCTCAAGTGATCTGCCTGCCTGACCCTCCAGAAGTGCTAGGATTACAGGTGTGAGCCACCACACTCGGCGGTAAGAGTTATTGTATAAAGTTTTGACATAATTTATAGTGTCAGCCTTCTTCCTCTATCCTCACAGAAGGCCTCATGGTGAGTTCGATGTGCAGGTTAAAATATATAATTATTGCAATATGTTGTAAGAAATGTTTCCTAATTAAGATTTTTATGAAATTAAACGTATTTATTTATTTATTTATTTATTTATTTATTTATTTATTTATTTATTTTGAGATAGAGTTTCACTCTGTTACCAGGCTGGAGTGTAGTGGCAGGATTTCAGCCCACTGCAATCTCTGCCTCCCGGGTTTAAGCAATTGTCGTGCCTCAGCCCCCTGAGTAGCTGGAATTATGGGCCTATGCCACCTTGCCTGGCTGATTTTTGTATTCTTTTTTTTTTTTTTTTTTTTGAGACGTAGGCTCACTCTGTCGCCCAGGCTGCAGTGCAATGGTGCGATCTCGGCCCATTGCAAGCTCACCTCCTGGGTTCAAGTGATTCTCCTGCCCCTGCATCGTGAGTAGCTGGGATTACAGGTGTGTGCCACCAGACCTGGCTAATTTTTAGTAGAGATGGGGTTACACCATGTTGGCCAGGCTGATCTCAAACTCCTGACCTCAAGTGATCCGCCTGCCTCGGCCTCCCAAGGTGCCAAGATTACAGGTGTGAGCCGATGCCCCCAGCCTATTTTTATTTTTTGAGACAGAGTCTCACTCTGTTGTTCAGGCCGGAGGTCAGTGATGTAATCATAGCTCACTGCAGCCTTGCTTGACCTCCTGGGCTTAAGGGATCCTCCTCCCTCAGCCTCTCCAGTAGTTAGGACTGTAGGTGGATACCATCACACCCACCTAATTAAAAAAATTTTTTTTGTCTCACTGTGTTGCCCAAGCTGGTCTTGAATTTTTGACCTCAAGTAATCCTCCTGCCTCAGCCTCCCAAAGTGTTGGGATTACAGGCATGAGCCACTGTGCCCAGCCCTTTAATAGTTTAAAGTCAAAGTTTAAGTAGAAAACATTATTTTATTTGGCTCATTGGTTAGATGTAAGTGATGTGAAATACTTAAACATCCATTATTGTTTTTAATATAATTTGGAAAATATGAGTTGCTTTGGATTATTAAAACTTCATTTATTTGTACCATTGATGCATAAATTCTCAGTCTAGGTTTTAGCGAAGTCTGGATTTTAAAAAATTGACTGTGATATTAGTTCAAGTCTTACGAACATCATTATTATTATTATTTGAGAGACACAGAGTCTTGCTCAGTTGCCCAGGATGGAGTGCAGCTGCACAATCACAGCTTATTGCAGCCTCAACCTCCTGGGCTCAAGCAGTCCTCCCACTTCAACCTCCCGAGTAGCTGGGACTATAGGCACACATCACAACTCCTGGCCAATTTTTGTATTTTTTGTAGAGATGGGGTTTCGCCATGTTTTCCAGGCTGGTCTCACTCCTGGGCTCAAGCGATCCTCTTTGCTTGGCCTCCCAAAGTGCTGGGATTACAGGTGTGTGCCAACACACCTGGCCAAGTTGTATATACTATTAATCTAGGCTATTTCTGACACTGTTGATTTTCCTTTTCCCCTTAGGTGAGGCAGGCGACTAATCAGATTGTGATGAATTGTGCTGATATTGATATTATTACAGCTTCATATGCACCAGAAGGAGATGAAGGTAAGAGCTGTTTTCCATTTTAATTTGCTGTCTGCATGTGCATATGTGGGGTGTGTGTGTGTGTGTGTGTGTGTGTGTGTGAGAGAGAGAGAGAGAGAGACATTTTCAGGTTAAGACTTCAATGTTTGTTACTTTAGAAATGGGTAAATTCAGCTGGGTGAAGTGGCTCACGCCTGTAATCGCAGCACTTTGGGAGGCTGAGGCGAGCAGATCCCTGAGCCCATGAGTTTGAGACCAGCCTGGGCCACGTGGCGAAACAAAAACAAACAAACAAACAGAAATATTAGCTAGGCATAGTGGTGCGTGCCTGTAGTCCCAGCTATTTGGGAGGCTGAGGTGGGAGGATCTATTGAGCCCAGGTGGCCGAGGCTGCAGTGAGCCATGATTGCGCCGCTGCACTCCAGCCTGTGCGACAGAGTGAGACCCTGACTCAAAAAAAGAAAAAGAAAAAGGGTAAAATGTTTATGGGAAATATTGAATAGTATAACCTAACAGTATTGTGAAATAAAGTAAATGTCACAATTTATTTTATTTTTAAATTTATTTTTATTTTTATTTTTTTTGAGACAGAGTCTTGCTCTGACACCCAGGCTGGAGTGCAGTGGCGTGATCTCAGCTCACTGCTATCTCTGCCTCGTGGGTTCAAGCAGTTCTCCCTGCCTCAGCCTCCTGAGTGGCTGAGATTACAGGTGTCCACCACCATACCTAGCTAATTTTTGTATTTTTAGTAGAGACAGGGTTTTGCTATATTGGCCAGGCTGGTCTTGAACTCCTGATCTCAGGTGATCTGCCTGCCTCCCAAAGTGCTGGGATTACAGATGTGAGCCACCACACCCGGCCAAATGTCACAATTTAAATTCTACTTCCAAGATTAACTTATTTTGTGATACTAGGGAAATCACATTTTCATAAGTATAAAATGAATATAATATGCATAATAAAGCTGATGAGTTATTTGAAAAATTAAGTACTTTGAACATGAAAGGCTCCTCAAAGAGGCTTCGTTTTTATGTTTTTCTTAAAGTTTTTTTTTCTTTTTGTACTGTAGTTTAAAATTGAGATAAGTCATACTCCTAATTCGGAGAAAAACATTTGCTTTATGAGACAATATGAAGATTAGAAGCTAAATAATGGAGTTAGTTACAGGGGAAGAACATGCTAAAAAGAAACATGGTATAGAATGTGGAACTCCATTAGTGTCTATAAAATGAGAACTGTTTTAGACCTTATAATTTTAGTATGAAAGTAGTCCATTTTGACTGGAAATCTTATTCCCGTATGAGCTGCTTTTTAAATAGACACCAAGTTTGGCATAAACTCTTACAAGTACATCAGTATTGGAGCTGGATTGCTTTTTACTTTTTTTTTTTTTTGAGAGAGTCTCGCTCTGTCACCCAGGCTGGGGGGCAGTGGCATGATCTCAACTACCACAACCTCTGTCTCCTGGTCTCAAGCCATCCTCCCACCTCACCCTCCCAAGTAGCTGATATTACAGGTGTGTACCACCATGCCTGGCTAATATTCGTATTTGTATTTTTTTATAGATATGGGGGGGTGGTCTTCCTATATTGCCCAGGCTGGTCTTGAACTCCTGGGCTCAAGGGATCTGACCTCTTCGGCCTTGCAGGTTGCTGGGATTACAGCAAGAGCCACCACACCTGGTTGCCTTTTTACTTTTGATTTCACCTAGACATTCCTTGTCAAAATGGTTATTGGTTACTCTGAGACTTCTTTAATATAAAATAATTTACGGCCGGGCGCGGTGGCTCACGCCTGTAATTCCAGCACTTTGGGAGGCCGAGGCGGGTGGATCACAAGGTCAGGAGATCGAGACCATCCTGGCTAACTCGGCGAAACCCCGTCTCTACTAAAAATACAAAAAATCAGCTGGGCGTGGTGGCGGGCGCCTGTGGTCCCAGCTACTCGGGAGGTTGAGGCAGGAGAATGGCGTGAACCCGGGAGGCAGAGCTTGCAGTGAGCCGAGATCGCGCCACTGCACTCCAGCCTGGGCGACAGAGCGAGACTCCGTCTCAAAAAAATAAATAAATAAATAAAATAAAATAATTTACACATTTGATCTTTTAACTTACATTTTATATTTTGATTTCCTCTCTCCTTTACATTATACTGAAAAGAAGTTTCATTTTAAGGCCTCATAACATTTATGATTTTTTCTTAAACTATTTTGTCTATAGAAAGTCAAAGTAGTAGCAGTTGAACATACTATTCCCAAGAAGTACTTAAGTTCAATTGATTGTAAATTAGATCAAACTGCTGGAAGAACAGATTCTTCAAATGGACTTGAGTGAGTGCCAGCTTTTAAAAAATTGTCTGGTAAATGAAAGAGTGATTATTTAATTTCTTTAACTGTGGAGAAAAATAGAAGTACTTTAGCCAGGTATATCAAAGCAACAAGGCTTTCTTTGTTGCAGGTAGAGAATGTTTAAATTCGATGTGTGGTTTTAAAGTGGTATGTAGATAGGTAGATCTAGTAATATAAATGTGTACCTTCCAGCTGGCATGGTTTCAGCTCAAGTTTGTTTTTTATCTTCCTGTACTAAAAATGTCAGGATAGAATTCAGGTGACTGAAAAGTTCTTTTTTTTTTTTTTTTTTTTTGAGATGGAGTCTCGCTCTGTCGCCAAACGATCTCGGCTTGCTGCAACCTCCGCCTCTGGGGTTCAAGCAATTCTTCTGCCTCAGCCTCCTGAGTAGCTGGGATTACAGGCGTGTGCCACCACACCCGGCTAATTTTTGTATTTTTAGTAGAGATGGGGTTTCACCATGTTTGTTAGGCTGGTCTTGAACTCCTGGCCTTGTGATCCACCCGCCTCAGCCTCCCAAAGTGTTGGGATTACAGGCGTGAGCCACTGCGCCCGACCTGACTGAAAAGTTTTGAATATGCGTAACCGAATGTTGCTAAGCTCATAATGATCTGTATCTCACGGAAGCCCAGTTAGTGTTCTTACTAAGAGAGTCAGGAGAGAAATGAAAACTTAATGGAAAAGGAGATTTGAAGAGAGATTCTGATAAAACGTTAAATTATTTTAGATACATAATATATATTCAATGCTGGGTGCAGTGGCTCATGCCTGTAATCCCAGCACTTTGGGAGGCTGTGGCGGGTGGATCATGACGTCAGAAGTTCAAGACCAGCCTAGCGAAGATGGTGAAACCCCATCTCTACTAAAAATAAAAAAATTAGCTGGGTGTGGTGGCGGGTGCCTGTAATCCCAGCTACTCGGGAGGCTGAGGCAGAGAATTGCTTGAACCCGGGAGGCAGAGGTTGCAGTGAGCCAGGATCGTGCCACTGCACGCCAGCCTGGGTGACAGAGACTCTGTCTCAAAAAAAAAATATTTTCCTTCAGAACTAGCTAAGGTACATTTCTCAACACTTTTCTACCACAGCAACGGGAAAAAACCTGAAGTCATGTGTAAGCCCACGTAATTTTAGAGTTTAAGAGAATGGGAAGTTGTATGAGTTGTTAAAGTTTGAACTGGGGGCAGCCAGGTGTGGTGGCTCACACCTGTAATCCCAGCATTTTGGGAGGGCTAGGTGGGCGGATCACCTGTGGTCAGGAGTTTGAGAACAGCCTGGCCAACATGGTGAAACACCATCTCTACTAAAAACACAAAAATTAGCTGGGCGTGGTGGCAGGCACCTGTAATTCCAGCTACTTGGGAGGCTGAAGGCAGGAGAATCGCCTGAACCCAGGAGGCGGAAGTTGCAGTGAGTGGAGATTGTGCCACTGCACTCCAGCCTGGGCGACAGAGCAAGACTCTGTCTCAAAAAAAAAAAAAAAAAAAAAAGTTTGGATTGGGAACAGGGATAGATTTGGCCTTCCACATGTATGTGTATATATATATATAATTTAAAAAAAGAAGGTAAAAGTAAAATCAGAAAATTACTCTCAAGGCATGAAATTGTTGCTTCTTTTAATTTTTTTTTTTTTTCTTTTTGAGATGGAGTCTCGCTCTGTCACCCAGGCTGGAGTGCAGTGGCGCAGTCTCGGCTCACTGCAAGCTCTGCCTCCCGGGTTCACGCCATTCTCCTGCCTCAGCCTCCCCAGCATCTGGGGCTATAGGCGCACGCTGCCACGCCCAGCTAATTTTTGTATTTTTAGTAGAGACGAGGTTTTACCGTATTAGCCAGGATGGTCTCTATCTCCTGACCTTGTGATCTGCCCGCCTTGGCCTCCCGAAGTGCTGGGATTAAAGGTGTGAGCCACCGTGCCTAGCCAATTGTTACTTCTTTGTGTAAGTTTTTATTTGAAGAAAAAGGCCATTTTTTTGTGATATGTGCAGTCATCCTTGAAAGACCTATGGGCATGTGTGTGTTTTTTTTTTTTTTTTGAGATGGAGTCTTGCTGTATCGCCCAGGCTGGAGTACAGTGGCGCAATGTCGGCTCACTGCAACTAGTAGAACTTACTTTTTTTTTTTTTGTTTTAAAGAACTTGTTTTAAAATAATCCTTAATAGGCTTTTATTAACGCTGTTTGGATATTAGTTATGTACCCTTTTCTCTTTGCAATAATGAAAGATCATTTCAAGTAGAAATTAAAGGTTTGTTTCTCATCCCTTTCTTTAGATATAGTAACAGTTATACCAGATATATATATATGTATATATATATATATAATTTTTTTTTTTTTTTGAGACAGTTTCACTCTTGTTGCCCAGGCTGCAGTGCGATGGCATGATCTTGCTCACTGCAACCTCTGCCTCCCAGGTTCAAGCAATTCTCCTGCCTCAGCCTCCCGAGTAGCTGGGATCACAGGTGTGCACCACCACACCCAGCTAATTTTTGTATTTTTAGTAGAGACAGGGTTTCACCATGTTGGCCAGCCTGGTCTCGAACTCGAGACCTCAGGTGATCCACCTACCTCGGCCTCCCAAAGTGCTGGGATTACCAGGCATGAGCCACCACGCCCGGCCCAGTTATACCAGATATAAGCAAATTTGCTAGTAGTTTAGATTTCTGGAATTGTGCCAACTACACATCAAGAGACTATTTAGCTTTGTTACAGAAGTCAGTATCAGTTTCTTGTTATAAGACAAGACCTGGTTTTACAGACTTTTCTATTTCTCAATGGAACTTTACTCTGAAGATATACTCTTCCATTTAAATACTAGTTCCAAAACCTACATTATATGGTGGCTGCTTAATAAACATTTAACATTTTGGTGAATTTAAATCTTGTTGATGTGTATACATGAATAACTGGGCTAAAAGCAGATACCTTTGATTATTGTGAAACTTCAAGTAAATATTGTGTGAAAAGGACCCCTTCTGTCTCACAAATTCTGGCCCCTCAGCTCATTGTCTGAACAGTGATTCCCTTGCATATAATAAATTCTCTTGGCTTATATATAATAATAAATGAAGTTTATTATTTATTTGAACTTTTTACCCCTGTAAATACCAAGGTTCTTTTTGCCTAAGTGGTAATTTGTGTCATTCAAAGAGTTTTTATTAAATATTATTATTATTATTTGAGATAGAGTCTCACTCTTATTGCCCAGGCTGGAGTGCAGTGGCACTATCTCGGCTCACTACAGCCTCCGTCTCCTGGGTTGAAGCGATTCTTGTGCCTCAGCCTCCCAAGTCGCTGGGATTACAGGTGTGTGCCACCAAACCTGGCTAATTTTTAAATTTTTGTAGAGATGGGGTTTCCCCATTTTGGCCAGGCTGCTCTCAAACTGTTGACACCCACCTTGGCCTCCCAAAGTGCTGGGATTACAGGTGTGAACCACTGCACCAGACCTTAAATACTCTGTTTAAGTGATAGTTTGATAAGTGTGAACGCAAGTCTGAAATAGGTTTCTTTGCTTGTGAGAAAGTATAACGAATTGCCAAGACAATAGTGACAAACAGAGGGCATATTTTTCAAAGAGGAAGAGTTTATATAGTGTTAACATTAAGACAAAAGTCTTAAGTTTCTAATTTCTGATCTTGTTTGTTGGGATTTCTTTCTTTTTTTTTTTTTTCTTTTTTTTTTGAGACAGGTCTTTCTCTGTCATCCAGGCTGGAATGCAGTGGCACAGTCGTGGCTTACTGCAGCCTCCTGGGCTCAAGTTACTCTCCCACCACAGCCTCCCGGAGAGCTGGGATGGCAGGCATGTGCCACCACACCTGGCTAATTTTTTAATTTTTGTAGAGATGGGGTTTTGCAATGTTCCCCAGGCTGGTCTCAGACTCCAAGACTCAAGCAGTCCTACCTCAGCTTCCCAAAGTGCTGGGATTACAGATATGAGCCACTGTGCTTGGCCCTTGTTTGGATTTCTATGCTTATCTGTGAAATATATTCTGGTTTCTATGCAGGATAGATCCATTCTCAAATAAACAACCCTTAAGTATCATTAGTTCAAACTGGAGCCAAATAAAGAAATGTCAGCATTAGAAGGAGCAAGTGATAGTTAGCCAGCCCCTTTATTCCTTTTTAGTGCAAATCAGAGATAAAGAACATGAAGTTTGCAGTGTATTTGCATTCTTTCACTTTTACATTTGTTGGTTTTGAGTAATATTGAGGGGCTGTCTGATAAAGAACCTGTGTAGGTTTCCATATGGCTATATACAAAGTATATGAGTGTAGAATAGTTTTAAATTTTGTCTTAGTTATATTTGGTAAGTTTTAAAACATTATTTAAATAGCCTTAAGGTGATATGGATTGCTTTAGTGACTGCTGTTTTAGGAATTTAGTTGGCTTATTGCTGACTATAGAGGGAACGTTTTATCTTCTTTTTAACCTCCAGTTCAGGTTAGGTGCCTAACCAAGTGAAACATTTTTCATAATGTAATGTTTAATAGTGATAATTATAAAAATAATGGTGAGTTTAGTGTTTACTCTATACCAGGCACTAAGTGCATTACATGTTCATATAGAGAACAACCGTAGGCACAGAGAGGGTATCTACTTTAGGTAATAAAACTGATAAATGTTAGAGCCAGGATTCAAACCCAGGCGGTTTGGATCTAGGGTCCATGTACTTGCCACTCTATTGCCTGTCATTAATATAACCGCACCATATTGCAATTATTTGTTTGTGTCATGTCTGTACTACTTTTCAATGGAATCTTAAGATCCTTGAGGGGCTGGGCACTGTAGCTCATGGCTGTAATCCCAGCACTTTGGGAGGCCGAGGCGGGCGGCTCACCTAAGGTCAGGAGTTCAAGACCAGCCTGGCCAACATGGTGAAACCTCGTCTCTACTAAAAAAAAAAGTACAAAAATTAGCTGGGTGTGGTGGTAGGCGCCTGTAATCCTAGCTACTCGGGAGGCTGAGGTGGGAGAATTGCTTGAACCTGGGAGGCAGAGGTTGCAGTGAGCCAAGATCACGCCATTGCACTCCAGCCTGGGGGACAAGAGACTTCTACTCAAAAAAAAAAAAAAGATCCAGTAATTATGATTCATTCTTTTTCATTTGTGGTTTTCCCTGGTATCTGACATATAGTAGGGATTTAATAAATATACATTGAATGAAACGAAGAAAATCTAGATAAATGGAGTAAGTCTGTCATATGGTAGTTACAGTAGTTCCTCCTTATCTATGGCAGATGTGTTCTAAGACCCCCAATGGTATGCCTGAAACCACAGATAGTAGCAAAACTTATATATGCTATGTTTTTCCCTATACATATGTACTATGATAAAGTTTAATTTTTACATTTGAAATAGTAAGAAATTAACAAAAGCTAATAAAAAATAGAACCATTATAACAATATACTGTAATAAAAGTTACATGAATGTTGTGTGCGTCTCTCTCTCTTTTTTTTTTTTTTGAGACGTTGCTCTGTCGCCCAGGCTGGAGTGCAATGGTGCAATCTCAGCTCACTGCAACCTCTGCCTCCCAGGTTCAAGCGATTCTCCTGCCCTAGCCTCCTGAGTAGCTGGGACTACAGGCGCATGCCACCACACCTGGCTAATTTTTTGTGTTTTTAGTAGAGACGGGGTTTCATCGTGTTAGCCAGGATGGTCTCCATCTTCTGACCTCGTGATCTGCCCGCCTCGGCCTCCCAAATTGCTGGGATTACAGGTGTGAGCCACAGTATCTTTTTTTTTTTTTGAGATGGAGTTTCACTCTTGTTGCCCAGGCTGGAGTGCGATGGTGTGATCTCGGCTCACTGCAACCGCTGCCTCCTGGGTTTAAGCAAGTCTCCTGCCTCAGCCTCCCAAGTAGCTGGGATTACAGGCATGCGCCACCACGCCTGGCTAATTTTGTATTTTTAGTAGGGACAGGGTTTCTCCATGTTGGTCAGGCTGGTCTCAAACTCCTGACCTCAGGTGATCTTCCCCCCTCAGCCTCGTAAAGTGTTGGGATTACAGGCATGAGCCACCGCGCCCAGCCAATATCTTCTTTTTAAAAAAAATTATTTCATTTATTTATTTTTAGAGGCAGAGTCTCTGTTGCCCAGGTTGGAGTGCAGTGGTGCCATCATATCTCACTGCAGCCTCAAACTGCTGGGCTCAAGTGATCCTCCTGCTTCAGCCTCCCAGTTAGCTAGGACTATAGGTGTGCACCAACACCCAGCAAATTTGTAAAAATTTTTTGTGAGTCAGGTCTGGCTTTATTGCTGAAGTTGGTCTTGAACTCCTGGCTTCAAGCGATCCTCCTGCCTCAGCCTCCCAAAGTGCCAGGATTACAGGCATGAGCCACTGTGCCCAGCCTCTCTTATAGTATCTTATTGTATTATACTCACCCTTCTTCTTTGACATTTCCAAACTGCTAGCATCACTACTCTTGTGCTTTGAGGCCATTATTAAGTACAATAAAGGTTACTTAAACACAAGCCTTGTGATACATTGACAGTCAATCTGATAACTGAGATGGCTACTAGGTGCCTAATGGGCTGGGTGGCATATATATACAGCATGGATAGGTCGGAGAAAGGGATGATTTATGTTCTGGGCAGAATGGAATGGGAGGGTACAAGATTTCATCACACTATTCAGAACAGTACAGTTTAAAACTTACGAATTCTTTGTTTCTGGAATTTTCCATTTAATATTTTCAGACCGTAGTTGACTCTAGGCAGTTGAAACTGTGGAAAGTGAAACTGCAGATAAGGGGGGACTTGTCAGGTCTGCATTTCTTCATGTGCTCTATCCTATTAACTTTATGGGTAACAAAATTATTTCGTATTTGAGATTATTTTGTTACCAGCTTTAACTTGTATTTTACTTCCCTTTAAGGACTACCATCAAGATACTTACTAATTGTAAAGATTCTTTACGGTATTTTAAATATTAAGAAAATGGAGAGCATAAAAAACTGCTGTAAATTATGTAGTTTTGCATTAAATGTAGAGAAAACACTGATTGCATAATGTTAGTAACATTGTAGTGTATGCTGTTCTTTTTTTTTTTTTTTTTGAGATGGAGTTTCGCTCTTATTGCCCAGGCTGGAGTGCAATGGCATGATTTTGGCTCGCCGTAACCTCAGCCTCCCGGGTTCAAGTGATTCTCCTGCCTCAGCCTCCTGAGTAGCTGGGATTACAGGCATGCACCACCACACCCGGCTAATTTTGTATTTTTAGTAGAGATGGAGTTTATCCATGTTGGTCAGGCTGGTCTCGAACCTCCGACCACAGGTGATCTGCCTGCCTCAGCCTCCCGCAGTGCTGGGATTACAGGCACAAGCCACCGCGCCCGGCCATGTATGCTGTTCTTAAGTGTGAAGCTGGAAGAGTTAGTTGTTCTCCAAATCAATGCTTCCTTACTTTTTTTCAAGGCATTAGTAGAAACTGATGTTTTCCTGGTACATAAGGAAGAGGAGGCTCACAACTGGAGGGTATCAGAGATCTTTCATTGCTCTAGGCCTACCAGGCTGGTCCAAGGGCCAAGGGAATTATTATCTTGATAAACCTGTAATCCATGTTTGGATCTGCCACAGTTAGGGAAGCTCTGCTATAGTTTCAAGTTAATAGAATTAGAAGGGAAGTTAGGTAGTAGTCAGGGCTCATTTTATTTATTTGTGCCTTCTGTTTTACTTTTTTTTTTTTTTTTTTTTTTGAAATAGAGTCTTGTGCTGGCGTGACCTTGGCTCACTACAACCTCTGCCTCCCGGGTTCAAGCAATTCTCTTTTTTTTTTTTTTTTTTTTTAATTCATCATTCTTGGGTGTTTCTTGCAGAGGGGGATTTGGCAGGGTCATAGGACAATAGAGGAGGGAAGGTCAGCAGATAAACAAGTGAACAAAGGTCTCTGGTTTTCCTAGGCAGAGGACCCTGCGGCCTTTTTTTTTTGCAGTGTTTGTGTCCCTGGGTACTTGAGATTAGGGAGTGGTGATGACTCTTAACGAGCATGCTACCTTCAAGCATCTGTTTAACAAAGCACATCTTGCACCACCCTTGATCCATTTAACCCTGAGTGGACACAGCACATGTTTCAGAGAGCACCGGGTTGGGGGTAAGGTCATAGATCAACAGCATCCCAAGGCAGAAGACTTTTTCTTAGTACAGAACAAAATGGAGTCTCCTATGTCTACTTCTTTCTACACAGACACAGCAACAATCTGATTTCTCTATCTTTTCCCCACATTTCCCCCTTTTCCATTCGACAAAACCGCCATCGTCATCATGGCCCGCTCTCAATGAGCTGTTGGGTACACCTCCCAGACGGGGTGGCGGCCGGGCAGAGGGGCTCCTCACTTCCCAGAAGGGGCGGCCGGGCAGAGGTGCCCCCCACCTCCCGGACGGGGCGGCTGGCCGGGTGGGGGCTGCCCCCCGCCTCCCTCCGGGACGGGGCGGCTCAAGCAATTCTCTTGCCTCTGCCTCCCAAGTAGCTGGGACTACAGATGTAGGCCACCACGCCCGGCTAATTTTTGTATTTTTAGTAGAGATGGGGTTTCCCCACGTTGGCCAGGCTGGTCTCCAACTCCTGACCTTGTGATCCACCTGCCGTGGTCTCCCAAAGTGCCGGGATTACAGGCATGAGCCACTGCACCCAGCCTGTTTTACTTTTTTCTTGATCCCAGATCTTTTTCAGTTTTCTTGCTTTTTTTCTCAAAGAACTAACCATTGCTTTGTAGACCTCAGTTGACTATTATTTCCTTATTAACTTCTGCTTCCTTTGGGTTTACTTTGCAAGGTTTTTTTTTTATTTTTGAGACGGAGTCTCACTCTGTCACCCAGGCTGGAGTGCAGTGACGTGATCTTGGCTCACTGCAATCCCTGCCTTCTGGTTTCAAGTGATTCTTATGCCTCAGCCTCCTGATAGCTAGGATTAAAGGCATGTGCCACCACACCCAGCTAATTTTTGTATTTTTAGTAGAGGCGGAGTTTTACCATGTTGGTCAGGCTGGTCTCAAACTCCTGACCTCAAGTGATCGGTTCGCCTTGGCCTCCCAAAGTGCTGGGATTACAGGTGTGAGCCACCGCTACCATGCCCGGTCTACTTTGCAGATTTAAAAAAACTTCTTTAGGCTGGTCCCAGTGCAGTGGTGTTTATAACTCATCAATCATAGCCAGTTACAGATTTCTTTATTCCTTCTTCACTCCCACTGCTTCACTTGACTACCCTTAAAAAAAAAACAAAAAACAAACAGAAGTCTTGAGATGGATGTTTGGCTTATTACTTTTTAGTCCTTCTTTCTAGTATATTCATTTAAATATAAATTTTAATCCTAAAAATGTACTGCTTTTAGCTGCAGCCCACACTTTTTTTGGTTTGTTTGTTTTGGGGGAAATTCTCCAGGCAGTAGTTATGGCTGTTGTTGCTTGCTGCTGCTTCTTTCCTATTTTTGTTGATAGCTTTGTGAGAGTACCTGTAATGTTGACATACTATAAAGGGTACATATTAAAATATGTAATTTGATAAGTTTTCTCATGAATGTAACCAGGTAATGAACATATTCATCACCCTAGAACATTTCCTCATGCCCCTTTATAATCCTTTTCTCTCCTTTTCCTTGCTCCTTCCCCAGGCAATTATGATTTGATTCCATGTTTTTTTTTTTTTTTGTACAGTCTCTGTCACCCAGGCTGGGGTACAGTGGCTCTATCTCAACTTACTGCTACCTCCACCTCCCGGCTTCAAGCAATGCTTGTGCCTCAGCCTCCCGAGTAGCTGGGACTTCAGGTGTACGCCACCACACGTGGCTCATTTTTGTGGGTTTTTATTTGTATTAATTAATTAATTTTTATTTATTTATTTAGAGATGGAGTCTCGCTCTGCTGCCGAGGCTGGGGTGTAGTGGTGTGATCTCGGCTCACTGCAACCTCCGCCTCCCAGGTTCAAGCAGTTTTCCTGCCTCAGCCTCCCAAATAGCTGGGATTACAGGCTTGTGCCACCATTCCTGGCTAATTTTTTCTATTTTTAGTAGAGATGGGGTTTCACCATGTTGGCCAGGCTGGTCTTGAGCTCCTGACCTCAAGTGATCCACGTGCCTCAGCCTCCAAAGTGGTGGGATTACAGGCCTGAGCCACCACACCTGGCCCATCCCCCACTTTTTTTTTTGAGACGGAGTCTCGCTCTGTCACCCATGCTGGAGTGCAGTGGCTAGATCTCGGCTCACTGCAATCTTTGCCTCCTGGGTTCAAGCGATTCTCCTGTTTCAGCCTCCCAAGTAGCTGGGATTACATGCGCCTGCTACCACGCCTGGCTAATTTTTGTGTTTTTGTAGAGATGGGGTTTCACCATGTTGGCCAGGCTGGTCTTGAACTCCTGTCCTCAGGTGATCTGCCTGCTTTGGCCTGAAGTGCTGGGATTATAGGCGTGAGCCACCATGCCCGGCCTCTTTTTTTGTTAAGATAGGGTCTTGCGGCTGGGTGTGGTGGCTGACGCTTGTAATCCCAGCACTTTGGGAGGCCGAGGTGGGTGGATCACAAGGTCAGGAGATCGAGACCATCCTGGTTAACATGGTGAAACCCTGTCTCTACTAAAAATACAAAAAATTAGCCGGGCATGGTGGCGCATGCCTGTAGTCCCCCCTACCTGAGAGGCTGAGGCAGGAGAATTGCTTGAACCCGGGAGGCGGACGGAGGTTGCAGTGAACCGAGATTGCGCCATTGCATTCCAGCCTGGACAACAGAGCGAGACTCCATCTCAAAAAAGAGGAAAAAAAAAAAAAAAAGATAGGGTCTTGCTCTGTCACCCAGGCCAGAGTGCAGTGACAGGATCGCAGCTTACTGCAACCTCAAACTCCTGGACTCAAGTGATCTTCCCACCTCAGCCTCCTGAGTAGCTGGAACTACAGATATACGCTACCGTGGTGCCTGGCTAATTTTTTTTAGTAGAGATGGGGTCTTGCTTTGTTGCCTAGGCTGGTCTCGAACTCCTGGCTTCAAGGGATTCTCTCACCTCAGCCTCCCAAAGTGTTGGGATTACAGGCATGAGACACTGTGCCTGGCCTGTTTTTTCTTATTACATATTTTTGTTCTAGAATTAATTTTTCCAAATTTGCTTGTTTTCTTTGTTTTGCTTGGTTTTGGGTTTTTTTTGGAGTTTTTTTGTTTGTTTGTTTTTTTAAAGTAACTTCGCGTTACTTGCCAAATTTTTCAGGATTGGGATTTTATATTTTTGAACATAGTAAGCAGGTATATGAATAGTTTGCTAGTATCTAGGGGAGCTTTTGTTTTGTTCCCCGTTGGTTACTAATACTTAAGGTTCATCTTTTTCCAATGTCTGGGCTTCAGATGTTCAGAAGTTTAATCACATTCCACTTGTGGACTGCTTTTCTTCTTGTTCATCTTTCCTGGTAGGATATCACTTTTTTGGTTTCAAGCCCAAAGGAGGGGGTCATTTACTCAAGCCTCTTGTCTTGTCTTGTCTTGTCTTGTCTTTTCTCTTCTAATAGAGATAGAGTCTCACTGTGCTACCTAGATAGACTGTGTTACTTGAACTCCTGGGCTTAAGCAGTCCTTCCACCTCGCCTCCCAAAATGCTGGGATTACAGACACAGTGCCCACCCAGCCACAAAGCCCCCAGTGTTGATGGTCCCTGGATTCCCACTTTTGTCCCTGGGGCCTATAGCCTCAGCTTCTAAATCTGCTACTTCTCTGCTAGATCAGCAAATGACCCCAGAGCAAAAGTGGCCTAGAATGCAAAGCTTCCTCCTTATGGAATTTCATCCTCTTCTTCATCTTGATCACCTTATCTTGTTCTATGATTCTTTTAAGGAGAGGTTTTCCCTTCCTTCCAGCTTTTTTAGTTTTGTGGGTGTCAAGTAGGAGAGAGATAATTAGTTTGAATTATATACTCATCTATTACCCAAAATAAAGTCCTTTAAAAAAAAAAAGATAAACTGAGACCTAGACAAATTAAGTAACCCTGTAAGACCACTTAATCAATGGAAATCCTGGTCCAGAATCCTGAGTGATTTTAACGAAATAGTTCACAGTCATTTATTAAGAGCAGGGGCACCCTAGAAGGAATTTTTTGGTTCTGTTGAGCCAGATTTATATTTGGCACATGCTCATTCTTTTTAGACTTTTTAGATAGCCTAATAAGATAGGACCATCACTATGTTATATAAATATGAAATCCATTTGAAAATATGGGACCTGTCAGTATAGGTACTGCTTGAACTGTAACTATGCATATATCTGATTGGCTTTTATGCCCTAGGGTGAGAAGGAGGTCACCTTGAAGCTTTGCAAAGTAAGTTCCTGGTTCCATTTTTCACTTGAATCCCCCTTGGATATCCTCCAGAATGATGTGTTTTCTTTCCCATTGCAACATTATTTTCAGCTTTGTGGAGAAACAAAGTATGTTCCAAGTAGCAGGTGGTCACTGTAGGCCTTCTTTGAACTGTGAACTTTATTTTTTTGCACCTGAACTGCTTTCTAAAACCACATAAACAATATGATAGGGAAGTTGCTATCTGAATAAAAAAACAAAACAAAACCTCACAATGTGTTTGATCTAGTACTGAGCTACACTGGTATATGTGGGCTATATAGAATTATGTGGTTTAGATTACTTGTTTAAGTATAGCAGTGGCTTGGAGGAAAATACATTCTGAGTTTCAAATAGATAATTTGTAAAGGAA